>NC_000018.10:26536206-27161206 GCF_000001405.40 Homo sapiens
GTGTGAGTTGTAATTAACATGTGAACTATGACAGGGTACCAGTTCTGGATTTTGTGGGATTATTGTACATATGCTCAATCTTAAAATATGTGGCTTCACAACAGGGTGAACATTTAGAGTGGCTCATATGTGGTGGAATGTGGCAGCTTACTTGGAGTGGGGACACCTAAAACACAAGTATACTAAGGCTTACTGGAGAAGCCTGAAATGTTACAGCAAAGAAAAGGCTTAAATTTTTTGACAAGGTAATATTTTATTTTTTCCTGGGTTTCCACATTCCCCATACATGCACTTCAGGTTTAACTGTTTAGTATTTCAGTTCTGTTAGGCCACTTTTGGTCCCATTTCTGAGATACTAATACACACCCCTTACTCTCCAGGGCTGACCTGGGAACACTCATCAAATGAGATAAGACTGATCTCCAGCCAGTACTTTGGACTTGCCCTAGGTATTCCACTGTAGTTTCTCCAGTGTCTTCTCTTAAATATTTCTAAGTTATTCTTCACCTCCAAGTTCCTACCTTGCACACCGTAAGTGCTCAATAAATGCTTTCAGAAATGAATCTGCTTTTCAGTTTTTCTGAATAGCATTCTCCTTCACCTTGCCTTTCTCTCAGATCTTGGCTCACGTCCCAAGAGGTGGTTCTAAAAACCCTTCAAGGGAGGAGTTATAGGATGACATGGGATTCTATGACTCCATGATCCTTTTCATAAATTAAAAAAAAAAAACCCACGAGACACATTCCTGGATCATTACCACCCCCACCACCTCCATAAAGTGATCCTGAAAAAAATAGTAAAATCCAGCATTGTGAACACCCTACCATTAATTATAAAAGACGAACATGTGAAAGAACTCTGGGGTGAGCGGAAAAGAAGCTAGCATAATCAGCTTTCTAATGTTCTTGTTATACTTTTACTTAGATCTGTGTGTTTCTACAGCAACATGTTTCTAAATTGCTACCTCAATTCACTGAAAAATAAACATTCAGCAAGTCTCTTTTTTTTCTGGAGTGAAAAAACAACAACAATATTTGTTTAAGATGTAAGAAAATATCCAAAATCTATTTAGATATAGTTTTGTCAGAAAGAATATCACAAAATAGAAGCCAATATTCCATATAAACTGGCTTAATACAATATGCTATTCTATAAAACCCAAAAACCTATTCCATAAGGACTATGCTGGCTGAATACTGTAAGTATTTGGAGGGCAAACTAAATCAGAGGTAATAAATCCCTGCACTGTCACACTAAAAACAAGTCACAAAAGATCATTAACTGGTCAGCGATAATGTATCAAAATACCAACCAATTATCTTAATTCTGTAGTCTATTTCAACCGTATATTAGTACACCTCAACTTTAAGTGGCATTTCTATTGATTTACATAGTATCGAAGGCAGAAGTCAAGTATTAGAAAATTGTGGTGCATTTTTGCATTAGGGAAACGTAAACATCATAACACAGGCTCTAGCCAAATATAGACCCTACTTCTAGAATACTGAAATTAAGAGATTTATGTAGATTATAGCTATAATGACCTTCATAATATTTTAGGAATCCTAGTATAATGACCACTCCCTTCATCTCAAGCCATTCCAAATAAAATTTAATCTCTTTTGAAAAACTGTTGATTTCATTCTGTTCATTGTTGTCTCATTTCATCTGTGAATGTGCTGTAGCCTGGGCAGCAATTATGCCCATCAGTGGGCTGCCCAAATCCTAGTGCTAATTTTTTAGCACTAGAAAATTTCTGGCCGGGCATGGTGGCTCATGCCTGTAATCCCAGCACTTTGGGAGGCTGAGGCGGGTGGATCACCTGAGGTCAGGAGTTTGAGACCAGCCTGGCCAACATGGTGAAACGCTGTCTCTACTAAAAATACAAAAATTAGCCGGGCATGGTGGCACATGTCTGTAATCCCAGCTACTCAGGAGGCTGAGGCAGAAGAATCGCTTGAACCCAGGAGGCGGAGGCTGCAGTGAGCCGAGATCGCACCACTGCACTCCAGCCTGGGAAACAAGAGCAAAACTCCGTCTTAAAAAAAAAAGAAAAGAAAATTTCCATGCCTCTGTAAAGAGAAATAGGAAGGGTCTGCAGAACTAAGTTAGAAGAAGGTGTGGAGTTAAATCCCACGTGGGCCACAGAACATGCAAATCTTAAGGTAAAGCATCCACACGGATGGGCTTTTTTAGGTTAATTGTGAGAGGGAAGAGGGCCCAGGTAGGCCAGAGTGCAAGAGCCTGCACTGAGATTTCGTATCTCCCAGAAGACCTGCAAAAGTGCTACTGGCCAGAGTCTATGGATGCCCCAAAAGAAGAAACAACAGAGGGGCCCCCGGTGCAGCACCTGGACAAGCTACTTCCAAGAGCCAAACTGAAGGCTGGGGCTAGGACTTTATGATAAAGATCTGCATTTGTTCAAATGTAAAGCATTCTGCACTAACAAAATGATAGCAAATATTCATATAGTGCTCATATTTGAAGCACTTTTCAAGCAGTATCTCATTTAACACCCATGCTCCTGTGAGATCATTGTTATCATCATTCCCGTTTGACTGAGGAGGAAACTGAGGCACCCAGAGATCTGGGCAGAGCTGAGATTTGCTCCAGGGGATGTGGCTCTGGAGTCTGTTCTTAACCACTATGTGATATAGTTTCTCAAATGAGGTTGCTCCAAATCCCAGACCCAGCAAAGGCTGGGGGCCCCACACAGCAAAACGGAAGCCTGCCACACACCGGAAACATTCTTTTTTGTGTCTCTGCATACTTATGTCACTGCTTTGTGATGCTGTCTTTTAACAAGTTCTCTCTTCTTTAGTTGTTCCAGAAAGCATCACAGGTAATAATGTGATTTCATGTTCTATCATCTTCTCTTTATTGGATTCTTTTATTTGAACAGTTGATATGAATTTTGCAATCAACAGGCCATGGGTTTGAAAGAACATACTGTGGAATCTGACAGGCTGGGTTCAAATCCCAGCATAGTTACTTACCAGTTGTTAGGGCTCAAACAAGTGAATCAACATCTATGACCCTTAGCTTGCTTCCTCCTTTATAAAATGAAAATAATAACCATAATTCCTGGAAGGGCTGCATGAGGATTAAATGAGAGACCACATCGGCCAGTGCTCAAGATGTTCAGAGCACATGCACTGCCTAGGAGTCTTTTCAAGCACAGGGGCTGATTCAGGGGCACAGAGTGGCGGGATTTTTGCATTTCCCACAAGCTCCCAAGTAATGCAGATGTTGCTGGTTGGTGGACCACTTTAAAGCTTTCAGTATGTCTTCATTATTATTAATGTTAATGATTATATTCTACTCCATAGCTACAGAACCAGTTAGAGATTGTGACAGTTTATATCAGAACTCTCCAATGAATGAATCAAGTTTGTCTCTGCAGTCTGCAGTACAACAAGATGGGAGCCTCGTGCCTTATGCCCCTACAGTGCTCCCCCATTTACTCCTGCCTGGATCTGGTCTAACAGTCCACTCACTGACCCATAACAGCCAGGAATGTGGAAATAATTCATGTTTCTAAGTTAAGTTCCTTAAAACTGCATGTCAAAAACCATAGCAACTTGAAATATCAGAATTAATCCACAATCACAAGAAACTTATCCTCAACACTTATTTCTCAGATTATGATAAAAATGAAGGATTTTTTCAAATATCAAGTTTACATATACATATATATATATGAAGATATTATCTATGAACATTTTGTCTAAATGGAGGGTGAGGCAGAGAAATGTACAAATATGAAATTCAATTTAAAAAATATAGATAGTGTACTTAACTAGTTTGGTCCCTGGCACACAGTGAAAGGGCCCAAATGGGAACTGGTGCTATAAATAATTGCTTCCTTTTTCTTGTGTTAAGACAGAAAGGATGGGGATTGAATGGGGAGATACTAGGCTGAACTGGGTTAAACCGGACTAGGGACATGAAGTAAAACTAGAAATTCATGATCACAAGCTCCCAAACTAGTCCTGACATTTTAATTTGGCAACTGAATTACTCACAAAGGAAGCAACATCTGTCTCTGTCATCCCTTAGCATTCCTTTCTGAACTCCTCCTCTTGTTGCCTAGAGGCCTAGCACCTAATGCTGTCTTAAATCTGCCAGCCTCTTCGGGCAGCACGTTTTACCCCCCTTCCTCCCAGAATGGATCAAAACCTTCCAGGGTTCACTGCCAGTCGGGGGAAAGCAGTACACTTGACCCTTGAATGACAGGGGTTTGAACTGTGCGGGTTCACTTATATGCGAGTGTTTTTCAATGAAAGTCACACCAAGTGTGCCTGCCTGTCCTGCTTCCCTTTCTACCTCCTCTATCTCCTCTGCCTCTGCCACCCCTCAAACAGCAAGATCAACCCCTCCTCTTCCCCCACCTCCTACTCAACCTGAAGATGACAAGGAGACCTTTATGATCATCCACTTCCACTCAATGAATAGTAAATATATTTTCTCTGTCTTATGATTTTCTTGATAACATTTTCTTTTCTCTAGCTTACTTTATTGTAAGAATACAGATGATACATAAAGCACACAAAATATGTGTTAATCAACTGTTTATGGTATTGGCAAAGCTTCTGGTCAACAGCAAGCTATTAGTTAAGTTTTGGTGAAGTTAAAAATTTGTTAAAAGCAGTGTTTTGACTGCAGGGGGTTGGTGTCCCTAAGCCCTGAGTTGTTCAATGGTCAACTGTAATTCAGGGTGTGAATGAGTCCAGATACTCCCAGGAAAGGTCTGGATTATGAAGAGCATTTTCAAGTGGCATTGGCTCTATCTTCCGGTGGAGATGGTGCTGCAGGGTTGGAGGTGCAGAATGGGCTGGTGGAGTGGGGGTCACTAAGAAGCTTGAGTCCATCCTCAGCCCTCTCCTTCCAGGTCTCTCCAATTCCCTCAGCTATCCAGGGTTACATAAATGAACTCATCACTAGAGGCCTGCACCATCTTCCTGCTGCCCTGCAGCCCACAGGATTAAACACAACCAAAGTCCCTGCCTGGAGAAAGAGGAGCTGAATCACACACCTCAGGATGGAGAGGGTCTTCAGAGAAAGGAAATTCTCATTGGGGGTGAAAATGTTAAAAGCTAGCCCAAAGCACACTACGTACATGCAGGAGTTGCCTAAAAGCACATATGATTAAAAACTCCAAAGAAAACGCAGACACTTTTCACTTACGATACTGTAAGATAGCTCCCACCTCTGTTATTTTTGAAAATTCTGTTACCCAAAGCTTGGGCAAAATTTATGATATCCACCCCTGCCAAATAAAAAAACCCTGTCTGTCATGAATGAAAGTTTGCTGTCATATGTAAGTGGATCTTTTTTAGGGAGAAAGAAAAGGCTCTGTCAGGTTGCTATATGCTATAAGCTAAAAGGTAAGAAGTCTGGCTGTAAAGAAAGTGTTGAAAGGAATTTGGAGTATCACTGAAAACCCAGAACATGCCTCATTAGGTTCAGCTTCCTGTAGTGCTAGTGTGGGCATTGCAGGGTCTGTCATCCAGTTTATGGTCATGGGCATTAGATAACACAACCTCATATTCAGGTTTAATCTCAACCCATACCCTTTGCTGTAGTGTATCTCGAACAGCTGAAAAGATCATTTATTTCTGGGCCATCTAGAAGCTCATGCTGTCATAAAGACTCAAAACCATTCAGCACCCATCTTCTCTTGAAAGAGAAGAGTAGGCAAAGGAACAGTTTTCATAAATCTGAAAATCCAAAAGAACTTTATAGGGCCCAAAACTTTAAGAGTTCACCTGTTTCCCCTCTGATGATCATGTAGCAAGCAGAGAATTATTTCAGCTTTAAGGGCATAAATCCACTAATTGCCCAGCCTCTATGAATCCCTCTTGAGGGCAAGGACTGAATCCTGCTCCTCTCTGCAGCACTTAGCAAGCAGAAAGATGCTCAGTTAACAGTGGATGAACTGAATTCAGCATCTTAGAGCACTAAAAACGTTAATTAAAGAAGTGTGCCTGTGCAATGTTTCAAATGTTAAAGCTACGTTTTCTTTCATGTTAGTTTATCAAGGTCAATCCATATCCCCTTTTTTTGAACCAATTAATTCATACTACCTTATCCCTTATATAAATTCTCCAAAGAAATCTTTAAAAAGGCAACTTGACTATTGGTACAATGCAATGAATGACAGATAAGTAAAATCGATTCTACAAATAAAAGTTCTAACATATGACAGACCTACAGATGACTAGTTTACATGTACGTTCCTAAGACTTCAAAGACACATACTACACAGGAACTCCTGTATCGATTCTGCTTTCAAAATGGCAGTTAAAACACCAAAAGGTGTCTTGAAACTCAAGTTTTATTGGATAACTGAAGTAGGGCTTTGACTGGCCTGGACCCACCTGGATGATCATCCAAGTGGTCTCACATATAACTAGTGGTCCTCGGAAAACAAAGGCTTCTTCCTGCTTGAAAACTACTTAGTAATGACAAGAGGGTGGCCTTTTGGTGACATTTGCTTGGGGAGTCAAATTTTAAAATCAGGGTGATACAAAGATTTAAGTTTTGGATGAATGGGATCCACTTTCTCCCTGGCAACAAATATTTCTTTTTCTGTTTCATGGGTCAGCTTGAGTACAGAGTGAACTGACATCAGATATGAGTTTATATCAATTTAAAATAATACTCCTGAATACTGGTTACAACATTAATATGTGAGTGCATGGAAGAGAATATAAAGGTACAGATTTCTTTCCCAAAATGACTGCTGCAAAACACTGAGTGCATCACCTTTTAACTGTCTTTATTTTGATCTAGTTTAAACAGATAAAGAAGCCAAAATTTTGCCAATGAGACTACTTGCCAGGTGGAAAACGATTAATTTATAGACTCCTGGTACAAAAGCCAAAACAGTAGGCGCTCAGTAACTACTTCCTGAATGAAGAAAGTTATATACTTATGTACAAAACATTTAGTTTCTCCACCAACTTGAACTTTTCATAAAGGAGAGCAAACATTCTTGCAGTAGAAAAAGGAATGTAGCCACAAACTAATATTGAAAATCAGAAAAATACCCACTCTTTAAAAGGCAGTTAATCTTAATAGCTCCAAATAACCATGGCAAGAAGTCTTGTTACAATCGCTATACTCCTTTCATGTTTATAAAAATTTGATTCCATCTATAAGAAATAAAGAACATCCCTCCCTCTTAGTCTTCAAATTCAAAATAGGACCTTAGCAGTTATTTCAATAATACATAAAATGCATGCCTTTCACTATTAAGTAGATACATTAAATATTCCTTCTTCCTTGCCCCTATAGCACCTGAGTGGATTCCCTGAGCTGTCAGCCTCTGGCTTCTCCTCAAAGGTAAGTTAATGAACAACTAACTGTGTCAGCCTGCTTGCAGCCTGCTGCAGTTTCCACTCTGCTAACTATAAGGACCAACGGCCCACACTGAAGACAATAAAACACAAACAGGGGATGTGTACCAGCCCCCAAAATCTTTCCACTAATAGATGTCCTCTCTACAGAATTCCTTAAAAGTATTTCTGGAAATAATCTAGGTTAGGGTCAAGCAAGTGCAACTAAAGACACCTTTGTCACAGCTTGCAAATGCTTCACACTTTTGTTTAGCACAGGAGAGAGACATGTCTACAAAAACTGTAGTGACAAAACTATGACATTCAGAATCTAAACTTTATTAGTATTTTCTCCTCTGAGAATGATAAAGAACAAAATTATAAATCTCTATCATCCCTCTAAACTGAAGTACTGTTCTCTGAGGTAGGAAAAATGCTCTATTTTTATGCAAAGAGAATAGTTATAAGGATGGACGATACAGTGGTAAGCAGTTTAAAATGGACTACATGACCTCCACCTGGCAGCTTGCAAACCGTACCAATAACTGGATCATTTTAGATCACAATAGCTATTTGGGGGACAAGGGAACTAAAACTACACTTTACTTTTAACACAACCATTCAAGAGAATTAAAGAGTGGACCAGTTAAAGCGACCATCACAACCATCGCCATAATTCCTCACTCCCCCCAAAAGCCAGATACTTCACATGAGCAATCACACATTCCATAATCTTTGTTAATCCTTGAATGCATTCATTTTTTAACCAGTCCCATAAATAATATACTTAACAACACCCTCAAGAAGTAAAAAGAGTAAATGCATTTAAAGAAGCAGGCTCTTCATCTTTAGGGAAACTTGCAACATTAGTAGAAAATCAAAACATCAGTGTGTGACCTGTCTGTTATCGAGATGTCTCTAAGATGGTCAACAGTGGAATTCCGTATGACACTACTTGATAAAGTCCAGTCAGTATTAGGCTAGAGAGCCTATGTTTATGATTAAGTAATAATGACTGAAGCTGGAGCTGCACAGGGCATTTCCTGCGGATTAATGACCAGCCAGAAGAGTTGATGACCCAAAGCAATGCCACAGGCCAGCAACCTCAGCTAGGCATTAAGCCCCAGGAAATGCACTGAACCTCAACTCTTACAGTGATTTTAATATACAAAGAAGGAAAAAGTTTGCTCTCAGCTTTCTACTGAGCAATACTTCGACTGCTCAGACTTCATAAGTGAAAAGCTGACTACTAAAAATGTGCAAACTGAAAACTTTTTGTAGTGTTTTAACTAACAGGGACTTGGAGCTAAGATCTTGTTTGAGAGCCATAATAATCATATAAGCCATATATGGACACTCAAATCTATATTTAACTTAGGAGTTACCTGACAATAATGCAAGAATAATAAAAGCATCAGTATACAGTTTTTTGGAACTGATTTATTTTACTCAGGTAAATAAAAGATAATGACTGAAAGACTGCATTCCTTAGAACAAAACAAAACCAATGAAACGAAACCCTCTTATATTTTGTGGTTCTTTACGTCACAATTCTATATTACACTGGTGTCAAGAAACCAGCAGACAGATGCCAGTAGACAAATGGTTTCATTGTTATCCCAAGGCCATGCACGCCTTAATAAACTTTCTTAGACTTTTAACTCTTAATTAATCAGGTGCTATTCTAAATTAGGGCATTTCAAGGGTTTTTACTGTATCAGAAGAATATGAACATTTATTTTTGCTTTCAAAGAAAAAGCAAACCCTAAATTCTCCTCTCCATTCTTAAAATTCACTAACACAACCTGTCAGAAATAGACTACACACCTGAAGTACAGAAGACACATAGCCTACAGGTCTTGTGTATTTTAGAGAACTTTGGTGTTTATATTACCACTCGCAGCCCCTTTCTCAGTTGGCCTTGAGGCTTGCCCATTAGCTGGTAAACGTTTGAAAGGGTCAGTGTGTCCAGAACTGGAATTTCCACTTTGGAAAAAGCACAGAGGTACCTGACATATGTTCCTGGAGGGCCTGCACTATACCTTCAGACCTGCAAAATTCCTACTTCTGCTTGATGGCAGGCAGGTCAAAGTTGTAAAACCTCCAGTGGGTACTCCTGCCTGCAGAATAGAACACAGTGTCCAAAGACCCCTGGTTTCTGACTCCTAGACTAGAGAGTGTCCAAAACATGAATATAACTTTAATAATACTCACGAAAATACTACCTTGGGGAAAATAAGGAAAGAAGAATCTAACACTAGAGGCCCCAGTCTCGACCCAGAATTTGGCACTGCTTAGACTTAAATCATGTTAGGGTGGAAATAGTTTCTTCCTCTTTGATGAGGATAGTGAAGCCAAGGAGAAGTGAAGTGATTTGTCCATGCTGACTCAGCTGCTGGGATAGCACTCTTACTCTAATTATCTACTTCGTAGGTATTATCTGCCCCCTAGATAGTGAGCTCCGTGGGGCTAGGGGGAGACAGCAATGTTTCAGTGCCCACAGTGCTGGGCACCACAGGCCCATACTCCAATTTGTAGCCTGACTGGAATTGCAGATACCACGTTCCCACTTTAGTTTATGGAAATTGCACCCCACACTGCCAGTTTACATTCAACTACATGTTACAGTATAAACTGGCACTCAACTGCCTGGCTCTCCACTCTCCACCCCTTTTCTTTAAAAAAAAAAAAAAAAGCTACAGGAAGTGGGATTGGCACGTTTTCTTTTCAATAATTTATAACTGTTTTTCTACCTTCTAAGGTCATGGCGAATACGTAATAGAGTCTTTTAAGGGTTACTTGATTCAAATATGTCTTAAGTAACTGCTTCCTTTACATTTACAGTGTTCTCGCAGTCTTTGCCTTATAAAACTCATGCATTCAATGAAGAGCGGCTGCAAGAGTGAGCTAATCCTTTTGTTCGGCGAACTTTGAAGTTTTTCGCCTTACTGCACAGCAGTGATTTGTTAGGTAGCATGCCCTCTCTCACATCTTTTAAGGTTAGGTGTAAAGTTTCCCAAAAAGCACCAAGAGAGTTAACTTCTAAGGGTGAAACGAAATCCGATTCAGTACATTACCTACTTTTTAAAACTTCCCCCCTACCCAGAGCTGCATTAGCACAAAAGTTAGTCCCGAAGTGGTACCAAAGAAACATTTCATGCATAGAGTTTGGTTTGGTTACCTGGGTGGGGGAAACAATAGCAGGTGAAACTATTGTGGGAGAATTGGTGCTTCTGTGCCCATTGGCTTCTGGAAGAAGAGGCAGGGGGTCGTGTTTCACGGAAACCACCACCACCGCATCCACAGGCTCCGAGGGGCGGATACAAAGTCTTTTGGGGGAAGTGGGGCCGCAGATTTCCCCCGACCCGAACACAGACTCGTACAGGGCGCGCTTGGGCGCAGCCTCGGATTTCACGTCGGGCCCGACCTGGCTGTCTTTGGGGAGGATGTAAGTGTTCCCCAGCGAGGGCGGCTGGGGGCGGTGGTGGTGGGAGGGATGGGTGGGGGGGTGGTGGGAGTGGTGCCGTGCCGCCCCGTTCAGAGCCTCGGCGTAGCAGCCCTGCGGGGCGGGCGAGCCCAGCTTGGTGCCAATGCCCGCGATGCTGTTGAGCGTGGCGATGGAGACGGCGCCGATGCAGTGGTTGGTGTAGGTCTTGGAGAGCTTGGCCGCCTTGGAGAGCATCTGCATCCGAGTGCCTAGCAAGTTCTTGCCGATGGCTTTGTTCTCGTACCAGGTCACATCGCCCTCGCTGCAGTGGTCCCGGGGCCGCTGGAAGAACGCCTTGCAGAGAGGGTTGCGTTTCGACAGGTACTTGACGAAGCTGGCGTAGGGGCAGAACTCGGTGCCCGTCTCATACATGCGGGGCAAGTTCTCCTCGTCGCTGCTCTCGGCGCGCTTCTTGCTCCACGACGACGAGCGCGACTTGTGGTAGGGCCCGAGGGACTTGAAGTAGACGAACTTGCGACCGTCCTCGTCCATGGCCAGCCCAAAAGAGTCCTCCTCCAACTCACGCTGGTTCTCGCGGCCGCGGGTACAGAAGTACATGCACGTCTCGAACCAGACCTTGTTGAGCAGCCCGAAGGGCGTGTTGGTGCTGAAGACGCTGGAGGTGTACAGCTTGCGCAGGTCGGCGCGCGTGATGGCTTGCTTCTGCACCACCGGCCCGGCGCCCTGCTCCTCGAGCTTGCGGATGACCGCGGCCAGCGTCAGGTTGGCGCTGCGCAGCTCGGGGTCCTTGGTGAGGTCGAGCGTGCGGCAGTACGGGGGCTCATTGAGGTAGCGGTTGAGGGAGCTGCGGATGCTGATGAGCGACGACTTGCTGTAGAGCTGGCCGCTTTTGGAGCGGGCCTCGGCATAGAAGGAGCGCAGCACGCGGCACAGCGCCCCCTTGTCCATGGTCTCGAAGTCCGGGCTCTGCGCCTTCTCGCTCAGGTACTCCCGGAAGATGCGCACGGCGTAGCGGGTGGCCAGCCGGGTGTTCTCGCTCAGCCGGGCCCGCTCGGGGCGCTGCAGCACGTCGGGGTCCAGCTCGGAGCCGTCCCCGGGCGGCCCACCGCGGGCCCGGGGCGCCAGCAGTCGCGGCGGCGCCTCGGGCTCCAGCGCGGCGCTCTGGTCCATATTGATCATATGGACCGGCTCGGGCTCCAGCTCCTCCCCGGCCGAGTCCTCGGGCTCCAGGGGCTCGTCCCAGTCCAGCCCCATCTCCTCCTCTTCCTCCTCCTCCTCGTCCTCCTCCAGCCCCCCACCTCCGTCCTCCTCCTCCTCCTCGTCCCCCGTTATCTGCACCTCCTGGATCTCGTCCTCCTCCTCCTCTTCCTCCTCCTCCTCGCCCGCGCTGCAGTAGTGCGGACGGCTGTGGCGGCGGCCGCGGCCCCCCGCGCCGCGCTCGCCCTCGCCCCGCTCCCCATTGTTCTCGGCGGCGGCGGCGGCAGCGCTGGCGCTGCCGCCCGCGCTGGTGTTACAGTCCCCGCTGCCAGGCATTCTCGCCATATTGCCGTCTCTCTGCCAGTCCTCGGGCAGGGCGCATGCGCTATATTGGACCGCAGCGCTGAGAGCTTTTGTGTTTAATGACCTTCAGCTACCGGGAGGCAAAGCCGGGCTCTTAAAGGAGCCGCGCTCCAATTGTCATTCCCGAGCGCAGCTCCGGAGGGGCAGCGGCGCGCAGGGGATGGAGGGGAGGGGGGAGGGGGGGACAAGTTAGACCGGAGAGATAGGGTAAAGGACGGAGGCTGACCAGACCTTCTTCCTCCCCCACCCGGCTCCCACTTCTAAGAAAACTTTGAAGGAAAAAAAAAAGGAAAGGGAGGGAGAGCTGTCGGTGGGGGCGAAACACTCCCAACTTACCCTCTGGCGGAGAATTGCGCGGGCCCGGGCGGGAGAGAGGGAGGGCCGGCGAGAGGGCGGGACGGTCTCGTTTCTCTAAGTAATGCCCGAGGAGCAGTGCCCCTTCCACTGCCCCCTCATTGCCCCCCGGAGCCGGGGGGTCGGGGCGGCGGCTGCGCCGGGCGGGCCGCGGGTGCTGCCGCGGGAAACCCGTGTCTGGGGCCGCCCGGAGCGGAGCGGAGCAGGCAGGTTAATGAGCAGGGTGGAGGAGGCACGGCGAGGCCCCGCACCCTCTCGGCGCCCGCGGCCAGGGCGCAGCGGGCGAGGCTTGGGAGCGGGATGGGGCTGGCGGCGGCGGCGGCTCCCCCACCTACTTGCTGGCGGCGAGGCGCGGGGGCCTGGGGCCAGCCGCGCGGCTCCCAACTCCCTTTCCGACTCTTGCAAAGGAGCGAAACACGCCCCACGTCAGCCACATCCCTTTCGACTTTTCCAACAGCCACATTTAAGCTGTCATTAAAGACCTGGGGCGCTCCCCGTAGGTCTGGGGCAAGTCCGCGCCGGTCCAGCCAGCCCCGGGAAGGAGCGAGGCAGAGAAGACTGGGAGGGGCCGGTGGGAGGGGAGACGAGGGAAGAGGCGCTTGGGACCCCAGGGGCCACAGG
Organism: Homo sapiens; assembly: GCF_000001405.40. Taxonomy (NCBI): domain Eukaryota; kingdom Metazoa; phylum Chordata; class Mammalia; order Primates; family Hominidae; genus Homo; species Homo sapiens. Next base: position 26,549,530 of record NC_000018.10, read on the forward strand.
GACCCTTCCCCACCCGCCCAGGGCGCCGCCCTCCCTGCCCCTGAGCAAAGTGACACAACTCCCTCGGGCGAGGCGCTCCACCAAGCTGGAGCTGAAGTCTCCCTAAGGCCCATCGGGCAGGCGGAAAAAGCGAACTTGTGTCTCGGCCGACCCTGCCGCAGCCACAATTCGGCAATTCGGATCCGGAGCGCACTCTCACTCAAAGTTTGCCAACCGCCATTCGTTCGCCCTCCGGGCTGCGCTGCCTCAGGCGCGCGGGGGCGGGCACCTCGGAAACTGGAAAAGCAGCCAAAGAGCTCGCCGGGTCTCGCTTTCCCATAGGAGACACTGCCCCACTTCCAGCCAAACGCCCGCCCCCGGCGCGCCCAGGCTCCGGGCGCGTCCTTGCGTCGCCGCCTCCCGCTCTCCCGGCCCAGGGGCAGCTTCCCAGAGCCGCCGGGGACCTCGGCTGTTCTCTTAGGAGGCACAGCCCAGGCCACTCTCGGAGCTCGTGCTGCATCCTAACTTTCACCTTCTCCCGCAGCCCGTGTGTACCCTGGCGCGCGGGCCAGCTGCGAGTCCCTGGGGTGAGGGGACACGAGGGAGTCAGGTCCCCAGCAGTGCGCCCCGGTGCCAGGCCGTCCTGCTGGGAGGCAGCCTCGCCTGCTCCTCGGGTGCGTCCTCGAATTTACCTCCAAGTCCGAATTCTCGGCAGTTAGGCTGTGAGAGTTATGTCAACTGCCTGTTTCCCCCTTCCCTGGCCCTCCTGTCTTGCTCTCAAGGGAAGCATTTTACGCATCAATTGAAACCCATCCATCAATTTGCATTTTTTTTTTTTAAGAAAGAATGAAAGACCAGGTCTCAGGGCAGTGTGGGCTTCTGAGTGGGAGTTGACGATGTCTTTTTCTGCAGCGAACGCTGCTGGTCCTCCGCGTGCCTGCCCGGCCCTGGACGCCACCCGAGCTTCGGGGAAACCGCGCCAGGTGTGAAACAAGTTAGAGCAAGTCCCTGCCTCGCGGGCCGCCTCCGGCTCCTTAGGGAAACACAAGACACACAGACACACACACACACACACACACACACACACACACACACACCACGCTCTCATCCGCCCGGCTCTCCGCGGAGAACCGTCCGGGAATCGTCCCCGAGGTGCGGCGCGGGAGGTGGCCGGCTTTGTTCACAATGCACTGCCCGCCGCACCCGCCCTGGACACGTGCAGAAAGGCGTGCTCGTTTCTCCGAGGCTGCGGTGAGCAGCTAAGTTAGTTGCACACTGGGACCCCCACATACGAGCTGGCACACACTAGTCACACACGGCTAATTCCAGAGGGCTGGCCCTTTGTCCTGGGACGCTCCCAGGTTTTCGGGCCGCGGTGCGGAGAACTCAGGTGGGTGCCCGGCAAGTTACCTACCAGGGGCTGTTCCCCCGCGACCCTCGCCATAAGCGCAGGGACCCGGGGGCCGCGCTGGCTCCGGGCTGCGCTCCTGGCTTGGCAGGGGACCAGGCCCACGCTGCAGCCTGGGAGCGGAGCCGCCCCCCAGGTCTCCCCACCTCTGCGGGCGGCGGGGTCCACCCCCCTCCCACCAGCTCCCCTCCCTACTGGGCGAGCTGCTTTGAATTGCTCGCAGTTTGCCGGAGGCGGTGTGCTGGGTTGGACGCTCCGGGAAACAAAGCAACCCAAAACAGCTCCCAGTTGACGTCAACTTATTTCCAGAAAAGAAAATAGTTTTGTGCTCCCAGGACAAAATATCCCCCAGGGCAGGTCTCTACTGGCAAAAGTCAGGGGAAGGAGGTGGGGTGTAGCAGAACCGAAAAACCCCAAGCGCAAATAACTTTTTAACGGACTTGGAAAAGCAGCAGTTTTGGGTGCTGCTTGGACAGTTTGCAAACAACGGGCAGGACCCGCGCTTAAATTCGATATGAAAAACGCACCTTGGAAAGTATGCCTTGGCCTGATTATCGGGCAACTGTGGATCTGCTTCGTTGCACCAGCTCCGGAAAGGCTACCAAAATGATCTGCCCGTAGGATACTTCATTAAATACTGGAAAAGAAGACGTCTTTGGGCTACTATCTATAGGAGTCACGGGAAGAACACCCAGAAAAACAGATATATACCCTGCTTCCCCTCGACCAAAAGAAAAAAAAAAGTTGCTTAATTTTTAAAACCCAATAACACAAAATTACAGTGGAGTTCATAAAGTAGTTCAATTCCAAGTTTAATAAATGATCCCTTAAAAACATCCTGTGGTTCCATACACTCAATTCCAAAATGAAAGAATCAAAAAAGCTTTCTTCTTATTATTTCTGTAGAGGCAATATTGGTTGTCGTTCTGCCTATCAGGCAGCATCCAATTCCTCTACTTGACCTCTCCATATCATGAAGTCCGTTCAGACTACCACCTTGACAATCGAAGCTGCCGGTCACCCCTTTGAAAGGATGCTTTTTATTTCTTGTGCAGGATACATGACTTCTTTATAATCCCAGTACTATAGGGAACATTTATTGCAATTATTTAACTGTCAGAACTCTCTAAACTATGGTAAGATGTTTACAACTTTTAACAAGATTCTCCACCTTTTGCTGGTGGGGGTGGGGGGTCTCTTTGTATATTTGTGCTTCTCCACTTCTCAGAATACTTGAAAATAGTGACATGGTTATTTCGGCATGAAAAACTCCAAATGTTTCCCCCTCGATTCATAACCCAACTACTTCCATTTCAGGCTCACATTTTATGAAAGGTTATACTATACAGAAACATATTCAGCTCTTCCTCCTTTTTGCTTCCAGTTTTCTGAGTATCATCTGTTAATATACTGGATATAGTTGGTTTTTATCTGCCTGTTTCCTCTCTACTAAAGCAACACACACCCTTGTAGTTTCAGTCTGGTGCCTGGGGACATGGTGAGCACTTGTCATTTATATTGAATGAAGAGAATCTGTGTTTGGTTAAATCTTACATTTAGCAGGGAAGTTTTTGTGAAAAATTAAAAATAACATGAATCTGAAGCTCTGTATTAAAAATCAGGACAAATAGTAACTACAAGGCAACATTATTGTTTGCAAGTTAAAATGAATTTAATGGCTGCTTTGGATGAATATTTCCTTATCATTAATTCCCTCTCTAGTGGAACATGCTTTAGAAACTTATTGCAGAAGTAGAGTGAGGGACCCTTTTCTTGCAGTAGAGTTAATGTTGCCCCTTCTGAAGGCAGATCTGGGGAATGGAAGTGTCTCTATTAAGAGAGGTGGGCTGGGGAGGATTTAAATTGTTAAATTTCAGAAATTTTGTGGGCTCTTGAGAGCAGAGGCCAGAAAAAGCATTTAGTTCATCATTTTAAAGACACAAATTAAAAGAGACGCCATACTGTCTTGATGTAATTACTGAAAGATTCATAAAGGGCTTTCAAGGCTAAATATGAATTCAAATTGAAACTATTTTGGTATATCTTGGTTTTAGAGGTTTCTTTTTCTTTCTTTTTTTTTTTTTTTTCTTTTGAGACAGGGTCTTACTCTTTCACCCAGGCTGGAGAGCAGTGGCATGATTATGGCTCACTGCAGCCTCAACTTCCTGGGCTCAAGTGATCCTCCCATCTCATCTTCCCAAGTAGCTGGGACTACAGGCCTGCTCCACCAAGCCTTCCTAATTTTTGTATTTTTTGTAGAGATAAGTTTCCCCATGTTGCCTATGCTGGTCTTGAGCTCCTGGTCTCAAGTGAGCCACCACTCCTGTCTCAGAGTTTAGCTATTAATTCTGTTGAATTCAACTGAGAATCATCTTGAGTAATGTTTTTTGAACTCAGATGAAAATTGAACCCATGTCATCTAAGTTGACAAAGTGTAAGAAAAGAAAAATAACTCCACAGGAGCAGAAACTTTGTCTTATTTATTTCTGTATTTCCAGTTCATTTCCAATTCAGTTTCTTGGTATATTTTAGCAGAGTGACTGGCACATAGTAGATACCCAATAAATATACGCACATTTATGTGTGGGGAGAAAGCTAACTTCAACAAAAGGCTGTATAGCAGAGTGGTGAAAAACTCTCTCTGAAGCCAGCCTACCTGGGTGTGAATCCTAGTTTGCCTTACTAGCCACCCTTTTCTATGGCTCAGTTCTCTCATTTTATTACCTGGGTGATAATGATAACAGTCCCTACCCCTTGGGATTGTTTTGAGAATTAAATAAGTTGATATGCACAAAACACTTAACACATTGTCTGGAACATTCATACACATTTGACCATTACTTCTTATTTATTAAGGCTCTATTGTTTCCCAAGCTTGATAGCAAACAAGAAAACTAAGGCCAGAGAGGGTAAAAAAAAAAAAAAAAAAGGTGAAGACATTTGCCCAAGGTCTCCCAGACCTGACCAGGGCAGGCAAGTCTGGTTCCATAGGCCATGCTTGAACCACTTGACCATATTCAGCCTCTAGGAACCAAAGAATGAAGAGAGAAAGAGAGACAGAGAGAAAGAAAAGAAAAGATAAAAAGAAAAAAGAAAAGAAGATGAAAGAAAAGAAAGGAAGGAAAGAATGAAAGAAATAGGAAGGAAAGAAAGAATCTTCAATAATTCAGAAAGAAAGAAAAAGAAGGAAGGAGGGAAAGAAAGAAAAGAGAAAGAAAGAATAATCAAGGGAACAATTCAGAAGGAAAGAAAAAGAAAGAAGGAAGGAAAAAAGAAAGAAAAGAGAATCTTCAAGGGAACAATTCAGAAAGAAAGAAAAGACGAAAGACAGAGAGAAAGAAAAGAGAAGAGAAGAAAGAAAGAAACTTCAAGGGAAAAATTCCCTACCATTAAAATACCCCTGTGTATAATAGGATTTGGGAAACTTGGAAAGGCAGAATAGTACTTTGCCAAGGTCTTGGACTGTGACACACGTATAAATGGACTGAGAAACAGTGTCACCTTTGTCACTTGGCCACCTAAACACTGGTACATGTTTTCTTGGCTATTGGAAGTAGGGACCCATCTGTGTCTTAGAAGAAATGGCAGTGAAGAATTCATAGACAAAAGGAACGCCCACAAATTCAACCAGACTAGAAAGAGGCACTTTCTATTGAAATCCTGGGCTATTGTAAATCTCCTGGGGCAAAGAGGGTATTCCTATTTTTTTCTTCAATGCTTTGTCAAAAAACAGGCAGAGTAAACTTAATGCAGTAATTGACAGGAATAGAATATTTAGTTCCTAATTGCTACCTGGTAACTACAATTCTAGGTCTTTCCACCTAATAATCACCTACTTGTTTCCTAGGCTATTTGTAAAACAAATAATGTACAAGAGAAATGTAGTTTTCCATAAGTAAATTGGGTTTTTATCGAGCCTAAGAGTGTACCATCTCTCATTGTTATAATATTCTGATCATGAAACTTCACTTGGTTAATAAAGAAGTCAAATGTAAAGGTTGTCAAAGTTAAATGAAACCTAAAATTCAGAATGATAGTCATTTCTTTCTCTATCTTCTAGTTGTATATATTGGTAAAAGGTATGTGGGATTAAAGTGGACATTAGTCCTGCTATTAAATAAAATTTTATTTCAGTGTCATTGGAATACTAATTATGGTGGAAAAGGAGATAAAGGTATGTGATAATATGTCATGTAACAAATATGTATTTTTTAAATAATGGAAGAACTACTTACAATGGTCTCACAATCTAAAATATTCCTGAAACGATTTGCTGTTATTTCAAATAAAGTGGTCTACTAAGTTAGTAAAAGCAAAACAAATACGAACTTAAACACTTTCTACCCAAATGTTGGTACGAAAATGTTATCCTTATCTTCTTTTACTATCAATATAAATTAAAATATCCTTTTACAGGAAAATCGCTTGAACCTGGGAGGCGAAGGTTGCAATGAGCCGAGATTGCGCCACTGCACTCCAGCCTGGGCAACAAGAGTGAAACTCCGTCTCAAAAATGAAAATAAAATAAATAAAAATGAAACAGCCTTTTAAGAATGCAATTATTAGGCAACGTCTTCAAAAGCCATGAAAATGTTCATATGCTTTGATGCACAAATTGCTTCTAGAAGTTCATCTTAGGAAATATCCTGCTTTACTTGTAGTTTGGTAAAGTTTGGTTTATTGCATCCAGGCCACTTGGACAAATGAATTTTGTGGTATATGTCACAAACTATGCTGTAGAACTGCATTTTATACTGTCTTAGAGACCTCTCTTTGTTCACAGAAGTTTAGAGAATAAGTATTTGTGGAATGGAGAAGAAAGAAGTTCAATTAGGGTAAAATCACATCTTATCAATGTTCTATAGCAATGTCAGTTACCATTTAATGAGTATCGATAATGATAGTGAAATAAACGATATGTACTTAAAGGGCAAAACAAGATAAATTTTAAAGCTCGTATTTCAATATCTTCATGACATTGAGAAAGTTTAAGGACCAGATTTTGAAGCTCTAGATATCAGAAACTGGTATCTGGGTGTATTGGGGCAATTCACAGGATGTGTGGAGGAGTGGGTATGTACCTGCCCCGTGGCTGTGTTTCTAAATGAACTAAAAAAGAAAAAAAAATCCCCTTTTAAATACCCAGAAGCACTAACCCACATTTTGAACTAATTGACTTACTTTTTCTTAGGAAAGCTTAATTTAACTGATAGGGGCACATGGGTTTATCTGAATATTTAAAGAAGCCCTGGGATGGGTTTGTTCTATTTCTTTAATTTGATGCTGGAGATCCAGGCTTTGCACCTGATGGAAGGAGACTGCCTTGGAGAGGGGCAGAGAAGCAGGAAACATTGTGACCTGGCCCCTCTCTTCTGTGACCTAAGTTTGCAGAGCCAGGGCATCATTGCTCCCAGGGGAAGCCTCACCATTCTTCATGTTTAGTCTTCCTACAGCCTGTCCCTGGATTAGGATACCCCAGGGGTCACATGGTGTCATTACTCCCAGTAAAAACAATCTCCCCTGACATGGATTGCATCTGTTGTTTTACAATCTTTTCTCTCTTTATAGCTCATTCCCTTAAACTAAAAAGCACAAAACAAAAATGTGGTTTATCATTCTTTTCTGATTATAAAAGCAGTGTGTGTTCATTGGCAAAGATTTGGGAAGTACAGAAATCTGGAAACATACATGCATCATAGTTCTTTCTTGCTAACGTTTAGTGAATGCTTGCTGTGGGCCTAGGTTTTTACATTAACACTCTCGATTTCTTCTTATGAGTATATGTGAGGGTTGTTCCTATTCCTATTTCACATGTGTAGAAACCCAGAGAGCTTCAATAACTTGCCCAACCTCACAGAGTTAGTGAGGCCAGACTCTAGGGCACACATACTTTCTGAACAACTCACCAGGCCAGGACCTTTCAGTTCTATTTCCACTGCCTAGAGAAAACCACCCAAATACATTTGGGTGTTATTTCTGTGAATTCAATCACATGCCATTTACCTTTTAAGTACTACATACAATATTTGAAAATCTGTAATTCAAACTACGTAATCAGTGGATTTTTGGCAAACTCCGCCAAGCACCTGCTAAGAGACAGGAAGGAAAGAAGGGTCTCTCCAGGAACTCCCTGACTCCAGGGAGGGGCAAATTTTCAATAAGCCCAAAATGGTCAATAGTGTTTCTTCTGTTAATAGCATTCCTCCTGTCTTTCTCATGGTTATCTTAGTGCAATCTGCCGTAGAAAACACACAAACTTATTCTCTGTCCAACTCTGGGAAGTTAGTTGAACTGTCAGAGTTTGAGGATGAATTCCTCAAGCTTTTTTTGCTATTCATATGGTATTACATACAGAATACAGCTTTTAAGTGGATGGTCACTGAAATGCCCAGGAAAGTGTTTGCTGTGGCTACTGTTCCCAGTGCTGTGATACTTTGGATATTGTAAGTGCTTTTTAGACCTCAGTACCATGCTTTAGTGGTCAACATGCTTTCTAAATTCACTATTAACTTTGCTTTCCTAGAATTGTTAGTTTTTAGATTTAGAGCCTGAGATATAATAACTTTTAGAGTGCATCAGAATTAGCTGAATTACCTGGAGAACTTGCTTAAAATATGCATATTCACGGGTGCCAACTTCAGAGATTCTGATTTAGCAGCTCTTGAGTGTGGCCCAGGGATGTATATTTTTAACACACAGCTCAAACAATTCTAATACTAATATGACCACACTTCGAGAAACACTGCCTCAAAGCTCATACATTAAGCAATAAAATAATTTCCTCTCTAGCAATCATTCTGGGGCGGTGAATTCACTTGAAAATTGAATGCAAGTTGTGAAACCTCTTCAGAAGATGCACACACACACATACACACACCAATTTTGCCTACCATTTCAGCAGAGATTGGAGTGAAGCCTGCATTCTTGAAGCTCTGCAGCTACCTGGTCTCCAATACCACTTTAATACATATCCTCCCCTGGTCAAAACATCATCTTGGCTCCTTTCTTACTTTAGTTTCAAGTCCAAACTCCCCATAGTCTTGCCACAGTCTAATTTCCTGACATTCTCTGTTTCATCTCCCTGATATGAGTCCAGCTCTCTGTTGGGGACAACTCCAGAGAGTTCTGGAGAGCTCAGACATCGGGAGAACATTTGGCTGGGAGGCCCCAGGACAGTGATCATGGAACTTGCGTGTGTTTCCAAATCACCCGGAAGGCTTGTTGAAGCAGGGTGCCTACATTTCTCAAAAGAAGACATACAAATGGCAAACAGGCACATGAAAATGTGCTCAACATCACTGATCATCAAGAGAAATATAAATCAAAACTACAATGAGATATCATCTCACCCCAGTTAAAATGGCTTACACCCAAAAGACAGGCAATAACAAATGCTGGCGAGGATGTGGAGAAGAGGGAATGCTTGTATGCTGTTGGTGGGAATGTAAATTAGTACAACCACTATGGAGAATAGTTTGGAGGTTCCTCAAAAAACTAAAAATAGAGCTTCCATACAATCCAGCAATCCCACTGCTGGATATATACCCAAAAGATAGGAAATCAGTATATAGAAGAAATATCTGTACTCCCATGTTTGTTGCAGCACTGTTGACAATAGCTAAGATTTGGAAGCAACCTAAGTGTCCATCAACAGATGAATAGATAAAGAAAATGTGGCTGGTATACACAATGGAGTACTATTCAGCCATAAAAAAGAATGAGATCGGCCAGGTGCAGTGGCTCAAGCCTGTAATCCCAGCACTTTGGGAGGCTGAGGCTGGCGGATCACGAGGTCAAGAGATCGAGACCATCCTGGCCAACATGGTGAAACCCCGTCTCTACTAAAAATACAAAAAATTAGCTGGGCATGGTGGCACGCACCTGTAGTCCCAGCTACTCAGGAGGCTGAGGCAGGAGGATCGTTTGAATCTGGGAGGTGGAGGTTGCAGTGAGCCGAGATTGCACCACTGCACTCCAGCCTGGGTGACAGAGCAAGACTCCGTCTCAAAAAGAAGCAAAAAAAGAAAAAAAAAAGAGAAAAGAAAAGAATGAGATCCTGTCATTTGCACCAACCTTGATGGAACTGGGGGTCATTATGTTAAGTGAAAGAAGCCAAGCACAGAGAGATAAATATCCCATGTTCTCACTGGAGATAGAGAGTAGAGGATGGTTACCAGAGACTGGGAAGGGTAGTGGGGTGGTTGGGGGAGTGGTGGGAGGATTAATAGGTACAAAAAAATTAGAAAGAATGAATAAGATCTGCTATTTGGTGGCACAACAGGGGGACTATAGTCAACAATAATTTAACTGTATATTTTAAAATAACTAAAAGAGTATAATTGGATTGTTTGTAACACAAAGGATAAATGCTTGAGGGGATGGATACCCCATTCTCCATGATGTGGTTATTATGCATTGCATGCCTTAACAAAATATCTCATGTACCCCCAAAATACACACACCTACTATGTACCCACAAAAAAGAAAACAAGAAAAGAGAAGAAACAGAGTGCTGGGTTCACCCTCAGAGTGTCTGATTCAGCCAGTCTGGGGTGGAGCTGAGCATGTGCACACGCTCAGGTGATTATGCTGCTGCTGGTTCCTGGACCCCATTGTGAGAACCACGGGCCTAGAAGAGGCAGATACACATCCCCAGAGGGAAGAGTCAGCATAGTAAAGGAGGATTGGTGGGGCTAAGGATCAAGGGTGTGGAGCCTGGTGAGCCTCTCTGGGTCAATTCAGGAGGACTCGGGGGTTCAGAATCTTTTTTATGGCTCCCATGGTAGGAGGGGCTGTTAAAAGGCCTGAAGCAGAGTAGACTCAACCCTAAAATATCAACTTCCTTTCCAATGGGGAAATTTCCCCTCTCCCTTCCACTGATCTAAATTGTCTTGATTCTTTAAGGCCCAGCTCCAAATCCCATGTCTCTAGGAGGGTCGAAAGCAGCGACCTTCTGCTGCAGGACGCAATGGCCAGGCCCTTTTGCCAGTGCCCTTCAGTGGAGCACTCTCCCTTTGGTTGTAAGTTACAAGTTCTCGGATTTGCATTTGGCTTTTCTTCCTTCTACTCTCGTTCCCTGGGGTTCCTTCTCTTTGGGAGGCTTTACATTACATGTGATTCTCAACATTGGCTATATCTTAGAATCACCAGGGGAGCTTTTAAAAATTTAAACACTGCAGAATAATTTAAGACAAATGTTAGCCGTTACCACCTTCCCCCCACCAGAAAAAAAAAAAACAAAACAGATAAGGAAAATGTGGCAATTTTTTTAAAGTATTTAATATAGGTTACATGGGTGTTCATTCTCTCTACTTTTGTGTATGACAAACATTCTCACAACAAAAAATATGTATCAATGCCAGATCCCACCCCAGATTTGTTAAAATAAAAGCTCCTCCAGCCACGTGTGAGCCCCCCAAGAGCCCCTTGTACACTCTGGTTTTCTGTTATTAAATTCTTTTTAATCCTTCTTCAGGCCTCTCCTAGACTGCAGTGGTTCCTGCGATTGGCTGCATGTTAATATCACCTGGAGAACTTGCAAAAAATACTGATACCCAGATCCTTTTCCAAAAGAACCAGATCGATAGGTCTGGGAAGTGGCCTGGGCATGGGGACTTTTCAAAGTCCTGCAGGTGATTCTAATGTGCAACTAAGATTGGGACCCACTGCCCTTAGACTGGCACCCATTCACACATGTCTATTCAGGTCTGGCAGGGGGTGGGGAAGGGTGTGTTCTGGGGTGTGTTTAGGTTGTCTGTGAACCTGCAGAAATTGTATGCAAAATGTTCTGTATATGTACATCTGTGTATTTTTCTAGAATTAAAATCCATAGCTTTCAACATCTTAAAGGAGTCTGATGCAAAATGGTTTAAGAAACAACCACGTGGGTGTAGAGCAATAAGCATGTGCATCCTCTATCATTGCTAGAAGGGTAAATGGTACAGTCTTTTTAGAGGACAGTGGGAAAATGCACATCCCTTTCAACGCAGTAAATCATTTCTAGAAATGGGCTGCACACAAAGATATATGTACAAGGGTGCTCTTGAAGCATTGTTTATAATAAAGAATCATTGGATACAATCTAACTTCAGAGGCAGATGGTGAATAAATAAATTATATCTCATCTATTCAACAGAACACTATCTATAGATATAAAGAATAATGTAGGTTTGTAAGTGCTGAGTGCAGTGGTCTCCAAGACATTTTATTAAGCAAGTAAAAAAATTAATGAAAAGTATAAGCCCATTTGCTGAAAAAAAAAAACTCTGACCTAAAATGATACATACATATTTTACAAATGTAACTGCAGTGGAGTAAAAAGAAAACACATAAAATCATTTACAGTGGTGACTTTGGGAGAAGAGAGTAGCATTGAGGAACTTTAACTTCTTATTCTCCATGCTTTGGTGTTGTTTGAATTTTGCAACATGAGTATGTGTCCCTTTATTGCTTATTTAATAGGAATTGGGTCCGTCCATGTGCTGTCATCTCTGAAATCTGTCTCCATGGCCTTCATTGCTCTGTTGAGTGGCCCATGTCTCCAGGTGCCTATTGTAGATATATGTTCTGGGTCTCTCTGCTTGCATGTCAAGCAGATCCTCCAAACCCAATAAGCCTAAAACCAACACAATGGTCTTCTTACCACGCCCACCTTCTGTTCTAGGTGTTTCTATTACAGTGCCTGACATACCTCAGACCTTTCTAAGGATGCTGACTTGCTCACAGCCACTGATGAAGGGACAGATTTGTCAAGCCAAGTGGTCTGTCACATGACCAGCAACTATAAGGGATGTGCCCAAGGATGGGTCCCTGGGCAGCTAATCCCTGGGCTAACTAGAAGGCTGGATTGAAACTCCTGAGCCAAACAGTCTCTCTTTCTCTAGGAATCAGGGTCAGAGTAGTCAGTAGTTAGAAGAAAGGGGGCAGGGCCATGGAATCAGCCCAGTCCCGTGCTGGCGTGAGCACCTGCTGAGGGCCTGGGGCTGCTCTGTATCCAGACCCACCGTCTAGTCTGGCCTCCAAGGAGTCTCACTCTCCTAGAGTGCTGATGTTGGGTTTGAATGAGGTTCCACTTCCCTTTTAGTCTCACTACATCCCTATAGTTAATCAGCCCTGTCTTAAATTTATCTTGCTTACAACCAAGAAATCCTAACTATGCCTTCGCCCTCCGCCCAGGTGCACCTCCCAAATCTCTGACTCAGGGAAAGGCACCACAATTCACCCTGTATCCATAACTGAAACCTGGACAATATCCCATCCTCCTTCTCACTCTTTCTCAGGCTCCACTTCCACTGAAGCACCAAGCCCTGCCAATTGTGTCTCAAGATTTGTTTGTTTGTTTTTGAGATAGGGCTACCCAGGCTGGCCTCCAGTGGTGCCATCTCAGCTCACTGCAGCCTTGACCTCCCAGGCTCAAGTGACTTTCCTACCTCAGTCTCCCAAGCAGCTGGAATTACGGGCACACATCACCATGCTCGGCTAATTTTTATTTTTTGTGTGTGAAGCCCGGTGGGGGGTGGGGGGGTGGGGGCGGGGGGTTCTCCCTATGTTGCCTGGGCTGGTCTTGAACTCCTGGGCTTAAGTGATATTCCCACCTCAGCCTCCCAAGGTGTTGGGATTACAGGCATGCGCCACTGCACCCGGCCTCAAGATTTGTTTTGAAATCCATCTATTATGTCTTCATCCAAAGGCTGATAATAGTCTTTTCTTTTGTATTAATCGGCTTGGGGTACTATTAACAAAATACTATAGACTGGGTGGCTTAAACAACAGAAATTAATTTTCTCACAGTTCTGGAGGCTGGAAGTCCAAGATTAAGGTGTCAGCAGGGTTGGTTTCTGTTGAGGCCTCTTTTCCTGGTTGTAGATGACCTCTTCTCTGTGTGAGAGCCTGGAGAGAGAGGGCTCTCTGGCATCTCTCTCTTCTTATGAACACATCAGTTCTACCAGATTAGGGCCCACCCTTATGCCCTTGTTTAACCTTAATTACCTCTTTAACAACCCTATCTCCAAATAGAGTCACACTGCAGGGTTAGCGCTTCAGCATATGAATTTGGGAGGAACACAGTTCCGTCCGCAACACCATCCAAATCTGCTCCTCCTGCTTTATTTCCCATCTCTGCAATGCACCCGAGCTAGGAACTCTGTAGTCCCCTTCCCTGCTTCCTCTCCTTTATGTCAAATCCATTCCATTCAGCCCATGCTCTCCAGTTCCAATGGCATCACACTAATTCAGGCCACTTCTGCTGTTCAGTGATGCAGCAAACAAAGTAGAAGGTGAAACTGGAGGCAGCACCACCCACAGGAGAGTGGGCAGCCTGCAAACGTGTCCAGGCTGAGTTTAGTCTCTGATCCCTGGTCCTTTGTATCCTTTAACTTAGACTATTGGTATAAGTTTGTCTTCCCTGAAAACCAACAAACCAAACTATAACGTACTCCCTGCCTACTCCTTTACAGGGGTCCACCATTCTCCAAAACCAGCCTCACCCTCCAGCTACCAGGAAGTAATTGCTCTTCCTTGAAAACACTTGTCTCTCATCCTACCTTGACTCTTATGCCCTTGGCCATACTCTTCGTCTCCTGGCTCAACAACTCAACTCCCAGAGATCTTTTTGGAATGATTTCACATGTTACCTCCTCTTGGAAACATTCCCTGACTTCAGCAGGCCTGGGCTTCCCTCTCTGTGAAAGCAAGAGAATGTAGTATAGTGGCGAGTGTATGGGCTCTGGCACCAAACAACTTGGATTCAAATTCTGGCACTGCCACTTATGTGTTGTGTGATCTTGGGCAAAATCTTTCACCTTTTTGTTTGTAGAATAGGGGATTGTTGTGAGGACTAAATGAGTTAATATGGATAAAGAGCTTAGAAGAGTGCCTGGCATACTCTTAAGTGCTTATTCATGTTAGCAATGATCATGATCTTGCCTTGGTAGTGCCAACCACTGAATTGTGAGTCTTCCAGTCTTAGCTCAAGTCCTCTGAGGCACCTTCTCTCACTCTGTATGGCAGATTTCTCCTTTGGTTCCCCAGCACTTTGGACAGGTATTGTAACTGCTATTTTTCTTCTTAACCAGACTCCTTAGGCTTCATTCAAAGAGAGGGGCTTTTTTTTTTTTGTATTCGCATTGCCTAGCATAGCTACTGGCACGTAGAAGGTATTTGACAGATGTTTCTTGCATGTATTGTAATTGTGAATTTACATGCCTGTATCACCCATTTGGCTGTAAGCTCCGTGTATCCATTCATTTTTTGCACAAGGAGAAGGACTGGGATGCTAACTCAGACTGAGCATGGACTTGGAGCCAGATAGCCTCACTGAGATCAAGCAGTGCTACTTTCTGACTGTGTAAGCTTGAGCAAGTCACTTTTCCAGTCAAATTCTGATTAACACAATATATACCCCAGGCCTGGGCTCTAGCTGCACCTCAGTGTGCCTTATACCTGGACCATCAATTCCCATCCATGTCACCAGCCTTTCTCCAAACAGCTCCCCTCTGCCTAGGATGCCTTTCCCTCTTACACACTTGACACCTTCCTAGTTATCTGTTAGGACCCAGCTCACACATGTCTTTGAGGCTTTTAGAAAGCCATCTCTGATCTTTGTCCTATGGTAATACTTCTATATTATTTTATTATAATATCTTCCCAGCAAGGCTGCCGTGTGTGTATGTGTGTGTGTAATAACAGTTTCAGGCCAGGCACAGTGACTCATGCCTGTAATCCCAGCATTTTGGGAGGCTGAGGTGAGTGGATCACCTGAGGTCAGGAGTTCAAGACCAGCCTGATCGACATGGTGAAACCCTGTCTCCACTAAAAATACAAAATTATTCGGGCATGGTGATGCACGCCTGTAATTCCAGCTATTCGGGAGGCCGAGGCAGGAGAATCGCTTGAACCCGGGAGGCAGAGGTTTTAGTGAGCTGAGACTGTGCCATTGCACTCCAGCCTGGGCAACAAGAACCAAACTCTGTCTCAAGAAAAAAAAAAAAAAATCAAAGGGTCATAAACACAGCCTGCAATATGTATTCAAAACCAGGCAAAAGGAAACACCACAAAGCATCAAAAGGAAAGAGATACTTGTGACTAAATCCTAGGCTAAAATGATAATGTTAGTCAAGTCTTCTAAAAAGTTGACCAACTTTTCTTTAAAGAGTAGCTATTATGGATAAGATGAGAGAAAAGGAGGTGAAGAATTCATTAATATTGGGAAGATCCTTTGAAGGTGAAGACTGCAGGATGAGAGTGCTAAGGTGTCAGATTACTGTGTAATTAGGGACCAGTTCTGTTCCAGATCATCTCTATCTCTGGCAGAGTCTCCCTTTATTTTTGCAAACAATTGAATTCTTTCATTCATAACCTTTCCCTTTACATGGATGTGGTTCTGAGGGGATTCATCAAAGAGCTTGGAGATCATCAGCTGAATCAAGTTGTCTTTACATACCATGTTATGGAAATGAAATCTTTATCTCCCTTTCTGTTTTTAAAACAGGATTTAAATTCTGTCTTTGAAAATGAAAGCCTTCCCAGAGTATACTCTGGAACTTACATCTCTGAGAGATATAAACCCATCAAGAATGCCCAATGGTACATTGAAAAGTTTTTCCTTTTCACCTGCAAGAAAGAAACTTGTCTTTCTTTTTCAAATGACTTTCATTTTGTGGGCATTCATTTGATTCTTCTGGGTCCCAACTTACTTTTCTGGATGAATTAGACTGTCTTTAATTTGCTGCTTGATGCTTGTGTGGGAGTGAGCCATGCTTTGTTTCCAGAACTTCTTCCCTGTGGGATGTTGAGGAGTTAGTGCCAATTTTTTTTTTTTTTTCAAAGAAGGATGGAAGAGTCAAGTTTAGTACTAAGGATTAGCTCAGCAGTGGTTGCTAAACTCTTTGAAATCATTAGATGAAAAGCAAAAATAGAGCTGTACTAAGTATACAGATCATTGTTATTTTTGTTATTATTGTGGGAATTTTCCATTCAGAGAGTATATTATTACTGGATATTTTTCTCTCCAGATTTATGATGTTAAGTTTTGTTTAGGAAAAATGTGTTTCTTTGACAAGTACTTTTTACTTTTTTTTCCCCCCCCAAGATAACTTTCTTGTCTTGGTAGAAGCTGAACCCTATGGGATTCATTGTATCCAGGCATTATGTTCAGTGCCTAACACAGACCCTAGCACACAGTAGGGACCAGTTTGTTGAACTGAGTTGAATCTAATGGCTTGCCATTTTGAAGTGGTATCAGATAGCTGTAATCAAATATTGTTTCCTCTTCAATTAATTCAATGCAAGATTATGGCATTTTAAACCATTTTCTTCTTGAAATTCCAATTCTCCAGGTTTCATGGTCTGTCCAAGGATCCTAGCACTGTATCTGTGACCTGGGTAGGGAGTAGGAAAGTCAGATTCCATAAGGACAGTTTCTGCCCAGGCTTCTGCCCTGTGTTTTCCCTGGCTGCACTTCCCACCCCACCAGGCCCACACCTGCACTGCAGAGGCACGGGACCAGTTCCACCGAACACCTTCTGGCTGTCCTGAAATAAACTGACAGAACTTGCCACTCCCGGTACACCACCAGGCTCTGAGTTGGTTAACAATTCGCTGAGAAGACAGCTCTAGAATTGCTTCTGCCTACGAAGGGTGAGGATGGGTATATATAAGAGATTTCCAACTTGACAAATCCATTTGGGAAGGCTGAATTTGCAGTTTGAGGAGGGAGTTTGTTCAAAGAGCATCTGCATGAACATTCTGCTGGAGCAGCCTGTGGGCCGAAATCCACAAGGCTGGCACTTTGAGGTTCAACTTGATTCTACAGGCTCTGCGGTCTCATCCCAAAGTCACAGCCCACACAACTGGCATTTCCCCTGGTGGTTTGGATTAGACAACAGTCCCCAAGCTCTACTTTGGAGGCAAGATCTAAAAAAAAAAAAAAAAAAAAAGTTGGGGGTGGGGGCAAACAGGGAAGGGATTATGATCTATGTATCTGTTCATTTCCAGTCAGGGATTTGTGCCCCAGTGTCCCTGGGGTGGTGGAGGCATCAGCCTTGAGGGTAGTGCCACAAAAGGCTGTTCCCTGAGACAAACGAGCAGGGGAGGGTTGGTTTTCTTGGCTGCAAGTGGCTCTCTGGGAGCTAAGGAAGAAAGAAAAGGGAGTAACTCTGAGAGGCTCCTGCAAACCCTCTCTTTGCCAGTAGAGTTCAGATACTGCCCAGTCTTCCCTTGACACTAGTTGCCTACTCTTCCATCAATTACATTTTAAAGAGCTATAGCCAAACACCACCAAGGTCTCTATCTTTTAGGATTTCTGCTAATCCTTACCTTCAGATAAGAAATCCCCAGGCATTTCTCAGTGTTTCAAGAAACATGTTACTAATTCAAAGGTGCTGAAATCAGAAGGTTATTTACATACAAACTGTGTAACAACCACTCTGGAATCTATTTGCAATTCCAGCATGCTTTCTTGAGAGTAAGTTAATTGTGTCTCCATCTTAGGGATGGTGTGGGGATGAGAGGGAAATGCTGTTGTTCTAGAGGAAATGCTGTTGTTCTAGAAATGCTGTTGTTCTGTTGTTGTTGTTTTTTTTTTTTTTTTTGAGACACAGTCTTACTCTGTTGCCCAGGCTAGAGTGCAGTGGCATGATCTCGGCTCACTGCAACCTCCGCCTCCTGGATTCAAGCAATTCTCCTGCCTCAGCCTCCCGAGTAGGTGGGATTACAGGCATGCACCACCACACTTGGCTAATTTTTGTATTTTTAGTAGAGACGAGGGTTTCACCATGTTGGCCAGGCTGGTCTCTAACTCCTAACTTCATGATCCGCCTGCCTCAGCCTCCCAGAGTGCTGGGATTACAGGTGTGAGCCACCGTGCCCGGCCAAGTGCTTCTTTGAAACCATCTACTGTTACAGTAAATAGAAACTTTGAAGATTGAGATTTCTTTTAATCTATATAAAAAAGCAGCTGTCCTTCTCCACCTGCCCCCTCTCTTACTGCATCAGAAGGAGGAAAACAGCAATGAAATTATATTTTTCAGAAAAATATTGTTTCGAAAGCAAAATCAAGATGATCAAGGCCTCATGTTTTGTAAACATTTGTAGGATTTTAAGTTAGCACAACATTTTAGATCTTTTTCTTCTCTGGCCATTGGAAAATTCATTTCCTACCCATTTCCTTCTACTTAATGAAGCAAGATTAATAGATTCCACAAGGTGATGTTAAATGAAACCCCACATACAGCAAAAGTAATATAAGTGGAATTATCACGAGGGAAAGAGTGGAGTAGTTAACAAATATAAATGGATCAGCTCATACAATTATTGTATTTTTTTATTTTTTATTTTTTTCCAAGACAGGGTCTCACTCTGTCACCCAGGCTGGAGTGAAGTGTCACTCCTAGCTCACTGCAGCCTCAGCCTCCCTGGGCTCAGGTGATCTCCCCATCTCAGCCTCTTGAGTACCTGGGACTACAGGCACGCACCACCACACCCAGCTAATATTTGTATTTTTAGTAGAGACGGGGTTTCGCCATGTTGCCCAGGCTGGTCTCGAACTCCTGGGCTCAAGCAATCCACCCACCTCGGCCTCCCAAGGTGCTGGGATTATGGGTTTAAGCCACCACACCCAGCCTCAGCTCATACTTTTTAAATGATTTCTTTTCCTACAACATAAAAAAAAAATGAGGTAGGTTGTGTAGACAGTCATTTATATAATCATTGCATCTAAAACCGTTACACTGTAGAATAGTACAAATAAAAAATAAAGTAATTAACATGATCCATGGAGAGCTTAATCAAGGCCAACACTCTGTTTGCTTCCTGTTAATTTGTAACTAATTTGCTGCTACTGGTATACTTTTGATACCCAGCTTTGTACATTGCAAGCAAAACACTGGAAGCTCAACAAATTGCTCTGATATCTTTTGTGCTAAATTGACCCTTGTTGATACTGTTGAAAATACAAAGCTGGATTCCAAATATATTTTCTTTGGGAAAATAAAGAATATTTTCTTATTTTTTTTGGTTTGGGCATAACAATTTGATTTAAGAGGAAGGGACAGGAATTACTGCTTAATATTTTCAAAAGGCAATTAGTCTGTTAACTGATCCCACCTCTATTGCATAAGTAGCATTTTAACAAAAGGACTGAGCTAAAGCACTTGTAATAATAATATGTTAATCATATGACCTTTGTATGGTGTGTTAGAGGTTACAAAGCACTTTTACGTGTATTAGCTCATCAAAACTTCACAACAAAAAAATGAGGAAGTAGTATTATTATTCTACACTTGACAGATAAGAAAACAGGCTGAGAGCATTTAAACAACTTGCCCCCAGATAATCCAGGTATTAAGATGCAGGGCCAGGAATTGAACCCTGTGCTTATATCCCAAATCCTGTATTCCTTCACTACACTACAGCTGCCACCTAAAAATTGCAGAAGTACTACATGGGGCTCTGAGAAATAATCTTAGTGCTTTGGGCAGAGCTTCTCTCAGTAACTGATAAAACCCACTCAGATCCCTTCCTTCCTGACAACTCACAGCTCAAATGTCATGGAAAAGAAACACTTCCTACCTCTCTCGCCTTTCTCCCGCCCCCGACAACACTCTTCTATTCAGGCTGTCAGATTCTTCTTGCAAAGCATTTGGGACACAAATCAGGCAGGTGGGGGGTGGGGGGTGCGGGGTGCACATTGCCTTGATTCTCATGACAATGACAACTAAACTGTTACATTAATTGTTGAGGGGGAAGAAGGGGTACAGATTATTCACAAAGAACAGATAATTCCCAGCTCACCTCGGGTTATGAAATACCTGCTCTAACTTGATCTTAACCCTCTCCTAGCTCGGATCTGAAATCATCTATTGGAATTTAGTTTTAGACAGAAAGACACACAGCTTATAAAGCTATTCACTCCCAAATAATTAGGAATAATACATTGTCTGAGAAACTGAATTAATTAGATATTGCAGTCAATTAACTAAAAGGTCACATAGGCCGGGTGCAGTGGCTCACGCCTGTAATCCAAGCACTTTGGGAGGCCAAGGTGGGTGGATCACCTGAGGTCAGGAGTTCGAAACCAGCCTGACCAACATGGTGAAACCCTGTCTCTACTAAAAAGACAAAATTAGCTGGGCATGGTGGCACATGCCTGTAATCCCAGCTATTAGGGAGGCTGAGGCAAGAGAATCTCTTGAACCCAGGAAGGGGAGGTTGCAGTGAGATGAAATTGTGCCACTGCATTGCAGCCTGGGCGACAGAGCAAGACTCCATCTAAAAAAAATATATATATATATATATATATATGATTTCAGCAATTCAAACCTTAAGGACAGGGGAAATCATGTTTCAGCTGACAGAAACAAGGAAATTTGGAAAAAGGCTTCTCATTGGGGGATTGTATAACTCTATTTTGTCCGAGGATGTTCCAGCCATACTCTGAGTGTAACTCCATTCTATCTAAGGATGTTCCAGTTTTACTATAATCCTAACTCTCTATTACTTTCTTTCTTTTTTGGAGACAAGGTCTTGCTCTGTTGCCCAGGCTGGAATTCAGTGGTGTGATCATAGCTCACTGCAGCCTCGACCTCCAGGGCTCAAGCTATATTCCTGCCTCAGCCTCCCAATTAGCTGGGACTACAGGCATGTGCCACCAGGTCTGGCTAGTTTATTTTTTATTTTTGTAGAGACGAGGTTTCACTATGTTTCCCAGGCTGGTCTGGAACTCTCAGGCTCAAGATATCCTCCCACCTCAGCCTCCCAAAGTGCTGGGATTACAGGCATGAGCCACCACACCGGGCCTCTATTACTTTCTGAGGATGCACAGGTATACAGATGTTTCTCAATTTACCATGGGGTTACCTCCTGATAAACCCATTGTAAGTTGATGAATTGTGTTGAACCATCATAAGTCAGAGATGTCTATACCCTGAGTGTAATTCCATTATTCTCTAAGAATGCCTCAGTCATGTATAGCTCTATTATTCTGTGAGGTTGTCTAAATCATATGCCGAGTATAACTCAATTAATCTCTGAGTTTGTTTCAGGCACTTCCATGGTTCTAAGAATATTTTTGGCCAGATAACATTTCCAAATACTCCATTTGTATTTTTATTGCTAATTATAAAATATTTTTACTGGTAAATAGCCATTACATCTAAAATTCCTCCACTTCTACGGAATGTAAAAGCTTAATAGTAGATTTCTAAGTAACCATTGAATATGAAAAAAAGTCTTTCTCTCACTAATTAGAGGGTGGAGACCGAGTATCCATTCATTTCTGCATTAACAGAATGTCCCTTGCACATAGCAGGCCAGTAAATACAAGTTATTGAATGAACGAATGGGTAAGTAAGTAAATGAATGACTGAGTTCCAATTCTCCAAGCTTTGGAAAAACTGCCATAGCCTTAACAAACAGAGAATAATCAAGAACACTTCATATTGCAATTTAAAAAAATACCCATATCTGGTTATACAGTTGTCCCTCAGTATCTGAGGGGCACTGGTTTCAAGATACCCTCCCCAACAGGATATCAAAATCTGAGGATGCTCAAGTTACTGATATAAAATGGTATTGTATTTGCATATCACCTACACACATCCTCCCGTGTACTTTAAATCATCTCTAGATTACTTATAATACCTAATACAATATAAATGCTATGAAAATAGTTGTACTGTATTGTTTTTGTGTTATTTTAATTGTTGTATTATTATTTTTTATTTATTTATTTTTTAGAATATTTTCAATGTGAGGTTGGTTGAATCTAAGAATGTGGAACTTACAGATACATAGAGCCAACTGTATATGGATATTCTTGGATCATAAATATGGTATGGTGACCGTGCATAGTAACTGGCATTCATAGTGTAACCCATTTCAAATAGCCATTATTAAAAAAAGTCACGGGGTAGCAAATGCAAGCTTTGCTAAAAGGTGTCTACGTGTATAATGTTCCATGTTGCCTCTTTAGACAATGGTATGAAGTGTTTGGTGTAGAAGTCAAGAAGAACAAATTAACCCATTGAGTGAATTTATTCTGTTTGAATGTGAGATAGTACATGATACTTAATTCTGTATTCATTAAAAAAAAATTAAACTTCATGCTAGTGGTAAGGTTTTTTGTTTTGTTTGTTGTTGATGTTGTTGTTGTTTTTTTTTTTTTTGAGACGTAGTCTCGCTCTGTTGCCCAGGCTGGAGTGCAGTGGCTCAATCTCGGTTCACTGCAACCTCTGCCTCCCAGGTTCAAGTGATTCTCCTGCCTCAGCCTCCCGAGTACCTGGGACTACAGGCGCGCACCACCACACCCAGCTAATTTTTGTATTTTTAGTAGAGACAGGGTTTCACCATATTGGTCAGGCTGGTCTTGAACTCCTGACCTCATGATCCACCTGCCTTGGTCTCCCAAAGTGCTGGGATTCAGGTGTGAGTCACTGCTGGTTTTAAAAATTCTTGGCTGGCACCATTACAGCATGACAAATGAGATTTCTTTCTGTGCAAGAAAATTAGGTAATTCAAGGAAAGTGAAAAGTCACAGGCATGGTACATGAATCCGATTGTAACAAGTTCTTTTTATTGGTTTTGGGTGGCATTTTATTAGGGCCAGAGTTATCAGAAGAGCTAAGGGATGTGAACATCAGAATGACTACAATATAATGATCCTATTTAAATCAATCAGTGTGTGGGGTTATGGCAATGGGATGAGGCACTCTGTTGCTTTTGATGCAGGGACTGCAAAGTAGACTATGGGGTTACACCAATAAGCCACTTGTGCTGCCAAACATTCCAACAATTATTTTTTCAGGAACTGCCCCCCATGGTGGTAAACCCTGAGATACTAAATAAATTAGACCATGAGCTAGGTGAGGAGCTCCCATGTTTGTAGATGAGAGGACATAAAATCTCAAGATAGTTGCAGGTCAAACTAGTGTAGGAGTTGAAAAAATGCTGGAAAAACCCAAGTAAACAAAGGTCCTCCTCAAAATGGCCCAGGTTTGAAGGAAATGATTTTATATTAAGTAGACAACTAAGTTAATAGTTGAGTTTCTGAGATACAGACCATGTATTTATAGTCTGATGTATAGTGTAACCCTACAGACTCAATAACCACCCCCCCCTTTTTTTTTTTGAGACAGAGTCTCGCTCTGTCACCTAGGCTGGAGTGCAATGGCAATAACCCCTTTTTATAACAAATATTTCATAACACCTTACCATCCTGAAATGTAATTCATAGATAATATAATCTAGTTTCACCTATAACCTCAAAAATCACTATATAGTGAGGTACCTGGAGAAGTCAAATTCATAGAAATAAAATTAGAATGGTGGATGCCAGAGGCTGGGGGGAGGGGAGAATGAGGTGTTATTGTTTAATGGATACAGGGTTTCTGTTGTGCAAGATGGAAATTCTGTGGATGGATGATGGTGATGGTTGTACAACAGTGTGAATGTACTTAATGCCACTGAACTATACGCTTAAAAATTGTTAAGATGGTAAATATTACATGTATTTTACCACAATTAAAAAAATCGTGATGCTGCCCTACTTATAAAGAGACAAAAAGGGCAAGTTGTTTATTTTGAATTAATACGAACAATAAAATGTTTATGTTTGGGCACAACTATGCCGGAAGACGTGATAAGGTGGTGAGAAGCTGGTTATCTCTGGAATCACCATGAATGTGTGTGCTACAAATGCAGTCGGCTATAAGTGCCTTTCCAGAGCAATGCTGCTGTGCACGGAATTTGCCAAAAGGTGGCCAACTCTCAGAAAGTTCTGCCCAAAGCAAGGCACAATTTTGTCTACATGTGTATGGTAGTTGCATTTTTGGAAAATTCAGTGTCTTTAAAATCTTGCAAAATATACATCATGTTTTTCAATTCAATATGTAAAACAAATTGAATTCATAGATAATTCTAAGCAGATTTTTTCACCTACAGACTGGGTTGGATGTGAAAGTCGTGAGAAGTTTTTGTGTTTCAAGACTGGTCCTTGCATTTGCTGGACATCTCCTATCCCTGGTCCCTGCCCATCAAATACCAGTATTGCCCCAAAGTCATTGTGACAACCAAAAGACCCCCCAGGTTTCCATCAAACCCCTTCTTGAGAGCCACTGACACGTGTTGGCCATACTTTGTGCCCCAGGTCCAGGGACCCTCTCACTAGTGCTGGTCAGATCCCTCTTTCCACTATGATTTTCTCCATCTTGGAGCTCATAGTTTGATTGTCTCTTATTGATCATAATTAATAAAAAATAAAACAGCTTTTTAACAGTGCTGCCTAATTAGCTGAAAACCAAATAATAGAGGATCTTAAATAAACACATTCTCCTCTTTTATAAACACACGGCTCCTTTTATAAAAGCTGACAAATGAATGAGCTGATGTCAGATATTTGTTCTAAATATTAGCCCTCCGTGCATGTTGCCATGGGACTCGTGATGCCTTTAGGTAGCACAGTATCCTCCAGTCATTTGAGAAGGATTAACTTACACTAAAAATGGTTCCCAGTTAACACAGACTTCTACCATGGTCTTTTCAAACACACAAAAAGTAATTCTCAAGAGCACAAGGGCTTTGAGGGCAGGCCTTTGAGTGCCTCCCAGGTAGCTTTGAGCATGGAAGGCACTCAGTACATATCTGTTGAATTGAATTTGTCTATGTTAGATATTTATAATAACTACGAATATTAATTAATCAAAACACACTAGCTTCAATCCCTCCAGATAGACAGCATTTTAATGTACTATATTTCACTTTCAAGTATGTCATCATCTCACAATTGATAAAGAGAAATGTGAGTTGCGGTGAAGATCAAAACTTTTGCACAGATTCTTCTTCCAGTGATTTTATGATAGATAAAATGAAGAACCTGGAATCTGCAGAGTAATTATGTTAGATAGCTTCACATCATCATTTATTCATTCCCAGGATAAAACTGTTTCTCCTGGGCCCTATGAGAAACAAGTTTGGCTAGGACAAGCAACCCTCAATTATAGTGATATCTTTGCTGTGGAAAAAAAAATAAACGTGTAATTAAATTTTGCAGGTGCAACAATCCTGCTACCACGAACCATGGAGGAAATCTGTGAAATTATCCTGAGCAATTTTCTCCAGTGTAACTTGGAAATTAGCCCACCTGGAGACATAAACCCACAATTTCCTCTGCCATTGTCTTATCACATCCATCTTGTCTTAAATGCTGAGACTCCTGTTGCAGAAAGAAACAGGTTTGAACACCCGAATCTCAGCAATGGAGTAGAATATTTCAGAAGTTTGAATTCCAGACACATTGACTTTCACGGTGGCTTTAAAAGACCATAAAAAACAACCGAAAGTACTGCAGGGCATAAACTAACCCGCCAGCAAAGCATCGCCGAGTCGTGGCAACTCGGATACGCGTGCAGACTTGAAAATGCAGAGCGCCGCGCCAAAGCCTGCGTTCCTGGGAAACCACATGCAGCGTCTCCCAAGAACGTGGTGTGCGTGCGGGCAGGGTTCGGGAAACAAAACTAGTTCACGCCTGAGACTGCGACCCCCTGGACGGGGCGGTTTCTAACTTTCCTCTCTCTGTCTCTCCAGGGGTGGAGGGAGGGGCATGATCCAGACACCAGAACAAAGACAGCCAGGTCAGAAATGGTGTGGTCTGTTTCTGCAAGTCACGGTCTTTGTGACCTGGGGAAATGGCTTAGTCTCTAGCCTGCCAGCTAGAAAGGGAAAGCCTTTATTTGCTCAAGTGCTTTGGGATCTTCAAAGGAAGGCTCTGAACTATTATTCAAATATTTGTACATTATTTAGGTTGTGCTTTTCATACTTCATTATGCTCCCCCAAACTTCTCAGGGAATTTGGATCACTCAGAAACTTTAGCGTGCTATCGTCCCTTACTCATCCTGCCCTCCCTAAAGCCTCATTGAAAGCACTGATCTTTTGATTATTGGAGCTTCTGAAACAGAGCCAAGGATGAGGCTTTAAGTGTCAGCTACGACGATATTCGGTGTTATTTTGCTATTAGCATGGCTTGCTTGCTTTTTTACTTCATATAAATGCTTACACATTCCAGACACATGGACGTGTAAGTAAATACATATATTCACAGAAGGATACACCTCATACATGCCTTGGCACTCCTGTGTCTATACTCCCTGTAGATAGCATCGCCTCCAGGAAGCTTTGCTAACACTGCTCCATCCGCTTCAGTAGGAGTAGATGTCCCTTTATAGCCCTCTCCAGGTTCTTATGCATACATCTGTCACAGCACTTTTCACCGTGTCTCGTAATTGTATGTTATTGTTTGTTGTACCATTTGACTACGAATTCTTTAAAGACAAAAATTGCATTGTTTATCGCTGTTTCTCCTGTGATTAGTACAATGCATAGTACATGGTAGGAATTCAGTATATATTTGTTAAATGGATGAATGGATCCATCATCCATATTCTACTCCCTTGCTGAGATTTGGGTGCTCAAACCTGTTTCCATTCATCCATTTAACACACATATAACTGAATTCCTATCAAATAAAATGTATAAAAATACATTTGAATGTACTGTTGCCAGTCTCTTGGCTTCCCTTAATTTATTAATCTTTGCAAGTTGCTTTTAAGCTTTCAAGAGTTATACATGTTCCTAGCAGCCATTTCGAACGATTCAGAAGTACATACAGAGGGGAAAAAATGAACCTGTTTTCATCGTTCCTCATCAATCCCACCCCCTTCCTCCAGAGGAAAGCACTGTTAAAGCCTTTCTTCACATTTATAAACACATATTTAAATATACCAACAAAAATATTTTTTAAAACAAGGTTATATTTTAGGATTTGTTCTGTCTTGACATTTCTACTTAATATATAACACATTCTTATTATTTTGTATATATAGGCTCAGAATATTTATTAATCAGGTATTCATCTATGTATTTATTATTAAAATGTTCAATGCACTTGTTTTAAAAAAATTGAACAGTGCAGAAGGTAAAAAATGAAGAGTGAAACTGCCTTTGTCCATTACCACTGTTTATTTCATATTGCAGAAGTAAACACTTTGTAACCATGCCTAGTTTTAGTACTTTTGGTGGTTATCCCTGCAACTATAAATCGTTTCTTGATTTCTCAGCATTAGATAGTATCTATCAACTCCTTGATAAGTTGAAGAATTTAGTGGTTTATGTTTAGTTATTTTAGTGGTTACATTAATAACCTTATATAAAATACTAAAATTCCATCTTGCCCCATCAACCTTACCCAGAAAATACTGGTACCCTGCTGTGTGCTTTGTGGATGTTAGAACACCTACACACTCCTTCCATTTCTTCAGACTTCTCTCAGCTTCATCATCCATCACTGTCAAGGTTTATGATATTTACATCTGGGCTTTAGTAGTTTCCATTTATTCTGTCCAATGTCTCTGCTTTTGGCTTCTAGAAATTTTTTGAAATTTCTTATCTGCTAATGACACCTCCCTTGTTAATGTTGTTATCAATCAATTCTTTTCAGGGTATCTTTGTTATCATCTTGATGGGGCTTAGGGAGGTAGTAGAGCTAAATACAGGCGCTTATTGTGACATCTTGAACAGGGCTCTCCTTTTCTTTTCAATGTGATTATTTCTTTCGGATAAATTCATGAGCATTTCTTAATTTTTTTTTTTTTAGACTTTTTAGACAAGTTTTTGCTCTGTCATCCAGGCTGAAATGCAGTGGCTCAATCGTAGCTCACTGTAACCTTGAACTCCTGAGTTCAAGGATCCTCCCTCCTCAGCCTGCTGAATGGCTAGGACTACGGGAGTCCAACACCATGCCTGGCTAATTAGTTTTTAGTGTTTTTTTTTGTTTGTTTTTTTGTTTTTTTGTAGAGATGAGATTTTGCCATGTCGTCCAAACTGGTCTTGAACACCAGACCTCAAGTGATCCTCCTGCCTGAGCCTCCCAAAGTGCTGGAATTACAAGTTTGAACCAGCATGTGTGGCTGAGCATTTCTTAATTCTGATCACCCATAAATACAATGGTGTCTGTGATCTGAATTGTGTTGGAAAGAATTTAGGGATTTGGGAAGAAGTCAATGAAGATGATTATTTCTGGGCCATCACTGTAACTCACTGTAGTATTTTTCTATTTGCCCCATCTCCACCTTGCTTTTCTTTTCTTTTCTTTCTTTTTTTTTTTTTTTTTTTGACAGAGTCTTGCTCTGTTGCCCAGGATGGAGTGCAGTGCTCCGATCTCGGCTCACTGCAACCTCAGCTTCCTGGGTTCAAGCGATCTCCTGCCTCAGCCTCTTGAGTAGCTGGGACCACAGACATGCACCACCACACCCGGCTAATTCCACCTTTTATCTTAGTAAGCAGTAATATCAATGTCCTTCTATAAATATTTTTGCTCTTCTATAAATCACTTTTACAAGTGTTGGTAGTATATTGCTGTTTATAAAAGAACTGAACCGCCTTTAATGAAAACATATTTACACTAAAATTAAAACTCTATCAAGGATTTGAAATTGCTTGTATCATAAACTATTGTTAGTATTTGCTCCTATTTATATTCCCAAGTGGAGAGTAAGCTGCCTGAAGAATTATAAAGAACTTCCAAGGTTGCATCTTACTCATTTTTTTAATAAAATTGTACCTAGCAAAGTACGTGCCATGTAGTTGGTGTTCCATCAGTTTTGCTGAACTCAACTGAACCAACCTTGGCCATACCTGTGGATTCTCCATTGCAGACTCTGGGCTCTAACCCATGGGAATAGTATGGTTTTACACATTTCTTCCCTAGGTGACTGTATGAAGGAGCCCTTGACATGCCTGAGAAACTCCCTTTTAATCATAATTACATATGACTTCTCTTCCCTTCCTCTATGCCAATATTAAATGCACCAGGGAAACTGATTTCAATTACAGTGGATGCCTTACCCCTTCCAGTTGATCAAATTACACATCCACACTTCCGTGGAGGTTATCCAGTGTAATTCTTAGTACTGGGGAGCATGAACAGGGTACCAATTACTTAAGAAGTGCTCATTAGGAATTAGAAAGCAAACATAATTACCACATGCCAATTGCATAGGAAATAGGAGGGCTTCTCAACAAAGCCAGGCTTATTTTATGTATCCCATATAGTTCCTACAGGATGTGTTTTTACCTGTTTTGTTTTTTTTTTCAGTCCGCCAAATACTGGATGCATATACAAGATGAAGACTTAACAAGTAGGAAATGTACAGACTGCAAACTCCTTATTTGTCTCACTCCACTATACCTCCAGCACCTAGCTGGGCACACAGTCAGTGCTCTAAACATATTTATTGGATCTTTTTAATACCTCCAGTAGAAAATAAGTTAATTTTATACAGTGTGAGCTTTTTCTCACCCTCACACACACACACACACACAAAGCATCCAAAGTTTTGAATGTCCAGTTAGTGTCCAATTAGTGTTGGACACACTTGGCAATCAAAACATATTTGGTGATTGGTTAATTGCTTTATTTTATGCATGACCTTAGGAACTAATTAAATTACATAACAATTTTGCAGATGACCCCAGAGAAAACGAAAATTGTAAATTTTTTCAATAATTGTCATCTGGTGAGTTCCACCTGATTTAGATAAAGTTAGGGTTTTCTGTACTGTTTCCCCTAAGAGGAGGCTTAATTTGCTTCTTATAATTTAGCTGTGTTCTCTTAAAATATAAGTGTAACATAGAAATAGTTTGGGGAACAAGTCAGATTTTCCATAAATTACATGCAAAACACAAAAGTTATTTCCCATCATCAAATTTTCATATTTTTATTTCATGTTAGCATGCAGAAATATTTAATAATGACGAAATAGTCTATAAATGGCCAAGCCACAGCCTGGGAACAATAAGTGGCATTTAAAAAGCTTGTTTTTGACTCCAGCTGGAAGGGGAAAACTGAAGCCATTTCTTCAGCTGGGCACCCTCTCTTGGTGCTTAGGTCTCCCACACATTGGAAGGAGCCCCGTTTATCCTTTGAGTCACAAAGGAAGTATAGGATGATGAAACTTTGAGCTACCCCCATTTTTGCCTCATCTCTATCTACTTAGCAGTGTGGAGAAGTTGGCCAATGGTAACATAGCCCTTGTGGATTCTCTCAGAAGCAGGTAAGTTCCATTTTTAGTAAGGCTTTCCATGTTTCTGAGAGTTCAGGCTCCACCTGCCCAAAGCCAAGTGGGTGACTTAGAGAGGTGATTCATTGAGTCAACAAACAACTATTGAGCACCCACCCTGTGCCAAGCCCCATTCCAGGCTCTTGGTTTAGGCAGTGAATAAGGCAAAGTTCCTGCTTGCTTCTGGCCGGGGAGACAAACAAGAATCACGCGAATGCATAATATGATGTCAGGTGTCCTGAGTGCAGTGACAACAAGGACAGTAGGGTCAGGGGATACTGAGTAATAGGTGGACTGTGCAGTGGGCGCGGTTTGCATCTAGTAAGGGAACTTAGGATACCCAGGGTGATATAGGAGCTCAGTGTGGTTCCCTGGTGAACCTAGCACCTTTATCATTCAGTCAGATCTAAATTCTGATAAGGACAGGGCACACTCTGTTCACCAACATAGCTAGGCAAGCAGCAGCTGAGAGCACACTCTCAGCCTGCGTTGGTGTGGAGCCCAAGGATGTGATTTATTATTACTATTGTTATCACCTCTGTCAGCCTTGGCAATGAAGTTCCCATTGTTTCTAAATATGATTCTCAAAGAAGCCACAGAAACTCACATACCAGAGGACACTGGGGAGGGAGTGTGGCAAAATGGCTTAGAGCTGGGGTCAGCGTACCATGGCCTGCAGCTAATCCGGCCCCCTATCTATTTTTGTAGGGCCCATGGGCTAAGGATGTATTATATTTTACATTTTTTAATGGGTGGCCAAAAATGCATAAATAAACAGATAAATCAGTAGTATACTTTGTGACGAGAAAATGTTATAAAATTCAAATTTTAGTGTTCATACATAAAGTTTTACTGGAACACAGCCATGCTCATTTTGAACATGTTGTCTTGGCTGCGTTTGTGCTGAAATAGCAGAGTTAATAGTGGTGATGAGATTGTATGGCCCACACAGCCTAAACTATTTATGATTTGGTCCATAAGACAAAGTCTGTTGACCCTGGCTAATAGTATGGCTTGTATTCAGTAAAGAACTGGGTATAACATTTTGGTATGTGTTGGAAAAAGAATACTATACAAATATGAAAAAGAATTAGATTTCCATATGGGTGATGTCTATGATATGTTAAGTAAAACAAACAAAAACAATTTGAGTATAATACATCTGACTTCTCTAAATATTCCACTAGGATATCAGCTCCATAAGTGCAGACCTGTGTCTGTTTTGTACATGTTTTTGTTTTTAGAGATGGGGTCTCATTCTGTTTCCCAGGCTATAGTGCAGTGGTATGATCATGGCTCACTATAGCCTCAACCTTCCAGGCTCAAGCAATCCTCCCACCTCAGCCTCCATAGTATTACTAGGAAACTGGGACTATAGGCACACACCATCATGCCTGGCTAATTTTTAAATCTTTTAGATAGATGAGATGGCACTATGTTGCCCAGGCTCATCTCAAACTTCTGGACTCAAGAGATCCTCCCGCCTCAGCCTCCCAAAGTGCTAGGATTACAGGCATGAGCCACCATGCCTGGCCTTTGTTCACCGTTATATCCCCAGTACCTAGAACATTGTGTCCCCTGGTATACTCTCAATAAATATTTGTTGAGCTGGGCACAGTGGTACATACCTGTAGTCCCAGCTACTGGGGAAGCTGAGGCAGGAGGATTTCTTGGGTGCAGGAGTTCAAGGCCAGCAAGACCTCATCTCTAGATAAATAAATACATACATATTTGTTGAATGAATGAATGAATATAACACAACACCTAGGGAGCTATATAAAATATATATGAAATTTGGTTTCATAAAAATTTAAAAGATAAAAATATATATTTTTTACATGGCCAAAACCATCATAAGTAAACTTAGCCATGATAAACTTCAAGAAATCACCAAGGGCCTATTACTTAATGAACTCCTACAAATCAATAAGATCAACAACCCAATAGGAAAGTATGCAAATAGGGCTGGGCATGCTGCCTCATGCCTGTAATCCCAGCACTTTGGAACGCTGAGGTGGGTAAGTCGCGTGAGCTCAAGAGCTCGAGACCAGCCTGGGTAACATGGTGAAACCCTGTCTCTACCAAAAA
This sequence comes from Homo sapiens, assembly GCF_000001405.40. Taxonomy (NCBI): domain Eukaryota; kingdom Metazoa; phylum Chordata; class Mammalia; order Primates; family Hominidae; genus Homo; species Homo sapiens. The sequence continues at coordinate 26,582,111 of NC_000018.10, forward strand.
AAAAAAAAAAAAATTAGCGGGGCATATTGGTGCGTGCCTGTGGTCTCAGCTTCTCTGAGGCTGAGGTGAGAGGATCACTTGAGCCTGGGAGGTGGAGGTTACAGGTGAGCCAAGACCGTGCCACTGCACTCCAACCTAGGTGACAGAGTGACACCCCGTCTAAAAAAAAAAAAAAAGTCAGCAAATAATAACAGGCAATTTATAGAAAGTAACTGCAAATGGCTCCTTAAGCCTATTTAAACATGACCAAGTTCACTCATAAGAGAAAAGCAAATTAAACTAAATGAGTTATTGTTTTTCCACCTCTCAGCTAACAAGAACACATTGTACTAGTGGAATTGTAAATTAGCAGAACTTTGTAGGGAGTACAGTTTGACAATATGTAACCACAATTTAAAGTGCATATACCCTTTGATCTAATGATTCTAATTTCAGAAAGTTATCCTATAGAAATATTCACGTTCGAAATGACACAATTGCATGGTTATTTATTGAGACATTGCTTACAATCCCAAAATATGGAAAATAATTTAAATGTCCATCAATAGGTGAAATAAATTAACGTGCAGCCTGCAAGATACCATGCACCTCTAGAAAAGAAAGAGGCAGCTTTTCATGTATAGATGTGGAAGGATCTCCAACATACGTTAAGTATGAAAAAGTAGAATGAGCATGTATAGAATAACACCATTTGGTTTTTTTTTTTAAAAGGATTTATATGGAGTTCTTTGCATAGACTATCTTTAGAAAAATACAGAAGAAACTGATAGTAGTGGTTGCCTTTGAGAAGTGTAACTTTTACAAATAAAATTAATATTGAAATATGAACTTATGAATTCAATTTAGAGAAAAAATAAGTATACATAGAAAAATCTGAAAGAATATAAACAAAAAACATTACAGGGAATTTTCACTTTTAAGTTATATATTTCCGTAATGTTTAATAGTAGATAGATGGTAATTTAAAAAAAATATGATGGAGATAAAAGAGAGCAAAAGTAGGCCAGGTGCAGTGGCTCACATCTGTAATTCCAGCACTTTGGGAGGCCAAAGCAGGTGGATCACCTGAGGTCAGGAGTTCAAGACCAGTCTGGACAACATGGTGAAACCCTGTCTCTACTAAAAATACAAAAATTAGCTGGATGTGGTGGCGGGCGCCTGTAATCCCAGCTACTCAGGAGGCTGAGGCAGGAGAATCACTTGAACCCAGGAGGCGAAGGTTGCAGTAAGCTGAGATCGCATAATTGCACGCCAATCTGGGTGACAGAGCAAGACTTTGTCTCAAAAAAAAAAAAAAAAAAAAAAAAGAAAAAGAAAAGAAAAGAGTAAAAGTGAGCATGAGCTTTTATTCAGAGATGTGGGTAATAGGACTTACTATGACAGCTACTAAAACTACCAAATCATCTAACAAATGTAATCTGGCTTCATGTGTGACATTATTCTATGCAAATGGTACTCTCTGATGTACTCTGTTTCACCTTATAGGAATTCAAAAGCACTTGGCCATATATAAGTTCCATTAAAGTGGATAAAAGTTTATTTCATCTGATGCTGCTATCATCTAAATCTTTAGCACAACAAAAATACAATGAGGTCACTAATGAGTTATTTCAGCTATCGTTTTGATGACATATATTAACAGGTGTTTTAGGAAATTTAAAAATATCCTTTCTGTTTAAGAAAAGTTGTCCAACTTCTTTCTCCATCTGTCAAAATACAAAAGTGGCTCCTAAGGACGCTGGAGGAAGATTATGACACTCTCAGTAATGGTAGCTGTTTTCTTAAGCACAGGACAGCCACCCAGCTTCCCTGTAAATGAATGTCAGGCATTTCTTGATTTTGAGTTGGGTCTGTTGTTTTGCATCCTCAAGTTAACATCAGTCCACAGATCAAGAAATAAATCCATATAGTGGCCTGTCTTTGTATTTTCCAGAATCCAGTTGGGTTTGGTGCCAGCCCAGAAGGTTTTGTGTATTTGAAGTCATTTCTTATATGAAAGACCAGGGTTCTGAGGCAATATTGGGATTGGAGTGAGGGCTTTGAGGGCTCATCAAGTGTGCTGGCAATACCCGGAACAGATATTTCTTGGCGTGGATCCACCTGTGTTATCCAATAGAGTAGCCACTGGCCATGAAATGTGGCAAGACAAATTGAGATGTGCTGCACGTATAAAATACAGACTGGATTTTGAAGATTGGGGGAATAAAAGGTAAAATATCTCACTAACAATGTTTTATATTGACTACATGTTGAAAATAATTTTGTGATGTATTGGGTTAAACAAAATGTATTAATAAAATTAATTTCATCTGTTTCTTTTAACCTTTTTTATGTGATCACTAGAAAATTTAAATCTACATATGTAATTTGCATTACATTTTTGTTAGTGCTAAGTTAGGGGGTTTCCTATTCATTAGATCTTTCAGTCATTCATTCAACAACTATTTATGAGGAGATTACTATGTGTCAGGCATTGAGCTGGGTCCAGGAGGTATCATGACAAATGAGACACAGTCCCTGCCTTTAAGGGGCTTTCATTTTAGTGCAAGAGGAATATGAGAAGTGCTGAGACAGGTATTCACAGGGTGTTTTTTGAGTACCTAGGAGGGGGCTCCCGACCACACTGGCTGTGTAGGGTGTGATGATGGAGGCTGAGGCAAGAAAGGGTTCCTAGAGTAGGTGAAGTATAAACTGAGTGCTGAAAATTGGCAGGAGTTAACCAGATCAGGAGAAAAAGGGATACGAAAGGAAGGTGTTGCAGGCATGGATAACGGCATGTATAAGACTGGGAGGCAGAGAGACGGCAGCTCCCTGTAGGAGGAGCACGTAGTCCTGCTGGAGTGTGGGAGTGAGCTGAGGGACTGTGGGGGTGGCAGGCAGGTCTAGATTGCAAGGAGCCCTCCTTCTAGGTGTGTCCTGCTTCTGACTTTGGGTGACGCCTCATGAGCATTCCAGGCCACCCTTGCCCTGGTCTGATGCTGCCCCCCGATACCAGGCTGGAGGTTGCTTTTGGGAGCCAAAGAGAAAAGTGAACTTAACTGGACCCCTAACTGCCCCACCTGTGTAGCCAGGACCTCTATCTGTTGGGAAGGTACATTCCTTGTACATTTTGGCCACCGGCATACTTTTGGCAACTAATGCCTTTTAACAAACACATTTTCAATTATGGTAAGATCATTATCTAACCATATTGGTAATATACTTAAGGCCTAAAGTTACCATCCAAATGGAATTCTCTACCTGTACAAAGAATTCAGTGTTTGACTAAAGCATTGCAATACATTCTAGAGTCAGAAGTTTTTGTTCAACTATTTAATGAGTGACTTTAAACAAGTTAATTAACATGCAGGGGCCTCTGTTCATTTTTTAATGAGAGGTTTCAACTCAGTGATCTCTAGTTTTCTTTTAGTTTTAACTTTGACAGAGTCTGGTAAATGGTGTGCACACTAATAAAGAATTATCTAACTAGGAAAAGACCAGGTACAATACCAAGAAAGCAAAAATGGGATTTCATTCAGTTTAATGGTCCAAGTCAGAGAATTAATTATATATTTTGCAATTATTATTCAAAGTATCGTATTTTATTGAATTACTCTGTGTGACACATCTAATTTTAAAAAAGACAAAATTGGCAAAATGAGAATAATAAGCACCCTTTGGACAGATTTTCCCTGGTAGTAATTTTTAAATCTCCCAAATATGATTAATTATAGTCGAACTTAAAAAGTACAGGTATGCTTGGGCAACATAGTGAGACCTTGTCTCTGTTAAAACAAAACAAAACAAAGCAGATTAGCTGGGCATGGTGGTGCATTCCTATAGTCCTAGCTACCTGGCAGGCTTGAACCCAGGAGTTCAAGGCTGCAGTGAGCTAGGATTGGGCCTCTGCACTCCAGCCTGGGCCACAGAGGAAGATGCTGTCTCTTAAAAAACAAAACAAAACAAGCAGTCTCTTCAATACAATTCAATTGTTTTATTGTATTTCGCTTTATAGCAATTCAAAGATACTGCATTTTTTACAAATTAAAGGTCTGTGGCAACACTATATCTAGCAAATCAATCAGCACCATTTTCCCAACAGCATGTGCTCACTTTGTATCTTTGTGTCGTGTTTTGGTAATTCTCATAATTCTTCAAACTTTTTATTATTATTATATCTGTAATGGTGATCTGTGATCAATGACTTGATATTACTATTGCAATTGTTTTGAGGTGCCATGAACTGCACCCATATAAGACAGTGAACTTAATCAATAAGCGTTGCATGTGTTCCGACTGCTCCACCAACCAGCTGTTCCTCAGTCTCCCTCCCTCTCCTCAGGCCTCCTATTCTCTGAAACACAACAATATTGAAATTAGGCCAACTAATAACCCTACAATGGTCTCTAAGTGTTCAAGTAAAAGGAAGAGTCGCATGTCTAAATAAAAAACTAGAAATGATGAAGCTTAGTGAGGAAGGCATGTTGATGGTCGAACTAGGTAGAAAGCTAAGCCTTTTGCACAAGTTTTCTAAGTTGTGAATGCAAAGGAAAAGATTTTGAAGAAAACTAAAAGTGCTACTCCAGTGAACACACAAATAACAAGAAAGCAAAACAGCCTTATTGCTGATATGGAGAAAGTTTGAGTGGTCCGGATGGAAGATCAAACCAGCCACAACATTCCCTTAAGCCAAAGCCTAATCCAAAGCAGGGCCCTAACTGTCTTCAATTCTATGAAGGCTGAGAGGGGTGAGGTAGCTGTAGAAGAAAAGTTTGAAGCTAGCAGAGGTTGTTGGTTCATGAGGTTTAAGGAAAGAAACCATCTCCGTAACATGAAAGTGCAAGGTAAAGGAGCAAGTGCTGATGGAGAAGCTGCAGCAAGTTATCCAGAAGATCTAGCTAAGATCTATTTCTTCAGTAAAGGTGGTTACACTAAACAGATTTTCAATGCAGATAAAACAGCTTTCTATTAGAAGCAGATACCATCCAGGACTTTCATAGCTAGAGAGAAGTCACTGCCTGGCTTCAAGTGACAGGCTGACTCTCTTATTAGGGGCTAAGGCAGCTGGTGACTTTAAGTGGAAGCCAGTGCTCATTTATAACTCTGAAAATTGTAGGACTCTGAAGAATTATGCTAAATCTACTCTGCCTGTGCTCTGTCAATGAAAAACGAAGCCTGGATAAAAGCACATCTACTTACAGCATGGTTTACTGAATATTTTAAGCTACCTGTTGAGACCTACTACTCAGAAAAAAAGATTCCTTTCAAAATATTACTGCTCATTGACAATGCACCTAGTCACCCAGGAGTGCTGATGGAGATATACAGATGAGAGATTAATGTTGTTTTCATGTCTGCTAACATAACATCCATTCTGTAGCCCATAAATCAGTAGTAATTTTGACTTTTGCGTCTTATTATTTAAGAAATCCATTTCATAACGTGATAACAGCCATAGATTATGTGATTCCTCTGATGGATCTGGGCAAAGTAAACTGAAAATATTCTGGAAAAGATTCACCATTTAGATGCCATTAAGAACATTTATGATTCATGAGAGGAGGTAAAAATTATCAACATTAATAGGAGTTTGGAGGAAGGTGATTCTGACCCTCATAAACGACTTTCAGGGGCTCAAGACATCAAGACAACAGTGGAGGAAGTAATTGCAGATGTAGTGGAAATAGCAAGAGAACTAGAATTAGAAGTGGAGCCTGAAGATGTGACTGAATTCCTGCAAGCTCATGAGAAAACGTTAACAGATGTGGAGTTGTTTCTTATAAATGAGCAAATAAAGTGGTTTCTTGAGATGAAATCTACTCCTAGGGAAGATGCTGTGATCATTGCTGAAACGATAACAAAGGTTTTAGAATATGACATAAATTTAGTGACAAAGCAGCAGCAGGGTATGAGACAACTGACACCAATTTTGAAAGAAGTCCTACTGTGGGTAAAATGCCATCAAACAGCCTTGCATGCTACAGAGAAACCTTTCATAAAAGGAAGAATCAATCCATGTGGCAAAATTCATACTTGTCTCAATTTAAGAAATTGTGGCCAGGTGTGGTGCTGTGCACCTGTAATCCCAGTACTTTGGGAAGCCAAGGCTGGCTTGAACCCATGAGCTCCAGGTTACCGTAGGCTATGATGGTGCCAGCCTGGGCAACAGTGTAAGACTCTGTAGAAAGAAAAGAAAGAAAGAGGGAAAGGAAGGGAAGGGAAGGGAAGGGAAGGGAAAGGGAGGGGAGGGGAGTGGAGGGGAGTGAAAACAGTTTTGACTCACAGACTCCCTGGATAGTTTTTTAGGAACCCCCGGGGTCCCTGGACCACACAGTGAGAACTTCTGGAATACAGATCAGCTGAAAATAATTTGTACTCTGTGGAAAATAGAGTTTGAATGCAGGGGTTTATCAATAAGTATGGAATAGTGACAATTCTGCAGAGTAATGAAGAGTTGGGCACAGCTTTGAAGGGTGACAATTGCCTAGGGAGCAGTTGACATTAGAAACAAGGTAGCTGGTGTGTGTGACACCTGTCATCAGGGGCCCAGAAAGCATTTCTTGGAGGCTGGGCTGTCAAAGAAGCACAGTACAGAGAAGGAGGCGCCAACTTGGGAGGGACTTCAGGCCATTTGGAGTTTGCATGAGATAGGAGACAGTTTGCAAAGCAGAGAGAGGTTCTGGAAGGTTCCTGATACCCCACTGGAGACATCATCCAATCCATTGCTTTTCACACTTTCCACAAGGAGCAGAACTCCTTTTTCACAAGAATCGAATGCAAAGCCCTAATATATACAGTATAGAGCAGTGTGTTGCTTTGGATGAAATATGGAAGAGGTCCATGCGGCTTGGCTTACTTAAGCATGAACTCAGATCCCTAGGCTCCCAGGAAGAGTGGAGGAAACCCACTGATCTAACTGCAAACAATCAGCAGAGCAGGGATAAATACTCTCTAAGGATCCCTCTCCTAGGCATATGTGTAGGGGGAATGGAGGATATGAAGGGAGATACCTGCATGAGGCGACCTCATAATTAAAGGCTCTGTCTAGACCTGTGGCTGTGGGATAAGACCTGGGGGAGGACAGGATGGTAACGTGAATGTGAGTGAGGGCAACAGAGAGACAAGACTCGGGCCTGTGGCTCAGATTTTCAGTCTTGGACCTTGGGTTGGCCACTGGCCACAGGAGGACATTTAGAAAGAGTGAAGAATGAATAACAACATTAACTGAGCATTTATTATATGCAAGCCATTCAGTTAAGCACTTTCCACGAATGGTCTTGTTTCATCCTCATGAAACCTCTATGGGATTTTATGACTTTCCACATTTTATGGAAACAGAATTCAAGAAATTAAGTAACTGGAGCAAAGGGGCATAGGTCTCAGTGGTGGGCCAGGCTATCTGAAATTCTCAGTGTAAAGCCAGTTATATAAAGTCTTTCAGACTTTAAATAAACTTGAAAAGGGTTATCAAAGACATCACAACAATGCTTTCAAAGTATCTTGGCTACTGTGGTAGTTACTATCAATGGCCTAGCCGTTGGCCACTCTCCTTTCTTTCTTGCTAACAGAACCCCATTTTTATTCAGATATCTGGTGGCTGTGTGCATCAAGGAAGGTTAGACCCCTCCCTAGCCCCAGTGGGTCAACCTTGACTGGTATAAGCACAGCATGGTGATTCCATCCCCTGCCAGAAATGAGCACACAAGGCAATTCTGGCCAGTGAGAGAGAAAGGGAAGTTTACTGGGAGACTACTATTATATGTGTCTGCTGATAAAGGGATGCATGGGAAGAAACAGCATCTTCTCTGACTTCATGAAGTCATAACTACATGTGATACCCAGATTATTGGCAGCCACCTTGTGAGCACAAGGGGAGTCGATCTGAGAAGGCAGAACTGAAAGGAGGTAATGCTTCTGTTGTTAAGTTGCCAAATTAGTGAATCCTGGAACAGCCCTATCTCTGTACTTCATAAGTGAATGCGTTATTTTATTTTATTTTATTTATTTTATTTTTGAGACAGTCTTACTGTGTCGCCCAGGCTGGAGTGCAGTGGCATGATCTCAGCTCACTGCAACCTCTGCCTCCTGGGTTCAAGCAGTTCTCCTGCCTCAGCTTCCTGAGTAGCTGGGGTTACAGGCACATGGCACCACACCTGGCTCATTTTTTTTTTTTCACTTTAGTAGAGATGGGGTTTCACCGTGTTGGCCAAGCTGGTCTCAAACTCCTGATCTCAAATGATCTGCCTGCCTTGGCTACCCAAAATGCTGGGATTACAGGCATGAGCCACCGTGCCCGGCTGTGAATGCATTTTGCTCATTTATTAGAAATGTATTAGACCATTTCTGAGTCTGTTATTATTAGTGGCCCAAAGCATCCTAAGCAAATTGTGACTTATATTGCCCTATCTATTTAGAAAGGTCGCTGATCAAGCGATACCTTAAAACGTATGGTTGTTTTGTTTTAGCAAGGCTTCTCTTAGAAAATATAAACTTAACCAGGCCTTCTTTTCTGCTTGTGTGGTACAGTTTTACCTGCTGAAAAATGAATAGCTATTTGCACAGCAATGTTAAAAGGTTACATGATGCAACTGCAAATATTCACTTATTTAGGCTATTGTTTACGTTCCATTATGGATGAAAACTGCCTATATGCATTTTTGGTATTTCTAACTCCAGAAATCTGGATGTATTATACACATGAAGTATCACATTTTATCTTGTGTTCAAGAGATTCTGGCTAGGTCCTACATGGTATCTCTTACAGGGACTAATTTTAAATAAAAACTAATAATTTTTTTCTAAAGGTTTCCATGCCTAATAGTCCTGATGGTGAACCCCAAATCATTGCTGCTTGTTTGACACACCAGGAATGCTTATTACTTATTATATACACTAAGGAGAATATGAAGATCAGTGGTTCAGATTAGATAATGTATATGAAAATCACTGAATTTTTTTTTCAATTGAGTCAGGGTCTTGCTCTGTTGCTCAGGCTGGAGTGCAGTGGTGCAATTATAGCTTGAACTCCTGGCCTCAAGCCATCCTCCTGCCTCAGCCTCCCATGCAGCTGAAACTACAAGTACATACCACTACACCAGCTAATTATTATTATTTTTTCCATAGAGACAGGGTCTCACCTTGTTGTCCAGGCTGGTCTCAAACTCCTGGCTCCAAGCAGTCCTCCTGCCTTGGCCTACCAAAGCGTTGGGATTACAGGCATGTGCCACCATGCAGGGCCTGAAAATACTTTAAATAACTAAATTATTTTCAATCTCCTTTACTCATCTTTTAAGGATAATTTCATCCTTTCAGGAAGGGTTACTGAGATACAAGATAAAGCATGTTGCTCAAGGTCTCCCGACTACTACTACTACTAATAATTTAAAAAGGCCCTGAGCTGGGATTGAACCGCAAGTCCATCTTACTACAGAGCCACATCCCAAATTCTTTTCAAGGTGCAGGGATTTCCCCAAGGCCTTCACCATGGCCACCTTCCTGCAGAAATTGCAATACGTACTAAACTGCTCAAAAGGTGTGCAAAAGGAGAGGGTGGAAGCAACAGACCTCCATACTGTACATACACAGAGTAAGCTGTACAAATTTTCTAGTTACCCTTAAGTCCTGCCTAAGGCAATCAAATAAACAATCTTGGGACACTAAATTATCTAATTCGAACCACCGAACTTTATATTCCTCTTGGTGTATATAATAAATAAATTAGCACTCCTGGTGTGTCAAACAAACCAGCCATGATTTGGAGTTTACCATCAGGACTGTTAGACATGGAAGCATTTTTAAAAAATCAGTTTTTGTGTAAAATTAGTCCCTGTAAGAGATACAATGTGGGACCTAGCCAGAATCTATTGAACACATGATACAATACTATTTTTAACATTAGAGCATAAATCATGCACTGTCTAGTTACTGTGTAAGTAACTACAACTACTAGTTACTTTGTTAGTCTAGTAACAACTTCTGACACCTGGGCATATTCATGAAAGTCTTTACCATGTGTAATAAAGGCTCATACAGAGCTTCGTCACTACAAATTATGAGAATTAAGGTCTCAGTTCCCATCTCTTAAGAGTAGAATTGTCTAATTCTTAAAACCATACTTGAAAAAAATCCCTTATGATACAAAAAGTTAGAAACAGTTTTTTTCTTTACCAGAAAAATAATTTAAATAATCTTTCAAATTATGTAGTTCTTCTGCAGTGAAGTGTAAGAAGATGACAGTGAAATGGCAACATATGCTTTGCTGAGAAAATCAGGAAAAAGAGGAAAAACTCAGAATTCTGCAGTCGCTTTGGGATTGTTCATTTACAATAGTTCCATGGCTACCATCACCAAGCTGTGGGGTCTGTGCCCATCATTCCATGTCCTCCAATCTCTAGTTCTCCCCACAGCATCTGTTCAGGGGTTTCTACCTTGCATGCATACTCACCTCTATTCAGCCCCGCCTAGTAAACCATCACAGTCGATGCTGATGGCCCATCCAACATGAGCCCTATATGTTCTTGCCCTTCTCTACTCCAAAGATCTTGACTTCCATCCAGTTCAGCAACCCACCCCCATGACCACATCCTTGACTTTGTCTTCAGTGGGAAGTGCTCCAGCTCTGAAAACTTAAGCATTATAATCCCCTTTGCTCTGTAACCTTCCATTTTCTACCTTTCTTATGTCCCTGGAAGCAGCTAATCTAATGGGGAAATGGGGGCAAGTTTTAGAAGCAGAGATCTGGGTTTAAAAGTTGGCTCTGCCACTTGCTGGCTGTGTGACCTCAGGTAAATTATATTTCTGAGCCTTATATTCTTTGTCTGTGACATAGTATTTTGCAGGATTGTAAGGTGGGCTGCATATGACTGAAAGCACCTAGCAACACAGCTGATGCTCAGTGAAGCTAATTTCTCCCCTTCCCTCCCGCTTCCTCACACCTATTAACTTTATTGTTCAATCTCACAGAGAATGCTGGTCTCTCCAGTCTCTCGTCCCCCTCTGGGCTTCAAGGTCAGTCATTTCATTTCTCTGATGTTCCACCACATGGCTCAGGTTAACACCAAGCTTGGGACAATGCACCACTTCCATGCTTCACTCTTGCTCTTGGACTGCCCAGAACATTTAGCTTGGCCAGGGAGGCCCTGCACATTTCTGTTTCTGAAGCTTCTCATAAGGGAGGAGGAGGAGGAAGACAAGGAGGAGGAGGAGCAATATGAGGAGAAGGAAGAGGAGGAGGAAGAGGAGGAGGAAGAGGAGGAAGAGGAGGAGGAGGAAGAGGAGGAGGAGGAAGAGGAGGAGGAAGAAGAGGAGGAGGAAGATGAGGAGGAGAAGGAAGAAGATGAGGAGGAGGAGGAAGACAAGGAGGATGAGGAGGAAGACAAGGAGAAGGAGGAGGAAGAAGACAAGGAGGAGGAGGAAGATGAGGAGGAGGAAGAAGACAAGGAGAAGGAGGAGGAAGAAGACGAGGAGGAGGAGGAGGAGGAAGACAAGGAGCAGGAGGAGAAGGACAAGGAGGGAGAAGGAAGACAAGGAGGAGGAGGAAGATGAGGAGGAAGAGAAGGAAGAGGAGGAAGAGGAGGAGGAGGAAGATGAGGAGGAGGAGGAAGAAGATAAGCAGGAGGAGGAAGATAAGGAGGAGGAGAAAGATGAGGAGGAGGAAGACAAGGGGCAGGAGGAGAAGGACAAGGAGGGAGGAGGAAGATAAGGAGGAGGAGGAAGACAAGGAGCAGGAGGAGAAGGACAAGGAGGGAGGAGGAAGACAAGGAGGAAGAGGAGAACAAGGAGGAAGAGGAAGATAAGGAGGAGGAGGAGGAAGATGAGGAGGACGAGGAGGAAGATGAGGAGGAGAAAGAAGAGAAGGGGGGGAGAAGCAGTCAAAACAGGATTATAAAAAGAGTGGAATATTTTATGTTTAGAGGAAATACCCCAACCCCATCCTTGATGCCTTCACTTATGTGGAAGAAGAAATCACATTAGCATAACAAGTGGCATGATTTACCATCTTGTTGAGCTTGAAGGAGCTGGGCTTGGACAGCTCCTCTTCTGCTCTCCAGGCATTTCTCTGTGATCTTCTACTCCATGGTCTAGAAGGGTTGCTCCTTCCTCCTCCTGCTAGGGAAGGCTTAGGTCAAGAGCTGCCAGTGACTGGGAGGGGAAGTTAGCCTAAATCAGTAGAGTATTAGGAAGATCACTTGTCTGCAAATGTATGCTGCATTCTCTAAAATAAGCTTATTTAGTAATATAGGTAAACTTTTGGCATTTGTGTACAGACTTATTTCTTAATTGATGTCTAGAAGTCAGGTGGAGGAGAGAAGTGATTTTTGTTGGGTCTCCTTAAAATCCTAAAGTTTATATTTAACAAATTAAGTCTTTTAAAGTTAAGAATATAGTGCACATATAATTGTGCTGTTCCTATGACAGAGAAATTAAGACAAAAATCACAGTAAACCCTAGGTGAGGGGATCCAGGTAACTGCAGCACAAATGCGTTGCAATCAGAGAGTATCTGCTCCTTTCAAGCCTGTTACTGGATCTGCAGGCCCTGGTGATGGCTAACTTTATGTCAACTCAGCTAGGCTGCGGTGCCCAAATGTCTGGTCAACCAACAGTCTAGACGCTGCTGAGAAGATATTTTGGAATGAGATTAACATTTAAATCAGTGGAGCAGATTACCCCCCATCATGTGAGTGGGCCTCATCCAGTCAGTGGAAGGCCTTTAGAGAAACGATTGAGGCCCCCAGGAAGCAGGAATTCTATCTCCAGGCTGTTTTTGGACTCTGGGCTGCAACATCAACAACTTCCAGCCCACCTGCCAGACCTGCAGATTTGGGACTTAGCAGCCCTCATAATTATGTGAGCCAATCCCTTAGAATAAATATCTCTCTCTCCATTTTCCTCTCCCCCAACTCCTCCCCTCTCCCTCTCCCACTTTTCCTCTCCCCACTCTTCTGCTCTTTATCTCTCTCCTCTCTTCATCTAATTGATTCTGTATCTCTGGAGAACTCTGACTCATACAGACCCTTTTCCTCGATGTATAACTCTATTTAGACATTAAGTTGAAAGTCTAAATTTAGGGCTTGATGAATGATTTCAGGCCTGGCACAAGGGGCTTCCTCACTACCCCCTACCCCATTCCTGTGATAGGTCCTGAGCATCACCATACATTTCTTATTTCCAACTTCACCTCAGCCCTCAGTTTCCTTAGAATTCCTTCATTCTTCTCTGATATGGCAGAAGCCACAAGTGCATCTCTAGTAACCTGTCTCCATTCTTCAGTAGAAACAGAATCCCAGTTTTTAGGTAAACATTTGGCCCTCTAGAATAAAGATCACATTTTCTAGTTTCCCTTGCAGTTAGGCTTTGGCACGTGACTATATTCTGGTCAATGGATGTTAGAGGGAGGGGCCTGCACAACTCGTGGGCGATGTCCTTCCTTCCTCCTTCTTGCTGGCAGAATGGAGGGGCTAGACTGCCACAAAGTGACTTTGGGATAAGAAGCCACACACAGAGGAGCAATCACAGAGAAGTGCCTATGTGCCCTGCATTGTGCCACCACCACCTACCTGAGGCTCATCACTGCTGGACTTCTTGGGCTTCCATTTACTTTTAGGTAGACCCTCTTCTAAGTTTTGTATTGAATAAGGCAAAGCTTTAACATTAGAAATGTATTGTAGGCTGGGTTCATTGGCTCACACCGGTAATCCCAGCACTTTGGGAGTCCAAGGTGGGAGGACTGCTTGAGACCATGAGTTCAAGACCAGCCTGGGCAACATAGCAAGACCCTATCTCTACAAAAAATAATTTTAAAAAGTTAGCCAGGTGTGGTAGTGTGCCCCTGTAGTCCTAGCTACTCAGGAAGCTGAGGAGGTGGGAGGATCACTTGAGCCCAGAAGTTCAAGGCTTTAGTGAACCATGATCACACTACTGCACTGCAGCTAGGCAACAGTGTGAGACTTTGTCTCAAAAGAAAAATTAAAAATAACTAAAAATAAAGTAATGTAATCCTAATTGTAATGGACTGAATGTTTGTATCCCCCACAGATTCATGTGTTGAAGCCCTAACTCGCATGTGATAATATTTGGAGATGGGGTCTTTGGAAGGTAACTAGGGTTAGGTAAGGCCATGAGGGTGAGACCTTCGAGATGGGATTAGTGCCCTTATAGGAAGATATACCAGAAAGCTCTCTCTCTCTCTCTTTCTTCTTTTTGTGTGCACAAAGAAAGGTCATTTGAACACACAGTAAAAAAAGGTGATCATCTACAAGACAGAAAGAGAGCCCTCACCAGAAAGTGAATCCTGCAGGACCTTGCTCTTGGACTTTCCATCCTCTAGAACTGTAAGAAAATAAATTTCTGTTGTTTAAGTCACCTAGTCTATGCTATTTTGTTATGGCAGCCCGAGGGGACTTAATTCTAATTAAACACTAATTCTGACTCATGTGTACCTGGCAAGGGATTTCTGATGAGGGAGTTTGGTGGTTAAACAACTGATGCTTTGAATTCAGATAGATTTGCATTTGGACTCTACATTACCAACAAGAGCTGGGTAATCTTGACTAAGCTGGTTTACCACCTTAAATATCAGGTTCTTCTTCTGAAAAATGGAGGTAATATTCAATTTACAAGGTTTTTGTGAAGACTAAATCAATGTGCCGAGCACAAAGTAATAGTTTACTAAATGACAGGTAGCCATTGCTACTGTTGTTAAGAATGTTACTACTCTCTATAATGTTTGTCTTAAACATTCTTCTCTCTTCAAGCCTTGAGTTCCATTTCCGTTAATCTAAGAGATGTTAGTTGGAACTGCTGATGAAAGAGTTCTTAAAATCACATATGGCTCTTTGATTTCCTCTTTCCCATCCACTTTCCTTCTTGAAAAATTTGGTTGTAACACCACTAGAGCAGAGCCAAGTGGTCCTATGGGCCTGCTCTGGGGAAGCTGCAGTGACCCAGAGAAGGCACTGGAGTCTCGGTGGGTAAAGAGAATATATGTGTAGGAGGGCTGCTTGTTGTAGGAATAGGAGTCCCATGGGGTGAGGAGGACCTCCATGTGGGAGGGGAAACTGGCTCAGGTCACTGGAGCCCAGGCAAGTTGAGGAGGGTACCCCCAGAGAGGGAACACCGAGATGAAAGTTAGAGCCTGAGGTGAAAGCACAAGGGCATCCCATAAAGGAGTGGCCTAGTGTGGGCTGCTGGGGCCTGAGCAAGGTGATGATGATGTGCACATGGGAGGAAGGAACAAACTTGAGGTGTGGAGACTGAGAGGAGGGCATTGTGCAGGGAGGGGCAGCAGTGGTAATATTGATTACATACAGGGGCCTGATCAGATAATATCCTGTATCATATAGGATGGAAGATAACTACCCTGTGATTAGGGACTGGAATTGGAGGTATTGGTATGAGCTGAAGTTTTGCAAGATAAGCAGATATAAAAACAAATGGGTATTTTTTGTAAACAAAAGGTGTTAATAACTATGTGTATGTACATACATGCTTCCTAACTCTTTCCACTGAGAGAGTCTGGGAGCAAACACAGCAGTAGCAATGAACACACCTAGTACTGAGGTCTTGGTGTTTTTTTTTTTTTTTTTTGGAGTCTTGCTCTGTCACCTAGGCTGGAGTGCAATGGCACGCTCTCAGCTCACTGCAACCTCCACCTCCCCGGTTCAAGCAATTCTCCTGCCTCAGCCTCCCAAGTAGCTGGGATTACAGGGGTCCGCTGCCACATCCAACTAATTTTTGTATTTTTAGTAGAGACAGGGTATCATCGTGTTAGCCACACTGGTTTTGAACTCCTGACCTCAAGAGATCTGCCTACCTCAGCCTCCCAAAGTGCTGGGATTACAGGCGTGAGCCACCGCACCTGGCCCTTGGCTTCTAGATACTATTGCTCAGTGCAAGAAACCAGAACTTCTTGGAGAAATGATGGGTTCCAAGGCTGATTCTAAGACACTGTACTCATTGACAATCACTTCCCATTCTGACTTCCCCTCAACTCCTAGCAACCACTAATCAATCAGCTTGACTTCCCCTCAACTCCTAGCAACCACTAATCAATCAGCTTGCTGTCTCTATGAATCCTGTACCTATTCTGGACATTTCATGTAGATGGAATCATAGAATATATGACCTTTGTGTTTGGCTTCTTGAAGTTAGCTCGTTTACAAGGTTCATCCATATTGTTCCATGTATCAGAACTTCATTTGTTTTCATGGCTGAATAATATTCCATGTAGGGATGTACTCCCTTCTGTTATCCAGTCATTAGCTGATGGACACTGAGATTGTTTTCAGATTGTTTTCACTGTTAGACTATTATAAATGACGCTGGAATGAACATTCATGTATAAGCTTTTGTATGGATATATGTTTTCAATTCTCTTTTTTTACACACACACACACACACACACACACGTTTTTGATTTTCTAGGAGTACAAATGTGGGGCCATATGGTAGT
Organism: Homo sapiens; assembly: GCF_000001405.40. Taxonomy (NCBI): domain Eukaryota; kingdom Metazoa; phylum Chordata; class Mammalia; order Primates; family Hominidae; genus Homo; species Homo sapiens. Next base: position 26,598,542 of record NC_000018.10, read on the forward strand.
ACTATCTTTAACTTTTTTGAGGGACTTCAAAATTGTTTCCAAAGCAGCTTCACAAGTTTACATTCCCATCAGCTGTGTTTGAGAATTCCTATTTCTCCACATCCTAACCAACACTTGTTATTGTCTGTGTTTTAAATTATATAGCTATCCTAAGTGGGTGTGAGTATCTCATTGTAGTTTTGATTTGCATTTCCCTAATGACTAATAAGATTGAGCATCTTTTTATGCGCTTATTGGCCATTCATATATATTCTTTGGAAAAATCTCTCTTTAAATTCTTTGCCTATTTTAAATAGGTTTATTTGTTTTTTATTGATGAGTTGTGAGGGTTCTTTATATATTCGCAATGCAAATCTTTTATCAGATTATGATTTATAAACATTTTTTCCTATTCTGTGGGTTGTCTTTTGGACTTTCTTCATGATGTCTTTTGTAGCAAGAATGGTTTTAATTTTGATAAAGTCCAAATTGTCTATTTTTTCTTTTGTTACTTGTGTTTTTGGTATCACATCTAAGATACTATTGACAAATCCAAGATCACAAAGATTTAGTTCAATGTTTTCTTCTAAGAGTTTTACTATCTTAGCTCTTAGAATTAGTTATGATCTTTTTTTGTATGTGATAATTTTATAAATGGTATAATGTATGATGACTTTTATTTCATTTTTGTCACATTCTTTTGCATGTAGATATCCAGTTGTTCCAGCAAAAGTTGTTGAAAAGACTATTCCTTCTCCATTGAATTGTTTGGTGCTCTTTTAGAAATTCAATTGACTGGGGGAGAAGCCGGGAGCGAGCCCAGGTGGCAGTCTTGATTCTCTTTTGGCTAGCAGTTTTTAGGTCTGTCAGTACTGCACTGCAAGAATGGCAGATTTTGGGATCTCTGCTGGCCAGTTTGTGGCAGTGGTCTGGGATAAGTCATCCCCAGTGGAGGCTCTGAAAGGTCTGGTGGATGAGCTTCAAGGTTAACTGGCAATGAGGGCCGTGGGTCTGTGGAAAACATGAACCAGCTGTTGCAGTCTGCCCACAAAGAATCCAGCTTTGACATTATTTTGTCGGGTTTAGTCCCGGGAAGCACCACTCTGCACAGTGCTGAGATTTTGGCTGAAATCACCCAGATCCTTCGGCCTGGTGGATGTCTTTTTCTGAAAGAGCCAGTAGAGACAGCTGTAGATAACAATAGCAAAGTGAAGACAGCATCTAAGCTGTGTTCACCCTGACTCTTTCTGGTCTTGTGGAAGTGAAAGAGCTGCAGCGGGAGCCCCTAACCCCTGAGGAAATACAGTCTGTTCGAGAACACCTTGGTCATGAAAGTGACAGCCTGCTGTTTGTTCAGATCACAGGCAAAAAGCAAAACTTTGAAGTGGGTTCTTCTAGTCAGCTTAAGTTTTCCATCACCAAGAAGTCTTCTCCTTCAGTGAAGCCTGCAGTGGACCCTGCTGCTGCCAAGCTGTGGACCCTCTCAGCCAACGATATGGAGGACGACAGCATGGATCTCATTGACTCAGATGAGCTGCTGGATCCAGAAGATTTGAAGAAGCCAGATCCGGCTTCCCTGCAGGCTGCTTCTTGTGGGGAAGGGAAAAAGAGGAAGGCCTGTAAGAACTGCACCTGTGGCCTTGCCAAAGAACTGGAAAAAGAGAAGTCAAGGGAACAGATGAGCTCCCAGCCCAAGTCGGCTTGTGGAAACTGCTACCTGGGTGATGCCTTCCGCTGTGCCAGCTGCCCCTACCTTGGGATGCCAGCCTTCAAACCTGGGGAAAAGGCACTTCTGAGCAATAGCAATCTTCATGATGCCTAGGAAGGGCCTGACATGGGACCCATCTGCTCCTCCAGCCAACTCCTGTCCCTCAAATCCCACCACGGTGTCTCCTCCCACCTCCTCTGGATTTGTTCACTCTGAGATCTATTTGCAGAGTGGGTGCTTAGCAGACAGAGTGAAGCTGGCTGGGGGGGGTGCAGTGGTGTGTAGTGCTGCTGTGTATCAAAAGACCAAGGTATTATGGGGCCCGGTTACTCAGCACGGGATGGGTTTCTTCACCTCATGTTAAGAGAAGGGAGTGTGTCCTGAAGAAGCCCTTCTTCTGATGTTAAAATGCTGACCAGAACACTCTTGAGCCCAGGCATCCTTGAGCATTAACACTCTAACAGAGCTGCAGACCCCTGCCCTGAGTCTCATCTCAGCAATGCTGCCACCTGCTTGTCTTTCAGAGTTGATAGTTTACTCCATTCTTTGTGACACGAGTCAAGTGTCTCACAACCTCCTCAGGGCACCAGAGGACTCACTCACTGGTTGCTGTGATGATACCCAGTGTCCCTCTGCCCCCTTCCATCCCCAACCACATTTTACTGTAGCATTGCATCTGTGTCCTGTTGTCATTTATGTTAACCTTCAGGTATTAAACTTGCTGCATATCTTGAGATATCTTGAGATTCTGCATGTCTTGTAAAGAGAGGGGATGTGCATTTGTGTGTGATGTTGGATAGTCATCCATGCTCAGTTTGGACCATTGGAGGAACTTAGTGTCACACACAAATGGGGCTAGTCCTACGCTTAGAATAGGGCCTGTCTGCCCACTTTAGAAGAGCCCAGGTTGATGAGCATTTAGAGGGAAGCAGGGCAGAACTCTGAACAACAATAAGTCTCTCTGAGCAGAGACCCCTTTGTTCTTGTTACCCACCCGTACGGACTTGGGGTCTATCTTGCCAAATATTTGGAGAGATTGTGTGGATTTAAGAGACCTGGATTTTTATATTTTGCCAGTAAATAAAAGTGTTCATTGGTAAAAAAAAAAAAAAAAAAAAAAAGAAAGAAATTCAATTGACCATAAATGTAAAGGCATACTTCTGGACTCTCAGTTCTATTCCATTAATCTATATGACTATCCTTATGTCAGCATCATATCTATATATCTATCCTTATGATTACTGGAGCATTTATTAAGTTCTTAAATTGAGGAAAGTGTGAGTATTCCAACTTTGTTCTTCCTTTTCAAGATGTGATGCAACAAACACAGCCGTGATTTTGATGGAGACTGCATTGAATCTGCAGATCAATTTGGGGAGCACTGCCATCTTAACAATACTATGTCTTCCAATCCATGAACATAGTATGCCTTTCCAATTCTTTAGGTCTTTAATTTTCTTCAACATAATTTGTAGTTTTCAGTTTACAAATCTTGCATTTCCTTTGTTAACTTTATTCCTAGATTTTTTGCTGCAATTATAAATGGAAATGTTTACTTAATTTTATTATTGTATTGTTCATTATTAGTGTATACAATTGATTTTTAGTATTGATCTTGTATCATGCAACCTTGCAGAACTTGTTTGTTTTTATCATTTTTGGTGGATTTCTTAGTATTTTATATATTAAAAATTTATGTCACCTGAGGATAGTTTTACTTCTTCCTTTCTCATATTTATGCCTTTATTTCAATTTCTTGCCTAATTGCCCTTACCAGAACCTCCAGGTACACTTCCATGATGAATGGAAGTGATGAGAACAGACATTCTTCTTGTGTTACTGACTTTAGGGGAAATGGCTAGTCTTTCACAATTAAGTATGATGTTAGTTGTGGGGTTTTCATAAATGTCTTTATTGGGTTGAGGAAGTTATTTAGTGGTTTTATCATGAAAGGGTGTTGAATTTTGCCAACTGATTTTTCTGTGTCAATTGAGATTTTTGTCCTTTATTCTATTACTATGGTATAAGACATGATTGATTTTCATGTTAAACCAACCGTGTCTTCTTGGGATAAATCTCATTTGATCATGGTTTCATATATTGCTGGATTCCATTTGTATTCTGTTGAAAATTTTTACATCTATATTTATAAGAAATGTGGGTATAGTTTTTCTGTCTTGTGATGGCTTTATCTGATTTTGTTATCAGGGTAATGCTGACTTCATAGAATAAGTTGGGAATTGTTCTCTCCTCTTTCATTTTTTGAAAGTATTTAATTATTTATGCTTAGGCATAACAAGCAAATGGTATAAAATACCAGAGATTCAAAAGTGTTTTTAGTATCAGATTAAGTCATCCAGGTCCCTCTTCCAGAGTCTCATCACACAATTCCTCTCTCCAGAGGTAAAGATCTTTATCTGTTTCTTCCACAGGCATCAGGAACTTATCAGCTACATGATAGATCTCATAAATTCCCCTTAGAGATCTGTTCTTCCTCCTGGGTTAATAACATCATGATCCACATAAACTTAAGTTCTCCTTCCACAGCTGTATCAGTTCAGCATATGCTCACCTGCGAATAACAAATATCCTAAAGAACAAAGGGCCTAAATATGAGAATAGTAGTTTATTTCTCTTTCATTTGATACTACAAAGCAACAGTAACCAAAACAGCATAGTAGTGGTACAAAAACAGGCACATAGACAAATGGAACAGAATGGAGAGCCCAGAAATAAGGCCACACATCTACAACCATCTGATCTTTGACAAGGCTGACAAAAACATGCAATGGGGAAGAGAGGCCTATTCAATAAATGGTGTGGGAGAACTGGCTAGCCATATGCAGAAGATTGAAGCTGACCCTCTTCCGTATAGCATATACAAAAATCAACTCAAGATAGATTAAAGACTTAAATGTAGGCCAGGCCCAGTGGCTCACACCTGTAATCCCAGCATTTTGGGAGGCTGAGGCAGGTGGATTGCTTGAGTCCAGGAGTTTGAGATCAGCCTGGGCAACATGGTGAAACCTTGTCTGTACTAGAAATACAAAAAAACTAGCCAGACATGGTGGTACACGCCTCTAGTCCCACGTACTTGGGAGACTGAGGTGGGAGAATCACCTCAGCCTAAGAGGTTGAGGCTGCAGTGAACCAAGATTGCCCCACTGCACTCCAGCCTGGGCAACTGGAGTGAGACCCTGTTAAAAAAAAAAAAAAAAGACTTAAATGTAAGCCAGGTACTATGGCTCATGCCTGTAATTCCAGCACTTTGGGAGGCCGAGGTGGGCGGATCACCTGAGGCCAGGAGTTCAAGACCAGCCTGGCCAATATATGATGAAACCCCGCCTCAACTAAAAATACAAAAATTAGCCAGGTGTGGTGGCATGCTCCTGTTATCCCAGCTATTCGGCAGGCTGAGGCAGGAGGATCACCTGAACCTGGGAGGCAGAGGGTGCAGTGGGCCGAGATTGTGCCACTGCACTCCAGGCTGAATGACAGAGTGAGACTGTGTCTCAAAAAAATAAAATAAATAAATAAATAAATAAATAAATAAATAAATAAAACCCCACACTATGAAAACCCTAGGAGAAAACCTGGGCAATACCAGCCCATACATTGGAAAAGGTATCTGAAAAAGACGTCAAAAGTAATCACAACAAAAGCAAAAATTGACAAATGGGATCTAATTAAACTTAAGAGCTTCTGCACACAGAAAAAAGAAAGCTATCAACAGAGTAAACAGACAACCTACAGAATGGGAGAAAATATTTGCGAACTATGCATCTGACAAAGGTCTAATATCTAGCATCTATAAGGAACTTAAACAAATTTACAGGAAACAAACAGACAACCCCATTTAAAAAGTGGGCAAAGGACATGAACAGACACTTTCCAAAAGAAGACATACATGTGGCCAACAAGTATATGAAAAGAAGCTCCATACCACTGATCATTAGAGAAATGCAAATCAAAACCACAATGAAATACCATCTCACATAGTCAGAATGGCTATTATTAAAAAGTCAAAAAAATAACAGATTCTGGCAAGGTTGTGGAGAAAAAGAAACACTTACATACTGGTGAGAGTTTAAATTAGTTCAACCATTGTGGAAAGCAGTATGGCAACTTCTCAAAGAGCTAAAAGCAGAACTACCATTTGACCCAGCAATCCCATTACTGGGTATATACCCAGAGGAATATAAATCATTTTACCATAAAGACACATGCACACAAATGTTTACTGCAGGACTATTCACAATAGCAGGATATGGAATCAACCTAAATGTCTATAAAGAAAATGTGGTACATATACACCATGGAATACTATGCAGCCATAAAAAATGAGATCATGTCTTGCAGGAACATAAATGGAGCTGGAGGCTATTATCCTTAGCAAACTAACACAGGAACAGAAAACCAAATACTGCATGTTCTCACTTACAAGTGGGAGCTAAATGATGAGAACTCATGAACACAAAGAAAGGAACAACAGACACAGGCGTCTACTTGAGGGTGAAGGGTGGGAGGAGGGAGAGGAGCAGAAAAGATAACTCTTGGATACTGGGTTTAATACCTGGGTGATGAAATAATCTGTACAATTAATCCCTGTGAAATGAGTTTATCTATGTAACAAACCTTCACATATATCCCTGAACCTAAAATAAAAGTTAAAAAAAAATAAAGAAACTCAGGAAGTAGGCCTGCAGTCCAGGGCTGACTTGGTGACTTTATTACCTCTTTAGGAACCCAGGTTCCTTCTAGCTCACTACCCTGCCATCCTCAGAGTATAGCCTTTATCCTCCTGTCCCAAAAATGGATTACTGTGTTCCAGGCAATAGGGTAGAGAAGGAAAAAGAAACAGACAAAGGGCATGCCTCAGCCGTCTTTTAGTAAAGGTTCAGGAAATCACCACATGACACATCTGTTCCGTTTCATTGATCGGGATGTACTCATATGGTCTCACTTAGCTGCAAGGGAAGCTGGGAGATGTGGTCTTTATTTTGAGTCAACATGGGCTGTCTACAATCGAGGGTCTTATTATGAAAAAAGAAGAGAGACAACAAATTAGTTACAACCACACATTCGACCTGGCAATTTTGCCCCAATTTTTCCCCAAATGTATCACCCTTTTTCCTTTGCCATTCCTCCCTTACACAAGTCCTTATAGCTTCTCACCTGAATTACTATGGTACTGTAGCTTCTTAACTGTGTGTTTTTTTAAAATTCCAATCTCTTCCCTTCAGAAAATTTTTCATTATATCTTTTCTGAAATAAATATGTAATCCCATCAAACCTTCAATGGTTTTCCAATTGCCTCCAGAAAAAATTTCCAACTCCTACATGTGGCTTCCAAGTTTCATTCATGACCTGGCCCTAGACCACTGTTATAGCTGTAGCTTCTGTCTGTCTCTCTTTCTCTACTTGAACTTTTTGCTCAAGCCACACCTAAATCCTGTCCCCACCCACCCCCCTAAATACACCATATATATATCTCTATATCTATCTATCTATCTATCTATCTATCTATCTATCTATCTATCTATATTACATCTTAGTAACTGTGGTAGATCGATTACAAAAATTGTTTACCCTTCTCTTTGCAGTGTGACTTTTGTGAACCCAAAAGTATCTGAGACAGGTCTCAATCAATTTAGCAAGCTTATTTTGCTGAGGTTAAGGACATGCCTGTGACACAGCCTCAAGAAGTCCTGACAACATGTGCCCAAGGTGGTTGGGGCATGGCTTGCTTTTAGGGAGACATCAGTCAATACATGTAAGACTTACATTGGTTCAATCTGGAAGGGTGGGACAGCTCAAAGCAGGAGATTTCAGGTCATAGGTAGATTTAAAAATGTTCTGATTGGCAATTGGTTGAAATAGTTATTATCAATAGAAAGAAATGTCTGGGTTAAGATAAGGGGTTGTGGAGACCAAGGTTTTATCATGTAGATTAAGCCTTCAGGTAGCAGGCTTCAGAGAGATTAGTTTGTAAATGTTTCTTAAGGCCTGTGTTGATGTTAATGCCAGTTGGCTTTTCCTGAATTTCAAAAGGGAGGAGGGTATGATGAGGCATGTCTGACTGCCCCTTCCCATCATGGCTGAACCAGTTTTTTAGGTTAACTTTGGAATGCCCTTGGCCAAGAGGAGAGGTTCATTCAGACAGTTGGGGGGCCTTAGAATTTTAGTTTTGGTTTACACTTTGTAGCTCCTTCCATCAAGAGATGGGTCCACTACCCCACTCTTTGAATCTGGCTGGCCTCGTGACTTGCTGGGGCAATGGAATGTGTGTGAAATAACTACATGCTAGTTCTGAGTGAGAGCCTAAAGAGGCCGTGTGTGCTTCAGCGATCTCTTGAACCTGTCTCCGTCATTAGAATAAGCCTGGCCTAGCCTGCTAGATGATGAGAGGCCAAGTGCAGTGCTGCACATCATCCCAGTCAAGGCCAGTTCTGACCATCGAGCCCTTGGCTGACCTGCTGGCCGACCTCAGCTCTGTAAGCCAGACCATTCAAGATCAGCCAAGTCAGACTCAGGTCAGCATAATGGCTTAGGTGACACATAGACTCGTGTAACATAAAGACTGGTTGCTGCTTTAAGCCACTAAGCTGTGGGAGACAGTATTCACTATGGAATTAGATCAAGGACACAGTGCTTTTGCATGTGCTATTCCTTCACCTTAAAATGCCTATTTCTTTTTTTCAGCTTAGTAAACTCCTAAACTTATCTTTCTATCAAGACCCAGATCAAATATAATCTTAACTGGAAAAGTTTCTTGTCCCTACCTGGGCAGATCTAGCTGCTTTCTTTCTTTTTTATTTTTTTATGAGACAGGGTCTTGCTCTGTTGCCCAGGCTAGAGTGCAGTGGCACAATCATAGCTCACTGTCACCTCTGACTCCTGGGCTCAAGCAATCCTCTGACTTCAGCCTCCTCAGTAGCTGAGACGATAGGTGCAAGCCACCAAGCCAAGCTAATTTAAAATAATTTTTTTAGAGATGGGATCTTGCTGTGTTGCCAAGGCTGGTAACTTTGGCCTCAAGTGATACTCCTGCCTCAGCCTCCTGAGTAATTGGGATTACAGGCATGAGCCACGTGCCTGGCTAGAAACTTTTTTGACAAACCTCACACCTCTATTATAGCATGTAACATATAGATACTTGTTCACACAGCCATTTCTCCTTTTGGCTGAGCTAGCTGAGGGCAAGGACAACCTATCCTATGATGTGCACCAAAAATATCTTTTGCACAAATGAAAACATAAATTCTAGGATGTTAAGCATATGTAATTCTTTCTCTTTTATTCTCTTTCTTCCAAACAATAAATATAGTTTCTTATAATGCCTAGGTCTTTCCTTCCATAATATGTCACCACTCACCCAAATTTCAGTCACTGATCACATATTGGAGGATGTGTTTATACCTCTTTTTCCTTCTCATGTGTGGCTTTTAAGCCCATGCAGTGTCATATTTTCATTGATTGGTAATTTCCCGTATTGAACAGTCATGTTACTCCTTGAAGTTTTTGAATTCTTTTATTTTTTAAATTCATTTACTTTTTGAGACAGGGTCTTACTCTGTCATCCAGGCTGGAGTGCAGTGGTGTGATCTTGGTTCACTGCAGCCTCAAACTCCCAGACTCAAGTGATCCCCCTGCCTTAGCCTCCCAAGTAGCTGGGACTACAGGTGTGCACCACCATACCTGGCTAATTTTTAAAAATTTGTTTGTAGAGTTGGGGTCTCACTATGTTGCCCAGACTGGTTTCAAACTCCTGACCTCAAGCAATCTTCCCACCTCAGCCTCCCAAAGTGCTGGGATTACAGGTGTGAGCCACTGCACCTGGTCTCAAATTCTTAAAGTTTCTCAATTGTTTGATTTAGTTTTCAACTACATTCACCACTACTCTTGTAAATAAATTTTAAAAGTTTACCTGTTAGCTTTTTAAATTTTAAATTTTTAATGTTTAAAATAATCCTTTGAATGCATTGCTTACTTTTAATGTTACTATTGTCAGTTTCCTTACACTGTTTGATCTCTTGTCTTACCTGCTTCACTAATTTTCTATTTCCAAGTGAGAGTGGAGATGGCTGAGAAAATTGTTCTAACCACAGGCTAATTGGCAACTAGGTAGGATCTTGTGATCTGTGGTTTTTCAGTTCTTTAGTTCAACCGATTCACCTAGAGCTTCATTTGTTATGTGCCAGTTGGACATGGCTCAAGCATCAGTTCTTAGTGCAAAATGATGTTTGTGACAGAAAGAACCTGAAGAAAGGCACGAAAGCCATCCTTCTGCTCACTGTAGCATTCCCAGAAGGAGCCTGGGGGAGCACAGCAGTCCATATGGGGCAGGGTCGGTGGGCTGCTCCCACCCTCTGCACTGTCACCCCCCAGCCCGCTGCCCCCTCATTATTCTTTGTTGTATTTTATGTGTCAGTCCCCAAATTTCTGAATGTATAATTAATCACCTCCTAAGTCTTATTGTGCACAGTGATGCTTTACCCACTTTATATTGAACACAGTATATTTGATTATTTTGAAGAAGGAAATCCATCGGCAAGAAGTGAGCTGCGTCTTTTCTGCAAGTTCTGATTTCATCAGAAAGCTCTTCTGGAACAAGCCAATTGCTTCTGATGTCAAACTTAGCAATCATTTATGAAATAATACAACAACAATAACATTTAATGCCTTTCATCAGATCAGACTGTAAATACTAATTAGTTATAGTTCATCGCATTCTGGTGGGGCTCAGTAAATTATGATGCTTGTTTTATAGATATTGAAACAAAGACAAGAGATTAGAGGCACTTGCCCAAGGCTGCAGAGGACGATGTCAAAACTGGGGTTGTAACTCTTGTGTCCTGGATTTATAGGATAAATCTCTGGATTTATAGGATAAAACTCTCTGGATTGATAGGATAAAATGTTAAAGTAGTACCAACATCTAATATAATGCAATGAACAAGTCCTGCCATGTCAGCCACTGCACTTTATATGATACATTTATATGAAAATCCCTTAGCATTAAATATTTAAGAAGAAAAAATTTTAATGAAAATAGTAAACATCTCAAGTGCCTGGCATAAATGCATCATGGCCTAATTCTCCCTAATGGGCTGTGATATTAAAATGAATTCGGCTCCTGCCTCACTGTCCACTGCCACGCTGGGAATGAAGCAAAAGATTTCTTGCTTAAGCACCAAATTCAGCCCTGGGAGGTTAATGGGACCATATTACCGGGTGATGGACCACCATGTCTAAAAGTGGTGTCTCAATAACAGCTCAAAGGATGGAGATGACTTGCTGTAAAGTTCTTTGTTCTTTAAAATCCTGGATACAATTTACTTTTTAAATAACTGATTTCCCCCTCATGAAGACTGTTTCTCAGAATGTGGAAACCCTGCCTTTGAGCTCTAAAAGCGGGTAGTTCAGATTGACTCCAATGCTAAGACTGTTAACATGTCTGCCCATCTAACCACCAGTAGGATTTTCTGTTTTCTCAGTGACTGAAACTACAGCCTTCAAATTCCAGAAAGAGCCTAGAACATAACTTTTACAAGGATAAAGTCAATTGTATTTCATTTGGGATAATTCATTTAAATTCCACCGGCTCCAGTGACAAACTTCTAAAATGCTTTTGCCGAAAGTGATCTAAATTTCTGCCATAAAACACATAAAGTGTGTCAACTTACTGATTTTGGTTTGTGATCTGCAAAATGGGGATATTTGCACTATACATACCCATTTCATGAATATCTTAACTGAAATACTGAACATTTAACAAGTCATTAAAAAAATGCTTCATTCAAAAATTTATTTAGAGAAGCCAAGAGAATAAGGCATTATCTCATGATGTTATGAGAATAAATCTAAGATGTGGGTACATCTATGGTGTCTGTCCCTATCTATCTTGTAAGTCCACTTTGAGTTACTTTTTTTTTCTTTTTTCCTTGTCAGCAGATTCCAGTTGAGTTACTTTCTGTATATAGTGTGAGGTATAGCTCAAAGTTTAAATTTTTCCTTATGAATAAACAATTTTAAGTCCCATTTGTTGAAAAGACTATCTTTGGCCAGGCATGGTGGCTCATGCCTGTAATCCCAACACTTTGGGAGGCCAAGGCAGGTAGATTGCTTGAGCCCAGGAGTTCAAGACCAGCCTGGGTAACCGTGTGAGACCCCATCTCTACAAAAATAAAAATAAAAAATTTAGCTGGGTGTGATGGCACATGCCTGTAGTCCTAGCTACTTGGGAGGGTGATGCAGGAGGATTGTTTGAGCCCATAAATTTAAGGTTACAGTGAGCTATGACAGCGCCAATGCACTCTAGCCTGGGAAACAGTGAGGCTCTAAGAAAGAGAGAGAGAGAGAAAGAAAGGAAGGAAGGAAGGAAGGAATGAAGGAAGGAAGGAAGGAGGGAGGGAGAGAAGGGAGGGAGGGAGCAAGAAAGAAAGAGAGAAAGAAAAGAGAGAAAGAGAAAGAAAGAAAGAGAAAGAAAGAAAGGAAGAAAGGAGTCTATCTTTTTACTACTCAATGGCCTTTGTCAACAACCAGCTGCATGCACCTGTGGGTCTGCTTCTGGACTCTGACAAGATATCACTGTTACCCTTATTTTTATTCTTCTGTACTTAATATGTCTTTTTTCTCTGGCTCTTTTAAGATTTTCCTTGTATAACTGAGTATGAGCAATTTGACTAGGACATGTCTTGGTGTTCATTGTTCATGCTTCTTGTCTTTGGGGTTTGTTAATCTTGGATCTGTGGGTTTATGGTTTTTGTCAAGTTTGGAAAGTTTTTGGTCATTATTTCTTCAAATATTATTTTTCTATCTGGCTCTCTCTCTCTCCTTTGGAAACTCTAATTACAGGTGTATTCAGCTGCTTGAGGTTGTCCCACATCTCACTGGTGCTTTTCTCATTTTTAAAAAATTAATTTTTCTCTTTCATTTTGGATGGTGTCTGTTGCTATGTCTTCAACATCATTAATCTTTTCACCTGCAATGTCTAATCTTCATCTATTTTTTTTCACTTCAAACATTGAATTTTCATCTCTAGAAGCTTGATTTGCCTCACCTAACTTTTTGGACATATGGAATACAATTATAGTAACTGGGTTTTGTTTGTTTGTTTGTTTGTTTGTTTGTTTGTTTTGAGATGGAGTCTCTCTCTGTCTCCCAGGCTGGAGTGCACTGGAATGATCTTGGCTCACTGCAACCTCCACCTCCCGGGTTCAAGTGATTCTCCTGTCTCAACCACCTGAGTAGCTGGAATTACAGGTGTGCACCACCACACTCAGCTAATTTTTATATTTTTAGTAGAGGCGGAGTTTCACCATGTTGGCCAGGCTGGTCTCAAACTGCTGACCTAAGGTGATCCGCCTGCCTTGGCCTCCCAAAATGTTGAGATTACAAGGGTGAGCCACCATGCCTGGCCATAATAACTGTTTTAGTGCCCTATCTGCTAATTTAACATCTGTGTTAGTTCTGGATTGGTTTTCATTGATTGACTATTCTCATAAGTCATATTTTTCTGCTCTTTTGCATGCCTGGTAATCTTTAATTGGATGCCAGACATTGTGAATTTTACTTTTTTGGGTGATGAAGACTTACATGTTGCTATAAATATTTTTGAGCTTTGTTCTGGGATGAGTTAAGTTACTTGGAAACAGTTCGATCTTTTGGGGTTTTGCTTTTAAGATTTGTTAGGTGGCTCTGGAGTAGTGCTTAGCTAATTACCCACCACTACTGAAGCAAGACTTTCCTTAGTCATCTACCCAATGCCCTGTAAATTATGAGTTTTTCCAATCTGGCTGGTAGGAACAGGCACTATCCTTGCCCTGTGTGAGCACTGGGCACGGTTTCCTCTTATTCTGTTGAATAATCTTTCCCCTGACTTGGATAGTTTCCTCACATGCATGTGCTGATCAAATTCTGTTAAATAATGCAGGGGACCCAATGCAGACCCCAGGGCTTCTCTCTGTGCAGCTGTTTCCTCTCTGATACTCTGACTTGCAAACTCTGGCAGCCTTGGTGTCCCTGGAATCTTGCTTTATCTCTTCAACTCAGGGAGTCCACCTTGGTTCTCTCTGGGGTCCCTATCTATTTTGGGTTGAATTGATCCCCTTCCCAAAAACATGTTGAAATCCTAACCCCCAGTACCTCAGAATGTAACTGATTTGGAAACAGGGTCTTTATTGAGATAATCAAGCTAAAATTAGCTTATTAGAATGGGTCCTAATCCAATAGGACCGGTGTCTTTGTAAGAAGAGGAAACTTGGACAGAGACGTGTACAGATGGGAGACCACTTGAGGACACAGGGAGAAGATGGTCATCTACAAGCCAAGGAATGCTGAGGCACCCAGAAGCTAGGAAAGAGGCATGGAACAGACTCTCCCTCACAGACTTTGGAAGGAACCAATGCTGCTGATATTTTGATTTCAGACTTCTGGCCTGCAGAACTGTGGTCAATAAATTTCTGACATTTAAGCCATTCAGTGTGTGGTACTTTGTTACAGCAGCTCTGGCAAACTTAACACATCTTCCTTGTGCTGTATCCTGGAAACTCTTCGGGCAGTGAGCAGGAGCAAGCATAGGGCTCAGCACATGTGTTTTCCACCTCTCATTTTTTCGTTGCTTGACATCCATTGTCTTAAAAACCAGTGTTGGTTTGGTTTCTGTTGTTTTAGGTGGAAGGGTAAATGTGGTCCTTGTTATTATTGTTTGTTGGCTGGAAGCAGAAGTCCTCACTCATTTGATTTTTAATTGTACAGTGTCCAGTGTCACTGTTTCATATTCTGGGGACTATGTTTCAGTTTGCCAATGGGATTATAAACTTTGAGACCAGAGACCTTTGTGCCAACCACAATGCCTGAACTAGTCCCCTGTGCATGACAGGAGTGCAATACGTATCTGAGCTAAACAGTGTATTTTTGGTTTTTCGGACTCAGCACACTGAGGATTGACTTGTGATGAAAAATCAATGGATGTGAAATTTCTTATTCCACTTGATACTTTTAGTGTGTGAAAAATAGCCTGAAACTAAAATATTTTAGTTCCTGTCTTGTTTTCAAAGAAGTGACACTCTGACGATTTCCTTTTTAAATTAACAATCATGTACCTGGTAGCACAGAGCTGTGGGAGAAATTCTTGGGCCCAAACCACCCAGCCTGTGAAGTAAAATGAACAGCCTGTCACTGCTCATCTGGATTTTCTATCTGTCATTTTTGTCTGTCTCTCAGTTCTTTTCAAGGAAGGAGGTAACATGATTTGGTACCCAGGCTTTCCTTGACATGGGTGTGAAAGCAAAAGGAGAGAATCACATTTTTTGGTTTCATTCTGGAGATTCAAATTAACTCCATTTTTTATTGTACTGCTAAAGTGTCCACAGAAAGCTAAAACATACACAAGAAACTCTGGTCCAAAATTTCCCAAGTATAAGCTTTATAAATTGTAAAGCTGTAGACTAATGGCTTTAGTATATCATTTACAAAGCAAGCATTTTTGTCCTACTTTGAACAGAGAGAAGAGGCTCTTTCATTTGACCAAACTGCTGACAGAATGTGCTGAAAACATAATTTCATACATTTATTCATCAATCATCAAGCATGTCCCTATATCGGGGCCTTTGCACATATTGTTCCCTCTGCCTGGATTGCTCTTCTCCCAGATATTTACATGGCTCACCCCCTCATTTCATTCAGGCCTACACTCAATGGTCATTTTCTGAGCAAGGCCTTCCCTGCCCATCCTACTTAACAGAGCGTTGCAGCCCCACCACCCCTTCCTCATGTGACATTCTTTTCACTTGCCCTCTTTTATTTTCTTCATATCACTTATCACTTACCACCTGACAGTCAGTCAGAAAAATATCTACACATATACGTTGATCTAACACACATGTGTTTATTTATCATCTATCCTCTTCTCCTAGTCTAGTGTCTACTCCATGGGAACAGAAACTGTTCCTGCTATATTCTAGCACGTAGATCAGTGCCCAGCACACAGTATGCCTTCAGTTAATATTTGTTGAACAAATGAACACATGTTTGCTGATTTCTTCTCTGTGCAAAGGCACTGGAGGGAGGAGCTATGATGTGAATCACCCCAGCCCCGAATTCCAAGAAGCTCACCTTCTAATAGAAAGACAAATAGAAAAAATCCATGACTATGCTCCAAAGCAAAAGAATGGGTTGAATAATGTAGTTTGAAAGCACAACGGAAAAAGGGGTGGGGAGAGGCAGGGGAGTTTTTGAGATGAGCCTGGTGCAGATGTGGGATGGGCAGAGAGGAGAGGGATGAATCGTTCAGCCTCACAACACAGAGTGAGCAGAGACTTGGAACCCTAGGAGTTGACAGAATGCTTTGGACCCAGCTGGAAATCTGTGTGGGTTTGTGAAGATGTAGCAGGCAAGAAAGGAGACTTGGGGCCTGATCTTGGAAGGCTTTGGAATGTTTGGCATTTGGAATCTATCTTAAAGGAATTAAGTGGGTAGTATTTTTAAACCACCTCTAGCGAATCAGTCTCCTATCCAGGAAACTTAGTTGTTTATCAGCATCTCATTGAATGTGAACTCGTTAACGTGGTGACCTACACTTATCTTGTTCCCTTAAACATATGTACAGAGATACCTTTTCTCTTACCAGTTATGTACCGTGAAAGTGTGGCACAAGTGTAAGAATACTTAGTAGCTTTCACTAACAATTTGCTCATTGATTGATTTGCTTTTTAAAATTTTCAAATAACAGCTTGCCTTCATTTATGTTCCTGTATAAAAATGAACTCAGCACTTTCTTAGGAAGGCTCTTGATCTGGTTACATGGACCAAATGAATTCCATGCAATCAGTAGAAGGACAGAATGTGAAGTGAAACAAATCATAACATCCTCCCCACCTGGGCAGGGAAACGTTATGGGCTTATGGAAACCTGATAGACTACAAAGCTTTGTAAATAACTGCCCCCCATCCCTTCCCACCCCATCCAACTCAGCCCAGTCCTGAGGCTCAGCAGACTGAATGACTGGTTCTGTGGCTCCCAGCTGCTCAGTGGCTGAACCAAACCTGTGAGTCAGGTGAGAACTTTTTCTACTCCTCTCATTTATGGAGCAAGGGTGGGTTATGTCAAAGCTACTGGAGAAAAACAGCATCAATGAGGATATTTTGCTAGTCTGTCAGATTTACTCAGGGTTTTAGGGGAGGAGTCCGTGGATAGAGAAGGGGATGGGAGACTTAAATAATATAAGAAACAAGTAGTACTGAGCATTTTGATGTGCAAATGAAGATCTCTTATGAGAAGAGTGCAAAATCAACTTGGGTCTTAAAGCTGGAACAGGAAATATCAAAGAAATATCTGTTTTGGGTGGTCTCCTCCAGCCTCAGTATCCTGTCCCCTTACAGTACTGGTCCCCTGAGAAATTTGAGATACAGCATTCTACCCCGTTCTGATTAGAATGTGATCACTTATCTACCTATTTTCAAATGGGCATGTTTTTATTGGTTGGAGACAAAAGGCATTTCCAAGGAAAGGACGTGGACTGTAAAGAAACATCTCAGCACTAGCTATAGGAATTGGGATCACTAGTGCTTTTTTTTTGAGACAGAGTTTTGCTGTTGTTGCCCAGGCTGGAGTTCAATGGCACTGTCTCAGCTCACTGCAACCTCTGCCTCCTAGGTTCAAGTGATTCTCCTGCCTCAGCCTCCCAAGTAGCTGGGATTACAGGTGTCCGCCACCACGCCCTGCTAATTTTTGTATTTTTAGTAGAGATGGGGTTTCACCATGTTGGCCAGGCTGGTCTTGAACTCCTGATCTCAGGTGATCCGCCTGCCTCACCCTCCCAAAGTGCTGGGATTACAGGCGTGAGCCACTGCACCAGGCCCACTAGTGCTTTTAATTGTCATGGCAGACAATAATTTTTTTTAAGTGTTTCTTTTTTTTTTTTTTTCTTCTCTTTTTATTGTTGGACCTCAGGTGATGAGTTGGAATTAACCATACTCTACAGTACATGGCTCATCATCATGGGTCTGTGATTGATTGATTGATAGATTGATCAAATGCTTTAATCCCCATCCTCTCCCCTAAATTTACCAACCACAGGTGGCCTTCCTCATGGTTTTTAAGGTTTATTCCCTTGTTTTATATGTTCCTACCAGATGTGGATTGTTGTTTTATATGCCTATTTCTTTTTTACTCTGTACAACTCCCTCGAGGCCCATCTAAGACACATGTTTACAGCTAATCCCTTACATACATATATATATATATATACACACACACATATATGTATACATACATACATACACACACACACTCATATATACATAAAGAGACAGAGTCTCACTCTGTCACCCAGGCTGGAGTGCAGTGGCACAATCATAGGTCACTGTAACCTCCAACTCCTGGGCTCAAGTGATCCTTGGGCTTCAGCCTCTTGAGTGGCTGGGACTACAGACATGTGCCACTATGCCTGGCTAATTAAAAAAAAAAAAATTTGTAGAGACCAGGTCTGGTTACTCAGGCTGGTCTCAAATTCCGGGGCTCAAGTGATCCTCCTGCCTTGGCCTCCAGAGTGCTGGGATTACAAGCATGAGCCATGGCATCCAGCCTAATCCATTACTTGTAATGCAATCTAGACTTACTTTGCTAATCCACTCTCCTGGTGATGGACAGAGACCTTGCCTTTTGGGAGGCTATTTCAAAGAGAACAAGATGCTCAATCTCCATCAATAGTTTTACATATAAATTCAATTGTTTTGTATTTCAGTAATGTGGAAAACAAGCAAACCTTGCCATTATTATTATTGACCAAATAAACACAGAACTTTGCCCAGACTGTTAAGTGTACTCTGCCTGACCTTGATTTGGTGGAGTAAGGAAGAGAAAGGGGTGGGAATTGCTGGGTATGTCTTGCTCTGCTCACTTAACACCTATGAACCTGTGAGTAGTGGACTCATGCATTTTAAACAAATTGGCCATCCCAAAATAACCTTTCCAGGTCATTTCTCCAGGCTAAGTCCATTCAAAAACACTGCTCAAAAAACAGAGTATGTCTTGAATACTATTACATTCAGGGTCAAGGAACAGGCATTACAGTAATCCACAGAGCTAGTTATGTCAGCCAAGAGGAATGTATGCTGTCAACTGCCGTACAAAGATGTGTATCATAGCTGACGCTCCTCAACATATCTCTCTCCCATGCCGTGTTTGAGGAGCAAAGGCTCTTAATAGACAGGATGACTAACAATTTGGCTTTTGAAATATGATATGGGAAAATCAGGATAAACAAGAGTCTTTCCATCAATTGGGTACTATTATTGAGCTGAAAATATGAGAAGCTAGAGGGAATAATGTTTTATAAATGATGACATGTATTTTAAGTAGCCAACAATATTGTTTTAATGCATGTAATTTTTCAAATTATGCCACAGCCTCCTATGTGGTAGAGAATGGTTTTGGCATGTATAATGCGGTGTCCAAATCTCCCATATGTTGGTTATAATTGAACCAAAAGTTGGATAGAGAAATAAAAGAGTGTGGGTAGAAGAGATAACTTAGTTAAATGTATTTGTTTTTATCCCCAAAACCACAGCTGTGAGCTTGGCATTAAGCAATCAGAGGAAGAAGGAAGGAAGGAAGGAAGGGAGGGAGGGAGGGAGGGAGGGAGGGAGGGAAGGAGGGCAGGCAAGGTAAGGGAGGGAGAGGGAAACAAAAAGAAGGAAAAAAAAAAAAGGAAGACAGAAAGTCCATGTGAACTTTGAAGCTATAACAGTACATCACAGCACAAATAATTAGTTCTTTGTTGACTGGTTCCGCCTATGCCCAGTTACGAAGGCAGTGTTAATGAGGAAAAAATGCTGAACTTGGGTAAATAAGAAGACCTAGGTTTAAAAAAAAACAAAAAAGACTCTGGCACTCAAAGCCATGTGACCTTAAGCAAGTCTTTTTATCTTTCTAAATCTTATTTTTCTCATCTGCTAAATAGGCAAGACAATTATCTTACAAGTGGTTATGCAGACTCAGTGGGAATGCCCTTAGAAATTGTCAAGTGTTGTTCAAGTGTGAGGGTTCAAAAGAAAATTTACCTCCAAGAAGTTAATTGAATGGATTAGGAGATGAATCAGCATATTTAGTGTTGTCAGTACTCCTGTAGGATAAATTATGGTTTCAGAGAACCCTGCCAAGTGGACTAGAGCCTTTGCTTCAGGAACTAGGTGCATTCCACCTACCACCTACCTACTCTGTCCTCAGAGAACCGCAAATCAAGGACTCAAGAAAACACATTCTCAGAATAAACGATGCCTCTCTCTTCATCTTTCTCAGACACCCAGATCCTGTGATAAGGATAAAGGTGAACGAGGAAGGACCTTAAGGCAAGACTGTTTCAAGATTGACTCTGTGGGCCAATTTAATTTACAGTTCTGTACACGACTCGATGTGCTGCAAATCCAATTAGTTTCAACCATTTTCCAAATCAGGGTTGTTATTATTTAGAATTAAAGTAGTTGCATTTCTACTGATACTTGAAAAATTCAACTGTTTTCCAACTATTTTCAACTATTTTCCAAATCAGGGTTGTTATTATCTAGAATTAAAGTAGCTGTGTTTCTACCGATATTTGGAAAACTATGCGTAGATGAACTGCATTTATGGTTGGATGTTTCCTTTCACAAACTGCAGAAATCATCTGTCCCAGTGTTTCTGTAAGAATAAGTAGTTGGCATTTTACAGTCCTCCAGGGAAAGCCAATGTCCATTTCTCTTTGCCTATAGAGTGAGGCTCTGCCTTCCCTGGAGTCTTCGGCCTTCTCTGGAGTCTTGGATAATTATTGTCTATTTGGCAGAATTAGCATGATTGGTACTATCCTAAGTGTCTAATTTTGAGTACTAGAAAAAAAAGTTTAGCTTAGATATATGTTGTGTATAGATGCCTTTGTTGCTTAAAAACTTTAGTGTGTCTTGCTTAGCTAAGTAGATATCAAGTTTCTTCTATACAGGAGCTATAGTAGATGCCACTGGTATACCCACTCCATACTTCCTGCTACAGTGTGTCTTAAATGATGATCTCAAAGTATTGCTTATTTCCTTACTTGACTTTGTAAACAGATTTCACTTCTGGTTGTAAAAAGAATGTATGTTCACTTTTGGCAATAGAAAAGTAAAAAGAAGAAAAGGAAAAATTTCCATACTATTACTTCCCAATGAGACCACTAATAACATTTTGGTGTATGTAATTTGTTTGTTTGTGCAGGTGATATAGACGTATTGTAGGTGACACTGTGGGTTGTCTCAGAATAGCCATTTCTCTTTATTTTCATTGCTATCAGCATGTGGTTTTGTGTAGGCTTCCATAGCCACGTGTTTGGGGGATGCTGGCTGTCGACAGCTATTCAGGTCTCATTTTTCTAGGCCAATGATTGCTTAAGGCCTGGGCACTGGAATCAAGCCTGGGCAATGGGACCTGAGGAGACATCTGCCGGCAGTGCGGGCTTGTAAAATAGAAGCACGGGAAAGATGCCTCTTCTTCACTGGACATGGCCCTGTCTGCATCCTTGGACTACAAGGGGAGCCACTGCAGAGTGGAGAGATGAAGAGCTCACTTATTCTTGAGAAGCCACCAAATGCATCAGCTCCAAAATGCCGTTCTTGGGCTTCCTATTATGTGAGATGACAAGTGGCCTTCTCATTTAAATCACTTTCAACTGTGTTTCCTGTTACTTTCAGCCAAAATCATCCTAACTTATCTTGCATTCTTTCCTCAATAGTATATTGTATGCACTTACCTAGTCATACAATATTCTTCACAAGGAGACCCTGCATAATGGTAGTTGCTATTTGCTTGGGTCTCTCCTCACAGGTCTCTGAACTCCTCGAGGGCAGAGATGAGGGGTTTTTGTTTGTTTTATGGTATTTTTTCTGTCTCATAATCAGACCTTAACACAATGTCTGGCACAATGTAGACACTAAGATTCTGTGGAATGCGGGGACTGATGACTGAATTCCTTATTGTGGCTAAAAGGCCCTGGTAGAAGGTGACAAGTATTTATTGAGCATGACAGATTGTCTTCACTGTTCTCCAGGGAGCTGTCCTTATGAAATTCAAATTCACGTGTGAGTTTGCATTTGCTGAAGGTAAATCTTAAAAAAAAAAAAAAAAAAAAAAAAAAAAAAAAAAAAACTATAACAAGTTAGTCTGACACTTTTATGACAGCAATCAAAATTGCATTTTTTTTTTTTTTTTTTTTTTGAGACAGGGTCTTGTTCTGTTGCCCAGGCTGGAGTGTGGTGGTGCAATCACGGCTCACTGCATCCTCCACCTCCGGGGCTCAAGCTCTCCTCCCACGTCAGTCTCCTGAGTAGCTGGGACTAAGGCATGCAGCACCACGCCTGCCTAATTTTTGTATTTTTTGTAGAGACAGGGTTTCGCCATGTTGCCCAGGCTGGTCTCAAACTCCTGGGCTCAAGGGATCTGCCGGCCCCGGCCTCCCAAAGTGCTGGGATTACAGGTGTGAGGCACTGAGCCTGGCCTAAAATTGCAAATTTGATAGCAATTTAAAAATAAAAGGTAAGGGTGGTGGTGTAGCTTTATTCACTGCATAGCAGTCATCCTGAAACACTTGAAAAGCTTTTTTTTTTTTTTTTTGAGACAGAGTCTCCCTCTGTCGCCCAGGCTGGAGTGCCGTGGCGCGATCTCGGCTCACTGCAAACTCCGCCTCCCGGGTTCACGCCATTCTCCTGCCTCAGCCTCCCGAGTAGCTGGGACTACAGGCGCCCGCCACCACGCCCGGCTAATTTTTTTGTATTTTTAATAGAGACGGGGTTTCACCGTGTTAGCCAGGATGGTCTTGATCTCCTGACCTCGTGATCCACCCGCCTCCGCCTCCCAAAGTGCCGGGATTACAGGCGTGAGCCACCGTGCACGGCCGAAAAGAATTCTTTACAAAGCTATGCTGAAGAATTTATTTCTTTGGGGGGATTTAGGGTACATGTTTATCTTTTTACTTTTCTTTTTAAATATAAGGGTGCTACTTACTCGTTTGGATGAATGTGGTCGGGTCCTCTGATTATTGCTCCCCTAACCTCTTGTGCTTCCCATGTCACAAAATACACACTCCAGCGTCCATAGACACTGTCCATAGACTACCTGATGGTGCACGTTTCCTGCTATACGGGAAGCTCGGCACTTCCTAGTTGTTCCATAAATACCTGCTCAATGAATGATTAAAAATTGAGGCGGCGGAATTCGTCTTAGCCGTCCAAGAGCTGAGTCTGCAATCTGGACTATACGTGGAAAAACGAGACAAGCAGGGGCGACACTGGGGGAGAGGAGGGAGGGGAAGGCAGAGGAAAGAAGCAGCTCATCTTCGCCCCACCCCGAGCCGTCCTAAGGAAATGCACTAATAGGAAACTTGCACAAGGGGGCAGGGCAGAGCCGCGGTGAACGCCAACCTGTTGGCTCTTGGTCTTTGCTAATGGTATTCTTTAAATAGTATTGGTTAATACGGAGTTGGTTTGAAAATACAATTTATCTTGTTAAAAGGCACTGGAAGACCCAAACCCTTCTTTCACAGTGTCATCATGCATTCCAGAAAACACATTTTTTGTTTTGTTAAATAGGTACAAAATATGCATTTGATGGTCCTCACGTGCTTTCTGTGGCCTCTGCAGGAGAGTTAAATTGGTTCCAGAAAAGAGCCAAGAAGTTCATGGATTTCTGACAATTCACCCCCAAGGCTTGACCTCCACTTCTGCAGTGAATATGGGCTAATGAAAGGGCGCTGAACTGGAATTTTACAAAGATGGATTCTAGTCCAGGTTTTCTCTCTGATTAGCTGTGTGGCTTTAAGTCATTTAACATCTCTGGGACATATTTTTCTTATTTGCAAAACAGAGGGACTTATTAAGGGCATTTCTCAATCCAATACAACTATGGCTTGCAAACTGTCTAAATTCTCTACTAAAGATCACAGAAGTAAGAAAAAAAAAGAGGGTGAGGAGGGCTAAGAAGAACCAAGTTGTAAGAACTCACGAGAGGAGCAGAAGAGGAGGTGCAAAGGCATGGGTTGGTAAAGAGGTACCTCATTTTGAGAAAACACTGGACTAAGTTTTCTTCAAGCTCTACATTCTGAGGTTCTGCTACTTCTTATTTTGTATCTCCATTTGGATATCTACCACAGACTCAACTTGCTCCACATCAAAGTCATTTCTCCTCCCCATAAACCATCTCTTTCCCAGCGTCCATGCCTGCTGGTGGGTAGCACACTGAATGTCACCTACACCCAACCCTGGAGTCCTTGCCAGCCATTGTCTCTGTTTCCTACCATAGAGCTAAACTCTAGTGAGGGAGACAGTGAAAGGGTCAACAAATACATATGCCAATATAAACACTGATGAATTCCATAAAGAAAGGAAAGATTCTTAATCAAAAATAACGTGAATATGCATATGAGATAAAGAAAAGAGCCTAGTTTGGGTGGCAGAGGTCTCTGGGAAGATGACATTTAAGTTGAGATCTGAAGCAGGAGCCTACCAGATGGGTAGGGGTGGAGAGGGTAGAGAGGGGGTGGCGGAAGTGCATACAGAGGCTCTGGGGCTGCAGAGGGTGCGTCAGAGGAGACTGAGTGTTGAGAGGACCAGCGTGACGTGGGGGTAGTGAACAAGCCATAAAGGGGCAAGACACAGTTGAAGAGGCATACAGCATTCTTCAGGCCAACCAGGGAATGATTTTATTCTAGGAAAATGGTCAGTCATCTTTTATTTAGTCCTCTTATTCATCATCTATATGCAATCAGCCATCAAATCTGGTTAATATGTGTTGAACATCTTTTCTGTCTCTTACATTGTTTTCATTTTTAATGTCTGGTCTCGGCCTTCACCTCACGTGCAGACAATCTCTTCATTGCCTCTCCTGGCTCCAGGTCTCTTCCCTCTCCCTGACTATCCCTCCTACCCACTACCCGCCCTTAACATTTCTTCTCACTAAGTCTGCAAACTGCTGCCAACTGATGTTCCTCAATGCTTCTTTCATTCTATTATGCCATCACTCAGAATCTTCCATGGCTTCCTAATGTCTATCAAATAATGAATAAATTCCTCTTTCCTTAAGAGGTATCCCCATTTTGGCTGATATGCTTTGACTGTGTCCCCACCCAAATCTCATCTTGAATTGTAGTACCCACGATACACACGTGTCATGGGAGGGACTCAGTAGGATGTAATTGAATCATGGGGGCAGTTACCCCCATGCTGCTGTTCTCATGAAAGTGAGTTCTCATGACATCTGATGGTTTTATAAGGGAGTTTCCCCCTTTGCTTGACACTTCTCCTTTCTGCCACCATGTGAAGAAGGACATGTTTGCTTCCCTTTCCACCATAATTGTAAGTTTCCTGAGGCCTCCCCAGCCCTGCAGAACTGTGAGTCAATTAAACCTCTTTCCTTTATAAATTACCCAGTCTTAGACAATTCTTTATAGCAGCATAAGAACAGACTAATAGAGTAAATTGGTACCAGTAGAGTGGGGTGCTGCTATAAGGATACCTGAAATATGAAAGTGACTTTGCAACTAGGTAACAGGCAGAGGCTGGAAGAGTTTGGAGGGCTCAGAAGAAGACAACAGGAAAATGTGGGAAATTTTGGAGCTTCCTAGAGACTTGGAGGGCTCAGGAGACAGGAAGATGTGGGAAAGTTTGGAATTTCCTAGAGACATGGTGAATGGCTTTGACCAAAATGCTGATAGTGACATGGACGATGAAGTCCAGGGTGAGGTGGTCTCAAATGGAGATGAGGAACTTGTTGGGAACTGAAACAAAGATGATTCTTGCTATGCTTTAGCAAAGAGACTGGCGGCATTTTGCCTCTGCCCTAGAGATTTGTTGAACTTTGAACTTAAGAGAGATGATTTAGGGTATCTGGTGGAAGAAATTTCTAAGAGTCAAAGCTTTCAAGAGGAAGCACAGCATAAAAGTTTGGAAAATTTGCAGCCTAATGATGCAATAGAAAAGAAAACCCCATTTTCTGGGGAGAAATTCAAGCCAGCTGCAGAAATTTGCATAAGTAATGAGGAGCCAAATGTTAATCACCAAGACAATGGGGAAAATGTCCCCAGGGCATATCAGAGAACTTCATGGCAGCCATTCCCATCACAGGCCCAGAGGCCTAAGAGGGAAAAATGGTTTGGTGGGCAAGACCCAGGGACCCCTTGCTCTGTGCA
Organism: Homo sapiens; assembly: GCF_000001405.40. Classification (NCBI taxonomy): domain Eukaryota; kingdom Metazoa; phylum Chordata; class Mammalia; order Primates; family Hominidae; genus Homo; species Homo sapiens. The sequence goes on from NC_000018.10 coordinate 26,624,419, forward strand.
GCCTCAGGACATGGTGACCTGCATCCCAGCTGCTTCAGCTCCAGCCATGGCTAAAAGGAGCCAAGGCAAAACTCAGGCTTCAGAGGGTGCAAGTCCCAAGCCTTGGTGGCTTCCATGTGGTGTTAAGCCTGTGGGTACACAGAAGTCAAGAACTGAGGTCTGGGAACCTCCACCTAGATTTCAGAGGACATACGGAAATGCCTGGATGTCCAGGCAGAAGTTTGCTGCAGTGGCGGAGCCTTCATGGAGAATTTCCACTAGGGCAGTGTGGGAGGGAGATGTGGGGTCGAGCCCCTACGAGGAGTGCCCACTGGGGCACTGGCTAGTGGAACTGTGAGAAGAGGACCACCATCCTTCAGACCTCAGAATGGCAGATCTACTGACAGCTTGCACCATGCACCTGGAAAAGCCACAGACATTCAATGCTAGCCCATGAAAACAGCTGGAAGGGAGGATGTACCCTGCAAAGCCATAGGGGTAGAGCTGCCCAAGGCCATGGGAGTCCACCTCTTGCATCAGCATGACCTGGATATGAGACATGGAATCAAAGGAGATCATTTTGGAAATGTAAGGTTTGGTGACTGCCCTGTTGAATTTCAGACTTGTGTGGGACCTGTAGTTCTTTGTTTTGACCAATTTCTCCCAATTTGAACAGGTTTTTCCCAATGCCTGTACCCTCATTGTATCTGGGAAGAAACTAAGTTACTTTTGATTTTGCAGGTTCATAGGCAAAAGGGACTTGCCTTGTCTCAGATGAGACCTTGGACTTGGACTTTGGGTTAATGCTGGAATGAATTAAGACTTTGGAGGACTGTTGGAAAGGCACGATTGTGTTTTGAAATGTAAGGACATGAGATTTGGCAGGGGCGGGGGAGGAACGATATGGTTTGACTGTGTCCCCACGCCATGTCTCATCTTGAATTGTAGTTCCCATAATCCCCATGTGTCATGGGAGGGACCCAGTGGGAGATAAATGAATCATAGGGGTGGTTACCTCCATGCTGTTCTCATGATAGTTAGTTCTCATGAGATCTGATGGTTTTATAAGGTGCTTTTCCCCTTTTGCTCAGCACTTCTCCTTCCTGCCACCATGTGGAGAAGGACATGTTTGTTTCCCCTTCCACCATGATTGTAAGTTTCCTGAGGCTTCCCCAGCCCTGCAGAACTGTGAGTCAATTAAACTTCTTTCCTTTATAAATTATTCAGTCTTTGGCAGTTCTTTATAGCAGTGTAAGAATTGACTAATACATTGGGTATTCTGTTGTAATGTCCTATAACATTGTTCCTTCATGCTACAAGAAGCCCCATTCATAAATAAGATCCCAGGCATCTTCATGCATTTAAGTTTTAGTGATGATGCAGTAGGTGTCTTTTGCCTCTCTGGTCCCCCTTCCTAACAGGATCCAGCATTTCCTTCTCATTTCCATATCTCTTCCACATAGTCCACCCTGGCCAGACCATATATTCCCCTTCCTTGGCTACAACTGTTGCCTTGGAGAGAGCATGCAGAGTGGCCCAAATCAGGTCAATCAGAGTGTATTTGGGACTTCTGAATCCTAGAACAAAGATGCTCTGTCCTGGATGATGTACATATGGATGTGAAGCCTGGAACTGCTCTGGTCATTTTGCCACCATGAGGTTTAGGCTGTAGCTAACACCGTGAAAGCACAGTGAAGACATGGAAAGACACTGGATCCTTCCTTAATGGGACACTGAACTTTACAGTTTCATGAGCCAAAAAAAAAAACAAAAAAAAAAACCTTTTATTGTTGGAGCCAACTCGATTAGGACTTTCTGTTGCTTGCAATCAAGAGCATCCAAACAGCTTAAGCCTATGCCAGCACTGTTCCAGAAAAGTCCTTATTCTCATGAAGCTAACCTCCTACCACAGGGCTTGAGGGAAGCAGACCAAAAACCAAGAAATAAATAAATAAGATAACTTTATCTATTGGTAAGTTCAATGAAGAAAACAACAAAATGATAGAGACAGCTTGGGCAGAGGGATGGCTACTTTAGATCTGGGAGTGAGGGAAGGCTTCCCTGAGGAGGTGATTTTTTTTTTTTTTTTTTTTTTTGAGGCAAGGTCTTGCTCCATCACCCAGGGTGGAGTGCAGTGGTGCAATTACGGCTCACCACAGCCTCCACTTCCTGGCTCAATTAATCCTCCTACCTCAGCTCCTGAGGGGCTGGGACCACAGGCACGGGCCACCATGCCTGGCTAACTTTTTTGTTGTTTGGTTGAGACAGGGTCTCTATATGTTGCCTAGGCTGGTTTTGAATTCCTAGCCTCAAATGATCCTCCCTCTTTGGCCTTCCAAAGTGCTGGGAATATAGACACGAGTCCCTGTGCCCAGCAGGAAGTAATATTTAATAAGAAACAAGACCTATCCATGGGCAGATGAGGGGGAAGAAGATTTCAGGCAAAGGGATCAGCCAGTGCAAAGGCTGTGCAATGGGAAATTGCCTGGTGGATTACAAGAACAGAAAGGAGCCACTACGGCTGAACAAAGGGCATGAATAGCAAATAATGGTATCAAATAAAAAGTATGGAATAATGATGCTTGTTCCTCTTTCTTAATTACATCCCCCTCTTTCTAAACATCTTTTGAAGATTTCAAGGCCTAACTTATGCCCCACCTCCTTCTTGAACTCTCCCTGACTGAGCTAAGAATCACTTCTCCTTTGTACTAATGAGTTCCTGGGCTCTCCCCTCCTTTGCACCTGGAAACTGGAAATTGGAAAGTAGCTCCCATGTACTGTCTTCTACAGCTTTTGATTTTTTTCTTATGATTTTGTTGACTCTCCTCAATTTGATTCTAGTCTTTGAGACAATCTTCTGGGTTTTGTGTGTGTGTGTGTGTGTGTGTGTGTGTGTGTGTGTGTGCCTATAACAAAAGCTTAATGCCAGTAAGCCTAACTGTTGTGAAAACACACCAAGCTTCTAGATTTACTGTTTCGCTACCAGGGTGCATTTGAAATATTAGATTGAACCATGTACAATTGTCATTCATTGTGGGGTCAAAAATATCAAGCATCAGCATTGTCATATGGCTCAACACACACTAAAACATCATTTTAAATGACAATATAGTTCAATTGTGCAACTAATTATCCCAATGCATTGGTCATGGTTCCAGAAAAATTCTCTTTTTGGAACCTGGGTCCTCTAAGGAAATGCTCTGTTGTAATGAAGCTATGTATCTTTGGCCACCTGACTTCCCTTAAATTAGTTGTTTGCAGCAAATAATTAAAACAGCAACAATAAACAACACTATGCAATTTAGCATTTGTTTTCATTTAGGCTTAGATGCTGCATTTGAATTCTATGATGTCATTAGTTTTTAGTGATACAATTTGAGGAAAGCAATGGGATATTAGTACATATGTGACCTTAGTCAAGAAATTCCTGGCCACTCTTAATAGAAGCCATGACTGTACCTAGTTATCCATAAAGGAAGAATCCACCTGGTTCTTGCTGTAGGAACTTGGTGGTGGAACTGCTTTACCATGCCTGACTGGAAGAAGACAAGCCAGAGCCCCCAGGGATCTGCAGGCTGCCGGGAGGTTGCCTTGGCCCCCACCCCAGTTCCCACCATGTGATCTGCCAGGAGTGGTGAAAATTATAACCTTCCCTGGGCTAGAGGCCCTCCTTTCCCTCCAAAATGGTAAAGTGGCCATATAATTTACTTTTGTTTTATGAGTCTGTGTTCTCTATGTAAGATACATGTTTCAGAGTTAATCATTTATTTTTCATCCAGACTAAAACATTTATATAAGCCTTTGGACCTCAATCTTCTCACTTGTAAACAGGACCTAGACTAAATATTTCTAAGGTCATTTTTGGTAACAGGCCATGTGGTTGACCAATGACATTTTCATTGGTAAGATATTAATGCATCTATAATACACACACACACATGCACACACACACACACAGACCTTTTTTCATAGATCTGATTTTTATCATAATTCCCATGTACCATTTCCATGCAAGTTTCTTTTAAAAAGTGGAAATAAATCTTCTTACGGGCAATTCACATTTTGTGAACAACTTCATTACAGCTCAACCAAATTTCTTCAAACATGCCAAAGGCACTAAGAAGGTCAACTTGAAAGTTCTAAAGGAAGCAGTTTGCATTTGGGAAATAAAATAGTAAAAAAAAAAAAGTGTCTGAGTGATTTCTTAAGTGGTGAAATCCCCCTTTTTTTGCCCTTTTTCTTGTGTTTTAAAAATAGCCTAAATTAAACCTTACTCAACTTTCTACAAAAAAAATATACCTTTAGGCTGAGAGACAGCATTAGAAATTTCATCCTAAAGAATTATTTTTGGGGAAGGGGTATGGGGTGGAGTTATAAGAGCCTGAAGATAGAGGCTTCTAATTAAATTGGCCTCTCAACCAGAACTGCAGAGTCTATGCTATAATCACCACAATTTGGTTTAAATCTGGGACAGAATGATAATTTTGTTAGTTCAGAGGTTTTTAAACTATGGCTCATAACTGCTGGAGAGTTTCCGATTACTCTTCTAGGTTCTGCAAGGCATGTGTATTTGCTGGGGGACCAGGGGACTTTTAGTAAATGAATAAATAGGAGAGATTTTTACAGTCTCAGGGAGTTTAAGTGGGTCTCAAGATGATCAGGAAGTGCTGGAGTTGTCTTTCTGGCTTTGCAGATGGCAACAAATCTACAACAAATTATGAGGGAGGAAGTGTGGAAGGGTTTTCTTACTTTTGGTGATGGATTTGCCTTTATTCATCTGCACCCTCCGTCCCAGTTGGTGTGCAGTGCAGGCTTGAGGAGAAAAAGCTAGTGACGGGAGCTGTAAAAGGAGAAAAGCGTAAAATTGGGCCAGCCCATGACCTTAGCCTCTGCCCTGCAAGCTAACCAACTGAGCTAACCAACCATAAGTGAAACAGATCATTCACTCCTTAATTTGTTCAATAATATTGATTGAATGCAATAAGTAAGTAAGGTGCAAGGTGCAGAAGATACCAAGGCAGAAGAGGTAGGCAGAGCCAGAAGTTTACACTCTTGAGGGAGCAGACATTCATGGATAAACATGCAGGTAAATGTTAATTACAATTGTAATAAGAGCTGTGATAGAAATGTCAAGGTTTCCCGAGAGCACAGAGCAGAGCAGCTGAGCCTAGTTTGGGCAATGGACCCTGCGAAAGGGACATTTACATTGCAACCTCAAAGATGAGGAGAAAAATGGACGAGGCAAAGTGTTGTGAGATCAGCATTCCAGTCCAAGGGACCAGCATGTGCAAAGTCCCTGAGTTGGGAAAGAGATTGACCCCCCCGCCTTTTTTTTTTTTTGACAGAATCTTGCTCTGTTGCCCAGGCTGGAGTGCAGTGGTGTGATCTCAGCTCACTGCAACCTCTACCTCCTGGGTTCAAGTGATTCTCCCACCTCAGCCTCCTGAGTAGCTGGGATTATAGATGTCTGCCACCATGACCAGCTAATTTTTGTATTATTAGTAGAGACGGGGTTTCACCATGTTGACCAGGATGGTTCTAACTCCTGGAGCTTGGCCCTTTCAAGGAACAAGAAAGAAGCCTCGTCTGTCCAGAGCAGTGGTTCCTGAGGTATAGCCCACAGAACCCTGGGGTCCCTTGAGACCCATATGAAAGATCAGCAAGGTCAAAACTGTGTTCATAATAATACTAAGGTGTTATTTGCTTTTTCACTGTGATGACATTTATCCGAATGGTGCAAAAGCAATGATGGGTAAAACTGCTGGTGCCTTCCTGCTAATACAGGCAACAGCAGCACACTACATGAGTGATCACTGTATCTTTCACTGCTGCACACCCCCAGTTTTTAAAAAAATCCAGTTTCACTTAACAAAGCAGTAAAAATTGTTAATTTTATTAAGTCTTGACCCTTGAGTATATGTCTTTTTTTGTTTTTTTAGAGGTAAGGTCTCACTGTCATCCAGGCTGGAGTACATTGGCACAATGACGGCTCACTGCAGCCTCAAACTCCTGGGCTCAAAAGGTCATCCTACCACAGGCTTCTGAGTAGCTAGGACTATAGGCATGCCACCATGCCCAGAAGCTTTTTAAGAATATTTTGTAGAAACAGGGTCTTGCCATGTTGCCCAGGCTGGTCTCAAATTCCTGGACTCTTAGGAATTTGAGAGGCCAAGGTGATCCTCCCACCATGGCCTCCCAAAATGTTGGGATTATAGGCATGAGCCACTGTGCCCAGCCCACGTCTGCTTAGTGTTCTGTGTTGCTGACTGGAAAGTATGTATAAAGTATTTTTGCTGCACACTGTGCTATGAAGATAATCTCAAGGAAAAGTACTTGTGTGGTTGAGTTGTGAGCTGCACTAGCCACTTTTTCATGGAACGCCATTGTTATCTGAAAGAGCAAGTGACAGACGAACTATGATCATTGAGTCTTGGGTAACTGGCAGATGTTTCCTTGAATGAAGGATGCTTATCACCTCAAGGAAAACAACTGGTTGCTGCTTTGAGACCTTCACTTGAAGCTCTTAAGTGAAAGTTTTAGAATTTTGGAAAACTTCCATCTGCAACTGCGATCTTGATATCCTCCCTACACTTATATATGCTTTTCTGATTAGATGGTGGTGATACTATTCTAGTTACCTGTCAGACAATAGAATCTCTCATTTTGCCACTGAAACTTACCAAAATCTCCTTTGTGAAAAACTATTTCATTTATAAATAAAGATACTGGAATTCTAAATAGAACAGAATCAAGCACCTTATCAATAAACCAGGTAGGGCTTATTCCAGGAATGCAAAGTATTTTCATAGCAGGAAATTAACATATCATTACATTCATGTATCACTTAACTATGGAGATATGTTCTGAGAAATGTGTTATTAGGCAATTTTGTCCTTCCTTGTTCAAACATCACTAGGTATATTTACACAGACCTAGCTTTTATAGCCTGCTCCACATTTAGGCTATATGGTATAGCCTATTGCTCCTAGGCCACAAACCTGTACAGCATGTTACCGCACTGAATACTGTAGGCAATAGTAACACAATAGTAAGTATGTGTGTATCTAAACATAGAAAAGGTACAGTAAAAATAAGGTATTCTAATCTAATGGGACCACTACTGTATATGTGGTCTGTCATTGACTGAAGCATCATTATACAATGCATGACTGACGGTACTTCAACAATTAAAGGAGAAAATTAATACAAACATATCAGTAAAAGATTATGAGGAATTAGAGGTCAACATAGCAGCTATTCCTAATAAAATTCTAACAAAAATATTACTATAAGGAAATCACTTACATAGAATAAAAATATTCCCAAAAAACCCTCCATTAAATGCACTACAACTTTAAAACCATTTCATGGCCGGGCGCGGTGGCTCACACCTGTAATCCCAACACTCTGGGAGGCCGAGGCGGGCGGATCACGAGGTCAGGAGATCGAGACCATCCTGGCTAACATGGTGAAACCCCGTCTCTACTAAAAATACAAAAAAAATTAGCCGGGCATGGTGGCGGGCGCCTGTAGTCCCAGCTACTCTGGAGGCTGAGGCAGGAGAATGGTGTGAACCCGGCAGGCGGAGCTTGAAGTGAGCCGAGATCGCGCCACTGCACTCCAGGCTGGGTGACAGAGTGAGACTCCGTCTCAAAACAAACAAACAAACAACAAAAAAAAACCATTTCATTTAAAATCAACATACAGGCCGGTGCAGTGGCTCACACCTGTAATCCCCGCACTTTGGGAGGCCGAGGCGGGCAGATCACTTGAGGTCAGGAGTTTGAGACCAGCCTGGCCAACATGGTGAAACCCCCTCTCTACTAAAAATACAAAAAATTAGCTTGGCATAGTGGCAGGTGCCCGTAATCCCAGCTACTCGGGAGGATGAGGCAGGAGAATTGCTTGAACCTAGGAGGCAGAGGTTACAGCAAGCCAAGATTGCACCACTGCACTCCAGCCTGGGTGACAGAGTGAGACTCCATCTTAAAAAATAATAATAAAATTAAAAAACAAAATAAATCAACATAAAGACAGGAAAGTTTGCTCTAACCATTACAATTTGACTTTGTCATGGAAGAGTTAGTGAATGCAATAAAAGGGCAGTAAATAACTGAAATAAACAATTGGAAAGAAGAAATAAATATTTTTGCTGATGATATGAAAATCTAAGAGATACTGAGTTTTTAAAAAAATTAGAATTAGTAAGAGAATACAAGAGTTTGAGGATACAGGATAATGACACATATTTTAGCTTTTATCTGTTCTAATGATAAGCATATAGAAGTGGAGAAGATGAAAATACCCTCTTCAGAAAATAGTGAACAAAAATAGCTAAGGATATAATTAATAATATAGCTACATCTATATGAATAAAATTCAATCTTAGTAAAGGTCTCAAAACAACGTCTGAACAAATGAAAAGATATATCAAGTTATTGGATATGAAAATGGAATATGGCATAAAATTATCAATTATTCCAAAGAAATATAGAAATTTTATGTAATTACAATTAGAATTGCAACAGTCTTGGGAGGGGGTAAGGAGGGGAAGGAACTGGATGAAATGATTTAAAATTTCATAAGGAATACATTTATTCACTTCAGAATAAATGCTCAGGAATAGCAGGAAAATAATAAAAAAGAACAGTGCAAGGGGAATTACCTTACGCAACATGAGAGGATATTATAAAGCTGTTATGAAGTAAATATGGTATTGGTATGAGAATGAGAAATAGATCAGTGAAAGAGAAAAGAGGATCTAGAAGTCTTGGATATGAGAATGTAATATACATCATATATCAAATGTGGAAGTTCAGTGTAGTGGGAAAATAATAAATTATTTCAAAAACAATACTGGCTCTTCATCTGAAATAAAGTAAAATTAAATCCCTGTTTTATACCATAAACAAAAATACATTCCCCAGAGAGTAAAGTCTTAACTGTGGACAACAAAACAAGACAAATTATCATAAAAGGAGGCTTCATGTATAATCCAAGGACAAGGAAACCTTAACAAGACTGGAAAACACAAGAGGCCATAAAAGAAACATATAGTTGACCATATCGTAAATGTGGTATGATCCCATAATACACACAATTATTATTTGTCAATTAAACATAAAATAAAATAATTACCCCCCCAAATGTGTACAGTATTAAATATTGTAAGCAAATTCAAAACACAAATGATAGATTTGGAAAAAATACTTGTAACCCAAACTGCAAAGAATGTACTTATATCATATAGAAAGAGATTTTATAATTTGTCAACTCAATAGAAAAATGATGAAGGAATAAGAAAAGGCAATTTATAGAAGCACAAAAGCAGAGAGTCAACAAATGTACAAAAAGATGCTTGAATTTACCATCGTTAGGGAAATGCAAATTAAAGTACTAATGAGACATCATATCTGCCTATCAGGCCTGCCAAAATTAAAGACAACTACAACAATATTACAAAGTTGAAATGTAAATTGTACAGCATTTTGGGGAAGTAACATGGCAGTATCTATTAAAATTTGAAATACACATACTCAGAAGAATAAGCAAACTGTGGTATATGCATACAACGGACCACTCAGCAATCAAAAGGAAAGAACTACGCTACACTCAACAGCATGGTTCAATCTCAAAAACATGCTGACAAAATAATCCAGATACAAAAGATTCCAGACTGTATGATTCCATTTATATCAAATTCTGGAACAGGGAAAACTATCTACAGTATTAGAATATATGTATCAGTATGTTTAAATATAGCATTATTCAGGGTGGCAAAAAAGTGGGAAAAAAATGAATCCTCATTAGTACAAAATGGGAAAATGAATCATGGTAGTGCACCTCTAGACTAGCACACTGCCAAGGAAAAAGGAAAGAATAGAGTTACACTGGTTGGCTTGGAGGGATTTCTATATGGTATGACTTATAAGTGAGTGCAGAAAAGCATTTATGATATAATCCATTTTGTGAAACAACGATCCCAACCTCCGTATCAAAATGTGTACACATATATATGCATGTGTGTGTTGTGGTCTGTACCTCATTATAGAAATACAAAGGAAAATATGGAAAATACATATCGGGCATGTTAGCATGAGTTACACGGGGAGGGGAGGGAAGGAAAAGAGTAAGAAAGGGGCATTGAGCTAAAAGACCGAGCTAAAAACAACAGTATGTATGATATGATTACATGTGCACATTTATATAATTAAAATTTATATTTATAGAGGATTACTTAAGTAAATGCTGTCAATCTTGTAGATATTTTAAATTTGGATTAAACTAGAACTTCAGAGCTCTGTAATTGGACTACATCATCTTGGTCCTTCTTTATTTTTACCGAATTGAACTTCAGCCCTCTCTATTTTACGGAGAAGAAACTAAAGCAGTAAAGCTTAATTGACTTCCCCAAATGAACACAGCTAGGAATTGGCCAACCATGGATCTGAATGCGGGCAGTCTAACTCCACAAACCACACACAACTCTGGCCATTTGCTAAACGCCCTCTGAGACTCTAGCAGAAGTGAGTGAGGCAAAATTTAAGGGGGTGCCAAGAGACTCAGAAAGCAAAAGAAACAGCATTTTAAAAATAATAAAATTAATGATAAAAATCCACATTGAACAAAAACATCAAAAATTTTAATGTAATTCCAGCTGCCTTGGAACCTTGTCTTTATTAACTTTTGATCTGTTTCTCATTATGGCTTTTTTTGCATTAATTTTTATTTCAAAAAATATTGCATTAAAATATTATTTATCTCAATTTCTGAGTTTTTTCTTGTCCCTTAAATGTTGTGCTGGACCTGTTTGTCTCTACCGTTTGGCCACCAAGTGACACTAAGCAAAACCTGTGCATCTCAAAGGCTGTTTTCTCTTCTATAAAGTAGGAATGATAAGAGTTTCCCTGCCCACTGTGCCCACAGGACTAGGGTGAGAAACTAAGAAGATATGAATACAGAATTGCTAGTGCAACAGGCATATTCTTGCTACTGGAGTTGCTCATGAATGGATAAGCAAGTTGAATCCCCAGACCTGGTCGTGCTCCTGCGCGCTTGGCGTGCCCACACCCATGGCTGGAAAATCGCCTGGAACCTAATGTTTGTTTGAATGGCAGCCGCAGGAGCCTTCACCCATCATGCACCCCTCTCTGCCGTTCTGAGCATGTGGTGCAAGAATGGATCTCTTAAGCTAGAGCAGTGCTCCTCTAACTTAACTGTGACACAGATCCCCCCAGGGATCTTGTTAAAAACCACATCAGTCAGTCCAGTGCAGGGCGCAAGGGTCTGCATTTCTAACAAGCCCCAGGTGATGCTGAGGTTACTGGTACACAAACCATAGTGCTTTGAGGACTAAGGAGCCAGACTAGATGCTTGGTGAGATCAGAAGGACTGTGAAATGCCCCCAAATAGTGACAGCCCTCTACACACCAGGCACAGTTGTGCACAATCCTTAAAAGAGCCCTGGGAGATAGGTTCTTTTATCATGAAGCCCCCCAACCAAAGACCATCAAGAACACACTTCTAGTCACGCCAGGGTAGATTAATTCAGCTTGCTGCAGCAAGTGAGGACACACACCAGGGAACTGCAGGAGGGTGTGGGAGGGGTTGTTATGGGGTTGGGGCTTGTGCTGGGAGAGTCTAAGGAGGGGTTAAGGAATGAGTGGACAGTTTTAGACTGAGTTCAGTCCAACAGCAAGGGCCATTTGACGATTGGGGGTATCTAGATAATTTGTCCAGGAGGGTGGAAGATTAAAGTGGGCTAGGACTGCCGTGAAGAGAGAAGCAATAGTCAAGTTAGTCAGAAGAGGGGGGAGTTTATGTTTGTGGTTGCAGAGTGCCCATCTGTCTATTTCATGGCGGTCTGGTTGCTGGTTTGTTCCCACAAAGTCATAGAGAAACACTGTCTGATTATTGTTTTTATTATGTGAGTGATGGTTATGTTCCCTTAGGAACATCACAGCTAGTATTGCCCTTCGACCTGAGCAAGCTGGGACCCTGTGCCTCTCAGGGCTCCTCACATTGCAGCAACTTCCTGGAATTTTCTAGGTCCTTCCCTGCTGCCTGAGACTGGCCAGAGCTGGCAGTGCCATCACACCAGGGTGCCCTGAGTCCCGACCGAAACTCCCATTTCTCCCATTGAGAGTGCTCTCTGAATTTCTATTGGGTTGGGGAAAAAGTAATCGCGGTTCTTCTTATTACTTTCAATGGCAAAAGCCACAATTACTTTTGCATCAACGAATACCTGAGCGTTGGGGTCATTGGATGCCCTCAGGACTTCACACTCACATGATCACCCATGGCCCTGTGTCTGGACACCTCTTCCAGGAGGGCAGCCTGGCGAGCGGCTTGAGCTGCCAGAATGGTCCTGCCACGCTTCAGAGAAACCCAAAGTGTTCATAAAGATGGGCCCCCACTAAAGTTATTTGCCTGGGGCCTGGACATCCAACAGCTGGACCCCATTCCAACCTAGCCGGCAGTTGCTGGAACTATTTTCATTTTCTTGAATATTATCATCCTCATTATACAGAAGAGGAAACTGAGGTTCCCAGAGGTTAAGCAACTCCCCTGGAATTCCACAGCAGAGAAGCGGTGAAGCGGGGATTCCTCCCACTGCTCTCACCCGCTGCGGTCCCTGCCATGACTCGCTCCCTCCAGAGCACCTCGGAGGGCTTCAGACCCCTCGTGTTTGTGCTCCATCTACTGCTGACGCTTCCAACACTGTGCCTAGTTTTCAAACTGTTTAAATTTTTTTGTTGTTTTTCCTGTGAGGTACTTGGAACTCTCCATGCATCTCCCATATTTTGTGCTTCCCCTCCTTCCTCCTCCTGACTCTATCGTCTCTGGATTGCTTCTGATTAGGTGCCTCCCATGCTCCTTCTGAACCCCGGGCCAGATTTGTCACAGGACAAAAGAACACTCCAAAGTGTAAACTTTGGCTTTATGTGAACCCCAGAGACTGTGAACAACGAAGAATGTTCTCTCAAATGGCAAGAGGACTATCCAGATTGCTGGGGGTGGTGCTGATGTGAGCTGCGAGGAGGAGGCGCTGGGTGTGTGGGCAGAAATGTGAAATGTGTTAAGGCTTCTATTATGGGGTCAGCCCACCTAGTGTGGTCACCCTCCCCTCTGCCGATTTCAAGAGCTGGAAACAGAGGGAAGTTAAGCCATGACTAAGAAGCCTGGCGTCCTTTCAGTGGAGAAAGGTAGCCCTGTCGCTTCAGTGGGATGAGGCCTGTTTCTTGCTGTTGGAGAAGATTCCAGAACACAAAAGAAGGCATGTCTCTGTGAGTTGATTCAGCGGTCGGCTCACCCTAGAGGCAGTGTCTCTAATGGGAGGAGCCTGGGCTTTGGGGTCCACTGACCTGGGCTGGAATCTCAGCTTTGTCAGTTTATTAGCTGTGCAACCTTGAGAAAGTTATGTGCCTCAGTTTTCTCATCTGAAGAGTGGAGACAATAATGCTTTCCTCAAAGGTTGTTGTGAGAATTGAATAAGAGGGTGTCAGTGCAGTGACTGGCACTTTGTGGCTATTGTTATCATTTTTGTAACGTTAGACCGTCTTAGCAAGGAGAGTCTGATTTTGTAGGCTGGCTCTCCTGGGTGTCACATCAAAGACTTAAGGAAATCTCTCCCATATATACATAGTTTGTCTTTAAAAAATCAGTTGCAAATTAATCATCTACCAGTATATCCAGGTCTTTTGCACTCACTGTACATTTTCAGCCTGTATCATACATGCAGGTAATAAAGTGCAAAAGCACCGCAGCTTGTTATGTAATAGAGCATCTTTCATTTATCCAGAAACTCCCACGCTTCACAGTTCAATGTCAAATCAGTCCAAGTTCATTCTATTCATAACCTTCATAACTTCCTAGAAGACACTTGAATATCTTCTTTTCCTCCTTTAATATTTTATTTATCTCCCACCAAAATTTTTCCAGTAGTTAAAAAAAAAAGTCTTAAAATACAACTGCAAAACTATTCCAGGCCTAAGCACAGCATACAATTCATTTTTTAACCTCAGCATTTCTGAAGGCCAAGAGATCTGCTGGCTGTTCAAGCTGTAGCAGCAGCCGCAGTGGAGGAGGCTTAGTTAGCAGCCCCCATTTTGGGGTCAGTTGTGTCAGGTTTGAATCACGTCTCTACTGCTTAACAGTTAGCTGTGTGACTGTGTCTCACATTAGGTGGCTACGACATTCGTATTGGTCACAGAGGCTGGTGGTAGTCATTGGATGTGTCTGGGGAAGTGCCCGGCAGGGCAGCAAAGGGCAGGTGGCTAGGAACAGGAGCTGTGGGAGCTCTTGGTGCTGTCTTCAACAGCCAGTCCACCTGAGAACAAGACCTCACCCCTTTTGATTCAACTACAGCCAACTGCCTCTTTCCTGACTTTCTGACCTCTGCACATTATTCATTTTGCATAATATTATTGCCCATATCTGCTCCTAAAAATGTTGCTTTTATCATGCTGTCCTTAAAAAAGTCTTGCAAAATTCCCTCTTGCTCTGTCTTGTTTTTAGAGTCCTGCATGCAACAGCCTCCGTTCCTTCTTTGCCTCTCCATCCCTCTATCTCTCTTCAAACCTCAGAGGATTCTACAGATGTCTGGAGATGCCCACGGGACTGCGGCCCAGCCTGGAGACTTAGGGAGCTCTCGGTCTTGGTGAGCAATGCATGTTGCCCCAGAGTCCCCTGGGGAGAAACATCTCCCCACAGAAAAGCTGGGTTCTGAACCATGGAGATTGCTTGAGTCCAGGAGTTCCTAGTGTGAACAGGGGTCTCATTGAGCAGTAGTGAAGTCAGAAGAGCTGAGAATCTCTGCGAAGTAAGGACACAAGAAAAAGAGAAGACGATGCAGGACACAGCATCTGGGAGCAAAGAAGTCTGGAGAAGCCGGAGCCTAGAGTGCAAGTGAGGCAGTGGGAGGAGTCGCCAGTCTATCTGGCTGAGGTCAGCAGATGCGGGGCTCCCGAAGCCGGGCCCAGGGCTTTGGTTCCTATCTTGTAGGCAGTGGGAGGTTATTGAACCTTTTTAAGCAAGGATGTAACATCATGTCATATCCAAAGAAAAGATCAGTTTAATGGTTGTAAAAGGATTTCATGGTTATTATAGAGAATTGGAAAAATAAAGAAAAAAATGAGAAAATAAAAATCCTAGGGCCCAGAGTTAAACGTTATTGTGTAACAATACAATAATGATAAACATTATCAATAACATTATTGTATTCTTATTATCTCTCTCCCCCATCCCATCGTAGTTATTGTGTAATGGGCGCTGATTATGTGCCTGGCTCCGTTACAAAGATTTGCTTTGTTTAATCCTCACAACACCGCTGTGCTGTAGGTCAAATGCTGATCCACGTTTTCAGATGAGGATATGTTCAAACCCTGGGTCGCATAGTTGGAAGCAGCAGCGTAGGGGTCTAGGCCCAGATAATCGGGCTCCAGCACCTGTATTCCGAATCCTTGGGCCACACTGCTGCTTGGGGATCACACAGCATAGAATCAATACACACGTGCATCAGTAGATGGCCAGTTTTGTTTAAGATAGAGTTTGGCATCCTAATATTCTGAACTGGGTTGTCAAAAGAGAATTTTGGTAATAGCAGGAAGGAGCTTGTGTTGGTGGGGAGTGGTTTACAGGGAGGAGGTAGGTGGGACAAGCGTGGTGGCCACGGCAATGGTCCAGAGAAGAGAGGTCTAAAGGAAAAATTCCAGTGGTCCAGAGGAGAGAGGGTAGATGAGTAAGTGTAGAGAATGAGAGTGTGGCTGCAGTGGCTCATGCCTGTAATTCGCACTTAGGGAGGCTGAAGTGGGAGGATTGCTTGAGCCCAGGAGTTCGAGACCAGTCCGGAAAACATAGTGAGACCTCATCCCTCCAGAAAATTTAAAAATGATCTATTCATGATGCCTCCCACCTGTAGTCCCAGCTACTGGTGAGGCAGGTGGTGGGGTAGCTGAGGTTCCTGGGAGCTGAACCTGGGAGATTCAGGCTGCAGTGAGCCGTGATGGTGCCCCTGCATTCCAGCCTGGGTGACAGAGTGAGACTCTTGTCTCTGAAAAACAAACAAACAAACAAAAAGGAATGACAGTGAGAGGGGATGGGGGCATGGAAGTAGGAATGACCTTGATGAGTCTGTGTGTGAGCAAATGCATAGGCACCATGATGCATCTGCACATACACGTGTCTGTGTGTGTCCAGGAGGGATTGAGGGAAAGAAAAGAATCAGGAAAATCATGGGGATTCTGTACTGAGCACCTGAGCACTTATAGGAGGGAGAAATGTTCAGGACAGGAGGAAGGTGAGGAGTTTACTTTGGGACCTTATAAGAGTGTGTGCTGTCTGTCAAGTGGGGGTGTGCACTGGGCAGGTAGACACACGCAGGCAGAAAAACAGAATGGAGTCAGCTGCACTGGTTTGTTCTAAAGTCAAGGAACATGAGGTTCCCTGGGAAGAGTGGTCAAAATAGAAAGAGGAGGCATCTGCGGAGGAAGCTTGGGGACACAGAGAGGACAAGGACGGCAGAGTTGGATGGTATCGTGGGATCTAGATCCGAGAGAGTAGCCAAGATCCCAGAAGCAGGGTGGATAGGAACAGGAAAGGGGGCTGAATTTGTGTTTCTCCTCCCCAAACTCCTGTTTCTGCCAGACTGATTTCTTACTTGCCTTTTAAAATCGTTTTTACCTGCAGTTCATCTCACTGTCCCAGCCTGGCTTGCTGTGTGTGTATGTAAGGCCTGTTTATACCCTCACCTCCTCCAGGAAGCTTTCCCAACCCACTGGCCACTGGGCCTTGTACTTTGTTCAAGTTCCCTGCCCCGCTGTCATTTACCACGTTTCCCCCAAGATTCCAAACATCTGGGGGCAGAGCCTTTGCCTCCCTTGTAGCGCCACGGTGCCTCAGAACCAGGTGCTGATTAATTGGTTGCTTGTAACCCACAGCATAGAGTGTAATATTTTACTTGTATAGTTTGGATTTTTTAAAGTATTCTTTCTCTAGACACCAGAAGCTCCTCTGCCCTTTTTAGCTCAGACACAGCTTTGTGAATGCTTCCCATGGCATATTCTTTCCTGTTGGGCTAGCATTTTGCTACTCTTCACAGGCAGCCCAAGAGTGAATTTTCACCTTCTGTTCAGTTTCCTTTTTTCATTTCCCCACTGGTCTCCATTGCAGTAAGCCTCCCACCCCTCTTATCCCCAAGTTATGACAACCCCCATCCTAGAACCCCTGGTGCAGTCCGTCTGGCATGCCATATTTGCCTAGCTGTTTAACTCTTTGTAGGTATTCATTGATCTGATGGGGTTAGGTGGGCAGAGCCTGTTCCATGCCCCTTCTTTAGGCACAAAATCAGTGCCTAAAGTGACATTTCAACCAGCCTTCTAGACAACTCTAATGGCAGGTATCAGATCTCGAGATGAGCTTCACCATTTCACCTTGGGTTCCTTCAAGACTCATAGGTTCCATTTAGAGCCAGAAGGAATCTTCACTCATATACACATGCATATGTGTACAATACATATGCATATGTATATTTATATGATGAGGACCAGTAATAATTATACTGACAATGGCACTGATGACAATGACTACCATGTTCTGAGCACTTACTACATGCCGGGCACTATGCAAAGTGCTCTCTAGATGTTGCTCTATTTAATCCCCTCTTCCCTGCCTGACACTTTTCCATGCCCTATGGAATTGGGCTTGATCTTAAATCACTGCAATGCTGGGTGGGTTTTTTTGGCTTTCTTTGTGGGGATGTGACAGACTCGACCCAGGAACTCTTTGTAATCAGTGCAGGAGCTTTGGAGGAAATCCACAGCAGTGGAAGTGAATGTCCTAATCCTGCCTCATCTCTATGTCTTATCTTCTCTCCTTAGAGCGAGTGACCACTGCCCTGGATGCAAAATGTCCACTTGGGGAAGCAATGACACTTGTCCCCTCCCAGAAATCGGTGCCTCTCGGGCGTGTCCTGTGATAATATTCCACTAAATAAGCAATGGTTGATGAGACTCTAATTAATTAAAAAGAGAATACAAAAGTTTAGCAGGGAAAATTTCCTGAGAAAGAATAAACCAGCTTCCCAATTTTGATTTTTAGTTCTGCTTAGGGCTATTACCATTCAGTTGGAAAGTGGTAGGAAACCAACAGTGTTGATGTTGAAAAATACAAACTAGAGCACTAACTAATCTCTATTTCCCTAAGTCATTCAAAAAAACTGTTAAGGAAGTAAAAAAGGGAACTTCACTGAGAAATATGTTGGATTCAGTGACAGGCAGAGATTACATTTGGTGTTTGAGGTCAGTTAAGTAGCGTGAAACACTGAAAGACTGCAGAGGTTGCGATCCCAAGAGAAGTTAAAAATAAAACCTTTAGAGCATGTTCCATTCTACGTTTTGTAATGCTGTCCCATTTTGAAAAGGCGTAAGAATGCACTAAATGAACACACTAGAAGGAAATGTAATTTGAAAAGTACAACCTGCGGGGAGGGTGGGAGGGCGGAAGGTGTGAGAAGCCAGATGGCGGTGGGCGGAGGGGCGTGCACTGGCGTGAGGGGAGGCAAAGGGAAGTGGAAGCAGGAGGCAGGGAGGTTCTGTTTTGTGTTGAAGGATGGTGTGTTAGTGAGTTCAGGCTGCCATAACAAAATAGCACAGACTGGGTGGCTTAAACAACAGAAATTTATTTCCCACGGTTCTGGAGGCTGGGATGTCCAAGATCAAGGAGCCAGAGAAGCAGATTCTGGCAGGGCTCTCTCTCTGGCTCGCCGACAGCCACCTTCTTGCTGTGTGCTCACACAGCCTCTTCTTTGTGTGAGAGCAGATAGAGACTGAGTTATCTGGTGTCTCTTCTTATAGGAACACTAATATTATTAGATCAGGGCCCTACCCTTACGAACTGGTAATTACTCTTAATTATGTCCCCAAAGTCCCTATCTCTAAATACAGCCACCATGGGGGTGGGGTTTCAACATATGAAATTCGGGGGTACACAAAAAGATGCGTTGTTCAACAGATGGTTGTAGGCTACAGGAAGGGGCCAATGGAGACAGGAAAGACAAGATGTTAGAAGGGACAACAAGAAAGAAAGACAGGATTAGTAGAGCCATGGTGGAGACTTGGTGTCAGGAATAGAGGGAGTGGACATCTCAATAAGTCAGGAGGCAAAATTATCTGATAAGTGGGAATGAGTTTGGAATTTGGGAAGAGTAAAGAGATCTAGAACAGCCTCCGTGGGGAATGAAATAAGAAGTTAGCTGGGTACTGCCAGGCAATATCAAGGGGCCTGCTGGCCGGGTGCGGTGGCTCACGCCTGTAATCCCAGCACTTTGGGAGGCCAAGGCGGGCATATCACGAGGTCAGGAGATGGAGACCATCCTGGCTAACACGATGAAACCCTGTCTCTACTAAAAATACAAAAAATTAGCCGGGCTTGGTGGCGGGTGCCTGTAGTCCCAGCTACTCGGGAGGCTGAGGCAGGAGAATGGTGTGAACTCAGGAGGCGGAGCTTGCAGTGAGCTGAGATAGCACCACTGCACTCCAGCCTGGGTGACAGAGTGAGACTCTGTCTCAAAAAAAAAAGGGGGCCTGCTAAGGTGAGCTAACATGACTGCCACCCAGAGATCAGCTTACACATCACCTCTTTATGGAGGTCTCACCTGCTTTAATTTTTTTGCATAGCACTTAATCCTATCTGATTTGGTTCTCATCCCCGTTTCCCCTAGAAAGTACACTCTGTGAGACCTTGGATTTTTTGCCTTGTATTTCTAAGGCTTAAAGTAGTGCCTAACATAGAAAAAGCCATGTAAATACTGGATGAATGGATGGATGTTGTAATGGCAGCAGGAAGAATTATGTGACAATCCACCAGTGCCACTCAGGGCCTCAGGATCAAAAGTGAGGAAAAAGGAAGGTTATCAAGGACCGACCGTTGGCAAGACAGAAAAGACAGAGAGGTCAAGGTGATGAAAGAGTTAAGGGTGGCAGTGAGAATGCTGTGGAAACAAGTGTCCACTGAACCCAGGCTGACTAAGGAGGGAGAGTTGACAAGGAAGACAAGCAGTGGGGGTGAGTAAAGAGGAAGCAGGGGGCAGGTGCGGTGGCTCACACCTTCATCCTGGCATTTCAGGAGGCCAAGGCGGGCAGATCACCTGAGGTCTGAAGTTCGAGACCAGCCTGGCCAAATGGTGAAACCCTGTCTCTACTAAAAATACAAAAATTAGCTGGGTGTGGTGGTGGACATTTGTAATCCCAGCTACTGGGGAGGCTGAGGCAGGAGAATCACTTGAACCTGGGAGGTGGAGGTTGCCGTGAGCTGAGATTGCACCATTACACTCCAGCCTGGCAACAGAGTGAGACTCTGTCTAAAAAAAAAAAAGAGAGAGAGAGAGAGAGAGAAAGAGGAAGCAGGGAAGGGACTGCAGACTGCACTGAGGTTGAAAAGCAGGCTTAGTGGGAACAGTTGGAGAATAATATACTCTGGTCAACAGAATGCCAGGAGTGGGAGATTGCTGAGCTGCAGAGATGCCAAGTGATGCAAACAGCCAACCTGTGTCCATGACAGTGGGTTGCCCACATGAAGCAGAAGTGAGGGGTACTGAAGTTTAGCCCATCAAGGCACTGCAAAATAGGGCAGCCTTCCCTAACGTGTATGTTCCAAGAATAGTAATTCTGAGAGTTAAATTGTACTGACAGAATAAAGGGCTCTGTGGTCAAATAACTTTAGAAAATCTAAGTTAGAAAATGGATTCCCCATATTGCAAGACTTCTATAAATCTTCAAAATACTTCAAAAGGCTTCAAAAGAGGGTATCATGTTTCCCAGGGTTATTTGACTGACTAATCCTTTTTTATTTTTTAGAGATAGGGTCTCACTATTGCCTGGAGTGAGACCCCATCTCAAAAAAATAAAGTGCAGTGGTGTGATCATAGCTCACAGCAGCCTCAAAGTTCTGGGCTCAAGTGATCGTCCTGCCTCAGCCTCCTGAGTAGCTAGGATTACAGGCACATAAATCCTTTTATGTTTCTCTTTGAGACAGGGTCTCGCTCTGTCACCTAGGCTGGAGTGCAGTGCTGCAAACATAACTCACTGCAGCCTCAACCTCTTGGGCTCAAGCAATCCTCCTCCCTCAGCCTCCAGAGTAGCTGGGATTACAAGCATGCACCCCATGCCTGGTTATTATTATTATTGTAGAGATGAGGTCTTAATATGGTGCCCAGACTGGTCTCAAACTCCTGACCTTAAGCAATCCTCCCACCTTGGCCTCCTAAAGTGCTAGGTTTACAGGCATGAGCTGCCGTGCCCACCTGTGTGAATCCTTTTTTATTTCCCTCCAGGAGCATCTCTAGGGTCGACTTTACCCCTAAAACAGAGGTTCTCAAAGTGCGGTCCCTCGGACAGCAGCATCAGCATCCATTGGGAACCTGCTAGAAATGCAAATTCTCAGGCCTCACCCTAGACCTATCTAATTGAAAACTCTGGGAATGGAGCCAGAAATCTGTGTTTTAACAAGCTCTGCAGACAATTCTGTTGTATACTAAAGTTTAAGAATGACTGAGCTAGAAAATACTTTGGGAAGGCTGATTCATATTCATATGTGGAAAAGACTATTTGGTAAGGGGTTGGATAAGTCTTTCATATTAATGCTGAAGTCATATAGTAAGACTGCAGAAGTTGAAATGGAGAAGAAAAATATGAGTCCAATAGTAATATGCAAATTAAGATTGCAATATTTAACACTAGCCTAATTAATACATCAAGTCAATATATTAACAAAAATGATATTGGATTGACTATTCCTTTGGATTTTTCATGCTGTTACGTCCCTCTGTTAGCATGGATCAAGAGCTGACTCCTTTCCAATATACTTTGTCAAGTTGTTAGGGGGAGCAGGAGGGAGAAAGAAAGAGAAACGGATTTGAAATGTGTTTCCTTTCTTTTCTTTTTCTCCATCCTTTGACGGAGGCACCAAAAAAGTAATTATGAGGCCAAAAAGTAGACAACAGTAAAAAGCAAAGAGAGAAGATAGAGCGTATATAAACTATATCATCAGCTCTTGAATAACCAAACTTATCAGAAGATATAATTTTCAGGTGTTAAAAATGTATCTGTCATGCTCCTTAGCAGAATAATTTGGAGACGTTCTTACCAGACATTTATAGTTTGCAGAAGAGCTGTCAAAAATAACTCAGCTATATGAACACTTCAACTGTACAATGAAAAAAAAGTGTGACTCTAAAAGGAATCTGGGTGCATGTTTTCAAAAGTAAAATTTGAATCTCAGCCTAAAATCTAAAATGCATTTTGACTCAGAATTTTTTTAAGAGGGAAAAAGAAAGAAGACCCCTTGAACAATTATGCATAACTAAAATATTGAGCTTTTTAAATGATTTGAACTTCAGCTAGAAACATTCTGTTTCTAATGCATTTTGACATAAAGACATCAGAAGTGAAAGAATAGCATGTGCAAAGATTTGCATGAACACAAAGGTTTAATGGGAAGAAAAAAAAATAAGAAATGCCCCTGATTTCTTAAGGTGGAAGTGTGCAGAATTTCCTTTGTCTTTCACTCACTCAACCCTGGCTCACCTTGCAGCAATATACATGATTGGTCAGGTCTCTGTGACTCCACTGGTCTTGAACTCCTGTGGCTATTTCTACTAAGTGGGGATGAGCTAGACTGGAGCAGGTCTAGATAAAGATCTGTTTTTCCTATAGAAAACCACCTGCACTTCTTACAGAGCTAGTGTGACTTATACAACCTTTGAATGACTCACTTTTCAGATACTTTGGATCTTTGAAATATAATATTCTCAGCCACTAAAAAAGACTGAATTCAGCTAGGCACGGTGGCTCACGCCTGTAACCCCAGCACTTTGGGAGGCTGAGGCGGGTGGATCACGAGGTCAGGAGTTCAAGGCCAGCCTGGCCAAGATAGTGAAACCCCCCCCCCATCTCTACTAAAAATACAAAAATTAGCTGGGTGCGGTGGCAGGTGCCTGTAATCCCAGCTACTCAGGAGGCTGGGGCAGGAGAATCACTTGAACCTTGAACCCAGGCAGCGGAGGTTGCGGTGAGCCGAGATCATGCCGCTACACTCCAGTCTGGGAAACAGAGTGAGACTCCATCTCAAAAAAAAAAAAAAAAAAAAAAAAAAAAAAAAAAAGGGCTGAATTCTGAAATTTTGGCCTCATTTTGAGAGTTGTCTCTTCTACCAAACTTCATTTGTGCAGACTGCATTAAGTAGGGTCCAAAGTCCTTAGACTCCAGATCCTAAAACCTGCCTTCCATCCCAGACTTGGAATGGCATTTCTGATAAGGGAGAGACCAATGTAGTTCATACTGCAGGTGAATTTCTTTGACCATTGTGAGTTCCTGGAACTCACGGACAAAGGAGCTGGCCCTCATAGGTGATAGCCGTTTAACAAATCACCTAGATCTTTTTTTTTGTTTTGTTTTGTTTTTGGAGACAGAGTCTCATTGCTCTGTTGCACAGGCTGGAGTGCAGTGGCATAATCTCGGCTCACTGCAACCTCTGCCTCCCAGGTTCAAGTGATTCTCCCGCCTCAGTCTCCCAAGTAGTGGCTGGGATTACAGGCGTGCACCACCATGCCTGTATAATTTTTTTTGTATTTTTAGTAGAGACGGGGTTTCACCATGTTGGCCAGGCTGGTCTCAAACTCCTAACCTCAAGGGATCCACCCACCTCGGCCTCCCAAAGTGATGGGATTACAAGTGTGAGCCACTGTGCCAGGCTTTAAATCACCTAGATCTTCTTACCTCTTCATCAAATGATGATGGTGACTCTTAGGAGGAGAAAGCAGCGCTATAAATGGGAGTGGGACCAAACCAAATCTCTGCAGGCCATTCACCATTTCTGGAAATGGCTGTGAGGCTATAAATATCCAAGGGCTCCTGATGAAAATTTTAAAGAGCAAGACAATTTAAAAAATGTTTACATACCTTGTCATGTACAATGGGAGCATAAGCCCCATATACTCTCACTGCGGATTTCTCTTATCGCTAAGTCAGTTACAGAGGGACCCACCCTGTAGCATTTAAATAGATTGCAGTCCTCATTAATTTGTTTACCTGTATCCAAGAGTAAATTGGAGCAGAAGTATTTACACCTCTTTGGAATTACTTTATTGTGTTTCCTACTGAGTGGGCACAGAGTAAATATTTTTTCCTCATTTGTTAAGATGAGGAAGGTAATCATTCCCACCTTTATAGTGAACGTGAAAATATGAGAGGAGTTAAAATATGTAACGTTCCTAGCATATGGAAGGTGCTTAATAATTATTAGTATTAGTAATTACTAATCAGTATTAGAGGCAGCCGCACCTGGAGACTAAGAGCAAAGACTGGAAGCTTGAATGCACAGATCAACTCCTGGCTCAGCCACTCACCATATGTGAACCTGGGCAAGTTACTTTATCTCTCCGCACTTCCATCTCCTCATCTAAAACATGGGGATGCCAGTAATATCACCCTCTTAGGTGATGGATGAGGATTACACAAGTAATATCTTGCAAAGCCCTTGAAAAACAGTCTGGCACTTAGAGGCATTGTATTGGTGTTACATATTCAGTACTTACAACAACCCTCTGAGGTGGTTTTCCTCACCCACATTGTATAGATAATGAAACCAAAGCTTTGGGGTCACACAATTAACAGTGGGTCTCTATTTCTAAGCAACCAGAAGAACCAAGTCATTTCACGACCCCACATGAGAGGACTTCACATGGGTCTTCAGCAGCATAGACACTGTTCCATTCCCTGGCAGCACGTGACTGCCTAAGACTGGGTTATTATCTTTACTAGTATTCCTGATCACTTTTGGCATCAAGTGCTCTCAACCCAGAGCATGGTAGACGCTGGAGGTTAACAGCACTTTCTTCTGTTGATTTGATTAAATAAACAGGAAAGCAGGCCTCTTATGGTCCATATCTCTGGGAAACTGGCAGTAAGTGGATTGCACCAGATAACAAGGTCTGCTTTCTTTCTCCTCCCTGCCCCACAGCCCAGGAAGAAACAGACGGCTCGGAGGTGCTGATCCTTCCAGCTGTCCCCGTTGAGCCTCGGTTGTTTCGGTGAAGGAGCAAAGACAGCTTTTTTGTTTTTTTGTGTGTTTTTTTGAGACAGAGTCTTGCTCTGTCGCCCAGGCTGGAGTACAGTGGCGCAATCTCAGCTCACTGCAACCTCCGCCTCCTGGGTTCAAGCGATTCTTCTGCCCCAGCCTCCCGAGTAGCTGGGACTACAGGCACGCGCCACCACGCCCGGCTAATTTTTTTGTATTTTCGTAGAGATGGGGTTTCACCATGTTGGCCAGGATGGTCTCGATATCCTGACCTCGTGATCCACCTGCCTCGGCCTCCCAAAGTGCTGGGAAAAGGCAGCTTTTTAAAGCTGGCTGGGCTTTCCTTTTCCAGGAGAGAGAGGCAATGGTGAGAAACTAACAGCAAGACCAGAGGCGATTCCAAGTTTACTTGCCAATGTGTGTCACTGCCATCTGCTGGATGGAATGGGTATCAGACCGGGTCCCGTGTTTCTTCTCAGTGTTAATACGCAAATTCAGTGACTCCCATTGTGGGGGTTCAGAACCTAGTGGTGCATTTGCATCATTTCATAGCGTAAGTGTCTGCAGATTTTGGAAATCCCATGACAACTGTGCACAGGACGACCTCCACATGAGTAATCAAAAGGCAAAACAGGACCATCTTTGAGGCAACGTCCTACTTAGCATCAATGCTTCCCCAGATCAAATTTGATCTGTTCCCAAATGATTGATCTAATTGGTTAGAAAAAGCCCATAACCAGCAGGTGAGGGTATCTGGCAGAACTTGGGTCCTCTTGTCAATGGCAAAAAGTACTTACAGGGAAGTGAAATCAACATCTGGCTTTATTCTTGCGTCCCCTGAAATTATGTGTTCATGTATCCAACAGTTATTTATTGAGCACTTATCCTGTGTGCCAGGCACTGTATTAAGGAACTGAGAAAGCAAAGGTGAATAAACACAGTCCCTGCTCTTAACAATATATGGATATTTTCTGAGTGCTTATTTTGTGCTAGGCATATACATCCTGTTACATCTCATTTTATTCTCTGAACAACTCTAGGACTATTATTATCTCCTTTACAATGATCTCATATTATTACCTCATTTGTAGTTCAGAAAACTGAAGCTTAGAGAGATTCAGTAATTTAACCAAGAAAATACAGCACAGACAGAGATGGAGTGGGATTTGCATATGGGGTGGTGGGAATGGATGGGTAGGATAGAGAAGGATCAGTACCATGGACCAATGTAGCTTTTTCTCCCCCTCACATAGAAAGTCTGGGTCTTTTGTTTTACACACATTTTCTGTTCCATTGGCTACAAATTTCCAGCAAAGTGAAAGTGCTACAAAAACAAGTCAGTGATGATAGCAGTAGATGCTTTGGAAAGATTTATCAGGAAGAATATCCCTTCCTCTAGCCAGCATTTGAAATCTATCTCGTTAACATTCTCTTCAGTTCATAACTCTTCTTCTTAATAGCAGCGTTGGTGTCGGCAGCAAGGGCTGAATTGTTGTCAGTTCCCATTGGATAGAAAACAAATCCCTATTTTGGTCAGCATGACAGAGTACTTGTGAGCAAACGATTTGCTCAGCAAGAGATAGAGACCAATTCACATGTTCTGATCACAACAATCTCTCACAACAATCTCACACTGTTTTTGTTTTTTTTCTTTCTCTCTTGGCATAACAGCAGGGTGCTGGTGTGGCAGGGAGATACAGAGGTGGGGGCGAAGAGAGAACAGGAGGAATGGAAGCCGGTGGCAGAACAAGCAAGCCCTTTGCCAAGTGCCCTTGAAAAGGGCTTAAATAGTATGTCCTGGACAGAAAGGACTATGGGTGTAGATGAGAAAGCAGAACGGCTAATGGGGGCTAATGGCAGGGTTTTGTAGTCAGCCAGCTGAGTTAGAATCCCTGCTCTGCCACTAGCCTAGTCTTTGACTTCAGGAAACGGATATAACCTTTCTAATCCTCCAGGCAAGAGGAGGTACAGCTAGGGTTAGGGTAGGGGGAACACTGATGGAAGAGTCTGAGATCTATTTAGAAGGTAAAGTTGGCCGAGTGTGGTGGCTCACACCTGTAATCCCAGCACTTTGGGAGGCCGAGGTGGGCGGATCACTTGAGGTCAGGAGTTCGAGACCAGCTTGGCCAAAATGGTGAAACCCCACCTCTACTAAGAATAGAAAAATTAGCCGATCATGGTGGCGGGCACCTGTAGTCCCAGCTACTCAGGAGGCTGAGACAGGAGAATCGCTTGAGCCTAGGAGGGGGAGGTTGCAGTGAGCCGAGATCGAGCCACTGTACTCCAGCCTGGGTGACAGAGCAAAACTCGGTCTCAAAAAAAAAAAAAAAAAAGAAGAAGAAGAAGAAGAAGAAGGTAAAGTGTACAGAGTCTAATAAAGGGTTGGCCATAGGTGAACAAGAGAGAAGTGTCAAGTGGACACCGAGGTTTCGGGCATGTTACCTAGGGTGGGTGCAGAACAAGATGGGTGCAGAATACTACTTGCCTCACAGTCTTGTTTGGAGGGCTCAGGGAGATAGGTATTCCAGACGGCCTCTGCTACTTGTTCCCTAAATCTTAGCCATGGATGTTACCAGTGCCTGGGGTTTCAGAGGCAGCTGAGATAAGGTGAGACTGATATGGACCGAGGGACTGAGACAGCAGGGGCCAGACTTGGGGTGGCTCCTCCAGAGAAAGTGCCCTTTGGGGTTGATTGATACTACTTATATGCACTTCAGTTGGACATACTCTTATTTTTCCTCTTAACAATCCTGTAAGGCAGGTTAGAGAGATGACATCGTTCCCATTTTTATAGAGAAAAAGGAATAGGCCAAAATGATGGTTGTTTTTCCAACTGGAATTTGCCCTCAGGGCCATCCACATGAGAACCACCAAGAAAAGTAGCTTATGGAATTGCATTTGTACATCAAACCCCTATGGAGAGAGTGATATTCAAAGTGTCTTCAGTTGAGTGATTTGCATAATTGTGTCAGTTATTTGTATGTAAACGGACTTTTAAAAAGCATCCAACCATTCATTTCATAATCATCTGACATGTTTATAATATTTTAATACAATTAATTTGCACTATAAGGCACAGGTTTGTTTCAGAAGGCTCAACATAGGCCTACTTCAATGATGAATTCCAACTTAGTCAGACTTGGATAAATGGAACCACATGGTACACTTCATAAAGGAAAAGCATTTTGGATAACAGGATAAAAAGAGCCGGCCGATGAGTGCCTGATACACTGTAGGCACTCCAGACCCAATTGTTGAACAAATGGAGGGAGGGATTAAAGAATGACTAGATGCTTTGGTTTCCTTTGTGAATGCTGTTACACCGGATGTGAATGAGGCTTCTCACTGCTACTTAATCTGGCTATTAGAAATGACGTGAAAGATACAAAATCCACCCAGGCTTCAGAATTCCCGCGTCTATTCAATTAACATGCCCGAAACTTAGGTGTCCACTTGACACTTCTCTCTTCTTGTTCACCTATGGCCAACCCTTTATTAGGTTCTGTAAACTTTCCCCTCTACATAGATCTCAAACCCTTCCATCAGTATTTCCCCTACCCTAACCCCAGCTATATCTTCTCTTGCCTGGATGACTATAATAGCCTTCCAAGGGCTATGCTTCATCCATCTGGGTCCCTCTGACCACTTCCCAGAGTGCCAGCAGAGTTATTCTTTCCAAACACCAATCTGATTACTGCTGCCCCTCTCCCAATCCTCCCCATCACTTACTCTTGGGTGAAGACCAGGTGCCTGTCCCTGCAGTCTGCATCACTGCTTCCTCCGTCTCTTACTCCAGCCAGTTAAGCCCTGAGTTCCTCCCCCTTTGCTAAGCCTCTCCTGGCTTGGTAAAATACTGTTCCTTCTTTTTTCTCCCTGGAACTTCGTCTCTGTTCTGTCTCTCTTGCCCAGGCCCCTTCATCCTTTAGATCTCAGTGTGTGGCACTTCTGACCCTGGTCCAGGCCATTTTGGCCCTCTTTAAGTTAATGCTACCAGAACCCCATATTCCTCTTCCTTCAAAGCACTCATCTCTGTCAGTTGTTCAGTTATTCGATGAATGTCTGCCTCTCTGTCTGGACTATAAGCTCCATGAGATTGGAGGCTCTGAATGCTTTTTCTCACCATTGTGTCTCCAGCATTTAACACAGTAGTTCCTATACAGCAAGCACAAATATTTGTTCAATGAATGAATGAATGGACCTAATGAACACAGGCTTATTATGCTTAAAGGATAATCTGTTTTGTTTTCTTCAGTTATCTCAAACCAAACTCATCAACAAGCAAAACATTATTTACATCTAGCATGTTTTTATGAATGAAAAGCCAGAGCGAGTTGTGTCTCACTTCTGCATGAGTAAGCTATTAAAATAAGCATACATGCTTGCATCCAAAAATTTCACTTTTATTCCCAAGATAGTTCGTCCTAAAGATGGAGCAAATAAATGCTCTGTTTGCTTGGGAAATTATAAACTGCAGTCCAAAAGAAGGTTCAGAAATGCAGTTTAATAAACACTAAATAAAAACGTTGGTGAAGTAATGGTTCACAAACATCATTTGAATGACTCAAATGCAATGCAAATGGGAAAAGACCTTAGCTAAAAACATCACATCAGAAGTAGAAAACTATCACTCTGATTCAGAAACATTAAGACAAGAAAGCATTTGTGCAAGCAATTGTTATTGCTAAATGCAGAGCTAAATGGAAGTTTAAGAAAGTTCTCTGATAAAATACATCTGTCACTAATTACTCTTACATTTAAAAACCTAAATTGCTTTGGATAAATAATTTGATGCCAAAAGGTCCATAATGCATTATTCAACGCAAATCGAATAATACGCTTTCATCATCATCTAGTTGAAGTCTTACTGAAGTTACTTTCCTAATACTTAAGTGGCATAATTTGTACAATGATTACTGAAGGCTTCCCCCAAAATAAATATCTCACATCAGAGTAAGTTGAATGGTCGGTAAATCACATTACTTAAGTAAATATGAAACAAGCTATTACTGTGCACCCCTACTATGCAAGCCCTGGCAAAGAATTACAAACACAAAAATCTTACAGCTAGAAGAGAGACATCTAGTGTGTGTTGGAGAACTTTATATATTGTGCTTCAGGCATAATTAATACAGCAAAATCACTGCAGTCGTTTTGCATACTGTGGTGGGAGATTTTTGACAAATATCTTTCACCCTCAATTCATTTCAAAATTTCTTCCCGGCTGTGTGACATTTTTGCCTAATTAGATACCTTCTTCTTAACATAAGCCTAACCCAATGAAGTTTTCTCCGTGATGCAAAGTTTTAAAGTTTCATGGTCACCTTTGCAACCTAATTAGTAAACATTTAACCTACTGTCATCATAACCACTGCTCACAATTCTTTCCATTCAGGCAGCAGCAGGACTCCCGAGTCAAACTGTTGCAGTCAGTGTTTTAGTTTCCTGAATATCAGCCCCTCGTAGTAAGCCAAATGCCACACAAATACAAACACGAGGAATAAATCGGCACACTGCCCATTATCCAGGAGACAAACGGATCCACTGCTATTTTAAATTCACCAAGTAGGCTATTAGTTGCCACAGATTCCCATATATGTAGGTGAATTCCTTGATGCAGAATCAGGTTTAATGAATCATTCTACAGCATCAGCCTCAGCCTTTTAAAATCCTTTATTTTCTCCTTTTCCACATTAAAAACACATTTGAGATATACACAGAAAATGTTTCTCTAAAAAAACGCACACATACACACAAAACAGGAGGTCTCTTAAGGAGTCTACTGCTGAGAAGGTAAAAGCATTTTGCTCATTTTTAATTTGCTAAAACAATCCAAGCATGCTTGGTACCCAGAGGGTATTCTCAAATAAACTTGTATCTCTAGCTGCCAGCTTAGTTGATTGAAAACAGAAGGCAAACGTTTCTTAAAGAATATGTTAAACTGTTATGTCTCCCAGTACCACTCAGGATACACACACACACACACAGACACACACACGCACACATACCGCATAGTCAAGGATTTGCTTGAAAGCAGCCAGTTCTATTATCTAAAAGGTAATACATTTGTACCAAATTACTCCTGCCTACTGCGGTGCACCTTTTAGCGAAGAAGCCAGTGCCACTGGGATCCTGGACAGTTCTGGTGTGCCATTCTCCACGTACAAAGCCAACGGCCCCATTTGCGACTTTGCTAACTTAGTTGGCTTCCGCCCAGCCGAACCCCGAAGCACAGTCACTGAAAACGTTTTGATACCAGAAAATCATTTCCACGACAGTGCAAGTGTTCGAAAGCACAAAGGCAGACTGTCTACCCGCGACAGTTCGCAAGTTGCGGTGGCGGGGCGGCTGTGCGGAGCGCGCGTGCAGGTAAGGGATTCCTGCACCCAGGTCTGCTTTCCTCTTCCTGGATGTTTTGGGGCTCGACCTCACTTTTAACGCGAATTCACCATTACGCGCCCCCCACCCCGTTCTTTTTCCAGGAGGCGCGGACTGTTTTCCAGCCAGGTCCCTCTTGGGGGCGGGAGAGGAAGCACACTTCACATTCAATAAAGAAGGGTGGCGGGAGTGGGTAGGGGGGCGGCGGCAGTTGGGGGGGCGGAGGAGGAAAGAGGTCAGAAAGGAGCCAAACTGAATCCCTCCCGCCCACCTCTGCGCCCCGAGCGCTGGTTCAGACGGCGGAGGCCAGAGGCGGCCGGGAAACTGTCCCTTTAAGGGAACCTAGGCCGCCAGGAGGGGAGGGAAGGATGCGGGCTCCTGACTTGGCGCTGACCGCAGCGCCGGGAAGAGGCGAGCGCAGCAAAGCCACAGCCATTACCTGCAGCGCTCGCATCCTTCCCCCGTCCCAGCGCCGCCCCCACCCCCTCCCCGCCTCCCAAGGAGACTTCTAATCCGGAGCATGTGCTGTGCCCTTTATCCGGGGAGGAGGTGGGGAGGAAGAGGAATAAGAGCTTTTTAAAAATAAATGAAACGTTTGCATCCAAAAGGGGGAGGAGGGCTGGAGATGGGAGGGAGTGGGAGGGGGCTTTAAAGGCGCCTGGGTGGGCGGAGGCGGCGAATCTGGACCAGCCCGGCCGGCGACGAAGAGCGCCGGGCACCGGCCGCGGCCCACAAAGGGGAGCGGCGTGGTCCGGCCCGGGCAAAAGGGGGAAGGAAAAACCGCCCCGGGCCCCAGTCCGCTCGGCCGCCACAATGGCGTCTTTCACGGGGCGTCCGGGGGCGCCGCCGAGGCTGCCTGCGAGAAGGGGGCGGCGGGGCCCCTACCCCCGGCAGGAGCGCAGCCCCGGGCGCCGCCGCCCCCTGCGCGCCCCGCAGAGATGTGCGCTTGGCTCTGGGCGCCCCCGCGGCGCTGGGCGCTCTCGGCGGGGCCGGTTTGCGGGCGCGGAGCTTTGCGCCGGGGAAGAAAGGGACGCGCGGGGCTCGGGGGAGGAGGGAGGGGCTCGGGGAGGGCGGGGGAGAGCCGCGGCGGAGCGGCCGCGGGGAGGCTGGCGCGCGGAGCGGCGGGCGGGCGGCTCTGGCACGGGCTCCCAGAGCCACGGCGGCTCCTCTCCGAGATCCGGAACCCGGCCCAGAGATCCGGAAACCCGGCCCCCGGCCGCGGCCCCTGCTGGCCGCACCCGCTCCTCCTGCCCGCTCTGCTCCGCCCTGCTCTCGCCAGCTCCCACTGGAGGAAGAAAGCCGAGAACCGGGAGCGGCAGCCCCGGAGGAGGCGGCGGCCCCTGCCCCGCCGCGGGTCCAAGCGGATTCCTAGTCGCCCGCCGCGGCGGGCGGCGTGTGTGCGAGTGTGCCGCGCTCTCGCCCCATGCCTGGCACATGCGTAAAAGCGAGTTGCGCCCAAAGTCCCAGCCATACCCTCCTTAGCAAATAATAACAAACCCAAACCGTCAGATCTTACCTGAAACATTGAAGCACAAAGTCTCTCTCCAAGTCCCCTTTTCCTTTTCCTCTCCCCCCTTTTCCGATTTCTCTCCCAGCGATCTGCTCGGCTCGCCACACCAGAGAGAAATGCAATAGCTTGGCTAAGGTAGACAGAACAAAATACAGAGAAGAGTTGCTCCAGGGCTTTGAAACCCCTCAAGGCAAGGATCAGGATACAATTAGCTCATGCCTCTACCTCTAGTCTAAATCAATCTCCAAAATAAAACTTAAATCAAATTAACCGATCACAGGGCAAACAATTGATCTCCTTCAAAAATAAAGCTCTACATATACGTATAGAGAAATATACACATAGGAAATTTTTTTCCAGATTTTTTTTTGGTGGAAAAACAGTCTCATTCCAGCCTCTAACTTGCTTTTTACCCTCCTCTTGCACAGAAAAGCTGATTTTAATCGTTGTGATTAGTTTTGATGTAACGTTTCCGCGGGCGATTTCTGCAAATGGATGGAGTGTTTCTTTGCCAAAAGAGGGAAAAGCAGCAGATGATGATAATTATAAGGATTGTTGGTTGTTTCTTTTTATTTGTGTCTAGGGCTCTCTCTTCACTTTCTCAAGTTGACCTGACATTGCTGTTACACTAAGGTCGCACAACTTGTTGAGGATCATCGCCCTGTCTGATAAAAGGATAGGTGATAATTTGGCAATAGAGCAGCACATTTTTGGTTCCTTTGGCGACATAACGTCCCAAATGACGTGGATAAAAATAAGCACATGCAGTCTGCTTTGCCCCAATCAAGTCTGAATCAGCGCCTGAGGGTGATACACAAACTCATTTCAAATGTTCAACCATGCAGAATTGTAGAAAGATTGAAGGAGTGACACCGCATTTTTTTTAATGGCAAAATTAAAAGAAAACAAAACCCACATTTGGTGTAGCCAAGGACCTACCATTCAGTTTTATTTGATCAACCTTCTGAACACACCTCACCTCCTCCTCCCTTCTCTTTGCTATTCTCCACCTGGTATCTTTTATAGGGGGGGTTGTATAATTCCATTATTTGACGGAAGTGCTCAACAGAGCTCGACAGGCTAACATAAATACATTTCCCCAGATTGTTACTCTGGTTCTGACCTCCCCCACTCCTCATCAGTTCTTCCTCTCTAGGTCTTTGTTCAGGGAGATTGTGCCTGGGCCAGTGGTTATCTTAGTTCTTTTTAGTTAGGGTGGGATATTTGGTTATAAACTCAAGGATCACCTCCCATTACTGTTATATCCTTGTAGGATACTTTTTGAAATGGTATGTTTTTGAGCACTTCACAGTTCATTAATTCAAAGACTTTGCTGACATTTCTTATGGAAAAGATCAGGTTATATGGCCAAGGATGCTAAAGAAAGAAAGTAACCCTAAATAGAACCAGACATGTCCTGCAAATACCTGCAACTGGCAGCATTTCACAGGAAGTATTTTTTAACCATCATTTTTCCTTTAAGGTAAGCAACTGCTGCAATGCCAACAGAAAAGGGAAGGACCGAGCTTTTAAAAAGTAAATAGAGTCAATCAGATTAGTGCATAATACATGAAAGATTAACATCATAATGAGAACCAGGGGTGTTGGCAGATTTTTTTTAATGTAACAAGTTTATATTACATGAGAATCTTTGCACATTCTTTTTCTCTCTATCCCCACACACAAGGTTGATACATTCTCTGATCTACAATAAAAAATTTTAAATGTCCACAAGCCCTAAATTCAATGGAATAAAAACTTTGTTCTTGCCCCTAAATGGCACTAAATGTTAATACAGGAGAGTGTGAGAAGAAAAGAGACTATGGAAGAAATATCCCCAATCACTGATATGATGACTGAACACATTAAAGGTGTGGCCTAAAGTGACTTTTAATTAAAAACAAACAAACAAAAACAATCAAGTGTCACATAGAGAACCATGCATCATTGTCCTAGAATTTTAGAACTGGAAAGATCCTTTGCAGGCATCTAGTCCTTTGGCATCATTTTATAGACGAGGGAAATAGGCAGCTTGCCCAGTGTCAGGAGCCAGCCATTGACAGGGGATCGGCCACAAGAGGCAGGACAAGAAGAAAGGTGAGTGACGTTCCTCTGCAAGCACTGACCCTGCAAAGTTGAGCATAGCATTCTAAATTTTGTTGACATGGCTTGAACCGTACTTTTGAAATTCCCTTTTTGAGATTGTCCTCAAATCCTGTAGCACAATCTTCTAAATATCTTTGATGGCAACAAAGTTTTGATCTTTGATCATTTAACTTTGGAAACAACAACACAAAAATTTATTGCCAGGTCTAGACATTAAGTAGATGAGAAAGATGGCTTATGCTACTTAGAGTCAAAAAAAGAAAATAGGACTAAAAACAGGACAGTTTTCTTATTAGTTCCTAAGAGGAATAAAGACAGTTCTCAAATTTTGAGCAATGAAATTATTACTGGAAAAAGGGCTTTCCTTTTTAAGATAACTGCTCTGAAGGGAATAATATTCATTTCAGTGAATTAAGTTCTGAAATGTACATTTGTAAGACATTTTAATATTCCAGAATGATATCATTTACAAAAAGACGATCTTTTAAAACATTAGGCCATTGAGATTTTAAAGTGATTCAACCTGTTTGGTTGATCTTGAACTTGTAGTAATTCCAGTGGCAAATAGACTGAAGGTAAATTTTCATTCTATTGTGGTGGGGATCTTTATTTTCTTGCATTTCAAAGGGATCTCAAAGTTGAGGCTGTATAAAATATTTTGAAAATTTATTTTGTTCCATGCAATAGAAAGAAATCAGTAAACTTCATGACCTTTAAATCAAGAGTAATGAAAATTTATTTTAAATTTTAAAATAGGCTGTCAGTGAAATAGCATGTGAGAAGTCAGGTTCATATCTTGCCAAGTACGAGATACAAACTTAACAGACTTCAGTCAGCCTCTGCAATCATAAAATGACCTGAAAGTACTTTTGTACTTTTTATCTAATTAATAATCTGCATTTTGGGGTGTCCGTAGCACCTTTTTCTCCATCTTTAAGAAATTCGGAAAAAGAGTATATTAAAAATCCATCTAACTTCCTTTTTTTTTCGTAAATAACTGGTATGAGACCAGCAGCCTAACAACCATTAGCCACACGGAAGACAATGGCAATAAAATTGTCAGCAAGAAAACAATCAAGAAGAAAACTGGTTTCTTTCTGTTTTCATCTTCCAGGGTCTCACTGTCAAAATAAGTTCTACCACTTTTTAAACGCAGAAAAAACCAAGATAGGATATTTTGAATTGAAACTAGCAGCTCAGCTGAAAAAGGTTTGCACTACGACGGTTGTGGAAGAGAAAACGAGATGTTCTTGGAGGGGAGCAGCAGCCTCCCTTCTAATGTTAGCATGGGAAAGCACATTTGGTTGCATCACAGTCACTGAACCCTCAGAGTGCAAGTTGCCACAGAACAGCACGGTTTTGTCCAGGGTAGCCCTGTGGTACATTCTTGGCGGTGATTTGACAAGATCTGGACATTAGCTGCTGAGATGAAATGTGAAATTGCAGAGCCCTCCACTGAAGCAGTCAGACACTCAGATCAAATTTTAAAATCCCATTGCACTTTCCATCAGGAAGAAGAGAGATGCCTCAGTGCTTGGGCTCAACCTGGGTGTGCATAGATACCACTAGCTGTGGTGAGGCTGCCACAGTTTCCCCTACCTGGTCACTAAACAACAGCATTTCCATCATTGCTCCAGCGGAATCCACCTGTGACTACCATGAGAGGCCCTGCTGCATGGGAAGGCTAATTATATTGTTTTATTTTATCCCTGGGTCAGTTTTTTTTGTGGGAAAATCACCTGGTTATTATCAGCCAACCTGAAACCCCCTATAATGCTGCGGAATGTGCACATTTTCCTGGAGTTGAATAGAAGTATTAATGAGCTCTAACAAAATGGGTTTGTGATTCCTGGAGTTTGGCCCCAGCCACCACCTGTTTATAATTAGCCTCTGGAAAACCTATTAGTTTCCTGTATCACTGTCAATATTGACTTTGTAATATCTCATCTTCTGAGAAGGTAAATCTTCTAATAGTTGCAGATACACCAATGGGCATATTTCTGAAACAGAAATACATACCAAGTCCTTGTATTGAGACCCTTAAATCAATGTGGTCTCTCTTTTTTTTTTTTGGAGGTGGAACCTTGCTCTGTTGCCCAGGCTGGAGTACAGTGGCACTATCTTGGCTCACTGAAACCTCTGCCTCCCAGATTCAAGCGATTCTCCTGCCTCAGCCTCCCCAGTAGCTGGGATTACAGGCATGCGCCACCATGCCTGGCTAATTTTTGTATTATTATTATTATTAATGTTTTAGTAGAGATGGGGTTTCACCATGTTGGCCAGGCTGGTCTTGAACTCCTGACCTCAGGTGATCCACCCACCTCAGCCTCCCAAAGTGCTGGGATTACAGGCGTGAGCCACCGTGCCTGGCCCATGGCCCAATGTGGTCTTTTATCAAAGTTTCTTCTCTGGTTGTCTAATACGAACACTAGTTATAATCGCACATTGTAAAACAATACAGATGTATGAAGAAATAAAACCCGACTATGATTGGATACCCTGACACCTGTTTTTGATAGTCTTATTCAGTTGAGAAATCTGTTTGTCCACAAGGAGGTAGATGTGTGGAGAAAGTTGTGAAGCATCTGTATTCATTACTGGCATTTGAAATTCTTTGCTGGATACTTACCTTCTATATTTTAAATAAATAATTGCAAGTAGGTTTTATGACTCTAGTTGAGTTACAATAGTAATTCTGCCACCTTAACTTGTGGTGTTACCTGATCCTTAGTTTTTTTAGCCATACAATATGAATGAAAATATCTATTTTGAAGGGTTATTTTGAGGTTAAATGGGATAATATATGGAAAGTGTCTAGAACTGAGCCTAGCACACAGTCAGTTCTCAATAAATGATAGCAACTATTATCATTTTGGTTTATAGTAGCTGAATAAGTCACATGGTCTCTAGTGTTTAACAGCATAGAAGAAGGATACCTTTGCAATAGGAGTACTAATTTATCAACATCTCTGTGGCTAATCTTTTTAAAAGATAATAACTAAATCTTGTTTTATTATTTCATCTAGAAATTACATGGACATCTCACTTTGTCACATGTAAAATAATGGGGTGAAATGAGATTTTCTCCAAGGTAAATCCTAGCTATGAAAAATCATATGTTTGTGATGCTGCTTACTAGTGAACACACCTTCTTTTTGTTCCATTGAGGATCCTTGATTTTGACAAGACTGCCTCACACATATAAAACAATTAATTAAGCATTATGTATAATTGCTCGTGTAAGAAGTGGTACTTGACTAGAATTCTGCCATGAACCTCTTTCTTCCTAATTATTTGCTTTTTGCCTTTCAGGAGTTACAAAATCAGTATAAGCAAGCACTTCACAAACAAAATTTAAAAAAAAGAAAATGCAGTTTTCAAAATAGGAAGAAATAAACTTCAGGGCTGATTGAAATCTCTAAGAAAGAGTTCAATCAATCAATCATATCATACCATCCTATTTTCTACATTCTCCAGTTTATGTATTAAATATATTCTTTGCTAAGCTTCAGACCTTATCATTTTCAGATTATTCCATGTAATCTGTTAGGCTATCCATTTTAAAGCTAGTGGCTTTTTAAAGAAATGCAGTGGCTGTTTTAAAGAAACATTTTTAATAAGATATGCATTTCCTTATATATTTTGTACTAGTTCATATTCCAGTGCCTCCTAGTAAACTCTCTGGCGCTGAAAGTTACTTCTGTTTGCAGTGTAATGTGTCACATGCACAGCCCATCCGGTACAGAACCACTTAGCTTTGCTTCACTGTTCTACTGTCTGAACCAAGGCCATTCATGAGAAACCCCATAATACAATTGCGGCACCTCCGGGGCACCATATACATTTATGTAAGTTATCTCTTTTTGCATCCTTTGGGTGTCAGAACCTCTCAGCTTTGCTAACCATAAAAAGTCCGCCTTAAGCATATTACTAACTTTAAAACTCTAATGATATGGATGACATATTTCAATTTTTAAGAAACCTTTCCCTGCTCCACCCCTGAAAAAATCCAATAAAACTTATCCAGTGGAATCATGCTATGGTTAAACATATAAAATGTATTTAAAAGAAAAAGAATTGTGAATATGCTATAGCCAACCTCCCCCCACCAAAAAAAAAAAAAAAAACACAAAAAACAAAAACCACACACACACACACACACGCGTGCACACACACACCCCCAAAGATCAAGAACAACAAAAATATCTTGTCAATAAGTAATAATTAAACAAGAAACAAGGCCAGGTGCAGTGGCCCATGCCTGTAATCCCAGCAATTTGGGAGCCAAGGCAGGTGGATCACCTGAGGTCAGGAGTTCGAGACCAGCCTGGCCAACATGGTGAACCCGTCTCTACTAAAAATATGAAAAATAGCTGGGCATGGTGGCAGATGCCTGTAATCCCAGCTACTTGGGAGAGTGAGGCAGGAAAATCACTTGAACCTGGGAGGCAGAGATTGCAGTGAGCCAAGATCACCCCACTGCATTGCAGCCAGGAGAGAACAAGACTCTCGCTCAAAAAACAAACAAAAAACAAAAACACAAAGAAAAAAGAAAAAGAAACAAAGTATTAACTCTAACTCTGGCAAGAGCCGCTGTAAACAAATTGCTGCTGATACCAAGAATCTTTGCACTTTCTTTAAAGTTATCAGGAGAGAAAGCAGTTTCTAGGGTCTTAATGAGTATTAGCCTGATCAGTTAAAATGTGCACTGGGAGATGGGGAGCAAATCAACAGGACTATTCGGTATGGACGTTTAAATGATTTCAACATTACTTTTACTAATAACATTAATAATAGTAGTGATAAGAAACAATGATGACTGATGGTACAAAACTTCCATTGTGTAAAGACCATCTGGTTATGAGAGTCAGACATGAAAATCTGAAATTAAATCCTCAATCTGTCCCTCTAAGGTTGCTTTGTACATAATGAATATCTTAATTTTTAAAAAAGGAAAAAGAAATTGATTGTACCAAACGTACAGCAGCTCCTGCTGAGAAAACAAAGTTGGTGTGTCTATTTCTTTTCTAATTGTAGATGTCCCTAAACAAAACAAAGCCTCTGTGAAAGAGCTTGCAGATAATGGTAGTAACTCATCAGCCTTTTATCTTGTTTCTTTGTGTCTGAAGATTTTCACAGATAAAGCATTATTATACTCCTATTATTCATTATTTCCCCAAGGCAAGGGCAAGCATTACTGCAGGTTTTCTTCCTATAGTAAAGCCTACTTAAAGATGTCTTTTGGGGGGAGAAGAAGCTAAACCTTGGGTCTTCTACAACAAATACATAGTTTAAAACTTATCTTTATGTAGTAAAGACAGATATCAAAGAGAAAGCATCTAACTCAGAACCCAGAAGATGGCCAGTATTCATACATATTTGTTATTTTAGTTTTATTGATCATACCCAGGGTTTAACTCTTTCTAACTTTTGGATTTTCTGGCAATATCAAAATAGAGTGGAGATAGAAGGACAAATATCGTGTGATTCCATTTATGTAGGGTACTTAGGATAGTCAAATTCATAAAGTTAGAAGGTAGAATAGTATTTACCTGGGGTTGGGGAGAGGAAAGAATGGGGAGCTGTTGTTTAAGGGGTACAGAGTTTCAATTTGGGAAGATGAAAAAGATCTGTACGTGGATGGTGGTGATGGTTGGACAACAACGTGAGATGTACTTAATGCCAGTGAACTGTACACTTAAAAATCATTAAAATGGAAAATTTTATATATTTTTTGGCACAATTAAAAATGAGTAAAATATACAAATATTAAACTCTAAGAAACAGGTGAGAGGAAAAAAGTACAATACGGTAAAAAACAAAGCAAGGCATCTAGTTCTCTGATTCTCTCCATAATTAGTGTTACATCTGAGTTACACCTGGTCACGATGGCCCATAAAGAAGTGGGGCAGAAACCCCAGGACCTTGTGTTGACCACATGGTCAATGTGTTGATCACATTGAAGACCCAGCGTGAGTGGGAGCTGGGTCTGATCACCATTCTTTGTCCGGCACAGCTAAAATGCCCCATTCATTGCAGATTCCTTCACTGTGGTATAAAAACTTGGATATTCTGAGCCAAATCAAATCACTGGAAATTGCTAAATGGTGTGTCTGGATACTTGAAATTATGTAGGCAAAATAGCCTGGTGTTTGACAATATTTTAGACATGTCCTATGTGTTTGTCATTGTGTAGATGTGAACTTGTACGTGAAAATACAAAATTTACAACAGCTTGCAGATTCATAAAATAATGAACTGGTTATTTAGAATCGTGAAACAAAAACCTGTTTTTACTTTTTTTTTTTTTTTTTTTGAGGTTTGGATTGGGTTAGAGGTAGCTAAAGCCTTGATTTTCTTTCGTAATTTCTGTGGCCATCTAGAGATGCCTGTTGTGTCCATTTAGCCTAAATAGCTACCTCTGGTCTCATTGTACTTGCTACAGTTTTATTGGTGCTCTTTTATTTTCTGAAAATAGAGTTCTTTTTGTTGTTGTTGTTGTTGTTGTTGTTGTTGTTGTTCTGGAAATAATAGCAAGAGAACCTTTTAGATTTTAAAGAGTAAAAACACATTTTTCTCTGCTTTCTTCATTTCCTATAAGGGTGCCACTCTCTGATTTTAAAATCTATTCAACCTGAAAACTGACCTCTATCTGCAGTTCATCTTTGATTATATTTTGTGAATTATTTGTAAGGAAGATTGGTGCTGATGGCAGAGTGGCCTGTCATAATCATATTTAGAGGTATGCCTTTTCTAAATACTGGGTTATTCAACTCATCCTCCCTGAACTGTGTCTTCGTTCTCTTAGAAATGCATCAGTGCAAAAGAACTGAGGTTTTTCCTTGTGCTTGATCTAGAAAGAACTAACCCTATGATAGAAACTTAAGAAAAAATGTAAAATTGATAATAAATAAATTAAAGGACAAACACAAGCCCAAGCAGTCTGCTTCTTTGCAGGTTTATAGGTAGTAGGATTGGGGTTAGGTGGTGGAGAAGGTGTAAAACCACTCTCCCTTTTCTTCTTTGAATTCATGGACATCACAAGTTCTCATTGTCATTCCTGGAAGAACCAGAAAGTAAACTAAGATGATAATGTTACTCTCCACTTTTAGACAACATATTAAGTTTCAAAGCATCATGACACAGTTTTGAGTCTATATTTTAATCTCTGATATATTTAGCCTTAGCTAGCGCTGACATTATTTTACCTAGTCCTGGTATTTTCCTGTGGTAACGTTCCTATTTTCTAACACTCCTTATTCAGACAGAGACAATGAGAAGTTGTATTTGTACAATTTACCAAACACTCACCTTCACTGCTTCATTTTATTCTTTTACCCAGGGTTGTTAATCTAATTTTATTGAAGATGAGGAAAGAGAAAGAATGACTTCCCTAAAGTCATATAGCAGAGGAGAAAGAGCCTTCGTCTGACTCCAGGACCAGCACTTTTTGTAGCAGAGGAAACCTTGCATTTGTGTTATTCCTAACCAGTTGTCTTGCTCTCAAGTCCCTCTTTTCTATATCCATCTCTGGCTTCCTAGACAAAAAACAGGCTCTTATAGGAAGCATATGTAAACGAAAACAGTGAATAAACTTTTCAAATAATTTGTTCTGTCGCAAAAGTCAGTAAATAAAACAGGAGACATCAAATCAGCCAATTTCTTTATCCATGGGATATCAAGCTCCTTGTTTGAAGGAAGAAACTAATGACTTTCTCCTTCCTCTCCTCCTCCTCCTTCTTTCTCTTTCCCTTTTCTATGAAGACTCTGACTCTTGTAGTTGTTCTGATGTCATACCCGTGGGAAGGGCTCCTGAGATTCTATGATGATCTCTCTGTAGACAGAGCTTGGTTCCTGGGAGGAGTTAACATGCTCATTCATTGGTGTGCTTGTCAAATGCATAACTCAGATATATCAAACAGGGTGCAGCTCTTTTTTTAAATTTAATTTAATTTAAAGTTCCAGGATACATGTGCAGGACATGCAGGTTTGTTACATAGGTAAATGTGTGCCATAGTGGTTTACAGTGCAGCTCTTTAGGAACCTCAGTAAGACCTTTGTCCTGTGAGTTAGCAGGAAAGGGGTGGCTTTGCCCCAAAGGAAGGGTAACTATTCACGATGAGGTTGAGTTTTCTATTGCCCATGCCCACACCTATTTTTTTTAATACGAGGAAGGAGGGAGACAGGGAGGCAGATGAGTAGACAAGTGGCAGAAAATACCTTTCCAATGCTCCCATGCTGATCAATATGCCTGCACTACCCTGCTGGGTCATAATCCCTGTAACTTGGCTTCATTTACAGGGTCCAACGCAGGATGCCTGGAAGCCGAATGGACACAGATAGGACTGAAGAGAACAGAACACAAGGTCTTCATTCTTTGGACAACCTATTCGTATTCTATTCCCATTTTTTTAAAACTTGCATAACATCTTTCTTCTCCCCTTTGCCTTTCCACATACTCTGTTGGTGATAAATAAAGGGAAAGGTGTTTCCCAACAAAAGAAAGTTCTAAAGGAACATCTTCACAGCCTAATTGGCTGGCTTTTAATTTTGAAGAATCTTGACAATGTCGTTTTCCTAATTAGACTAGGAGAACCTGATAGGGGTGCTGATATTACCTCCTCCAGGAAATTAAGTGTATAAGACAGCTTCTATCCAAAGGAAACTGTCCACTCTTTCTCTAAGTAATTACTTTCCCCAACTTCACATCAGTGAAACTTGAACCTTTTAGAAGAGAAAGGCCTTGCACCCTCTGCCCGGGTGTACATCACATGTGCCAAATCACAGAAAAAATCTTGAGGAGGTCTAAGTTTTAACACTTTAAAGTTAGAAGATTCTCCCAGTTTTCTCTGCCTGTTCTATGTCTCTATATGTAGTTTCATATTGATTATAGATGTAGATATTCACATTTCCTCTTGATGAAGAAAAAGAAGTTGTGCTTCTGCAAATGAAAACAAATTCCATTATTTCTTAATGACTCTAAGTTCTCCCAAACTGAATTGGACCCTGCAAAAGGTAGTCAGGTACTTGCCTCTGGCAGAGGCCACTATGTAATACATTAGGGCCATTAGGGCGAGAGGGAGGAGAGCTTGTCACACACGAAGCCATTGTACCATTTTATATACAACAGGAGATATCTCCCAAACCCCACGGGTGGTCTAATAGCCTAAAGCATCAGAATTGATTACCCTTGGCTTGCTTAATTCCAAATGTCCTTGATGGTCAACAAAAGACTTGGTTGATGCAGAATTCTAAACTCCCTGTCCCTGGTTAAGCACTGTAGTAGTAGCTGCCTGGACAGTAAGAAGAGATGTTTGAAAAGAGTATGAACCTAAGCCACTGACTTGTAATATAGAAATCAAGTCAGTTACCCATTTTGCCCACAACATTTGTGTTATGCAGAGGGGTTGCTTCTCCCTTTCACAAGCAGGAAAACTGTGAACTGCAGTGAAGGCAGGCAGAGACTTTACTTCCTGGGGCATAGACTTATTTTGCTGATAGAAAGGCCCTGGGCCTCAGTAGGCTCCTAATAAAAAATAAGGTAAACATAAAAAAATTAAAAATAAAATTTGAAAATAACATTAAAAGATTAAAAATGAAACCATCTAGTCAATGGTTTCTCTCTGCTCTTGGAGTAAAGACCAAAATCTCCCAAGGACCTGCTTGATCTGGCCCATCTCCCTCTGCATTCTCATGAAGCTCCTGTCTTCCCACTCTGAGTACCCTCTGCTGCTCTCCTTTAGCTCTTCCAGCTCAGCTCACTGCTCCAGAGCCTTTGCACAAGAAGCATCTCCTGTAAGTAGAATGCTGTTTCCTTCCTCTAGCCT
Organism: Homo sapiens; assembly: GCF_000001405.40. Lineage (NCBI taxonomy): Eukaryota > Metazoa > Chordata > Mammalia > Primates > Hominidae > Homo > Homo sapiens. The sequence continues at coordinate 26,669,287 of NC_000018.10, forward strand.
AGTAATGCCTGTTCATCCTTCAGCTCAGGTATCACTTCCTTAGGGAAGGTTTTCTCCCCTTTGGGACCAGATCAGTGCTCTCTGTAATAAGCACTCTTAGTTCACTGGACTTTTTCTTTTGAGTATTAATCGATTTGCAAGTATTCCTTTATGGGATTATTTAATTACCATTAGCTTCCATAAGGAGGAACTGTAGTCATGAACCACATAGTGCATTCCCATCAATGAGGGACCACATATTGGGTGGTGTTCCCATAAAATTATAATGCCGTACTTTTACTGTGTTTTCTGGAATGAAGGTAATAATCCCATGTAGATTTCTAGGACCTCAGCCCTAGAGAGGGTCACTTAGTAAATTTAGTGTGAAAATCTGTATTCAAAACCATCACCTAAGGACATTCTGATGCAAGTAAGCCTCATCACACACTAGAAATGCTGGTCTAGGTTGGGCATGGTGGCTCATACCTATAATCCCAGCATTTTGGGAGGCCAAGGCAGGAGGATCACTTGAGGCCAGAAGTTTGAGACCAGCCTGGACAAACAGCAAGACCCCATCTCTATTTTTTTAAAAAGAAAGAAACACTGGTCCACATTACTTAGAGGAGGAACCTTTAGAGAGCACAGCTAAGTCCATATTCTTTGTTTAAATATTTTGTATAGTTCTATTTGTAAGAGGTAAGGAGAGGGCCTTGAGATTTCCCTCAGGATGAATTCAGTTCTCTGTGGGAAGCAATTCTCCACAACCACCTTTTAGTTCTAACTTAGAGCCAATAGATGGTAGCTTTGTCAGGGTTGGTGGTTCCTGATTCTATTGAAAGTACAGGAAAATTATGAATCAATGGTTCATGGCCACAGGGTAGGTGCTGAAATAAGATAAGAGGGCAGACTAATGGAACCCCATAACCAAGCTATGTGGCTCCATCTTGGACATCTGAAAGAGGTAGTGTGGTGCGGTGAAAAGAACATCAGGCCAAAGTTGGTCCTGCCATTTACTAGTTGCACAGCCTTGCTTGAATGAATCTTTTGGGCATCAGTTTGCTTATTTATAAAATGGGGACAATTAATATTACTTCGTGGTGGTGTCAGAAGGATCAGACATAACATATATAAAGCCCTTGGCATGTAATACACATGCAAAAAAGCACACATGTACATACAGACGTGTGTGTGTGTGTGTGGTAGATTATGTGTATCTTGGGTTTCAAGGAAAAAGCCAAATTATATATTATTTTTTCTATTATAAAGCCGTGTTTAAAAAACGGGTAATAATCTCTGAAACACAGATTTCTGGGTTTTTTTGTTTTTGTTTTTTGTTTGTTTTTTTTGAGACAGAGTCTCGCTGTGTTGCCCAGGCTAGAGTGCAATGGCACGATCTCGTCTCACTGCAACCTCTGCCTCCCGAGTTCAGTCAATTCTTCTACCTCCACCTCCTGAGTAGCTGGGACCACAGGTATGTGCCACCACACCTGGCTAATTTTTGTATTTTTAATAGAGAGGGGTTTTCACCATATTGGCCAGGCTGGTCTTGAACTCCTGACCTCGTGATCCGCCTGGCTCGGCCTCCTAAAGTGCTGGGATTACAGGAGTAAACCACCATGCCCGACCTCTGTTTTTATTTTTAGGGATTATGTGAATTTGAGTGGAAGCATTGTCACATCAATACCTTCTTGCTTCACTCAGGCAAGCAACTGAAAGGGAAATTCTGTATCTTTAACTTATCCTCCACTTCTCAGAATAAAGAAAGCAAAACATTTCAACCTCTCCAAAAATGTTGTCAACCCATTAAGTGTTTATTAGCATTTTACTTCCCAAGTACAAATCAGAAATAGAATAGTTTTAGCCAATGAAATGTTTTATATAGGAAATAATCAGAGAACAATACCAGGTGGTATGCAAACCTTTCTAGCTCACAGAAGGGCAGAGCAGAGGGAAAATGGACCATGTAATCCAAGTCTGTGACCATGGATTTGTGGGAATGGAAGAGAATATTCACACTGAAGAGTGTGAGATGGGGGTGAGGTGCTGAGGTGGGTCACTGAAGGTTGAGCAATAACCTCAGAGATAGTCCAAGGCCTCCCTGGGGTGGTAGAAAGGGCAGAGAAAGTCAAGTTTTTCCAGACTTATCAGTGAGCAGAACATGGATAGACCCAGCAAGGGGAAGAAAAATTGGAGGCAGGAGAACTGTAGTAGCTTCTGATTAAAAATGGAGACGCAGTCAGGTGCAGTGGCTTGCACCTGTAATGCTAGCATTTTAGGAGGCCAACAGGAGGATTGCTTGAGTCTAGGAGTTCGAGGCTAGCTTGGGCAACATAGCAAGACCTGGTCTCTACTTAAAAAAAAAAAGAGAGATGCCTCTCTGGGTGTTTGTGTTCATGCTTTGGTTGGGTTCACGGTGATTGCTTTAGTTGGGGGTGGGTGGAGGACCCATGAGAGTCATTGCTGGGCTCCTCATAGCTGCAGTGTGGGGGTCAGGGCATGCCATCAGCTGTCAGTGGTGGTTGGAACAGCCCTGTTTGGGCTGCTCTGTGAACATGTAGAGAGATTCCATCGTCTCTCACAGTACATTTTGCTTTCTGTAAAAATTGTCCTTGGGGTAGGAAGATCCTCATTTTCGGTACAGAACAAACACAAATAAGATATTTCATATCTTCTCTGCCATTTTCACCCTTCCCTGTAATTGGAAACTCTTGCCCCCAGTCTCACCTGTAGGATTCTATCTTCAAATGTAGAATTCTCTTCTCCTCACCAACCCCTCCCTGTCTGTCTCATTTTTTCCCTGCTTCAAATTTTCATGATCTTTTATTTTTCAGTTCTTTTGATTAGTGATGGTAAAGGGAGTAGGGGAGAAGAGGGAGAGGACTCTTCTGTTTCATTAGTTTCTGATAAAGTGTGCAGTTTTTAAAGGCTGCTTTCAAAAATCCACACACTTTCTGTTGAACAGTCTTTAATTTACCTCCTCTTTTCAGGCTTTGGTTTTGTGCTCAGAGGCATTCAGACCTTGTGCACCTCCACATGGTGTCTGAACTGCCTCCAGCTGATTCTGAGGGTTGAGCTTTTCTTTACCCTTCAGCTTGCTATTAGCCATTTTCTTCTTATTCCTGGAGTATGCTCGTTTTCCTCAAGTTCACTGCTGCGGACTTTCTCTTGGGAGTCACCCCCAATTATAATATCAAACCCAGTTTGTGGGGTGATCTAGCTGCCCAATACAGCTCTCATACTCAGACACTCCCTGTTACATAAGACAAAATGAATTCTCTTCTCCTCACTAGTAGACACTCACCCAAGTTGCATTTAAGTCTGGGTTGCTTATAAAGCATCAACATATCACCTCCCCCGATTGCACCTAGTATGTTTCATAGGCAAAACCTGAGAGAATCTTTGTTGTTCTAATTACAGTTATTGTGTTAGCAACTCGAGTTATTACTCAGTGACTAGATGTATGCATATTTCTTTTTAAAATCTTTTGGGTGTTTGGGATTTGAAACCTAAGGGCTTTTTCATTTTTGTAAGTTATTTCCCCAATAAGACACATACAGCTTGGGTTGTTGAGGTTTGGGGAAAGGAGTAGAGGGGCTTCAGGGTGCTTGTTCCTCGGTAGTGAAAGTCACAGTACGTGACTACTTTTGGGCTTCTTGGTGAGTCTTACTCTGTGGGAGTCCTCCCTTCCTCCTTCCCTCCCTCCCTTCCTTTGTATCCTTTCATTCCTCTTCCTCTTCTTCATGACAGTTGTTCTTGCTTTCCTTTCAACTAGAAGTGAAGGTGCCTTCATCACTCTTAGGCTCTCTTTCCCCTTATCTTTTTTTGATGTTTTTTAAAATTTATTTTATTTTTATTTTATTTGTTTTTTTGAGACAGGGTCTTGGTCAGTTGCCCAGAGCTGGAATGCAGTGGCACCATCATAGCTCACTGCAGCCTCAACCTTCTGGGCTCAAACCATCCTCCTACCTCAGCCTCCCAGGTAGCTGAGACTACATGGTGCGCACCACCAACTCCTGGCTAATTTTTGCAATTTTTTTGTAGAGATGGGATTTCACTATTTTGCCCAGGCTGGCCTCAAACTCCTGGGCTCAAGCGACCCACCTGCCTTGGCCTCCCAAAGTGCTGGGATTACAGGCGTGAGCCACCGTGCCAGACCCTCTTCCCCCTTACCTTCCTAATCATCTCTCCCCATCCACTGCACCCAGGCTTCACTTCCTCTTTAAGTCCTCAAGGTAAGCTTCAAAACCAACCTCTGCTTGTGACTCTGAGTCTTTACAGATGTCATTCTTGTTTCACTACTTTTCAGTCCAGCAGAATAGCTCAGCCCTGTATCAGCCAGCAAGTTTCTTTCCACATTTCTGTCTGTCCAAAATATTTTAAAGGCCAGGCGCAGTGGCTCATACCTGTAACCCCAGCAGTTTGGGAGACCGAGGTGGGCGGATCATTTGAGGTCTGGAATTTGAGACCAGCCTGGCCAACACGGTGAAACCCCATCTTTACCAAAAATACAAAAATTAGCCAGGTGTGGTGGTACATGCCTGTAATCTCAGCTACTCAGGAGGCTGAGGCAGGAGAATTGTTTGAACCTGGGAGGTGGAGGTTGCAATGAGCTGAAATCGTGCCACTTGCTTTTTAGCCTGGATGACAGAGCAAGACTCTGCCTCAAAAAAAAAAAAAAAAAAAAAAAAAGCCCAAAATATATTTAAAATATTTAGGACTTCTTTGGAGTTCTTAGGGCCTAAGAACATTCTGGAGATTTTGGGTCCAGTACAATATGTAATGTAGTTGTGAACATGACCTTGCTCCTAATTCCCTAAAAGCCAACCAGATGTCCCTACTATTGTTTCCAGACCTCCTGACCCCAAGCAGCCTCCTCTAAACCATCTCCTATCCTAGACTTCTGGGACTCTGAGAATATTGTTGTTCATTACATCCATTCATTCATTCTTACAGTTGGTCCACAAATACCTGGAGAAAGGCCCACAAGGGGCTTTGAGATGTATAAATATAAGACCTGAATTACAGTCTCAGGATGTTCCCCATTCCAAGTCTCTTAGGGTAGGGACCTAAGGACCCCTGGAAAAGGAACAAACAGGGATTTCGAATATATATAATTTTCCTATCATAAAACAGGAATGGTTCTGTTTACATATCTCTTGCTAAACTTAATTCTGTATTGGCTTAAGTGCAAGCTTGATCAGAGACACTAGTAGAAGGAAGCTTCTTTGAGCTCTGGTCCTATTGTATGAATTGATCTCTAATTAAGGAAGAGTTTTCCCCTCAGGGTTATACACAGAATCTTACTCTATTAATTTGTTTCTGGGCCTTTGTTGCTATGAACTTTGGCCAGCATTTCACCCCCATCTGTGAACACACTCTGGGAATCCCGCACATCCACACTTTCTGGGTGAGGAGAGAGACAAGTGGCTCCCGTTTAGGCTGCATCTGACCTAGCCCTGTCCCTCAAGTCTCCCACCCTGTCCAAGTGAATGTAAGAGTAAGACTCCTAGCCCTGGCCTTCTCCTAACAACAAAAGAAAGTTTCAGTTTCCTGAAAAGTCTTGCACTTTCCATCTTTCTGTCTGTTCATCTACTCCCTATCATCAGAATCACTCTTCTGGATTGAGATTGGAAGGGAAATGAGAGTGAAAATGTCATAGGAGCCAGAGCTTTTCCACCTTGACTGTGTCATTAAGCAGCACATTCTACACCATGGAATTTAAGATGCCGTCAACTGTAAGATGTAACGTTATTTTATGTCTGATATGGTTTGGCTACGTCCCCACCCAAATCTCATTTTGAATTGTAGTTCTCATAATCCCCAGATGTTGTGGGAGGGACTGAGGGAGGTAATTGAATCATGGGGGTGGGTTTTCCTCTGCTGGTCTTGTGACAGTGAATAAGTCTCACAAGATCTGATGGTTTTATAAAGGGGAGTTTCCCTGCACACGTTCTCTTGCCTGCTGCCATGTAAGATGTGCCTTTTCTCCTCATTCGCCTTCCACCATGATTGTGAGGCCTCCCCAGCCATGTGGAACTATGAATCCATTAAACCTCTTTTCCTTTATACATTACCCAGTCCCAGGTATGTCTTTTATTAGCAGCATGAGAACGGACTCATACAATGTTCCACAGGAAAAAAGAAACCAGCCAATTAAACTATGATAATCATTGACTGAAAAAATATGCATTCTGGAATCAACGAAATATGTAGCACAGTGATTACATGTACAGGACTTGGAGTCAGGCTGCTTGGGTTTGAATCTCAGCTCTGTTGCTTAATGTTTGACTTTGGGCAAGCCATGTAACCCCTGTGCCTCAGTTTCCTCATCATTGAGATGACAATAATTGTATCTACTTGAGAGGGTAGTTGTGAGTATTAAATAAATGCCTACATGTAAAACACTTAACAATACTTAGAATATAATAAAGGCTTAATAAATGTTAACAATTTTTAGTTGAATGCTAATAAAGTGTAGTTAACAACTAAAAGTATTGAGCAATTACTATGTTTCTGGTGTGGTGCCAAGCACTTAGGATGGATTATCTTGTCTTGACCTATAATCAAGTAACCCAAGGAGGACGATGCTATGATTATTCCATCTTAAAATGCATTTTTTTTTTTTTTTTTTTGGAGACAGTCTCTCTCTGTCACCCAGGTTGGAATGCTGTGGCACAATCTCGGCTCACTGCAACCTCTGCCTCCTGGGTTCAAGTGATTCTCATGTCTCAGCCTCCTGAGTAGCTGGGATTACATGCACATACCACCACACCTGGCTGATTTTTGTATTTTTAATAGAGACGGGGTTTTGCCATGTTAGCCAGGCTGGTCTCGAATGCCTGACCTCAAATGATTTGCCTGCTGGGATTACAGGCATGAGCCACCACATCCAGCCTTAAACTCCTTTTTAAGGAGATCCTTCCTTTTGTTTTTGAGACAGGGCTTCATTCTGTCACTCAGGGTAGAGTCCAGTAGCATGATCATAGCCTACTGCAGCCTCAAACTCCTGGGCTCAAGCAATCTTCCTGCCTTAGCCCTCTTGAGTAACTGGGACTACAGGTGTACACAACTAGGCCCAGCTAATTTTTTTTTTTTTTTTTTTTTTTTTGGTAGAGACAGTGTCTCACTATGTTGCTCAGGCTAGTCTCAAATTCCTGGCCTCAAGTGATCCCAGTGAACATTTTTTATTTTACTGCTCTGGAGGTCAGAAGTCTAAAAATCAGACTGTCAGCAGGGCTATGTTCCTTCTGGAGGCTCTAGAGAAGAATCCATTGCCTTGCTTCCTTTTACAGTTTCTATAGGCCATCTGCATTCCTTGGCTTATGGCCCCTTCCTCAAATCACTACAGCTTCTTGCTTCTAAATCACTCCAGCTTCTTGCTTTTATTGTCACATCTCCAACTATTCACTCGGATCTTCCTGCCTTTCTTTTATAAGACCCCTTCAGAGTCCACCGAGTCCACCTGGGTAATCCAGGATAATCTCATCTCAAGATTCTTGACTTAATCACACATGCAAAGTCGATTTTTTCCATGTAAGGTAACACAAGTTCCAGGGATAGAATGTAAATATTTTTTAGGGGTCTTATTCAACTTGCCCCAGACATGATAAAATTTGTATTAAAAAATTGATGGAAGAGGAGAGAATGGAGTAAGAAAGACCAGTTAAGTGACTGATTAATACTACAGATGAGGGATGATCAGGTCATAGACCAAGATAGTCACAGTGGGGAGAGAAAGGTAGAGTCAGATTGCAGATGTTGGGAGGTAGATTTGCTCTCAAAGCATTATCCTGAGCACTAGGATTTCTTTTTATTATTATTATTATTATTATTATTATTATACTTTAAGTTTTAGAGTACATGTGCACAACGTGCAGGTTTGTTACATATGTATACATGTGCCATGTTGGTGTGCTGCACCCATTAACTCGTCGTTTAGCATTAGGTATATCACCTAATGCTATCCCTTCCCCCTCCCCCCATCATTAGGATTTCTGACAAGCCTCCAGGTGGTATCCATGCTGCTGGCTCTTGAACAACAGCTTGAGTGGGAAGGTCCTGGGGAAAACCAGCATTCAAGGGGTGTCAAAAGGAACCCAAGGCCGGGTGCAGTGGCTCACACCTGTAATCCTAGCATGTTGGGAGACTGAGGTGGGAGAATCAATTGTGGCCCAGAGTTCAAGACAAGCCTGGGCAACATAATGAGAACCCATCTCTACAAAAAATAGAAAAAAAAGTTAGCTGGGCATAGTGATGCACACCTGTAGTCCCAGCTACTCGTGAGGCTGAGGCAGGAGAATTGCTTTCGCCCAAGAGTTCTAGGCTGCAATCAGCCGTGATTGCACCACTGCACTCCAGCCTGGGCAACAGAGTGAGACCCTGTCTCTAAAAACAAGAACAACAAAAAGAAGATGAAGAAAAAGAAAAGGAGGAGGAGAAGGAAGAGGAAGAAGAAGAAGAAGAAAGAGAAGAAGAAGAAGAAAAAGAAGAAGAAGAAGAAGAAGAAGAAGAAGAAGAAGAAGAAGAAGAAGAAGAAGAGAAACACAAGAGGCAGAGACCATAGCTTCTGTGAAGAAGAATCCCAAGAGAGGATGGTGTCCTGAAGCCCTCCGGAAAGGAGAGGATTTTAAGAATGTGGTCAAGAGAGGAAAAGAAAGATGCTAAAAACTGTCCAAAAGATTTGGCTACTAAGTCACTGGTGTCCTTAAAGAGAGCAGGTTTGGTGGGGTTGTGAGAGCCCAAAGTCTGTACCATTTTGCCCTACCTTCTCTGAATAGATTCTATTCAGCTATATTTATCTAAAAATGTGGGACTGGGTTAGCAGAGAGGGGCAGAGGCACAGGGAACACTCTGTCTTAACTCCAGCAGCAGCTGTGCTGTCATGGGAGCTCAAAGCCATGGCATGTCAGTTTACGGGCCTGTTCTTGGCTCTGGGTGTGCTGCCATCTCCACCTGTGAGCTTATTTTGGGACATGCAAAATATTTATTTGCAAAAGTACACAACAGCAGACAGCATGAAATAATGGGCCTCATAAATATCCTACAACTGCAACAGCAACACCAAATGCCTAGGTTAGTGGACTGAAGGAAGAAGGGCACTTCAGGTGAAGGCTGATGTCCACCTGCTTACTTATTCAGTTCACTCTTCCAGGAGGCTCCATCATGCAGAATTATTTTCTTTTGGTGTTATATTCTATCTTATCTTTCCCGCCCTATGCATTAAAAACAGATTGTGTTTTTGTTTGTTTGGGGTGTACATTGACCTAAAATTAAGGGATTACAATTTGGTCATAAATTGTAATCCCATCATTTTAATAGAGGCCATGCCTCTAAGAATACATTAATGATTGTTAGCTTGTCTTCATATTCTCTACTTTGATGTCCTTCTGTCGCTCTGGAGAGCCATCTAGTCTTTTAAAAGAGCACGGTTGCACATTTGTTAAGGCATAAGGGGGCTAACTTGTTCTTTTCTGTATATGACTCTACCAACTGTGACCTTACAAAGCAGAAAGGAGATATCTACAGTATTATGGTGACGATTTGTGGAGGAAAATACTAAGACAGAATGAAAATGGAAACTGGAAGCCCATTGGCTCTGTTTCTCTATTATTTTAAAAGGAAACAACCACTTAATACTGGATTTTCTAAAAGGAAAAAAAGAAGTAAAAATAAAAGCTAATTTTAGTTTAGGTTGCGTTTGCTCATTTGCATATTCCCCTTTTCCTGTTTGTTGGAATCAGAGAAAAATAACTATCATCTAACCTTTTGACTTAAACACAATTTGGCATTTTAGTTGGTTCATTCTTTGATTGTCAAAGTTTTCCTTTAAAAAAAAAGCAATTTTCTCTACCCTCTTTGATATTGAAGTATTCATTTCTATTCCACTGGAGTGGCATTTAAAAAAATCTGTTTTGATGTCACAATTATTCTACCATTAGAACACTGGATTCAAACAATCATTTCATTTCACTTTATCTGCTTCATTGATGATCACCAAAAAAATACACTAGTCATCAAGGCCCTCTTTGTGCTTTTTTGTCCACTTGGTGCATGGCTGGTGAGTCTAACAAACAAAGTAAAGTACACCGTGATAAGTAATCGAGTATGTTTGTGGTATTTGCATTGTATCCAGGCTGAAATAGATAAATGACAAGAGGAGAGTAGCTACTACTATTGACTGGGAACAGACAATGTTGGACATAGACTTCTGTGAACTCTATCTGAGCTGGCTCTGTCAGCCCCCATCTCTCTGAGAGGTTGGGGTTATTATTCTCTTTTTCTAGGAGACAAATCTGAAGCTCAGAGCAGCTAGGTAAACTCTTCCAGGTCACAAAAATGCTATATTTCATTGAATTTTAGATGTCACCGGTTTTATTGATTTTATGTACCGTGAAGAAAGAAAGATATACCACCACAACTATACCACAGTAATTGTTTTATTCCTTAGAATTTTTATTGTATACCTATTGGAAGAGTTTCTTGGCTAGGCTCAGTGGCTCACGCCTGTAATCCTAGCACTTTGGGAGGCAGAGGTGGGCGGATCACTTGAGCCCAGGGGTTTGAAACCAGCCAGGGCAACGTGGCGAAACCCTGTCTCTACAAAAATACAAAAAAAAAATTAGCCAGGCACGGCGGTGCACGCCTGTAGTCTCAGTACTCAGGAGGCTGAGGTGGGAGGATTGTTTGAGCCCAGGAAGTGGAGGTTGCAGTGAGCCAAGATTGAGCCACTGCACTCCAGCCTGGGCGACAGAGTGAGACCCTGAAAAAGATTTTAAACTTATTTTGGCATGGATTTCTCTCATATACATCTCTTGTGCATATGTAATAAGGAAAGTATACATGAAATAAATTAGTTAAGGTATTTACAAAACTTCAGATTCTGAGTCTGATTCATCTGAATTATTTTCCAACTTGGAGTCATCAAGTTCATGTTTGGCTGCACAGGATCACCCTCTTTGCCATCAAGAGCATTGGTGATGTAGTATTTCCTAAGAGATGTCCCCACTCATCTCCAGGATTCTCTTCCTAGCCATTGCACAGTTTCATGCCCGTGTATAGGCAATGACAACTAAGGCTGACTGCTGCTGGCTGACAGCGCATGTGGGCTGCAGTATGACTTCAGAAATATTAAAATGTGAGTAAATATATGTCTTTAGGTTCAAATTTAGGTCTGTGTATCTCTTAACTCAGGCACAGAGAAGAGGCTTGTGCCGTGTGTTTCCAGAGGTTGTTGTTTCCCATCATAGGGCAGGAGCAGGTGCTAGATTTGATCTGAACTCCAACTTCTGCTCCTTACCTCTCACTCAGTTCTTAGTACCACCTATGTTCCCTTTCACACCTCTTATGGAGGCAGCTTGGTGAACTTTTGGGGGAAAAGGAAAATTCAAAACCAAATGAAGAACTTTTTCTGGTTGTTGCTGTCGAAACCTCCCTGATGATTTCAGTGGAAGTTCTCTGGAGCAGACAATTTCACAAACATCTGAATCAAGTGTACTCTGTCAGAGTCACCAGAGTGTGAAGATTCTGCTGTTTAGTTCTGTGCAAGGAGATTGGTTAAGAAAATTGTGAAGTATCCCAAATGCAGACAGCTGTCGCTCCGAGGAACTGACTATACTGAACTTCCTTGGGATGCCCGCCCCTAATTGCTGCAGCTATAACCACTGCTTGTAGCCAGGGTGGGCTGAAAAGTACCACAGTCTGCTGTGGAAAAAAGCCTCATGTCCATAGGTTTTAGAGTTGAACCTACATCATCGTAAATGAATTTCTTGGATGGATGCCCCCTTTGCCTAAAACACAGGAGGGATCACACTAAGAGAAGTCATCCAAGATGCTCATGTTTTGTGCATGAAAGTACGTCTGTATATATTTTCCATTTTGACCTTTTCAGTTCTCTTTGAGCACTGGAGTTTGTATATTTGTTTTATATTTTGGCAGCTAGGGACCAAGATATTTCTTTTCTGTTTGTTTTCTCCAACTCTTTTTACAGTTTAACAAGTCAAATACAAAACTCAGGGGAGTTAATAAGCCTCGTGATGGTATTGTGCATAGCATCACATTATTGATTAGATATACTGCATTGGAATGCTGTAGAAGAGCCCCAAACCAAAAAATTTCAGACGCCTGAAGCTTTGAGCTTTCCAATTAGGCTGAAAGGTTCCCCTGATAACCAGTAGTGCTGAAGCTTTTAACATTGTTTAGCTCTATCAGTTATCAGCAACATTTTCTAGTTATGGAGGCCAGAGGATCACTTGATGTCAGCAAGGTAGCTCATCTAATCTACTTGCCCCCTTTCTAATCAAATATTCCATCTGGAAGAAAAGAAATTTTCAGTTTCACGTAAGCTGATCATAATTGGGAGCAAACGCTTCTTTCCCTTCTTCTATGCTATCTCCTCTTGTGCAGTCTATTTTGCATCCAAAGATACATTTGAAAGTCGAAATCCCTTAAAGCGAAATATTCTAAACTGACAGAAGAATTTCTAGTGGCACAGCAGCCTAGAGCCATGTTTTTATGAGGACATCACTTTCTATTTCCAAGCTTCACCATGCACTCTTGCTTTCTTAGTGCTGGGAGCCATGCCACATCAACTTGCCTCCCTCTCAGCTTTTAATGTTTTTTTAATGGAGTCCAGTTTTCCACCTAAGTTATAGCTAGCTTTCTGACAAACCATCAGACACCTAAGTGACCATAATGGAAGTGTCCAGATGTGACATGGGAAAAGGCTATGGCTCACTTTCGTGCCTTTAAACAAAACCATATTATAACCATTCATTTTTACTTGGCCTCTGGGTTTGCTGTAAAGGCTAAAATGGGGCTTAAGAAAACATTTTAAAAATTAATATATGATATGAAGTCTTTTCTTGTAATCCACAAGCAAAAGCAATCATTTCTAAATCTGGCTGGCATGGTGAGTATGCTGCCTGTACAGTGAAACAGCAGGAGTGCTGCATGTTTTTCTGAAGCAAAGAACTGCTCAGGTAGCAATGAAGTTAGTTATCTAATGAAATAAAGCAAATGCACTTTACAGATTCCCAGTTGTTTAGAAGAATTTAAGAAAATAATTGTAAATTAAAATGAATTTGAAATGAATGGTGAATCATTGGAAATGCAAATTTATCAGAGAATACGGGCATTTCTATGATAAAGGAAGAAATATATCCTCTTGAAAGTCAGCAATTTAGATGGCTTTATCTATACAATTTGGAAGACATTTGCAGAGCATTTGGTAATTAAATATGCCCTCAGCTGAGCAATAATGCCCGGGGTTGTCCTGCTGGCAAATAAAAGCTAAGTATTCTTACTATGCCTGGGTTTTGAATTTCTGCTTGGAATCCTGTGAGTTGTCTGTGATACTGCTTGTGAGGTTGTACAATCCATACAATAATGTGAGTAAATCAGTTTTTACTAAAAAACAAGCAGAATTCATTTTCCTAGCTTCTCAACAACTGGCTCTTTCTTGACATTCAGATTTTAGCTCAACATCTCCACCTACCCAGTGAAGCCTTTCCGTCCACGTTAGCCCACCCTATCTGACCACGTTCCTTTATTTTTATTTCACTGATCACTGTCTGAAATGATTTTCTTCATTTGTTTGCTGGTTTATTGAATGCCTCTGCCTAGGAGAAAATAAACTCTTTGAGAGCAGGATGTTACCTGTCTCCTTCATGTCTGATTTCCCAGCTCTTGGAAGCAGTGCTGGCACATTGTGAGGTCTTCAATAAGGGAGGTTACATGAATGAATGAATGAATGAATGAATGAAGAGTGCTGACTGGCATATAGCTCCAAAGGGAGTTATAGAACATTGGATAGCTCATAGGCTTGGTATAAGATATGGATATACATGGAGTCTAATAAAATGTAGCCTAATGAGGGCAGGAACTATCTTTATACTTGAAAAAAATTTCCACGACAGCTGATATTTTACACTGTTGGAGGCTTATCAATGGGGATTTCTTGAGGAGGTGACCTGGTGTTATAATTCATGCCAGCAAGGGTATGGGGGGGTAGTGGGGGCCACTTTCAGGGATCATAAGCCCACAGTAAGTCACCTGGATTGACGAGGACTGTCCTTTCCAGTGTGGACAATTCTGTTCACTTGAAATTCCTTGAACAGAGTTTTTTTCTTAAACAAAAAATAGAAAGATATTTTACCATGTGATTAATATTTTGGGTGCTTTCTGTTAAACCGATCCTTGCCTTTACGTAGGTAAAAACTGTTCTTAAAAAAGCAGTTTGGCTGATGGAGTCTGAGATTCATTAAAAAGATTAGTAACTTAAAAGAAAACAAAAACAAGAAACTTCTTTGAATTTGATGTATTTTATAGGAAGGGGCCTAGTTTGATGTTGCCCAGCTTAACTTTTTATCCAAATTGCCCTTGAGGAATGTTTTTTAATCAGATGCATTTTTATCCGTATCTTCTGAAGTGACTTTTTTTTTTCTTTTTACAGGAGGGTAGAATAACATGGAAAGCAGCTTTTATTCACTCCAAGGACAGCTAACTCACATACAACAAAGGGCAGAATAAGTCTCTAGGTGCATAGATTAGCCTCAGGGTGTCATGGGTGTGTGTGTCTTACTTAGGAACCTCTTTAAAAATAACTACCTTGTGATTAGTATCTGATGCTAATGGTATATTTTCATTTAGAAAGTCTGAGGTCTTTATTTTCTGAGACAGTGAATGAACTTCTTTTCACCTTGTTCCTGGCTGTTTTTCCTCCATTGCCTTAATAAAGACTGAGGTGCATAGGCACATACACCTTCCTGCAAATGGTAAATTTTCTAATAAAACAGTTTCCCTTTCTATTATAATTCCAGTTGAGTGAAATATAAAATATTTACTAAGCCCCTTTTTTATTTTTAAGGTATATATTTTCTGGGTGGTTTATGCATTTAAGAAAAGGAATGAATATTTTCTTTTTTCTTTCTTTTTTTTTTTTTTAGGCGGAGTTTCGCTCTTGTTGCCCAGGCTGGAGTGCAATCGTGCGATCTCAGCTCACCGTAACCTCTGCCTCCCGGGTTCAAGTGATTCTCCTGCCTCAGTCTCCTGAGTAGCTGGGATTACAGGCATGCACCACCATGCCTGGCTAATTTTGTATTTTTTTTTTCTTTTAGTAGAAATGGGGTTTCTCCATGTTGGTCAGGCTAGTTGAGAATTCCTGACCTCAGGTGATCTGCCCCCCTCGGCCTCTCAAAGTGCTGGGATTACAAATGTGAACATTTTCTTACTGATTCTGTCTAATGTTTCTGTTTAATATGGTTACCAGGGGAAGCCCATCTGGGGGAAGGGTTTATAAGTTTAACTAAAATGTGAGAAATGGAGATAGAGAACACTGTAGTGTTCTTTCCAGCCAAAGCTCGTTAATACAATTTTGGTCATGTTCAAAGACTTTTAAAAAATGGGTTTGGAGACAATTTTATGTCCAGTCTTTAATCACTAACCACAGCGTGTTTCTCCCGTCACTTCCGTGATTCCGAGGTTAGCATATAAGGTTTGGATCACGGCAATGGCTGCATTGTGAGCCACATATAAAAAAAGTTGTAATCAATTTCTTTGATGTCATAAAGTCACAGCCCACCAATCTAATATCAACGTAATGGGATAGAAATTGTCAGGCTATAGTTAGTTACTGGCTTTAAAAAAAATTAAAGCATCAACAAAATCTGCTTCTAGCAAGAAACATGTATATTAAAAGACTATTTGGGGAAAAAATGAATGTAAATCCTTCCTTGTTTGAGTGACTTCTAGTAGTTCATATGTTTTCTAAAACAAAAGCGTGTGGAAAATGAAGGCCATTCCATGGAAGCTGGTGAATATGTAGGGTCCTTATAAGGTCTAGCTTTCTGGAGTTTGTCATTAAAGTGTGGTTTTATGATTCCTCCCAAAAAAGTTGGGGGTAAGAAAAGGGAGAACCCAGAACAAGGGAGAGAGAAGAATGGTGGCAAACAGGAATATGGACAAACTGGAGACTGATCTGTAAACTTGGGAGGAGATGGTTTCCTTAAGAAGTTTGCACGTAATATTTAAGTGATGCATTCATATAACATCTTGACTTAATAAAAGAAAAAGAAAAGAAAATGAAAGAAAAAATCTGCAGCAAGACAATAAAAAGTTTCCTCCTCATACCCACCGCCTTAGGGGTTTTTCCTTGGAGCCTCAGAGCTTATCCCACTGAAACTCATCAATTTTTGCTTTTATGCTGGAAATGCCCGAAAACATTTGAAGCTTCATAGCCACCCTTTGGGGTGAGAAGGTTTCACAATGCCCGCAGAGCCACACAGCCTGTCCCCAGGGAAGGCCAAGGGGCCACAGGGTGGGGGAGAGAGGCATTCTTTCTGTTCCTAGGCAGGGATCAAGTGCCCTTCCCCTGCCAGTCTGCAAACAAAGGACCCAACCTCAAAGCTCTTGCCCCAGCGCGTGACCTCGGGGGCCAAAGGCAAAACATTTTATCTCTGGGTCCTAGTGACATAAGCTCCTCAGGCTCTGCAATTGTAGTTTATGATGTGACTAGAAACCTTTGATGGAATGACTATTGCCTTCTATTTCTCTGCCCAGCCATTTATTATTCTGTATATTTTTGAGAGCTGTGGGAAACTTTCATAACCAAAGCCTGAGCCAGGCTAAAACTTGTTCTATTTGGAATCTCTAATGAAGTCAAAACATGGCCTGGATTTTCTGAAAGGCTCCTCTGGCTGCCTGCAACAGCCCCAGGGCACAATCAGACAAGGATGGAGAAGGCCTGGGAGCAGATTTTGTTACCAAGAATAGGACAGAACAATGTTTGCCTCCAAAACACTAGGGCTGCTATTTACCTTCTCAGCTGGAAGAAGTGAGGCATAAATGCATTATTGCACATAAAGTGTAAATACCAATTCTTTAATTTCTAAATTTTTAGGATTTTATTTTTTCTTAACTCCCCTTAAATAAAACGTCAGGGAAAATTTTTAGCATAATTGATTTCCTGAACTAAGGGAATAAATTCATTTCAGAAGTTTTGACCTTCTAAAGTGCTGTTACTTTGCCTAAAATGGAAGTATGGAGGAGGCAGAATAAAAATTGTAAGACATTTCCAGGTGATTATGGGGGTTGAGAACGCTTCCATGTGTGTGCTGTGTGTGTTGGCAATGTCATTATTTCAGGAACTGCTATGAAAAAACCAAGTTTCCCTATGTTTGGATGTAAAACTTCATCTACTTTTCAGAAGCTCTCCAAAATTATTTACCAGCTTGAGCCTGCTCCCTCAAAAGGAGCCTCAGTTCCTAACAAAAGTGGTAAGTTGTAAAATGTAGGTCCTAGTTTTTACTTAAGTCAAAGGTTAATAGTAAAAGGGGGGTTGATTCCTCACTGTTTCAAGTTAATGTTTATTTTTCACCATCATTTAAAGGATTTTTCAGGCCGTTATTTCACTGCTGAAAGCAGAGTAAGAGAACTCAGATCATGCCCCAGGGCTTGAATAAAGGAATAAAAACAGCACAACATTTGCATCTATTTAACTGTCTCAGTTCTAAGAGTCCCCTCACAGTAAGAGGGGGGAAACCGTATCTCTAGGTTAAATGAAGCTTTTCTGAGATATTTGCCGAAAACACAATTCAGAGAAAGATAATCATTGTCAGAAATGACCTAGGAAGTCAAGGCCTTGTGATTGAAAACACAAAGCTTAGAAAGGTGCATTCTCTTGCTTCTCTGCCTGCCCGGATATCAATGAACATCAGCTAAAGGTGGCTGAAGAACCAATTTCATGCATCTACTGTACGAGGAAATGAACTGAGCCAAGGGCAAAAATAAAATTATACAAATGTTATTATAGACTAGCCTGCTTCTGTCCTAGTTTAATTCAAATTTTAGTGCTGCAGGCTTTGCTTCTGGCAGTAGCCTTCCTGAATAAATCAACATTTGCTTACATCTAAATTATTAGGGAAGCATGTGACTTTGTTTATTGTATAAATTATACGCAAGGTTAAAGCATTAACTGTTGAACTGGCTTTGTTCAGTCACCTCCCCAACTCTCCCCCAAATCATCTCTCCCCTAAATAGGAAATTAAAATCTGAAACTACTAATTGCTTTTAGACAAACCAAATAACAAAGCTGCATTATGAACCTGAGGTTACAGATGGAGAGCACTGTTAAAGGTGTGGCAGGAGACAGTCTTGGTGTTGAGGAAAAAGAAAGGCACTCTGGCCCAAGAAATTGTTCACCTGAGCTCTGATGGGGTGTCTGCACAAAGGAAAATGGTGATCTGGTAAATAATCGGTTAAGTTGATTAAGGCAGCCAACCAAATGGGATAATTTAATACAAAACTAAAGAAAGCCTTTTGGCTAGGATTTCAGTAAGCAAGGAATTTCAAATTATATTGCAATGTTGGACCCAAACATTTTTATTGCCATTATCTGCTAGAAAGTTAGACATAGGCTGGAAAACACACTTAGGAACAATGATTTGTTTTTTGTTTGTTTGTTTGTTTGTTTGTATTGTTTTTCTCTCTGCACATCACTGTGAAATGACTCCTGAAAGACCATCCATACTTATTTAGAAAATAAGCCTGGGCTTTGATAACTAGACAATTTGACTTTCTAAGTGTTTAGACAAGCCAGGTATCAGGTGTGTCCTGCTATGAGAACATCCAATTTAAATAAACATCAAGGGTTCAGAGTAGACAAATCAGAAGGTAATTGTTTACTTTACAAAAGGTTCTTTTTATAAGATCATCCGCAATACGCTTGTTTTTGTTGACCTTTCCCACAGTATAATTTGCAAAATTATAATTAAATTCAATCTTTTCCAAAAATATATGTTTTTCTTTTTCTTTCTCAAGACTTTTTGTAGAAACTCTGCAGGTCAGAAGATTTTTGTATGGAATGATCTTCTCCAATCAATTATTTGAATCTAAGGTGTGCTCAAGAGGAGAATCAGTTTCCCATTCAACCACTTAGGATTCTTTCTCTCTGCGTCCTAAATTTGGCTTTGAGACCTTGGATGATGATTCTCCTAATCTGGTCAATGGACCACCTGCAAGAATCACCCAGGACTGGAGCCCAGGAATCTGCTCAGTAACGTGACTGGGGTGCATGTGAGCTAACATTTAAGAACTACTTTTGCAGAGTCTAATATGTGTAGACTCTAATATGTGCAGAGTCTAATATGTGTAAACTGTGTAGCTCTCTACTCTGTCATGCACTTTGCATCATCTTCTAGTCATTGTGTCCTGGAGCCCAGCCCAAAAGGCCTCCCAATCCCTGCCCTGCTTTGTTTTGGTCAAGAAGGGTATCTCTGGAGCACACTTACCATGGTAGATCTTGATTTGTATCAGGTATTTATGAAAAATTGCCACACATAACTACAATTCTTTTTGAAATAACTTATTATACGTAAAATTAAATTGCTTTCCACTCAATGAATATCTGTAAGAAATAGCTTTTTTTTTATTTTTTATTTTTGAGGCAGGGTCTCACTTTGCTGCCCAGGCTGGTTTCAAACTCCTGGGCTCAAGCTATCCTCCCACCTCAGCCCCCATGGTAGCTGCGACTACAGGCACATGCCACAATGTCTGGCTAATTGAAAAAAAAAAATTTTTTTTTGGTCGGGCGTGGTGGCTCATGCCTGTAATCCCAGCACTTTGGGAGGCTGAGGTGGGCGGATCACTTGAGGTCAGGAGTTCGAGACCAGCCTGGCCAACCAACATGGTGAAAACCCGTCTCTACTAAAAGTACAAAAAAATTAGTTGGGCATGGTGGCAGGCACCTGTAATCCCAGCTACTTGGGAGGCTGAGGCATGAGAATTGTTTGAACCCAGAGGCAGAGGTTGCAGTGAGCTGAGATCACGCTACTGCACTCCAGCCTGGGCAACAGAGCGAGACCCTGTCTCAAAAAAGTAAAAATTAGAACAAAACACAAAAAAATTTTTATTTAAGTCATGGTCTCACTCTGCTTCCCAGGCTGATCTCAAACTCCCAGGCTCAGGGGATCCTCCTTGCTCAATCTCCTAAAGTGCTGGGGTTACAAGTGTGAGCCCCTGCACCTGCCCTTAATTAATTAATTAATTATAAATGGGAAGCACTGAAACTGTGTCCTTCCCCCTCTTACTCTTCCAGAGGAAGAGAAGATCATCAGTGGCAAATGGCAGTCACAGGAAAGCAACACCCACAGCCGGTTTCACACGTGTGGAGAGCACCCTGAGCCTCCTCCTCCTGGTTTCCCGTGCTCTGCAAGTTCAGAGAAACTTCTCTCACAACCAACTATAGAAACAATCTTGGAACGTACAGTCTTAGAAATGGCTTTTTAATTGCAGCATATCAGAGTGAAAAAGGACCCAGAGATGTTGGAATCAGACAATCCTGGTTTCAAATCGGTTTCATTGTTCATCCTCATGTGATGTTTGGCAAGAAATAAAACATTTCTGCGTTCAGTTTCCTTGTCTGTGATATTACATAACATATTGCAAATATGCTGAGTGTTGAGAAAATAATGAACAACATGCAAGGAGTAGCTGGGATATGGTAGCAGCTCAGTAGATAATGATGATGATCAATATTCACCATTGACAAGTAGCTGTGAAATCCACAAATGGTGGACATAAAAGGTTAACCAGTGAAGTGCTGGGACAACGTAGCTGAAGAAATATTGGAATGTTCCTGCTCAGATTGGCCTCAGCCTGAAAACTGTTTACTTCCTGCCCAAATCTGGGGCCTGTCTCCTCTTCCAGCATTCCCTGAGGGAGGAGACAGAGAAAGAAAGTATAGGCAGAAATCATAGAAGTCAGCTGCTTTCAGATAACTTCTATAGCTGGTATTTTTACAGAGACTACATGTTGGGAGATGGTAAATTTACCTAGAAATTAATGTGATGAAGACTTTATACGTGAAACGGGAACTTTGGGATACTGACAACAGACAGAATAATGACTCTGTAGTGGTTTTTTGGGGGTTTTGTTTTGTTTTAGACAAAGTCTTGCTCTGTCACCCAGGCTGGAGTGCAGTGGCGCGATTTTGGCTCACTGCAACCTCTGCCTCCTGAGTTCAAGTGATTCTCCTGCTTCAGCCTCCTGAGTAGCTGGGATTACAGGTTCCCGCCACCACACCTGGCTAGTCTTTTGTATTTTTAGTAGAGATGGGGTTTCACCATGTTGGCCAGGCTGGTTTCGAACTCCTGGCCTCAAATGATCCACCTTGGCCTCCCAAAGTGCTGGGATTACAGGCATGAGCCACTGCGCCTGGCCATGATTCTTTAGTATTGATAAAAGTTTTCATAAAAGATATGTCACAGAGTAGGATACAAAAAAGACACACATCAAGCATACTTTGGATGGTGAAATGAGAATAGTGTACAGGGAAAGGCAGGAAAGACCTGGCTTAGGGATTCTCCAGTTCCCCAACTGGGCACCACTGAATGCTGGAAACAATACTGAAGATGACAATTTTCTAGGGACCTAATCTGGCAGAGGGTAATAGTAACCCTCCCAGAATGGTGTCTTAATAAGTTTTCTTCCTGCTTGGAGATGTTACGCTATCTATTTGCAAGTATGTTTTGTCGTTCAATTATCATATCAAGCCTATGAAATTGGTTTTATTTTTAGCCCCATGGTCCTGGGAATATTTTGGGAAGTGGTTACATCTTGAGTAATGGAGAATACCAGTTGAATCCCACATTGTGTGAAATATGTCTCCATTGGAGAGATTTACCATTTGTCTTCCCAGTATCCATTCGCTATTTTTAAGGTAAAATGACACCTCAAATTCCATCTGGGGAACCACTCTCTCCCACTCTCAGGCCACATAGTTTAAAAAGCATCACATCCATTCTTAACATTCTCTTTTGTTAGAGGATTTAGTTCATTCATCCTCCATGTGACCCAGTCAGAACGAGGCATAAGGAGACTGTTGTTCTTTCCCAAGGGACTTGAACCTGGAAGTAGGTGAGCTGGTGCTACTGTTGCCACCTTGCCACCACAGGTAAGTGAAGAATAAGGCCAATGAGTGGATGAACACAGAGCCCACTGAGAGGTGGACAGAAAATGGGTCTTGATGACATTTTTGGAGCCTAAATGAAACTGTTATTGAAGAAAGTCCCATCCTGGAATTTTTACCTATGTGAGCCAATAAACTTTCTTCTGCCTTGAGCTAGTTTTGGTGGAGTGTTTTTTGTTTTTTTGTTTTTTTTTTTTCATTTTCAACAGAAGAGAGTTGATTTGGTTTGGCTGTGTCCCCACCCAAGTCTTATCTTGAATTCTAGTTCCCATAATCCTCACATGTCATGGGAGGGACCTGGTGGGAGGTAATTGAATCATGAGGGTGGTTTCTCCCATTCTGTTCTTGTGATAACGAGTTCTCATGAGATCTTATGGTTTTATAAGCATCTGGCATTTCCCCTGCTTGCACTCCTTCTCTCTCCTGCCGCTGTGTGAAGAGGTGCCTTCCACCATGATTGTAAATTTCCTGAGGCCTCCCCAGCCCTGTGGAACTGTGAGTCAATTAAACCTCTTTTCTTTATAAATTAGCCAGTCTTGGGTATTTCTTCATAGCAGCATGAGAACAGACTAATACAAGAGTCCTAACTGGAAAAAGATCTCTTTCTCCCCACTCAATGCCATAACAAACTATAGATAGAGCTTGTCTGTTAGGTGGCTGTTTTGCAAACCAAGGACAAAATGGAAAACTGGCAAGTCATGGGCAATTTTATGCTCTGAGAGAATGTAAAGACAATCTCCCCAACATAGAGCACATTTCTGCAGGGATTGCTGGTTACATACTGTGATAGTTGTTCTTTCCGTCTTAAAGTCCTGATTATAGCTGGGCATATAATCAATTTTTTAAAAAGACTTCATCAGACTCTTTTGTGACTCAGCATGGCCATCTGACTAATCTCTGGCCAATGGGATTTAAGCAGCTTCTCCAGGTAATTTCCTTAAAAGATAGCCAGGATGTGCCCTTTGTCCTTTTTTCTTTGTCCTTTCCTTCATCGTGCTGCCTAAAATGTGGGTATGATGGCTGGAATTCTAACTATCATCTTGTATCATGAGGCCAGATTTCTACTTCAGAAATGGCAGAGCCATGAGCTAAAAAGATTCTGGATCCGTAGGAACTTCAGGGAACAAGCTATCTTACAGCTCTGGTTTGCCAACATTTGAATTCTTACTTGAGAAAGAAATAAACCTCTGTCCTATTTAAGTCACTGTTATTTTGAGTTTTTGTTAGCATCAAGCTTAATCCTAATTAAGGCAGTTCCAAGAACATGTTTTACAAGAAATTATTTTCTCAATCTTTCTTTGACTATCCATGAAACTGAAAATGAGTACAGCTAATGTATGTAAAGTCCATATGATGTTGATATATTCTTTCAATATATATTATATAAGCAATTGCAGCAATGTCCAAGTTAGATTCAGTGCAAACCAAAGTGACCCAATTCTTCCTATCTGCTGGGTGCTGTGCTAGGCCAATGGGATTTGTCAATGATAAAAGTACAAATTTATTTTTTCTTTCCTTAACAAATATTTCTTTTATAAAATTTTGTACCCTTTGACTAATAACTGCATTTTTTTTCTCCCCCTGGTGCCTGGCAACCACTATTTTACTCTCTGCTTTTATGAATTTGATTATTTTACATTCCTCAAGTAAGTGATATCATGTAGTATTTGTCCTTCTGTGTCCGGTTTATTTCATTTAGCATAATGTCCTCCAGGTTCATCCATGTTGTTGCAATTGGCAAGGTTTTCTTTTCTTTCTTTAAGTCTGAATAGTATTCCAGTGTAGGTATGTACCACATTTTCTTTATTCATTCATCTGATGATGGATATATAGCTTATTTCCATATCTTGGCTATTGTGAATAATGCTGCAATGAACATGGGAATGAAGGTATCTCTTTGAGATCCTGATTTCCATTTTTTTTTTGATATCTACCTAGAAGTGGGATTGGTGGGTTTATGGTTTGTTTATTTATTTATTTATTTATTTATTTATTTATTTATTTATTTTTGAGACGGAGTTTTGCTCTGTCACCCAGGCTGGAGTGCAGTGGCATGATCTCGGCTCACTGCAACCTCCGCCTCCTGGGTTCAAGTGATTCTCCTGCCTCAGCCTCCCGAGTAGCTGGGAATCCAGGCATGCAACAACACGCCTGGCTGATTTTTGTACTTTTAGTAGGGACAGGGTTTCACTATATTGGCCAGGCTGGTCTCGAGCTCATGATATCATGTGATCCGCCCACTTTGGCCTCCCAAAGTGCTGGGGTTACAGGTGTGAGCCACTGCACCTGGCCATCATTTTTAATTTTTTGAGGAACCTCTATGCTGTTTTCCATAGTGACTTACGAATTTACATTCTTACCAACAATGTACAATGGTTCCCTTTCCTCCACATGCTCAATAACAACTTATCTTTCATTTGTTTGTTTGTTTATTTATTTGTTTGTTTTATAATAGTCATACTAACAGATGTGAGGTGATATCTCATTGTGGTTTTGATTTGTTTATTTGTTTTATTATTTGTTTGTTTGTTTTATAATAGTCATACTAACAGATGTGAGGTGATATCTCACTGTGGTTTTTATTTCCATTTCCCTGGTGATTAGTGATGTTGAGCACCTTTTTGTATACCTGTTGGCCATGTGTATGTCTTCTTTGAAAACTGTTCAGGTCCTTTACCCATTTTTTAATCGAGTTACTTGCTTTTTGCTATTGAGTTGTAGAAATTATTTATATATATTGGATGTGTCAACCCTTGATCAGATATATCATTTGCAAATACTTTCTCCCATTCCTTATGCTGCCTTTGCATTTTGTTGATTGTTCTCTTTGCTGCGCAGAATCTTTTTATTTTGATGTAATTTCATCTGCCTACTTTTGCTTTTTTGCCTGAATTTTGGTTTTATATTTAAAAAAATCACTGCCAAGGCCAATGTCAGGAAGTTATTTTCCTATGTAGTCTTCTAGGAGTTTTACAGTTTCAGGTCTTATGTTTAAATCTTCAATCCATTTTGAGTTGAGTTTTTGGTATGGTTTAAGATAAAGGTCCAATTGTCCAATTTGCATGGAGATATACAGTTTTTCCAGTACCGTTTATTGAAGAGACTGTCCTTTCCCCATTGTGTATTCTTGGCACCCTTGTCAAAGATTATTTGACCATCTGTTAGTCTATATGTCTGTTTTTAAGCCAGTACCATACTGTTTTGATTACTGTAGCTTAATAACATATTTTTATTTTATTTTGAGTTTTATAGAGGCAGGGTCTCACTATATTGGCCAGGATGGTCTCAAACTCCTGGTCTCAAGCAATCCTCCTGCCTCAGTCTCCCAGTGTGCTGGGATTACAGGCATGAGCCACCACACCTAGCTTTTTATATATTTTGAAATCAGGAAGTTTGATGCCTCCTTCCAGTTATGTTCTTGATGAAAGTATGAGTTTTATACACAGATTTAATTTTTGGTTAAAAATCAATTAAATTATACTTTCAAAGATAAGATTTTGAGGTGTTTTAGAAGAGAAATGAGAAGCAAGGTGCTATGTATATTGTAGTTTGGATAAATGTTGTTCATAGAGGTATAGACACTGAAAGCCTTTGCTTCACAATAGCTATGGTACAGATGCTATAGGGCGGAAAATAATTAGTCAGGGCTGAAGTTAATAAACTACATAGGAATCACTGGATTCAATTCTATTTGTTTCACGGAGGTACTTCACATTGCTAGGTGACTTTGAAGGAAAGCAAGTATTTTTCAGCTTTAAAATTAGAAAAATTAGTGGATGTTAGGCAATCTACGAAAAATTTTGAAGTAATTATTAGTAATTTCTCAACAGTAGGTAAATTCAAATGTTCATTCCCATGTTAAAGATATGGAGGCAGAAAATAAAAAACTAAAAATGATCATGGGAGTGGTGTTGCTAGAAACTGGGAATAACGTTCATATCCTTTAGCTTTGTGACTACCCATCTACCCACACATTCATATATGGGAGTTATTGATAGTTCTGATTTGTTTGATTGGTGAATGTCATTTTCCAAGATATGTTGAAATTCCTAGAAGAAATAAGTGTTTTGTCAGGTGTGATGAATGCAGGGAAGGAAGATGAAAACAAGACAACATAGATGTATCAGTTTTCTCTTGCTGTTAATAAACTACCCTAAATAAAGCTTAGTGGCTTAAAACAATAGCATGTGATTCTGGAGGTTGACAATTTGGGCTGAGCTCAGCTGGGCAGTTTTGATCTCATCTTTTTCACGTGTCTTTTGCAACCCTGGGGTGACTATGTGGGTCTTCTGGGAGTTGACGGCTGTTGGTTGAAATACCTGGACTTTCCTCCACATGGTCCCTCATCCTCTAGAAGGCTAACATGCACTTATTCCCATAGTAGTAGCAGAATTTTAAGAGAAAGTGGGTTTGCATGTGGTGGCTCACACCTGTAATCCCAGCACATTGGACAGCTGAGGCAGGTAGATTGCTTGAGCCCAGGAGTTTGAAACCAGCCTGGGCAACATGGTGAAATCTTGTCTCTACAAAAATTACAAGAATTAACTGGTCATGGTGTCACGGGCCTGTAGTCCCAGCTAGTCAGGAGGCTGAGGCAGGAGGCTTGAGCCTGGGAGGCAGAGTTTGCAGTAAGCCAAGATCACGTCACTGCACTCCATCCTGGGCAATACAGCAAGACCCTGTCTCAAAAAAAGAAAGAAAGAAGAAAGAAAAAGAAAGAAAGAAGAAGGAAAAAGAAAGAAAGAAAGAAGAAAAAAGAAAGAAGAAAAAGAAAGAAAGAAAGAAAAAAAGAAAGAAAAAAGAGAAAGAAAGAGAACACATACAAGGAATGTATTCTAAGGATTGGTTTTGATCTCATCTTCTGTTCCTTCCACTGCATGCTACTATAGTTTCCAAAAAACGGTAAGACCAGCCTTTTTGATGAGAGGAGCTGCAGTCACATTTCAAAGGGCATAGATACAAAAAAGGGAGGGGCGTGGCCATTTTTCAATCAATCTACTGTCATGAACAGTATTGGGAAGCTGAGGGAAGATGGTCTTGATTTGTTGTTGAAAAAATGTGTGGAGAAATAGGAAGAAATAAAAAGAGGATACAGGCAGGGAGAAAGAAGGGCATCAAAGAGCAATGGCTGGTTAAAATGTGATACAAACAGCAATAGGGAACCCCGGAAGACCCTTAAGCAAGGCAGAAATGTAGACGAAGCAGAGGGCATGTATAAACATCCGCAGAGTTATAGGAGACTTCTGGCTGAGGGCCCGGCAAGATAAGTAGAGCGTTTGTATCTCTGAGTTTCTGAGTTAATGATGCCAGCAGTCTCTGGACCGGCCAAATTGTGGTGGATTTATTATTTACATTACAACTGCATTGTAAAATGAAAGCATATGTCTATATTTTCAATGCTTTGAAAATATCATTGAACATGCTGTAGAATTTTATATCCAGTATCAGGATGCAATTTCCCTATCAAATAA
Source organism: Homo sapiens (assembly GCF_000001405.40). Lineage (NCBI taxonomy): Eukaryota > Metazoa > Chordata > Mammalia > Primates > Hominidae > Homo > Homo sapiens. Next base: position 26,696,698 of record NC_000018.10, read on the forward strand.
AATTGTTGTTTGCTTTCTGTACTCTATATTATTATGGAAATTTCACAGTTTATCAGCTACAGTGAAGTCGACTGAAATGAGTAGGCCACATATTATACAAGCTGTTTTCTCCCACCCCTCCGAATATCCTGATTCCCTTTCTATTTATGCTAATACTGTTTTATGCTAATAATGTACTTTTTCTGTTTATCTGTTTTGTTGCCATACAGCCTGATTCATAGGAGAAACGCAAATGTTTTAAAGCTCTCTGGTGGAAATGATAGTGTTCTGAAATAACTCTAGCCAGGAAACATCTTGGTGGTACCCTCTAGTTTCACTTTTCTTCCTGCCTCTCTTGATGATCCATTGCTGAACCCAACAAATAAGAAGTTGCTTAGGGCCTGGTTAATTTTGCTGATTTCTGCAAAGTATGCCTGTGTTTGTTCCTAGTGACCATAAGAGTAATAGTAACTTACTGTGCAACTGGATAATATTGGGGGAGACCCCCTTTTCCAAAAGCAATTGACCCCCTCCCCCTTTTTAAAATTGCAGTGTGAAACCAGCAAGTACCCAAATCCTGTTAGCACATAGTGTTCTTATATTTCTGAGTTCTGGAATAACAATTTAATAGGGTGTGTCTCCCCTTAATGGTTGTGATGCAGGGCAGGCAAGCGCCCAAATTTAAGGGCTTATCCTGGAGAATTCTTGGCTTTGTCCAGGAAAGAATTCAATGGCAAGCTGGCGGTGTTAAACAGCAATCTTTTATTGAACAGTAGTGCTCCTTGTGGAACAGGGCTAACTCCTAGGCAGCAGGCCTACAACCTGCAATGTAGGGGCTGTTGGCAACTGTATTTCTACCCACTTTCAATTACATGCAAATTAGGGGGTGGGTCAATGCAATTTGAGGGGATGGGTTATTTAGAACTTTCTGGGAAAGGGGCAGTAATTTTCAGGTCATTGCCATGGAAAGGGGTGGTAACTTTCAGGTCGTTGCCATGGCATTTGTAAACCATCATAGCACTGGTGGGAGAGTCTTATGCTAACAGGCAATGAGGGCAGCTAGCTTTCCTCACCATCTGCTGGGTCCTGCAGTTTTCTTCGCTTTATTCCCTTGGAACCTGGAAATGAGTCCCGCTGGTGTCCTACCTCAGTTGCATGTTTTGAAAAATATACCGCATTAGAGCTTGGTAGCTCCTATTTTCTCTAAAAGTGGTCTTCAGGTCTTGTGTCCATTTTCTCATTTTAATTTGTTGCCCTGCATTTGGCTGACTGTGGATTCTGAGCAGGAGGGAAGGATCAGCTGGCAAAGCAAGGAAAAGTATGGTGGAAGGGTCCTTCCCTGATTAGGGGTCTAGGGGATAGTTATTTAACCTGTAAGTGTGAGAGATTTTATAAAGAAAATATTCAGAAAAATCGCTTCTCGGCCTTTTGGTTAAGATCAAGTGAAGAAAATATTCAGAAAATATCCGCTTGTGTAAAATAATATTTAAAGAACAAATGAATGTTTCTGGTAGCATGTCTTCATTATAAAGCCAGGTCAGTTAATCCTTGTGGCTGAGAGCATGACCTTTGACGCTAGTTTCCACCTCTTCCTAGCTGCATGACTGTGGGCAAATATGTTAAACCTCAGTCAGTCTCGGCTTAATAATAACTCATAAGAATGTGTCAAAAGTTAAATTAATAAGTGTATTTGGTGCACAGTGCTTGGCATACAGTAAGGGCTCAGCACTGGCATCATCGTCATTATCACTGTTGTTGTCGTCATTGTCATTAACCAGCCTCCTCACATCTATTTTCTTATGCTGGTGTTCAAGGCCAAACTCTATCAATCATGTGATGTTGACTAGTAGGTGCTAGGTACATAGCCCTCAACAAGTTTATGAGAAATAAGGGAATGAGTGAGTGAATCTATCAATCATATTGTAATTACAGTGGTGCAGTGGTGTGTGTGCGTGTGTGTGTGTGTTTCTTTAAAAGGAGGATTCATTAGCTGAGCGTGATGGTGAGCATCTATAGTCCCAGCTACTCAGGAGGCTGATGTGAGAGGATTGCTTGAACCCAGGAGTTCAAGCCACTGCACTACAGCCTGGGTGACAAAGCAAGATCCTGCCTCAAAAAGAATAAATAAATAAAATAAAATAAAATAAAAGGAGGATTCAACCCAAATAAACAGATAAGTGCTTTTGATGACCTATAAATGGTGGAATGACTAGTAACAAAAAACTTTCTCCAGGGATTTATTGATGTTTTTGAAAATCCTAAATGGAAAACCAATAGCAAGTACGTAGAAGAAGCATTGCCTCAAGGCACCCAGGCCCTCACTTGACTTATCTCTGTCTTATCTCCCAAGGCTGCCCCTGAGGCTCCCCCTTTGGAATTCTAGGGCTCAGAGGAGTCTGGGTGAACACAAATGCCCTAAAGAAATATTGCAATTAATGTCTTTGTAGCTTGACTGTTTTAATAATGCTTTAAAAATTGTTTGAAAAAAGGGCAATGTTCATAGCTAGAGACTGAATTTCAGGCAACAAATACATCACATTATTCCAGACATCTTGGCCATCACAACTTCAGGATAATGTGCCCTGTTTTTCAGGAAAGGCTGGGCGTGGTGGCCCATGCCTGTAATCCCAGCACTTTGGGAGGCCGAGGTGGGAGGATTGCTTGAATCCAAGAGTTTGAGATCAGTCTGGACAATATAGTGAGACCCCGTCTCTAAACAAAAAAACAAATTTAAATTATCTGGGAATGGTGGCACATGCCTGTAGTCTCAGCTACTTGGGAGGCTGAGCAGGGGAGGATAGCTTGAGCCAGAGAGGTCAAGGCTGCAGTGATCATAGCTGCAGTGAGCTATGATCACACCACTGAACTCCAGCCTGGGTGACAGAGCAAGATCCTGTCTCAAAACAACAACAACAACCACAAAGTCCCCCTGCCCCCCGCCCCCAAAAAACACTGAGGAAAATTCTAAAATTATGAAGTACAGAAAGCGTCAAGATTGTTTTCAAATTTACTGAAGTCTCTGACTTTCCACACTCTGGTCTCTAATTAATCTCTTTCCCAAGACTTCCCAGGGTGTTATCTTCTTCTGAATTGGTGCATTCTCCTTAGAGCCCCTCCTTAAACAACCTCCTCTTGCTTTTAGGGACCTCTCTCCTTTCCCCGTTTAAATCCTATCCATCTTTCAAGTCCTAAGACAAATTCTATCTCTTCTAGGATATAGTTTTCTACAACTCTCTCCCTTATTTAGATCCACACAGTGTAGCATTTAATTGTTCTGTGTTAGCTTTGTCTTCCTAAGTAGGTCACGTTCTCCTTGAGGGCAAAGATTATGCTTTAGTTTCCCTTGTTTCTCACTTGGAGAGGCTGGGAGTGATATATACATAGTAGGTGCTGATTAAATATTTGTTGATTGATTCCCTGCAAAGGAGTAGCTGCAAACTAAAGTTAAAGCACTAAACAAACCAAAGCAGTGATCTGAATCTCCCTTTGGGAAGATACTCTTACGGGAATGGAAAAAATTCTTCAAAGAGCCTTGTCAGTTAATGTTCTTCTTTGAATGCCCTTCTAATGAGATTTCAGGTGGGGGTGGTGCAGGGCTGCAGGAGCACTGTTCTCCTTTCCTGTATAGTTTGGGGTCAGCTACCAAGGACATCCCAGGAGAACAGGGACTCTGGGGTACAGAGGCATGAGGATAGGATATAAAACAAAAAGGAAGTGAAATGCTTGTACACTCATGTCTACACCCAAGAATGTGTAATGCAAGTCTCTTACCCACAAACCAGAATGAAGAGAGGTTTGGTCCTGCAGCTAGAAAATAAGAGCAAGAGTGAGAGAGAGAGAGAGACAGAGAGAGAGACAGAGCCCTGAGGCTCTTTGGGGTTGATAATATTCTCTAAAGCTGGGGAGGGGAGAGCTGATAAAAAGTGCTTGTTCACACTTAGCAGCATGAAAGGTGACTGAGAATTAGCCTAAGCCTCTGTGCCTAGCCTCTTTATAATGTACTGAAAGTTTCATAGCTCTATGCAGGGCAGAGACTGGGCAGGGTACAATTCTTTACAAGACTAAATCTTCAGGGCTCTAAGGAAAGGGAAAAGAATGAATGAGAGGCACACTAGCAGGGTTGGGATAAATGGGTGCAGGAGGAGAAAAGCTGCTTCTTCCTCTTCTCTGGAGAGATCAAGGATGAGTGGATGGAGGGCTGTGTGAGCACATACACTTCAGAACCTGATGATGGGTAGTGGCTGAGGCCACTCATACAAACATGAAAACCACTGCTGAGTTGATGCACATTCATTTCTGATAGCTCAGCAATCTTACTATAAATAGGGAACAGCAGATGCCATTCATTGTTCTGGAATTGGAGGCACGGGCTCATTGTCTTGCTTGGGATATTTGGACCGGCATCATTTATTAATCTAAATATTCAGTAAAAGTGGAAAGTCAAGGATTCTCAGGTTATGGAAATTAGTGATCCCCTCCAACAGAAATAGACGTCAACACTACTTTTACAGATGCTGATGAAAAAGTAAAATGATTTGGTGGCCCATTGGCCAATTTACCTATTCATCTCTCTACCATCTATGAGTCTATATTTTTGATGCATTTCAAAGTAAATTGCAGACATCAACACACTTAACCCTAAATACTTCATAATGCACATATATAACTAAAGTTCAATATATGTTTACAGTTTTTTTCTTATGATATAAGATTAGCAAGGTTGCTTATATACAATGTAAATTGCTTATCTATAAGATGGAATGGTCCCTAATGTGGATGTTATCATCCTTAAGTGGAATTTTAATTTCCACTCTAGGTCCAAAATATTTTCTTTGTAAAATAATTCCTTTGAAGTGATAATGGAACATATGAAACACACACACACACACACACACACACACACACACACACTTCATCTCTCCTCTTGGATCTTTGAACATACACATACACTCTCTTCGTCTCTCCTCTTGGATCTTTGAACTTTGCTTCTGCTTAAAATCTCTCAGGATGGTTTCTGTAACTCTTTTTGGGGAGCGTTTGTTCCCTCTGGGTATGAGGCTCATCCACAGGTTCTTAAATATTGTAAAACCACCCATGTCCCACAGGTATAGCTGGGAAGACTGTTGGGTGATTCTAAGAAAGGAAAAGCAGGCGAGGAGAAGAGGTTAGGATATTTTTTATGGGAAAAAGCCATAACCAATGTCTAGATGGTTGAATATGCAATAAGCTGCCTGCTATTGCCCTTGGTTCTCAGCGGATATTCATAGCACAGAATATTCCAGGAAAAGTAGTAGTTTGGTTTCACCCTTGCTCTGCTTGGCAGTCCAGCAGTGCATGGGTAGGGGAGGCCTCCCCAGCAGAAGACACTTTCAGATGTGACCTTTCCTCACTACTTACATTGAGAAGGAAGAGGGCAGAGCAGAGTAGGCTGGAGATCTAAGAGCACAGTGCTCGGAGGAGAGATGGTGGGAGAGAGAACGCAGCCCCAGTCACTCTCCTTTATGACTTCCGGAGTCTGCTAGTGCCACAGTTCTCAAGTGTGCTTTGGGGGGTGGAGGGGGGTGCTCTGGAGGTCCCTTATGACTTCCGGAGCTCACTAGTGCCACAGTTCACTTAGGGACCCTCTTAGGGTATGTGTGAGGTCATCCCTTTTCCAACTGCGTAGTCATGTGAAGCTGAATTTTCTTTAGCTACACCACTAAAACAACATATTGCAACAAAGCGAATGCAGAAGTGGATATGAGAACCTAGCTGCCTTTTCTTAACATAGGTGTTAAAGAGACTTGCAAAAATGCAAAGTAATGTTACTCTTCTCATAAATTTTTAATTTTGGAAAATATAGTTTTTAAATGGAATAAAAATGCTGTCTATGTGTTATGTACCTTAGCATGTAATGGGTTTATAGTTCTTTTAAAATAAATGTCTACATGAATATTTAAAGTTTTCTTACTTTTAATTTCTTTCTCTCTCTCCCTTTCCTTCCTTCCTTCCTTCCTTCTTTCCTTCCTTCCTTCTTTCCTTCCTTCCTCCCTCCCTTCCTCCCTCTCTCTCTCTTTCTCTCTTTCTTTCTTTCTTGACAGAGTCTTGCTCTGTCAAGCCCAGGCTGCAGTGCAGTGGCACAATCTCAGCTCACTGCAACTTCTTCCTTCCGGGTTCAAGCAATTCTCCTGTCTCAGCCTCCTGAGAAAGTGGGATTACAGCCGCCAGCCACCATGCTTGGCTAATTTTTGTATTTTTAGTAGAGACAGGGTTTCACCATGTTGGCCAGGCTGATCTCAAACTCCTGACCTCAAGTTATCCGCCTGCCTCGGCTTCCCAAAGTGCTGGAATTACAGGTGTGAACCATTTTAATTTCTAATATCATCACTAATAATCTACATAAATAAAAGCTGTTTGGGGTTCTCGATAATCGCTGAGTGAAGAGGCTCTGAGACTAGAGTTTGAGAACATCTGCCTAAGGAAGAGCTTACGAATTCCAAAACCATGGCAGGAATGGCGATCCTTAGAGAAGATGGATTCATTTCAGGGACATGTTAACTGTAAAAAGATCAACTCTTCCTCTCTGAACCAACAGCCTGTGTCTACTCCCAAGTGCAAGTGTCCTGAGAGAGGTATGGCTGCATGCCTGCCAGGGAGTTTCCTTCCTTTACTTCATAGCACTGTTTGTTCACAACATTTTCTTCCTTATTGACTTGAACACAAGGACACCACCTACCTCATGTCTTCCTTCTTCCCGTGGATGTCCAGATGAAGCACTCCACACTCCTTTGAGAGAGATAAACAAGGAAGATGTGTGCTTAGTCCAGAGGTTTCATCAAGAAATGAAAGCAGAGACAATAAAGTTTTGGTCTTGGTTCTCCTGTTGGCTTCAGAATGAACATAATTAAGATGATTAACGATCAACTCAGGCCTGAAAAATGAGTAACTGTAGGTCATGTTGCCATGAAGTTACGAAGAAAAAGAACTCTTCAGAGGTGTATACATGTTCCTGGCCACTCTGCTTCTTAGGGTGGAGTTAGAGGACTCCCCGCCCTCCTTGCCTGCGAAGGAGGAGGCGTGGCCACACAGATAAAGCTGGTCTGAAAAGAGCATGGCTTTATTTGTTCTGGGGCCAGGTGAGCTTGCAAATCCACAAACTCAGGATCTGGCTGACTTAACCACCCAGCACAGGTGTCTCTGGAAAAAGTTGGCCACCACCCCTGGGTAGACCCTTTCACCATTTAGCAGAAAGGGAGGTGCTGAGTCACCATCACCAAATTATTTTCCCTGAATTTCCCAATTAGATACTTTAGTCTTTCTTTACTGGCAAGGAGTGAGAATGTGCAGACAGGCAAAGCGTGTTAATGCTGGTGCAGCCCCCTCTGCTTAGAAGGAGGTTCAGGAATCAGGTACAAGTATTATTGCCAAGCACATGCCTTCATTTGTTGAAGGGTCACTGAGTGCCTATCTGTGGCACTGACCGAGTTACGGCTTCTGAAAGAAACTGTCTTGAGCAGGGAGCTTCAACTGGGCACTGGAGGAGCTGGGAGGCAAAGGACCAGCCTGTTCATTGGCTAGAGAAATCCAAGGCTGATATCAGAGATCACATGATAAACACCAGGCAAGAGGGCTCAGAGATGGGCATCAAGGTCAGCCCTGGAGCCATGAGCTCTTTATATATGTGAGGAACTAGAAAGGGGTGGTGTTCCAGACAGTTGTCTTGCTCCCTGGCTTCCACACTTGCAACCTACCTCTGGGAGCCAGCAGGGTGTTTTGTACACAGATGAGTAAGGTTTGCTAACAGGACCAAGGATAGAGTGATCAGAGTTGTGTTTCACAAAGATAATTTGTTAGGTACCTACTACACGCTAGATTCAGGTACTAATCCAATATTGTACCTGGGTCGCTAAGACTCCAACTTCCCAAGACCCCTCCCTTTCTGGGGGCAGAGTTAGGGCATTTGGTAATCTTCCTCAGCATCCATGGTAGCTTGGCTGCTGCCCTTGCCTTTGGTCGCAGCTGTGGCCGACCCTAAGCTTCTTTGATATGGGTGTTCTGCTCTGTTCTTCCTGTACTTCTGTTTCTTGTGTGGTTGCCTTTCCTCATGGCCAGTCCTCTTTTAAGCACCACTATTCTAGGTCCAGCATTCTCTTTTATTTTTTATTGAGATAGAGTCTGGCTCTGACACTCAGGCTGGAGTGCAGTGGTGTGATCTTGGCTCACTGCAACCTCCACCTCCTGGGTTCAAGCGATTCTCCTGCCTTAGCCTCCTGAGTAGCTGGGATTAGAGGTGCCTACCACCATGCCCAGCTAAATTTTGTATTTTTTAGTAGAGATGGGGTTTTACCATGTTGGTCAGGCTGGTCTCAAACTCCTGACCTCAGGTGATCCACCTGCCTCAGCCTCCCAAAATGCTGGGATTACAGGAGTGAGCCACCACGCCAGGCCATGGTCTAGCATTCTCAAGCTGGAGCGTGTCCCTCCTCATTCCAACTAATTGCAACTCTTGGGTGATCAAAGAGTCTTGCTTATTGTATTTGGTAGTGGTTTCTGCCGAGACACTTAGAACGGATTCTCTAGAGTCAGAGCAGCTGGGTCTGTAAAGGGCAGTTGTTGATGGCACAGCAACTTGCTGGTGGAACAGCAAGAATTCTTGAATTCTTCACTCACTCTGAACCAGGGTCTGAAGGTGGATCATGTGTAGAGTGATCACATAATTTGTGGTCCAAGCTGAGATAATTTTGAGAATGAATGGAAGTGCTATGAATAATGACACCAGTGCAACAGGGGTCCCTGAGATTGCCGTTCTGTTCTTCCTCACATGTGCCTGATCTTTTTAGGGGTAGTGTTCATTGATTAGCTGACAGTTTCTTCTTCCTTTTTCTTTTTTTGGTTTAAAGACAGAGTCTCACTCTGTCACCTAGGCTGGATTGCAGTGGCACAATCCTAGTTCACTGCAGCCTTGAATTCCTGGGCTCAAGCAATCCTCCCATCTCAGCCTCCTGAGTACTTGCAACTACAGGCAAGCCACCACTACACTCAGCTAACTTTTAAACATTTTTTATAGGGATGGGGTCCTGCTATGTTGCCCAGGGTGGTCTTCAACACTTGAGGACTGAATTCAAGCAATCCTCCCACCATGGCCTTTCAAAGTGCAAGGATTATAGGTGTGAGCCACATCACTCAGCCTGACAGTTTTTTTATTTTCTCCCAGGAAAACCTAGGAAGTTTTCATGTGAATCCCATGCCTGCTGAACTGCTCAGATAAAACAAAAATAGTAGCTAACATTTACATAGCACTTACCATATGTTAAACACTGTTCTATGTGTTTTGCATTTGTTAACTTATTCAATCTTCCCTATCCCATGAGATTGGTATTCTATTTTTGCTTCCATTTTACAGATGGAAAAATAGGAACACAGAGGTTAAATAGCTTGTCTAAGCAGCAGAGCCAGAATTTCAACCTAAGAGGCTCCAGAGCATGTGCATGTGAACACTGCACCATGTTGCCTCTGCCCTGCAGCCTTATAATTTAGTTCCAACCAACATTTATTGAGGACCCGCTACATGCCTGGATGTGTGCTGGGTACTAGTGGTGCCAAGTCTAATGAACATGATGCCTGCTATGTTTCAGTTCCCCATCAGGGACAATGAATGAGGCCTGCTCTTGTACTGGGAAAATAATCTATAGGGTGTCCTGTGGGGAAGGCCAGGTATACCATCATGCAACATGCAGATTTATATTCAGCTCACAGTTTATCTTATTTGGATGGCCACTGCTGAATTACCTTAGTTCTCAGTTCTCAGACTTTGGTGTTATGAGTTGTCCTTTGAACCCATAATTAAAATCTTTCAATCAGAGGCAGTGCTCCCAAAGCAATGTGCACTGTTTATGAAACTACCAAGGGAATGTTCTCAATAGGCAAGGAAGGTTAATGAGAGCACACTGGTGGCTTCGTTTGTGGCTGCCTCTTGGCAACCCCATGCTGTTACCCCCATCTTGTTTTGTACACCAAACATCTTGTTTTGGGGACTTTGCAGAAAGAAGATGGGAGCAGACCCTCCAGGGACAACATTTTTTCAATTTATTTCCTTAAGAAGTATGATGTGTAGGATGGCGATGTGCAATTCTGACTACCTTAATATGGTTTCCTCTAAGAATTCATGATGTTGAAACAGAGGCATTTGAATAAAACAAGGGGAAGGTCTTCATCTTGGCGAGGTACGAGGGCTTTTTTTTTTTTTTTTTTTTGGCATGAGCACACCCTTGAGAAACAGAGCGCTTATTGTTCAGCATATCAGGGCTCTGTGCCGGTCAAGGAAATGCTGATGAAGTACTTATGCTCGGTGGAGGGGTGAGGAGTGGGAGGTCCTCATGAGATGGGTTTATTTAGCCTGCCCTTCCAGATAGCCTTCCAATCGTGTAAAGGCGGTGGTGTGTGTGTGCATGCCTGTGTGTTTAAAATTAGAAAAATCACAGAAATGTACAAGGAGCCCTCGTGCCCTGACTGTCCCCAGTTCATGGAATTGTTTGCCTGCTTTGGTTCACATCGTGCTGCACTATGTACAACGCACACGAACATACCCTGTCTCGTCTGAATGAAAAACTTTGAAGGAAGTTAGGATGTTAAAACAGTGTGTTTCCAAATAGGGCATTTCTCAAGCACAGTTTTCCCTAAATGAAGAAGTATGTAGTGTGTTGAAGCTAACCTGCTATCAAACCAAATTGATCATTGTTCATTGAGTGCCCACCCGATGAGGGTCCATGTATTGAGCACTCGGTAGGGGTGAGGGATTGGCTGGTGATTAAGTGGATCATACCACCTTATACTGACTTACAGAGGTGGGTGATCATGAGCCATTTTACAGATAGGGAGAGTGAGACACAGAGAAAGTAGACAGCTTTTTCTAAAGTAGTAGAACCAGGATCCAAGCCCAAGCTGTTCAGGCAGCAAAAACTTGCCATGGGACTACCATGTTTTTTCCTGTGCATGCTGAAGGGACCCTTAGAGGAAGTTCCCACAGATATGTTCACATTCAAATTAATGAACTTTACACCTGGGATTGGAAATTCCTAGAGAATAGGGTAATGTGTGTGGGGTGTGTGTGTGTGTGTGTGTGTGTGTGTGTGTGTGAAAGAGTGAGAGAGAGACAGAGATTTGCTAATACAGATTAAACGTAGTCATAAATCTTAAAAGATTTATTCTCCACACTTTATTTTATTTTATTTTTGAGGCAGGGTCTAACTCTGTTGCCCAGGCTGGAGTGAAGTGGTGTGATCATGGCTCATTGCAACCTCGACCACCCCAGGCTCAGGTGATCCTCCTTAGTAGCTGGGACTACAGATGGGCACCATCAAGCCCAGCTAATTATTTTTATTTGTTATTGTAGAGACAGGTTTTTGCCATGTTGCCTAGGCTGGTCTTAAACTCCTAGGCTCAAGCAATCCTCCTGCCTTGGCCTCCCAAAGTGTTAGGATTACAGGTGTGAGCCATCTCATCTAGCCCTCCACATTTTATTATAAAATTTTTCATACAGACAACAAAGATGAATGAATTATATAGTGAACACTTATATACAATGGAGTGTCTGCTATTAATATTTTACTATAGCTATTTTTATCTATCTAGCTATTATCTATCAATCATCTATTTATCTGTCTAATTTATCTATTCATCTATCCATCTATGAGTCTATATTTTTGATGCATTTCAAAATAAATTGCAGACATAAATACACTTAACCCTAAATACTTCATAATATGCATATATAACTAAAGTTTAACACGTTTACAGTTTTTTTTTTCTTTTGATGTAAGATGTACATGCAATGAAATGCACAGGTCTTGAGTACAGATTTACAGAGTTTTGATAAATACTGTGTAACCCAAATTTCTCTCAAGTTATAAAATATAACTATCACCCCAGAAGGTTCCCTCACACCCTTTCCCAGTCAATTTCTGCCTCTCCCCAGCCCCACCCCTCCAGAGACAACCAGTGTTCTGACTTTTCCACCAATGACTCTTTTGTGTGAGGCTTCTTCCACTTTGCATAACATTTTGACATTTATCCATATTGCTGTGGGTAATGTTGTTTGTTCCTTTTACTTGCTGATTGATATTTCATTGTATGAATATTCTATAGTTTGTTTATTCATTTTTTTGTTGATGGACTTTTTCTAGTTTTTGGATTCCATGGATAAAGCTGTTCTGAATACTGTATAAATCTTTTTGTAAAGATATGTTTTTGTTGCTCTTGGGTAAATGCCAAGAAGTAGAATTGCTGGGACAAAGGGTAGATATATGTTTAGTTGTATAAGTAACTATCAGAACTTGTCACAGTGGTTCCGCCTTTCCGGTCCCACCCACAACGTATGGTGTTGCTCCATACCCCTGTCGGTGTTTAGAGTTGTCTGTCCTTTTTAATTTAGCCATTCTGGTGGGTGTCTAGGTAGAAAATTAAAGTTGATGGCAATGGCAATAGTTATGATAGAGTGATAGATACCTCTCCATAGCAAATCACAGTCGCTATTCCTTAGATTTCACTTGGAAGCTCATCATTTTGGCTGTTGGGTCTGCTCTTAACTCTCTAAGTACCCACTCTAATGTTTTCTGATTGACAGATGGAAGTGCTCCCAGGCAGTACTGATTTTCAGGCTAATGCTCCTACTACAATCAGCTCACTTAGGGCTTCTTTGTGTAGTCTGGATGCTCAGCTTTAACCCTTTGACATTTCTTTGCTTTACTTCTTTGTCAAACTTCTTAAGCCAGATTGTGATTTCTCTTCTTTTTCAGAGTTTTCACCTGGCAAGAGGTTGATGATTTAAATGTCAAAAGAGGCAGACTCCAGATAAAATGCTGAACAAACAATTTTGAGGACTTAGACCTTTCTTTTCTGCCATTACTACTTCTCAAGCTTCTTCTGATTCCCAGAGAATGGGATGGAAAAAGTGAGGTAGGGTTTGGAAGGACGGGCCTCTGCTCTTATGTGTGCAGCTATGCTTCTGGGTCTCTTCATTCGTGTTGATTGAGTGCCTTGAATTTCTGGGGCCTCAGTTTCCTCACTTGTAGAACAGGGAGACTGGAACAAATGACATTTAGGGCTTTCTGTCTTTCTGAAATTTCAAAACTAACTTTCTGTTTTGTTAGAAGTTAAGAAATTTCTTAAAGCTTGGAGGTGAAGCTATTGCTTTAAAAATTTTTAAGTGATTCTTTAATATTTCCTACACCTTCTCCAATGGCTTAATAATAACCTGATATATTCATGGAAACAGGTCTCACTTATATATTTTGATTTAAGGGTTTCTTTAATTATGCCATTTACTGTTTTCAGATGCTGCGGTTTCACTCTGGTAGGATTCAGTCTCAAACTGCAGAGGTACTGGGTAAGCTGGTATTTATTTTACCTTTGTTTTGGGATTCTTTCAGACAGACTGGATGTTTGCACTGGACTCATTGATTTTCTCCTCCCCCCCACTTACATTGTCATTCTATGCTATTCAGTTGTATTTTATAATTGGGTGGTGGCAGTAATGAGAAAGAAGAGTATGAGAAATGATGTTTAGGTGGGCTGCAGTCTCTGTCTGTAGGCAATCATTGTGAAGCAGGAAGGAAGGGGATGGGAATAGCTAGAGAGAATTGGCTTAAGGGGAAATAGCCCAAATCTCAGTTAAAACAAGATAAGGGTCGAAGAGATAGTATCTACTGATAAAGGTGTGTTCCCTTGCACTGCCACTAATGCGCGGGAGCATTAAATGTAAGGGAGATTTTCTGGGGTTGTTATTCCCTGCAGTCTCAGGAAGAGAAAGTATCCCAGTCACAGAGGAAACCTTCAACTACAGACAAACCACAGTCCCCAAATCCTCTCAAGCTATAAGGTTTCAAGCACAAAATTCTTGAGCAAACACACCAGGTGCCTCTCTGCATTGATTGTGATTTTTGGTGCTAAACAGAGAGCATTGCAGATGATGCTGAAGGTCAAATGAAGGTGGAGAAACCGCAAAACAGCATGACACACCACCCAACTGCAAGCTAATTGGGAAGGAAATGGTTTCAAACTGACAGACTGTGGCCTGATAACCGAAATCTCATAGGGACAAAAGGTTCGTGTCATTTAAAGGGGTAGCTTTGCCTATTTAAATTGTGCAAACAAAAGAAATGAAAACCCCCTCCTGGGATGGGAAGTTCTATTAGCAGATATTACCATCCTTGCTTTTATGCCCTTCTGTGTCACAAGCCCTGAACATGTGCTGCGTGTCCTCAGGCATTCATTGGTTAATTTACTTATTCAAAGTAAGGCAACAACAACAAAAAAGCAACAGAAAAACCCCAAACAAATTACATACTGGGGCACAGACAGCATTAAGATGCAGTGCACAATTTTGATATGTGGGCTTTTAAAAGAAATGTGTTTGGTCTGAAATTGTACATATGTTAAACTCTGGAGAAAGTAAGACGCCTCCTACGGTGGTTCCTCTGGGAATTGAAAGAAAAAATTCTTTGAAGCTATGACTATATTGAGAACCAGAGGTATTTGATATAATATCAGGTACTCCATTGTGGCCAACAACAGTCAATTTGGGCTTGAGCTTAATCAATGTTCCAGTAAAGGCACAGGAGAAGGCCAATGGTTCTATCATATGGATATGGTAGAAGTTAATTATATACTTAATTATATCCTTTAGTTTTGAAATTTTTATGGAATTACTTCCAAAATAACCTTGTGTAATATATTCCCTTATATTTTAAAGCTGAATTGTAATGAGTGAAATAATACAAAATAATTAATACTTTAAACTTTGCACTTAGTTGAGTCTTCAAAAGAAACCATTCGACAATCTATGATGACAATACTTTGGGGTTGACAAGGCCTACATTTTTCTAATGGGAATATTAAAGTCTAGAAAGATTAATGAACATATTCATGTCATGAAAGAAGCTGAGGTAGGGTTCCAACCAACCTTTTTCTCTTGTCTCAAAGATTAATTAATGAGTTTTTTTCTGTCATGGACTATGATAGTACCCATGTATTTTGTGTATCTTAATGTATTTAGTTCAGCATCTGTGACATCATAATATTTAACTTTGGTTTGATGACAAGTACTTGTGTTTAAAAGAAATAAATATGAGCTAGGGTAAGAAAATTGTAAATTCACAGTTACTTCCCATTTTCTGCTTCTGAATAGAACATTCTTTCCAGAGCAATACTACTACTAATTCTAATAAAAACGAAACAAACTTAAAGTAAAAAAAAAGACTTGTTGCTATCGTAAAAAAAATGAGACAATTTCCTTTGTGATTTATCTTAATTACGTAATCATTGCTTCATAAGATTTCCCAAACTTGAGAGCATTAGACTCAAGAAACCCAAAGTGACATGTAATATTTATTGTATTTAAAGGACTTTGCCATTCAGTTTAGCAGGCATGACAGGTCCATGGCACTTATGGTGCCAGCTCTGGTCCATTTGAAGTTATCAATTGACCTGCAGAACATTTAGAAACATACCAGTGATTGGTAAGTAAGCTTTTCTTGGGTAGCTATGATTTGGATGGCTGGCATGTGAATGCTAGCATTCCCATGAGAAATACAGGTTACTAGGCAAATTGAGTTTTATTAAACTCTGAACTCTGAGAGAGTACCAGCTCTACATGCAAAAAAATAGTTATTTGAGGGAAAACTTTCCTGTCCTAAATTTCTCTCCTACCAATTTATCATAGTAGCAGAAATGACCAGTATTCACAGCCATTTCTTAGGTTTAAGGCTCTCTGTCCAGAAGGTCTCCATTAAAATGCAAATATGTTACTCAGAAAGGGCTACTCATCAATCCATTTGCACTTCAGGAAGGATTAGTTTATCAGATCAGAGGAAAGAAAATAAGACCCCAAGGAATAGGAGATAGAAAGCCCTCTTTTCTGATTGGAAAAGAGGCTGGGTAAAGTATTTTCAACAGGCCCTTTGCTGTCTTGACTATGGGGCCTTTGTGAATTTATCTTCTATTGCTTTAAATATACCCTTGCTGCCATTGAAATTCAACTCTGCCTCAACTGTCCACTTCCATTCTCATCTTTTCTCTGCAGTATTTTCTGAGCTACCTAGGAAGAAGTAAGCTCTCCTCCATCTGAATCCCTCATGTTCATTACCTGTATCATTCATTAGTCAAATCTTGTCTTTGGGCTGGTGTATGGCTCATGCCTGTAATCCCAGCACTTTGGTAAGCAGAGCTGGGAGGATCTCTCGAAGACAGGAGTTCAAGGTTGCAGTGAGCTGATTGTGCCACTGCACTCCAGCATGGTTGACATAGTGAGACTCTGCCTCTGAAAAAAAAAAAAAAAAGAAAAAAATCCAGGTGCAGTGGCTCATGCCTGTAATCCCAGTGCTTTGGGAGGCTGATGCTGGAGGAGCACTTGAGCCCAGGAGTTCGAGACCAGCCAGGGCAACATAGTGAGACCCCTGGCCCTATTTTTAAAAAGTTAAAAAAAACCTAAAAAAGTAAAAAGGAAAATAAAAAAAACCCTGCTCTTTGTTGTAGATATTCTTTCATTTGTATACATCTTATTCACCAACTTTATAGTCAGCTCCTGGAGTGCTCAGGAACCAAGTTAGCGATCTGAGGGAAGAGAGAGGCTGACTTGGGTAAGAGTGGAGAGCAGTGACTGCTGCCTACTCCTGAAACATCCTGGATTCTGTCATGATGCTTTTACCTGGATTCTTCCCTTTGCCTCTTTCCTTTGGAATAGGGACTTTCTGGCTTTGGTTTTGGTTTCAATGTTCAGGTAGTTCTTAACTCCTTGATCCAGAGGCCACACGCATTGTTACTCATCAAGCCCTATATCACTGCAGGGCCATTTTGCTAGTAGGGTGGCTGCTCCTTCATTCTAGTAGGCAGGTCTGTGCAATGAATGGATGCAGGTACAAGTACCACTCTGGAAATCACTATACCTCTGGTTCCTTGGTCATAAAAAGGGGTATTCTGGCTCTAGTAGGACACTACGTATCGGGTTCTGGCTTGCAGATCAATGCCGTGACAGAATCATGTCATTGGAAAATAATCCAACTTCTGGTTAGCTGGTATAACTACTCAACTAACCCAAGACCTGGTTAAAAAAAAAGTGAAGAATAGGGACCAGGAGACAGGAAGATCAGTCAGCTGGTTACAAAATTCTGGATGCAATAAGCTTTGATAGGAAGCCTGTGTTGTTGATGCATTATTTGTAAAAGTTCTTACCTGGGTCATACGGCCATGGCCCTCTTCAGCTGATTATATAGTAGGGTGTTGATACCTTATACTTCTTAATATTCTGTTAGATCACTCAAGATTGTTTGGTTGCATGCAAGACAATGACTTGGGTAACCTAACTAAAGAGAACATTTAAGGGCTTCGTAAATAAAAAGCTAAGGATAAAACTTTAGATGCAGCTTAATCCAATACTCCAAATGCCATTAGAGCCATCTCTCTCCCATGTTCACTTCTCCTCTTTTCTGGGTTGATGTTATTCTCAGGCCCAAAGATAAACACCATCAGTGTCTGGCTTATGTGGTTCTTACAGCACATGCTTGTGTAGCAGAAGGAAAATACTCTTTGTCACTCTCTGAATCTTCATAGCAATCCCTAGAAAGGGCTCTCATTGGTCTTACTGGGGTCACATAGTTGTTTATGCCGATAGGCCAGCCTGACTTGCAGGTCTACCATTTGCTGAGGACAGTGTTTTCTTTTGATTGACAACCCTGCCAGACTGTAGGGAATAGGCAAGAGGCAGTCTTACAAAGAAACTGATACAAGGAACCAACAAAGTAACAATGTCCAAATCGCCCCACAAATGTCTTCACCTTATAGATACTTAACTAATGTGTGTTGATAATGATGATGAAGTGTTTGCAGAAGAAGGAAGACTAGGGATCCAAAAAGGGGGATTCTGGGCATCTGGGGGCACAAGAGGCTGCCGCTGGGGGTGTGGGAAAGGTCAACGGCACTGAAAATGAGAAAAATTTTGCTCCAAAAGGAGGCTGGGAGCTAGGTACAGTGGCTCACGCCTATAATCCCATCACTTTGGGAGGCTGAGGTGGGAATTCGAGACCAGCCTGGGCAACATAGTGAGACCTGTTTCTACAAAAAACCAACCCAACCCAAACCAAAACAACCAAAAAGAGGCTTGAGTGAGGGATGTTGCTCATAGTGAAGATCCGACGTTTTTTATTTCACACTTTTGCCTGTGGCTGACGCTGACTGACGGGAAAGTATTTGCTGAACCAAATGACTCTATAAAGATAACATGCTTTCCAGCAGTTTCCTTTTCGGGGGGATGGGGTGACATGGCACACTTTCTGGTTTTGATGAATCACCCCAGATAGCAGGAGGCTTTCGTTTGCTTATATAATAGATCAATTTCAAGGTCTCAAACTGTGTATTATAATTAGCAATGCAAACCTCCAGAGCATCATCTCTTACTCTAAAGAAAATATTGTGTAGATCTAGTAGAGTATTCTCATGAGCTTTATTTTTCCTCACCCCTCTACTGAGTTCTTTCAGTGTCCAAGCTGACTGAGAAAGCCACTCTTTAGAAAGTAGAATCTGATGTTGAGATCTCTTTATTAATAAGTATAGGCCCAATGGTTGCAGAATTCTCTTCTATGTTTAATGGCCCTTTATTAATTAGTCCTCAGTATCATAGAGAGAATGAAAATGAGACTATGGTTCTATGGGAGGAAGAAAAAAAACCTCTGTTGGGACAATCTGAAGTATTGAGACTCACTTTTTTTTTTTTTTTTTTTCCCGAGACAGAGTCTTGCTGTGTCACCCAGGCTGGAGTGCAGTGGTGCGATCTCAGCTCACTGTAACCTCTGCCTCCTGGGTCCAAACAATTCTCCTGCCTCAGCCTCCTGAGTAGCTGGGATTACAGGTACCCACCACCACGCCTGGCTAGTTTTTTGTATTTTTAGTAGAGAGGGGGTTTCACCATGTTGGCCAGGCTGGTCTCGAACTCCTAATCTTGTGATCCGCCCACCTCAGCCTCCCAAAGTGCTGGGATACAGGCTTGAGCCACCACGCCTTGCCTTCTTATTTTTCTTTCTTTTTTTTTTTTTTTTTTGAGATGGAATATTGTTCTGTCGCCCAGGCTGGAGTGCAGTAGCGCGATCTCGGCTCACTGCAACCTCTGCCTCCCAGGTTCAAGCAATTCCCCTGCCTCAGCCTCCCGAGTAGCTGGGATTACAGGCATGCACCACCACACCTGGCTAATTTTGTATTTTGTATTCACCATTTTAGCCAGGCTGGTCTCGAACTCCTGACCTCAGGTAATCAGCCTGCCTTGGCCTCCCAAAGTGCTAGGATTACAGGTGTGAGCCACCGCGCCCGGCCTCACTTCTCTCTTGTTGGAGCTCTCAGGAAAGTGGATGCTTACTCTTCTCCACCAGTTAAAAGTAAGAGTAAGTTCTGGAATGGGATGAGTCCCCATGAATGTGGAGCCAATCTGGAGGAGAGCAGAGTCAAGAGATAGAGAAAGGGACACTGAATCTTTGGTGACATTTTTGAAGCCCTGATCAAGCCTTCCTAAAGTCTACTTCTGTGTGCTAATTATGTCCCTTTCTCATAAGCTAGTTTGAGCTGGTTTTTCTCTTACTCTCATATCAAGAGTTCTGATAGTCACAACATATGACAATAACCTTCACCCATCAAAGAGATGCTATAATGGTGAGGAATGGTTTCATGAGTTAAGACCACTAAGATAAGCATTGGAGGTCCAGCATTTACTTTCCTCTAATGATACTCCTTACTTTTTCTTGACTTTCATATCGCTAGGGTCCCATTCTGTGTGAACCTGCAAAAAAAAGACCTTAATTAGTGAAATTTCGTATCTAGGTTGCAGTGTGTTCAGAGAGGAATGTGCTCGATGCAGGTGTTAGGAGAAGTGTATATTGGTCATCTTGAGTGTAGAATTTCTGCAAATAAGAGCTGACTCTGCAGAAGCAGTGTGCTGGGTTAAAAAGAGCCCTGGGCAGGAGGCAGGAGAGAATGGGGTTGTGCCTCTATTAGCTTGTGACTTGGGGATAAGGAAGTTAAGTGGCCAGGGCTCAGCTTTCTCATTTATAAAACGAAGGGCCTGAGTGAAATGGTTTGGAAGATCCTTCCAGCTCGGAAGATGTATGACTTAATGAATTGAAGCACCCAGCCAGCCCTTTCAGGGGAGTGGGAGGCTTCTTAGCCTCCTAGGATGCCTCTGATGTGGGGCGCCCCGTTGGAAGGAGGTTTCCAGTTTTCAGTGGCTCACTTCAGAATGGGTAGACGGAGTAGTAATGAGCTTTACATCTGCATTCAGTGGCTGCTCAATTTTTAATTTAATGTGTATTATTTTATTTTTCATTTTTTTGAGACAGGGTCTCACTCTGTTACCCAGGCTGGAGTGCAGTGGTGCGATTATAACTCACTGCAGGCTCCAATTCCTGGGCTGAAGCCCAAGATTAAATGCAGCTGCTATTTTATGAGAGGAGAAAAATTACTGTGGGTGAACCCCCTTCCCTCATTCATTAATTTGAGGCAAAGAGTCTGAAGGGTTAGCCTATTTGAAAGAGCACTAAGACTTGTGTGAAGTCAAAAAGGAAGTGAGTGCCAAGGGCCCCTGACACTTTGCCCAGGGCCAGCTCAGGATAAGGACAGATAGCTGGGAGCTGGAGAGACTGTCACCTGCTTCTGGGCTCTGCTGAGGGCTGCCTTCCCCGCACCTGTGCATTAGGAATGCTGGGTCCCCCCACAGAGTGACATCCTTGCTGTGAGCAGCGGAAGCAGCAGGAGCTGGCAAAGGCGCTCTTCAAGAAGGCTTTTTTTTCTTCTTTTTTTTTTTTTGAGATAGGGACAGGGTCTCACTGTGTCTTCTAGGCTGGGGTGCTGTGGTGAGATTGCATGATCATAGCTCAGCTCACTGCAGACTCAAACTACTGGGCTCAAGTGATCCTTCTGCCTAAGCCTCCTGAATAGCTGGAACTACAGGCGTGTGCCATCATACCTGTCCAGTTTTTAAATTTTTTTTTTTTTTTAACAGAGATGGGTTCTCACTGTGTTGCCCAGGCTGTTCTCAAACTGTTGGCCTCAAGTGAGCCTCCTGCCTCTGCCTCACAAAGCACTGGGATTATAGGTATAAGCCACCACGTATAGCTCTTTTGTTTTTTCTTTTTAAGGATGGTGTTTCTTCTTTTTTTTTGTTTGTATAAATTTAAAGGATAGGCCAGGCGTGGTGGCTCACGCCTGTAATCCCAGCACTTTGGGAGGCTGAGGCAGGTGAATCACTTGAGGCCAGGAGTTACCAGCCTGGCCAACATGGTGAAACCCTGTCTCTACTAATAATACAAAACTTAGCCAGGCAGGGTGGTGCATGCTTGTAGTCCCAGCTACTGGGGAGGCTGAGGCATGAGAATTGCTTAAACCCAGGAGGCGGAGGTTGCAGTGAGCCGAGATTATACCACTGCACTTTAGCCTGGGCGACAGAGTGAGACTCTGTCTCAAAAAAAAAAAAAAAAAAAAAAAAATTAAAGGGCACAAGTGCAGTTTTGTTACATGGATATATTGGATAGTGGCGAAGTCTGAGTTTTGATCTTAACCATCACCCCAATAGTGTATCTTGTACCCATTAAGTAATTTCTCACAGTTTACCCCACTCCCACCCTTCTGCATCTCCAATATCTATTATTCCACACTCTACGTCCATGTCTACACATTATTCTTTTTTTTTTATGGCTGAGTATATTCCATTCTGAGGCTCTTCCTGGGCTGTGACTCTCAGGGTGGCAGGATGCAGGATCCTCATCAGCATCTTGATTAGCCACAGCCATTCATCTCACTTTTTAAATTGAGATATAATTTCCATATTGTGAAAGTCACCACATTAAAGTGTACAATCCAGCAGTTTTAGTTTATTCACAAGACTGTCCAATCATCAGCACTATCTAATTCCAGAACATTTTCATCACCCCAAAAAGAAATCTTGTACCCACTAGCAGTCACTCCTCCTTCCTGCCCTGACATCTGCTAATTTACTTTCTGTCTGCAGATTTGCCTACTTTGGACTTTCATATAAATGGAATCATACAATCTATGCTCTTTTGTGTTTGACTTCCCTCATGTTCATCCATGTTGTAGGATGTATCAGCACTCTATTCCTTTTTATGGCTGAATAATATTTCTTTGTATGGATATATCACATTTGATTTGTCCATTCATCATTTGATGGACATCTGGGTTGATTCTGCTCTGGGGCTATTATGAATAATGCTGTCATTCAATAAAATGCTTTATTGAACATTTTTGTTCAATAAAGGTTTTTATTTCTCTGGGTACAGTCTTAGGATTGGGATTGCTGGGCCATGTGGTAATTACATTTAACTTTTTTTTTTTTTGAGACAGAGTCTCACTCTGTTGCCCAGGCTGGAGTACAGTTGCGCGATCTCGGCTCACTGCAACCTCTGCCTCCCAGGTTCAAGCAATTCTCCTGCCTCAGCTTCCTGAGTAGCTGGGATTACAGTTGCCCACCACCATGCCTGGCTAATTTTTGTATGTTTAGTAGAGATGGGGTTTCACTATGTTGGCCAGGCTGGTCTTGAACTTCTGACCTCAGGTGATTTGCCTGCCTCGGCCTCCAAAGTGCTGGGATTATAGGTGTGAGCCACCGCGCCCAGCCACGTTTAACTTTTTAAAGAACTGCCAAACTCTTTTTCATATCATTTGTCTCTTTTTAACTGCAGGGGCACAAAGAAAAATGGAAATTGCTGTCACCTTTGGCTGGAAAGGATGGTGCTATCATGTTGTTTTTTATGTATCTCCCTTATAGCACATTCTTTGCTCTCTGAGGTTATAGTCAATAGTGAGCTGGAAAGAATTTCCACAATGAAATTGGAAAGGCCTGGAACAGTGCCTTAAATTTTCTGAATCCTTTGTTTTCTCATCTGTAAAATGTGTCCAGGATTGCTGTGAGTCGTGAACAAGACAACAGTCACAGAGCTCTTGGCAGGGGCCCAGTGCTAAGTGGGAATTGACTCAATGCTATGCTCCTTGACCCTCTCCAAGCAAGGGATGGTGTCTTTGCTCTCTGCGTGCTCAGCACCTGGCAAGGGTCCTGACACTAAAGAGCTTGTTCAATAGTTGTTCAATGGATGAATCCATGATGAGGGGATGCGTGAAAGCATCATGAGCAAGAAAATGCCTGCATATAGTAGGTGTTCAATACATGTTAGGCAATGGGATGAATGTATTAAAAAGGGCATTAAAACTGCAGGAAAAATGCTATTCTTAACAGAAGCTCCCAACAGAAATATTTTTCTTGGCATTTGGGAGACTCTGCCTAAGATCACTCATAGGGAACATATGTACAGCTGTCTCTTCCCCTTTGAAATTAATTGGTCTTTGCTCAAGCTTCTGTCTGTCTCCATAGAGGAGGAAGTGCCTTCTTCTTTTTTATGGAGTAATAATCACATGACATTTTCCTGTCTCTCATCATTGGGAGCTGAGCAGTGGGAGGGCCAGAGAAAGCCTGTCTGACCTGTCTGAATGATCCTGTTTGCTGCTTTTATGCCCTGGCATCCCGGGCCATGCTGGGATGCCATTCTGGACATGCCAGGGAGAGCCTGGCACACAAGGAGATAAGACAGTTTAGTTTAACACAAATTGAATGATTCCAGCCTCAAGTCCCAATCAAAGAGATTTACTGTGTTTTTAAAAAGACACGAATGTTGACTTGACTAGTGAAAAGATGCATGGAGGCTGCACCAAGCAAGGAGCCTTATAGGAACCATTAAATCAATGTGGCTACAGCATATCTTAGTTGTGATCCCTGAGAAATATAAATCAACCTTGTACTCTGAGATTAAGATATGCTCTCCAGATAGCTGGCACTTTTAAGAATGGCACAAGTTTTACGTTAAAAGACCTTAAAATGCACAAAGATGTATCAATAAGAGCCGGGGCAAATTTCCGTTTATGAACGAATAATTTTCTCTTATTGTTTACAGAGGTCAGGCAAAGTGCATTTATTTATGTAACTCAGGCAGAAGCATCCTGTTGAGGGGAAGGTGAGAAGGAGTGGGGGATCCTGGATTTTTACAGATGGTCTGTCCTTATTGATCATGTTCAAATGCTTGAGTCCCTGTTTCATTTTCTCTGGGAAGAGAGGACTCACTTATCAATTCACCACAAAATACACAGCATAGCATGGGTTGGGCATGCCCTTCTGGTGACAAGGAGCTTGTATGCTGGGCTGATGGTGAGAATGAGGTGTCTTTTTGGGGAGTTTTACGGGCTGTGTTGGATGATCTTATATGCGTAACCCCTCTATGGTGATCATTTCTTACGGGGAGAAAATGTGGGGCTGAAGGTGAAACAAATTGCTCTTTGTCCAAGAAGGTTACTGCACTTTTGTAAATAACACTTCAAATTGAGTGGGACAACATGGAACACCTGCCTGGTATGGGGAATAGGGAGCTGAGATTATAGGTTCACGAGGGTTTTTATTTTTATTTTTTGCCACTTTGGAAGAGTTCACTATGTTTGACCTTGGACAAGTCACTTCATCTCTCTGGGGCTCTGTTTCTTCTCCCCAGTAAGAGCATCTATTAATCAGTGTTTTCCAAATTGCTCTGTGAGAAGACCTAGGTTTTGTCAGATAATTCTGTGGCAGCTGGGGATGGGGATGGAGGCAGGTGGATGGGGCTCTGGAGCCCCAGACTCTCCTTTAAAACAGTTTTGCTTTTCCTGTTCTATACTTTAGCACTCACTCAGTGGTGTTATTTGCAAAATGAGATATCCTACTAAAAAATATTGAAAACCCACTGGACTTGTTTGTCTCTTACATTTCTTTTTCACTTTAAAATTTGGAGCCCTGCATCCCTAGGCTTTCCCTGCTCCCCAGGGTCCTTTCTTTGTGCTGGGGGAGGTGAGTTGTCAAAATGAGGCTGTGGACCACCAAGCCTTAGCTCAGTGTCACTGTGAGAGCCCATTTCTCTAATTCAGGACCTGCCACAAATACAGAGAGGCTCAACCCACGGAAGGGGAGCTGAGGAGCCTGCCAGCTCTCATTACAAGTTTCAAGCATTCTGATGACCTTATTTAGGAATAGGTGAGTCTCTTCATCTGGCCGTTAAGTCCCATGAACCCAGAAACTTGTCACTCTTTTAGGATTTCGTAAAAGAAATGGCTGCATGTCTCACAAAAGAGGCCTCCAGAGTGGTATGAGCAGGCTATTTTTTTGCTTAAAATATATTGCCTGATAGCCTGAAGGCCGGCTCAGGAAGAGGGCTGGGGAGGCAGGGCAACACCCTGTAACTGGCTGCTTAGTGTTTATGCTGATGAAGTGACCATCTGCATCAAATAATTATAAGCGGTCTCCCCTGACTGATCTCCATGTGCTGACACAGACTGAGAGGAGGCATCCCCTTTACGGCCGCTGCAGCCCGGGGCGGGAGGCTGAGGAGGAGATCATGTGTACTCCTCCACTTCAAGGCACACAACCTGCTGAGTGGACAGGTGCTGGCAGTGTGATGTCCATGGGCAATGAAGCCTGCCTGTCCTCCGAGCTGACATCTATATCTCCATCGATCTGGATTTCAAAACTGACACAACATAAGGAATGTCACTCTCTATTACTCCATATTCACATTCATCTCCATTGCATTGGAAGTCCTCTGAGGAAATATCTTGATCACAACTGCCCTCTTCTTTCAGCTGAACAGGATAAGCCACTGCAGTGGGGCAGTGGTGTGTGTTATCAACCTTCTGGTTTTGTCTCCTGGTTGTGGGTGCTGTCCAGCATTTGCTAGAATGGTGAAATGATTGCAAATTGTTTTTAGGGTTTCATAATTCTGGCCAAGTCCAGTTTTTCCTTTGTTAGTGAAATAGAGTTGGCATTTAGATCTGATATTTGGATGCGTTTGTGCATGGCAAGTTTCATTTGTTAACTTTCAGAATAATTAATGTCACTTTGGAACCTGGATACCAGCACAGTGCAAGTATAACTCAGCTCTGCCCATGCAACTCACTCTTGTCTCAGGTGTTCTGACTTTGGCTCCCTGACAATTCTTTCTCTGGCACTTTCTCCAGTCCTGAGAAAACCTCTGGCAGGGCAACTGCAGGCCTGACTGGGCAGACATCATCCGGTGAGTGTTCGTGGTGCAATTTTGTACAACTAGAAGCAGAGAACCCACTTCTATTTGCTGAGAGGAGCTAAGAAAATCTTTTGAGATTTTGAATTTGTGTTTTGTGACTGAGAGATGATGTCAAATGTACTTCCATTTGTGTTTTAAGGCAGAATTTTAGAAGGTCACTGCAGGGGAGGGGTTTTCTTATGTACTGGATGGCAGTTTCATTGCTTTTAAATAAAAACACGTATAGGTATATTTAATGTTCCTTTAAAAAACAAAATAAGAAAGAAAACCTTTTATTTATATCTATTTATTATCTATCTATCTATCTGTCTCCCTATCTATCAATCAGTCATCTATCTAGCTACCTCTATCATCTATAAGTCATTCTAAAAATCCAGCACTAATATACTTTGGCGTTCTTCGTAAATACACTTCAGGACTTTTCTGGGAAGAGTGAGAGACCTCAAATAGGACATATGCAGACTAGATACATTTATTAATGAAAGAGTTAAATTCTTAATGAGAAATTTCATGTTTGACTTCCAACTCAGTCGAAATAATACACTGGCTTTAATTATAGGCCTTTTATTTGCTTTCCATTTGTGCAGCTCCTTTATGTCATTATTTGAAACTAAGCTCTGAGAGTTACAAGAAGGTGGACTAAGCACACACAGTGTTCCCCTGTTCCAGGTCATTAGAAATGATAGAAACACACACATACGTGTGCATACATACATATACATATATGCACACACATGTTCATACATATATATACACATGTATGTATTCAGAGACTAGACTAGGAATCTTCCCATGGACCATAAACTGTGAGGAATCCTAGCAAGGAAAAACAGATAGAATCAGATTGAAGAAGAAGCTCCAGAGATGCTCAGAGAAGGTACTCTTTGTTGGAGGTGGAGGTGGAGGACTCTTGAAGCAGGGGAGATTTGGAGGCAACTAACATGCCATATGCCCATCTGGTGGTAGATGATGGTTCCAGAAGGGAAACCCGGGCCTTTCCTCTCTAATGGCCATATTTCTACCACAGCTTCTAGAATAGGCACAGGAAACTAGCAGGGTCTACACAGCACAAAGTGAGTAGAAATTTGGCTGCATCTTATCAATTTGAGCACTGTACTTTAGTAAAGTGTGTAATCCAGGATTAATTACAATAGTTTCTTTTTCTTTGTTTAATTTCGTATTTTTTGCTTTAAGAAATTAACTTTTCTGAGGTGTAATTTATATGGAAGAAAATGGACCAATTTTAAGTGGACAATTCAATAAGTCACTTAATTGTAATGTAAGTGTACAATTCTGACAAATGTATACAGTGTGTAACCACTGCTGCAATCATGATAGAGACATGGTTCCTCCAGAAGTTAAACATAGAGTTATGCAATCTGGTAATTTCCTTTCCCTGGGGGTGTACCCAAGACAAAAACATGTTCACACAAAAACGTCTACGTAAATGTCTACAGCAGCAAAATTTATCGCCCCAAAAAGTTCTCTTGTGCTGCTTTATAGGCATTCCTCTCCTCCTACCTCTTACCCATGACCATCACTGATTTGCCTTTTGTCAGTAGAGTTTTGACTTTTCTAGAGTTTTATTTACACAGAATCACACAGCGTGTGGTCCTTTGTAATTGCTTTCTCTTGTCTGGCTTCCTTTTTTTAGATTCATCCATATTGTTGTGTGTATCATTGGTTTGTTCCTTTTTATTTCTAGGTAGTGGTCCGTTATATGAACATACTGAGGTTTGTTTATCTGGTCAACAGTTGATGAGTATTTAGATTGTTTCTAGTTTTTGGTTCACATGAAGGTTTTGAATGTTAAATCTTGCATTCCTGGGATGAATGCTATAAACATTTGAGTACAAAACTTTGTGAAAACATTTAGTTTCATTTCTTTTGGATAAATACCTGAAAGGGATTACTGAGTCATATGGTATATGCATTCTTTAAAACAATTTTTTTAACTGTTTTCCAGTGTGGCTCTACCATTTCGTATTTCTGCCAGCAATGTATGATGGATGGTTCTAGTTCTTCCACTTCCCTTGTCATCATCCTAGTCAGCATAGTCTTTTAAATTTTAGCCATTCTATGAGTGTGGCATGGTATCTCATGGTTTTCATATATATTTCCTTAAAGGCTAATGATGGTAAGCATGTTTTCCTGTGTTAATTTGCCAGTTATAGATCTTCTTTAGTGAAGTGTTTATTCTAATTTTTTGTCATTTTTCTTCTCGTTAATTTTTTTTTTTTTTTTTTTTTTTTTAAGAGAGACAATGTCTCACTCTGTCACTCAGGCTGGAGTGCAGTGGTGTGATCACAGCTCACTGCAGCCTTGAACTCCTGGGCTCAAGCGATCCTCCGACCTCAGGCTCCTGAGTAGCTGGGACTACAGGCGTGCACAACCATGCTTGACTAATTTCTTAATTTTTTGTAGAGAAAGAGTCTCACTTTGTTTCCCAGGCTGGTCTCAAATTCCTGGCCTCCTCCCGCCTCAGCCTCCTAAAGCGCTGGGATTACAGGTGTGAACCCAACCCTGTTCTGTTTTTAAGTTGGCCTGTCTTTTAATTATTGAGTTTTGTTTTTGACATATATTTCACAAGCATTTTCTCCCAGTCCGTGAGAAAAATAAATCCACCTTGTTCCCGATCTTAGGGTGAAAGTACTTAGTCTTTCACCATTAAGGATAGTATTTGCTGTAGGCTTTTTGTAGCTGCTCTTTATCCAGTTGAGGAAGTTTCCTTCTATTTCTAGTTTGCTGAGAGCTTTTATCATAAATGAATGTTGACTTATGTCAAATTCTCTTTCTGAATCTATTGAGATGAACTTGTGGTTGTTCTTTTTGCATTTATTAACATGATGATTACATCAATTGGTTTTTAATGTTAAATCTTGCATTCCCGGGATGAATTTTACTTGGTTATAAGGTGTTATCCCTTTTATGTATTGATGGATTTGATTTTCTCTAACTTTGTTAACATGTTTAATGTTTATATTTATTAAGAAAATTGGTTGTAATTTTCTCTGATAATATCTTGTGTGGTTTTTGTATTAAGGTAATGTTGATGTCATAACATGAAATAGGAAGCATTCTCTTCTATTCTTCTGGAGAAATTGAGTGTAGAATTTGTATTATTTAATTCTTAGATGTTTGGAATAATTCATCAGTGAATTCTTTATGTGAAGTTTTCTGGAGTTTTCTTCATATAAAAGTTTTAAACTATGAATTAAATTTACTTAATAATTTAATTTGATTCTTTATTGTGAAGGGGCCATTCAGATTATTGATTTCTTCTTGAATGAGGTTTGCATCTCAAGGAATTTTTTCATTCCATCTAAGTTATCAAATTTATTGGCATGAAATTCATAATATTCCCCTATTATCTTTTCAATAGCTGTAGAATGTGTAGTGATGGCCTATCTTTCAGTCCTGATGTTGGTGTTTGTATCTTCTTTTCTTTATTTTTCATCAGTTTCGCTAGAGTTTTATCAATTTTATTTATATTTTCAAAAAACAACTTTTGTTTCCATTGTTTTTCTGTTTTCATTTAAATTAATTTCTATATGTACATACACACACAAATGAACACACACAGACTTGTTTTATGGCCTCCAGTATGATCTATCCTGGTGATTGTTCTAGGTGTACTCAAAAAAGAATATACCTTCTGCCAGTGTTAATTGGAGTGTTTTATAAATGTCAGGTCAAATTCATTGATAGTGTTGTTCAAATCTTCCATAGCTATACTGATTTTCTGTCTACTTGATCTATCAGTTACTGAGAGAGGAGTGTTAAACTCTCCAACAATAATTGTGGATTCATTTATTTTGCCTTTGTATTTTGTCAATTTTTCTTCATATATTTAAAGACTCTGTTATTAGGTACATATATTTAGGATTATCGTGTCCTCTTGATAAGAGGATCCCTTTGTCATTATAAAATATCCTTATCCTAGGTAATATTCTGTGTTCTAAAAATCTACCTTGTCTAATATAGCCATTCCAACTTTCTTTTGATTCATGTTTTCATGTATAAAATTTTCCATCCTTTTACTTTTAACTTATCCATGTCTTACTCTCCACCCTGCCTTGCCCTGTTCTGCCTTTCCTTTCCTTTCCTTTCTCTGTCTCTTTCTTTCTTTTGACAGGATCTTGCTGTTGCCTGGGCTGAAGTGCAGTGGCATGATCACAACTCACTGCAGCTTTGACATCCTTGGCTTAAGTGATCCTCCCACCTTAGCCTCCCGAGCTGAAACCACAGGTAGCCGCCACCATGCTCAGCTAACTTTTTTTGTATTTCTTTCTTTCTTTCTTTCTTTCTTTCTTTCTTTTTTTTTTTTTTTTGAGAGACAGGATCTCCCTTTTCTGCCCAGGCTGGTTTCAAACTGCTTCAAGCAATCCTCCCATCTCAGCCACCCAAAGTGCTGGGATTACAGGTGTGAGCCACCACGCCCAGCCTAGATTAATTTTTTTATGGTTTCATTTCATCTTTACTTTTAACTTAGTAGCTATACATTTCCAATTTTTATTATTATTTATTGGTTTTAACACTCTTGTCTGTTAGTCCCATCATTTCTGTTATTTCTTTGCTTGTTTCCATGTATTGATTTTCTATTGCTATAGAACACATTTTCTTGCTTCTTTTCATACCTTGTAATTTTTTAAAAATCAGATATTGTGCAATGTAAATTTTATACTGTTACTTGCTGGATTTTGTGCACTGTTAAGTGACTTTGAATTAGCTTTTCTTTTTGATTTGCTTTTATACTTTGTTAGGGCAGTTTCACAGCAGTCTTTAATCTAGGTCTAATTTAATCTCATTGTTAAGGCAATACCCTTTTGTGGATCCTACCTGATGCCCCATATTATGATATCTTTCTGATTTATGAAGCCAGATTAAATAAGCTGGGAGTTCTGGGTTTTCTTGAAACCATTAAGGATTAATTGATTTCAGTTAACTACTTTGTCTGGTGGAGTACAGATTATTTCCAGCCCTGTACAAGCTTTGGAAATTATTCTGTGTATCATTTCTGGTGATTCTTTTTCTCACCTCTGGCAATTTCTTCTCCTTCTCCTCTTCTTCCTCCTCCTATTTCTCCTTTGTCTTTGCAATTGCAGATCAGTACTCAGCCAAGTACTTGAGGATATTCCTCTATAGATGCTGGAGTTCTCTCTGTGTATATAATCCTTTTGCTCCTGGTTTCTCTGCCCCTCAAGTTTTAGCTGCCTTGGCTTCTCTGATCTCTAGTCTCTGACTCCGCAACTCAATAGAACTGCTGGTCTGTGTTTGGATTCATCCTCCCCGTCCTACAGCCTGAAAATGGCTCTCACCAATTGTAGCCAGTTACTATCTTCTTGACATCACAGTCTCACATTGCCTGTTGTTTAATGTCTGAAAACCAGTCACAGGTTTTGTTCTGTTTTCCTCTTGTTTAAGCAGGAGGATAAATTCAGCTTCTGTTATTTCATCTATAAGCAGAAATTGTTTTATGTGTTATTTTCTCTTGCCAAAAGCATTTTAGAGCTGGAAAGTAACACGTTCAGGGGAAATTTAAAGGCGCATCCTTTATCTTCCATCTCTCTGCCTCCAAACAGAAACTTCGATGTAACCCACTTGCCTGCCACAACTCCAGGACTTGTTAAACTTGGCCGTATGGACAAATAAACTGAAAATAAAAAAGATGGGTTGGATCTGTTTATTACACAGTGAGTTCCTCATGGACATGTGCTGTTTGCCTCTAGGAACACCCCACAGCACGGCCTGATGCTTCTGAGGACCTACCAGAGGTGGTCCTGTTTTTTGACTTGAGCATTTTACATTTGTTTTTCAGAAGAATGAAGGTTAGCAGTTATCCCTGTGCCTCAGTGGATCCTCTCTGAGAATATGTCTATTGAAACACTTGAGTGACAAGTACCGTTAGTGGTATCAAAAAAGCTCAAGAAATTTGATGTAAGTTCTCAAAAACTTACATCAAAGAACCACTAAGGGCAAAGGGAAGTGAATGTGTCCTTTCGAGAAGGACAAGTTGAAGCAGCATGGTACACACATTTTGTTGAAATTTCATATTTTCTACTAAAAATTCATGAAGACATCTCTGGATTTAACTGTGTATACTTCAGATTTTGAAATTGTATATTCCTCATATTCAGTGGTTGAATGCACCTGAATCCCTGCTGTTCCTTGACCACTGCATAATGAGTTTTCAAGAGCTGGCCTGTGCAAACCCCACTACACTTTGTCAGCCACATGTGGGATTAAGCATATGTTTTACTCACTCTTTCTCCTTCCATCCTCAGCACTACAGAAGAACAGGAGCTGACCATTTGTTACTTCGTTTTTGAAAGTTGCCCACATCTGTTCTGCTGGCTTCATAAGTGGATGTCTCTTCTCCATGGCGAGATTATGAATAGGGTGTGGTGATCAGGTCTGGAAGGTCTCTTGCATTTCCTCCAGAGGCTGGTACAGTGCTGGAGACAGGAAAGGCACTGGGCTTTTAGTGACTTACGAAGCTAGATCAAGTTAGCTAGGAGTTCTGGGTTTTCTCAAAACCACCAATAATTAATTGCTTTCAGTTAACTACTTTTTTCTTTGAGTCTTGCTGTACAGAACTCTCTTCTACTTCTCTGCTCTTAGCTGGATGGGATGGTAGGAGAAGGAGGGGGATTAGGGGATGGAATCGGTAGTCAAATCTTTATCCCCTGTGTGCCCAAGGTAGAGGAAGGAGCCATGCTGTTATTTCTGCTAGCCATCCAAATGTCTTTGTGTGGTAAGGAGAGCTGCAGTCATTGCTTTCAATTTACTAATGGGAAACAGAGACTCAGAGGGGCTGAATAATTAGTTCATTCTACTTGGGTAGAATTGAGAGAAAGAGAAGACAGCTTTCCTAATTCCACTGCTCCTGCCATTGTGCTTCCCGTGTGGTCCAACAACTCAACTAAGTGACATTTGCTCTTTCAAAAATGCAGATTTGCCTTTCTAAAGGGAACACATTTTATGAAGTGGATAAATCAATTTGAGATATTTGGTCAAATCAAGGAATGAGGAGAAATGAAATTAGTGTTCTGAGCATAACACAATGGCGAGTTCATGACAGCTTCCCCATTCTTCCTGATCACAAGTTCCACTTGAGGCTTCTTTCTTTGTGAGGGGGGTGGGGGTGGGAATCTCAAATTGCATTTATCCCATAATAATACTTAATGCCTTTGCAAAAATTAGTCTTCAGAATTCTATATGGAAAGGGTTCATCTTTATTTCCCCAGCATTTTAAAGGTGTCACTTTAAAAATCCTATGTACAATCTTCAGTGTAAAATAAGCCAGTATGATTTTGTAGATTATACACCATTCCACAATACAACTAGTCTACTA
Source organism: Homo sapiens (assembly GCF_000001405.40). Classification (NCBI taxonomy): domain Eukaryota; kingdom Metazoa; phylum Chordata; class Mammalia; order Primates; family Hominidae; genus Homo; species Homo sapiens. Next base: position 26,730,151 of record NC_000018.10, read on the forward strand.
ACGTGGCCTTAGACACCTGAGATGCACACTGCATGGTGTTTCATGATTTTAAAAAAATCTTTTGGCCGGGTGCGGTGGCTCACGCCTATAATCCCAGCACTTTGGGAGGCCGAGGCGGGTGGATCACGAGGTCAGGAGATCGAGACCATCCTGGCTAACATGGTGAAACCCCGTCTCTACTAAAAATACAAAAAATTAGCCCGGCGTGGTGGTGGGCACCTGTAGTCCCAGCTACTCGGGAGGCTGAGGCAGGAGAATGGCGTGAACCCGGGAGGCGGAGCTTGCAGTGAGCGGAGATAGCACCACTGCACTCCAGCCTGGGCGACAGAGCTAGACTCTATCTCAAAAAAAAAAGAAAAAAAAATCTTTTGTCATTCAGTGAAAGGCAAGAATGACAACTAAACCCTAAAAAAGCCCTTTTGATTCAGACTCCTACATGGCCACTGTTTTCTATATTTCATACCCAGTGTGCAATTAGTCGAGGTGTGTGCCTCTGAATTCTTCAAGGGTTAAAATTCAACACCCGGCACCTAGTAGCAAATGAGAAATTCGGTTGTTTTCTCTTAGACCGTCAGTCTTTTATAAGCCTATTATAAAACCAACACTTCTCATTGCCAGGCCAATCCTAAACTATTAAATAGAGGCTAGTATTTGAATTAAGGGTGTTATTGTAATCGTTTTAAATTTTGAGATGGGCTCTTACTGTGTTACCCCAGCTGGAGTGCAGTGGCGGGATCTCGGCTCACTGCAGCCTTGACCTCCTGGGCTCAAGCAATCTCCCTGTCTCAGCCTCCTGAGTAGCTGGGACTACAGGTATGTGCCACAACGCCCAGCTAATTTGTGTGCTTTTTGTAGCGAAGGGGTTTTGCCATGTTGCCCAGGCTGATTTTGAACTCCTGAGATGAAGCTATCTGCCTGCCTCGGCCTCCCAGAGCGTTGGTATTACAGGCCTGAGCCACCACACCAGGCCTTATTGTAATCTTAACACATAAAAGTGTAGGGCTTGGTTAAGATTAAGGGAATGTCTTGAGCTTGGTTCTTTTGGGGGAGGCTATATCTCTGTTGTAAAAATCCACCCCAAAACTATTTTATTATACTCAGGAAGATATGAGGGGGTTGTTCTTTGGAACTGGGCTGCCCAGTGCAGTCCCCATTAATCACCTATGCTACTGAGCACTGGAAGTATGGCTCACTTAGATTGATAGCCCTGGTTTAGATCTTTTCCTGCAGTGGTGGGTTACTTCTCACTGTCAGAAAAAGCAGGAACCGAAGGGGAGTGGTCAGCTAAGCCAGACATAAAGCAACAGGAGGACTGAGCTCACTAAGTTTGTGGACTCTGAATTCTAAGTTTTACCCTTGGGCTGTTGGTGAACATGGTCAATATCTCACCATTTGAGATATCTTTTTTTTTTTTTTTTTTTTTTTTTGGAGATGGAGTCTTGCTGTGTCGCCTAGGCTGGAGTGAAGTGGTGTAATGTCGGCTCACTGCAACCTCCACCTCCAGGGTTCAAGTGATTCTCCTACCTCAGCCTCCCGAGTGGCTGGAATTACAGGCTCCTGCCGCCATGCCCAGCTAATTTTTGTATTTTTAGTAGAGATGGGATTTCACCATGTGGGCCAGGTTTGTCTTGAACTCCTGACCTCAAGTGATCCAACTGCCTCGGCCTCCCAAAGTGTTGGGATTACAGGTGTGAGCCACCACACCCAGCCCCACCTTTCAATATTTCTTTGGGATATCTCTGGGTCTTTACTCTCTAAACTAATGCTGTTTAATAGAAATATATCATAAAATACATATATAATTTTAAATTTTCCTGTAGCCATGCTAAAAAGGGAAAAAGAAATAGGTGAAGGTAATTTTAATAATAGATTTGATTTGGCACACTATACAGAAAATATTATCGTTAAAAAATGTGCCAAGTGCAGTGGCTCATGCCTGTAATCCCAGCACTTTGGGAGGCCAGGGTGGGAAGATATCTTGAGTCCAGGAGTTCGAGACCAGCCTTAGCAACATAGTGAGCCCCTGTCTCTACTAAAAATAAAATACACTAGCTGGGTGTGGTGGCACTAGTTCTAGTTACTTAAGAGGCTGAGGTGGGAGGACTGCTTGAGCCCAGGAGTTCAAGGCTGTAGTGAGTCACAATCATGCCACTACATTCCCACCTGGGAGACAGAGAGAGGCTCTTTCTCTGAAATAATGATAATAATAATACAAGTAATCAATCACTATAAAACTTATTAATGAGATGTTTTACATTCTCTTGTTTGTTCTAAGTCTTTGAAATCTGGCATGTATTTTATACTGACAGCACATGTGAAGCTGGACCAGTCACTTTTCAAGTGCTCAAGACCCATATGTGGCTGTACAGGATGGTATAGACATTTTGACTTTAGTCCTCAAATAGGCAAGAGGAAGACATAAACTGGAATCTAGAATAAAGGAAAAACATCTCATAGTTATATTCAAGTTGATTACAGATTATACTATAATGTAAGTATGGACTTCTAAAAAACGTTATAAACCTAGGTTGTTGTATATATCTAAAATCTAACTGGAGGTAAAAGGGGAAAGAACTAGTTATCCATTGATCACCAAGGTATGCTAGGAACTATGCTTGTTGCTTGACACATATTATTTTACTAAATCCTTACAATAATCTTATGACTGTTATTATTGGCCCCATTGAAAATTAACAAAATTGAGATGCAGAAGGAGTAGAAGCTTACCCAAAGAATTACAACAAGAAATCAATACTAGAGCTAGGATCCTACCTGAGCCCACACTGCCTAACTAGGTGACATAGCTCCATTCATTCTGAGCTCTTAGATCACCATGTACCCAAGTAAATTTAACCTTCATTTGATGAAAATATTTGCCTATTAAGCCCTCTAAAACAAATCTAGAAAACATGCACACCACATAATTTTCATTTGTAGTTTTTATTTTTTAAGTTTTATGGGCTTTGATATCTTCAGGAAAATGTGAAGAAAAACACATACATTCATCTTGTGAGTATATAAATAGATAGATACATGGGTATAAAAACAGACCATATTTTGTGGATGGGAAATATGACTGACATACTGCTTATAGTTAGATGCTGTCATTGGATGACATTGGGCAAGCTTGTCATGTGTCTTCTGATGTCTCCCTTGTCCTTTATCAACTCACCTTCTTGCTGAACACTTTTGGAGTTTCTTGTGTGTTTATTGGCTACTGAATCTCCTTCCAACTAAATTATGTAGAGTCTAGGAAACACAGTTCTGAAATTTAATCCTGGTTCATTTGCTAGAACTCTGGATTTTTTTCCCCAAATAGTTTGGTTTCTTATACACTAATCAGGACCATTTTCCTAGTTGGAAAAAAGCAGGCACAAGGTGTGGTGGCAGACTTGCATGGTGGGTGGCCCTGAGGCGGGGTGCATGGCAGGTGAGGACCTCTGGCCTTTGAAGGACTTGGGGAGAGAGCAGAGATTTCAGAGGAAAAAGAACAAATCGAACAGACTCAAATAACACACAAATGAGCACCAGCCCATTTTATTGTAGAAAGTTGGGTACTTTTTTTTGTGTGTGTGTGTGTTTTGTAGAGATGGGGTTTTGCCATGCTGCCCAGGCTGGTCTCGAACACCTGGGCTCAAGTGATTTGCCCGCCTCGGCTTCTGAAAGTGCTAGGGTTACAGGAGTGCGCCACCGTACCCAGCCAGGTACTCTTAAGTGATGAGCAGACGTGCCATATTTAGTTGAATATCTTCAAGAGAGAAGCACACACTATAGGGCCACAAGCTCTAAATGAATGCTGTCATACTAATTTAGAGAGCAACTTTACCCAAGTGTCTTCCCCAGTACTTCCCTAAGAATTCAAGGGATGTAAAAATTCAAAGCCCTGGTTGCATCTGGAGTTTAAATGTAAAGGAATGTAAACTGTTTTTCCTGGTTACAGAGAGTCTCTCTCTCTCTCTGAATCGTATTGGTCAGGTTGGATTCCTCATTTCTAGAGAGATGAATAAACCCATCTGCAGACTTTCTGTTTGTAAAAGCCTAAAGTAACACAAAATGTTGAGTGTTTTGTGAACATAGCTAGCACATTTAACTCTGAGACTAGGTGGAAAAGAACATTGCAATGAGGCACATAGTTTTTGTTTTCGTAATGTTTTAAAAATTGAGAAGGAATGATCAAAACACAGCTAAAGACAAGTTAATCTAACTAAGATTGATAAGAACGTGCATTAGGACATGCTTATTTTGACCTAGATGTGATTGTTATTTTAGTATTCTATGTCCTTGCTAGTCTTGCAAATATAGTCTTTCATGAAGAAAAATAAAAGCCTAGACAAAATGACCCCCTATTCAAACCAAACTGCCATGGTGTCTTTGGTGTGTAAATGGAATTACATTCTTTACAGCAGTGATTTTTAGTCACGTGTACTGGGTTAGATTGATTGTCAAATTTGGGGAGAGGAAAGAATTTCCCTCTGGGGTGTACTGGCAATTATTTTTCAGTTGTTTTTGCCCTGCTCTGGAGCATGAAGCCAATATCATTTTTAGGATCAGGTGAGTTTATCCAACATGATCAATTTCCTGTGGTTGTCTGCTGCTGTCACAGGGGGAGGGGAAAGCAGCTCTCCTTGATCACTTTGACACTAAAAGCTGTCGTTTGGAAATTGACCAGGACATAAAACTCTGAGCCCCTAATGACAACCACAAAAAGATCAAGAGACTAATGAAGTCATGGAGAGAGTCGGGATAGTACAAAGCGGGTTACCCCTAGCTCACACCTTCCCTGCTCCCTCTAATGAGGTACAGCACTGGGTAACTTGTGTCAAGTCATAATGCATCATGCCTCTAGAGTGTTCTGTCAGGGCCCTAGGAGTAATGTGACATGACAGATACAGCAGAAGATAATGAGTCAAATTCTCTCTGCTGCTGAACATTGCTCGATAGGAATTGCAGGTGCTGAAGAAGGTGGCTTACTCACCACTTAGAGGAGCAACTGGGCTCCATGGCCACCTCTGGACAGGGGGCCTCATTTGGCAATTTCATGGGTTTGCTGGAAACTGGGCTGAATCCCACTGGTGAGGTTGTCCCCTCACTAATTCCTAGAGAACTTTATCTGCTGCCTGGAGTTTCAGTCTTTGGCTTTGTTTCTGTCCTCCAGACATTTCTGCTTACTGGTGCCCTCCTTCTTCTTCCCAATTTAATTCAAACCAACAAACACTTCTTTAGAATTTACAACCCAAATGTCCAACAATGATAGACTGGATTAAAAAAATATGGCACATATACACCATGGAATACTATGCAGCCATAAAAAATGATGAATTCATGTCCTTTGTAGGGACATGGATGAAGCTGGAAACCATCATTCTCAGCAAACTATCGCAAGGACAAAAAACCAAACACCACATGTTCTCATTCATAGGTGGGAATTGAACAATGAGAACACACGGACACAGGAAGGGGAACATCACACACCTGGGACTGTTGTGGGGTGGGGGAGGGGGGAGGAATAGCATTAGGAGATACACCTAATGCTAAATGATGAGTTAATGGGTGCAGCACACCAACATGGCACATGTATACATATGTAACAAACCTGCACGTTGTGCACATGTACCCTAAAACTTAAAGTATAATAATAATAAAATTTAAAAAAAAAGAATTTATTATGAGCCTTCTAATTGTCCCTGCTCCTACTCTCTTGCCTGCATGGTCCACTTGCCACACAGCTGGAGTGACCTTTGAAGAGCACACTGGTCACCGGCTTAAAATCCCCTTAAAGCCTTGCAAACTCTTCCCTTCACATTTTAGGTTTTCACATGATGCTGTGTCTCCTTAGCATCTCAAACATGTTGTCTTGTTCTCCCATTACTCTGTGCACTCCAGCCACACTGGTTTTCTTTCTGTGCCCTGAATTCACCCAACCCTCATTCCTGCCTAGGTGCAGCAAGGCTTGGTGTCATGGAGACTAAGAGATGAGAGTTTTAAGGAGGGCATGATCAACTGTGCTGAGAGTGGTTGATGTTGGTTGAGAAGACCTTGCATTAATTTTGGGAAGATAGGGGTCATTAGAGCCTATGACATTAGCAATTTCTATTGTGAGATGGATGCCACATTGTAGTAGGGCAGTAGAGAAAAGGAAGGAAGGAAAAGGAAGCTATTCATTCAAGAAATTTTGCTATGAAGGAGAGCAGAGAAATGGGGCAGTAGTTGGAGGGAGATGTGTGGTAAAGGGCAGTGTTGTGATTTTTATTTATTATAGATGATAGTAGAGAGGGAGTGACCTAAATAGAGGAGTGTAGCAGTATTTCCCAGCAGAGTTGAGCACCTACTGAGAATTTGTGGTCATGCACTTAAAGAGAGAACATGGTGTGCACTTCACTGGAGTAGCTTCTCTAAGTTTGAAGGAGGTCTGTGAGCATGGTGGAGAGCATCGACATTGAATCAAGTGAGACTGGGTTTGAATCCTGGCTTTGTTTCTCACTGGTTATTGAATTTTTTGGAAAAATTATTTAACCTTCTTTAACATTAGTTTTCCTATACATAAAATGGAAATAATTTATATTATTATTATTTACATTAGTGGACTGGAGTTAGCCCTCAGAAACTTGTTCCAGGTATTGACTTTCTTTCTTTTTTAGATAGGGTCTCACTTTGTTGTCCAGGTTGGAGTGTAGTGGCACGATCATGGCTCACTGCAGCCTCAACCTCCTCAGGCTCAGGTGATCCTCCCCACTTTGTACAGATAGGGTTTTGCCATGTTGCCCATGTTGGTCTTACACTCCTGGGCTCAAGTGAGGCACCTGCCTCAGACTCCCAAAGTGCTGGGATTATAGGGATAAGCCACCATGCCTGGCCTTGACTTCTTAATGAATGCTAACTGCTGGTAACTCGGGATTGGAGGGAAAATTCTGGAAGTGCAACAAGAGACACAGTAATGTTCCTCTGCCTTTTGCATGTTAGAGATTGCAGAAGTAATATTTCCCCAGACGCACATAGGGCTATCTTATGCTATATGATGGTCAAAGTTTTTTCTCTAGTACTGAAGACTAGTAATAAACAGTACATTCCTTAGAAAATAAGTGATATGGTTTCGCAGTGTCCCCACCCAAATTTCATCTTGAATTGTAGCTCCTATAATCCCCATGTGTCATGGCAGAGACCTGGTGGGAGGTAATTGAATCATGGAGGTGGGTTTTTTCCATGCTGTTCTCATGATAGTGAATAAGTTTCACCAGATCTGATGGTTTTATTAAGGGCAGTTCCCCTGTACATGCTCTCTTGCCTGCCGCCATGTAAGACGTGCTTTTCTCCTCCTTCACCTTCTGCCATGATTGTCAGGCCTCCCCAGCCATATGGAAATATGAGTTCATTAAACCTCTTTTTCTTTATAAATTACCCAGCCTCGGGTATTTCTTCATCGCAGTATGAAAATGAACTAATACAATAAGCTAGCATTTTACCACTTCTTCTACCTCTCAAAATGACATGTCTAATTGACTTCCTTTGCTGTCTACTTTGATTCTCTTTATTCATATTCAATCTGATTCAACCTGCTTTCTATAAATGAAAGAGAAGGATGAGGTGAATCTGTGGAGGGAAACCCTATGATATTGGAAAGCAAGAGAATTAAGATTATTTGAAAGCAAGAAAATTAATTATCTTAATTTGCAAAAACATATGAAGAGAGTTTCTGGAGGAAAACACTGTTGAGCCACTAGGCAAGTATGACTCTCCAGTCATATTCAAGCTACTTCAGTATGTGTGTGTGTGTATATATATACACACACACGCACACACACACACATGCACATATACATGCATATATATATAATATACAGAGAGAGACCGTTTAGTACTGTTAACACTCACATACCCATTATCCAAATTCAACACCTGCTTCCTCCACTCCTGCGGTATTCTTAAGAGACTCTCAGGCAACATATCATTTTATTAGAAAATGTTTGTATGGTTTTCTAAAAGATAAAGACCATTAAAAAAACACAACTATGATATCATTATCATACCTAAGAGATTTGGCAGTAATTCTTTAATATTACCAAATATCCAGTCAGTGTTCACGTTTCTAGTTGTCTTAAAATTTCTTTTCCAATGTTTTGGTTTATACTGAATTTATACTGTTACTTTCAATTCAAATTTAGAACTACAGTGTTTTAAATCAACCTCTCTGATGTATTCTCTTGTTTCATCATTTTTTATAATGGAAGTATTTTTGGTCGGATGGAAATAATAAAATGGAGAAAGTTAAAGTGGATTTCTATGAGCAAAGACAGTTGACTCTACATTAGGGGGCTCAACCCCAGGGCTACGGACCAGTACCAGTCCATGGCCTGTTAGGAAGCCACTGCACAACAGGAGGTGAGTGGCGGGCAAGTGAGCATTACCACCTGAGCTCTGCCTCCTGTCAGATAAGCGGTTGCATTAGATTCTCAGAGGAGCACGAAGTTATTGTGAACTGTGCATGTGAAGGATCTAGATTGTGTGCTCTTTATGAGAATCTAATGCCTGATGATCTGAGATGGAACAGTTTCATCCCAAAACCATCCCCACCACCCTGTCCGTGGAAAATTTGTCTTCCACGAAACTGGTTCCTGGTGCCAAAAAGGTTGGGGACCACTGTTCTACGTGTCATCCTTTGAGTGACATGAACTTTCTGATGATGCAGAGACTTCATGGAGTTAAAGATTCAGTAATTGAGACTGGGACTTTACAGTTCATGGGATGATAAACCAACAAAAAAGGGAAGTGCACCATTATCACAAAGAAACAAAATATTTTAAGAGCACTGGAAGTTTTGCTGTAACTAATTCACAGTTTCACATGGTTTTACATTTTGGAATAATAGGAAGTCAATATATTAACCATATTAATAATAAAGCAATAATTTACCAATACTAAAACCAAAAGGTGCTTCTGTACTTATGTGAATGAGTCCTTTTTGATTAGTTGATTTTGTTTTGAACACTGATACCACTTAGCTTTAGTATTTAGTCATTTTTATGGAGTATTTCAACAATGGTCAAAAATGTATAGTAACATTTTAGCCAGGTCAAAATCAATACATAAAGGATATTTACCAAAAAAAAATAATTCTGGGAAACAATCTGCTTCTGATCTTAATTGATTTCATTGCTAAGGTTATTCAAAAAATATCAGACTATCTGATCAGTTTTTATCAGATTTTGAGAGTGCTTGGTGATACATTCAGCCTCTGCCAGCAGTATGACTTGAATGAACAATTATATAAAAATTTAGAAATATGAAGAATACTTCTGGAAAGAAAGATAAAAGGAAATTGCTTGGTGTATCTAGTTTTTATCCTTCACATGCCTTCTCTGTTGGCTGCTAAGACTACAGACTGCAGATCCAGCCTCAACCTCGTCTTTAGTATTTGCATATCCTTAACTGGGGACATTCAAGAACTCCTAGTCCAGTGCTCCTAGACCCAGCACGAGAGAAGCTGGCACAGCACCTCTCGTAGTGCTCAATATCCACTGAATATGAACTTGACCACACTATTGGTAGCAGGCCTTCAGTTTGAGACTGGATACCTGGAACTCACAGAACAGTATGGGGTGTGTGCCAGGTTGTGTAGGAGAATGTGATGGTGCAGGACAAACAGGTTCCCTGCCCTCCTGGAGCCTATGGTTTTATGCTTTGTTTTTTGCTCCTGAGTCTCAATTTTTATAATCTGCTGAAACATTTTTCCCACTAGGGCTCCCGTTTTGCTTTGTTCTTCCAGTTCCTTTCTCAGGGGTAACAGTTCTACTCCTGAACTTCAACCTGGTGTCTCGGTCCCTGGAACCCTCCAATGGAGGTCTCCATTGGCCTTTGATGAGAACATCATCCACTTCTGAGACTTCCTGTTGTCCTGCTCTGCGAACCCCGGGCCTCTTCAATGTTGTTGGCCATCCATAGACCTTCTGTCTGCTGGACTGCGCTCCCCTACCGGGTCTCTCTGAATGGTGTTCTGACCCCTCTGGCTGCAGGTCAATTCACCATGGCCAGCCATGGTCTGAACTAAGACAGTAGTGTGGAGGAGGCAGAATAGTGTGGTGATCTTTCTAAGAACCTGACATCCTTAAACTCAGTTCTCTCTCCTTCTGATATGTACATCACCAAAACATATGCGGGTGACAATTTGAAAATTCTGATAGGGAATTCGATTTGCTTGAGTTCAAACAATGGAAATACGGAGACTTCCTGGTTCTACCACTTACTGGTTGTGTGACCTTTGGCAAGTTACTTAATCTTTCTGTACCTCAGAGACCTCATCTATAAAATGAAGATAATAATAGCATTTATCTCACAAGACTGCAGTGAGGATTAAATGAGATAATCCACGTAAGGTGCTTAGAATGTTGTCTGGCACATGGTAAATGCTCAATAATGTCAGCTACTACTATTGTCATCATTCTTATTAGTCAAATGGATTAGATGATGGTTTAGTTTTCCTTTAGCTATTTGGCACTCATTCAGAGCAGCTGAATGTCTCTAAAATATAAGCTTTTGGAGAAGAAAACAAAAGATTAGCAATGCTGATATTGAAGTAAGATGAGAACTGACATTTGAGCGATGGATTTGGCAACATGGAGGTCATTTGTGGCCTTCACAGGAGCAGTTTTGGTGGAATGATGAGATGAAAGCCCAGATAAAGTGGGCCCAGAGAGAGAATGAGCCAGACCCCACAGCGTTAAGAGTCAGAGAATGCTCCAGCCAGCTGTCACCTGGGCTTCAAGTAGTGCTGCTTGTCTTCTCTGGCCAGCCTGCTCCCTGTCTCTCTATGGGGTGCAGACCTAGACCCTGTGAGTGGACAGAGGAAGCATCACTGTGCTTTCTATCTACAATTTCTTCCTTCTTCCTTCCTTCCTTTGGTACCTTCTCTCCCACTGGGTACCTATTCAGAAAACTTCTCCTAGAAAGTTTCCTTCTATTCAACACAAACCCATTCATGCAGATAGATGCCTAGAGATAAATTTACCAGTTATGCCTAGATATGCACCACCTTTACAGAAATCAGTCCTCAATTTATATTAGTAGAGCTGACTCATGGCTTTTCACTTGGCAGTATCCCAGCTGGGGTTAAATCATCTAGTGATTATAGACTGGTGTCCTACTCAGGCTTTACTTTCACCTTCCCAACTTTTTCTCATAGCAAATAGTTATTTGTTTAGGTTTCCATCCCACATCCGTCAGGATCCCTTTCAGAAAGGAGATACATATTTGTTCTTTGAAAGGTTAAGAGAGAAAAAAGGCAACACTCAGGTAACCAGAGATCACTAATGGCTAAAAACAGCTACCACACTTAAGTTTGCAGGGACAAAGGGAAAAAGTGAGGTTATCAGAACCTAAGAAGTCAAGGGACAGCTCAAATAAGACTCAAAAGACATTAAAATGTAAGTTTCTGCTGAAGCTCCATGAAGGCAAACATCTTGTTTTGTTTTCTAATAAAATCCAAGTGCCTGCCACATAGTAAGTCTCAGTAAATATTAGATGAAAGAACAAATAGAAAAGAGAGTTTTGTTGGGGCATTCTGGAAAAAAAGTCTACTCACGCTTCTGAGAGAGGCATCAGAGGAAAAGATCGTGTCTTTCTTCCAGCTGCTGTGGCGTGTCAGTCTAGAATGGCTGCCACCATTTTGTCATAATGAAAACAAAACAAAACAAAAACAACTTGGATTCATTGACCTGTAAAAAGTAGAGTGGAGAGATGGAAAGAAGCCGGATCTTTTCTTAATGACATTTTTGGGTTGCTCAATCAAACAGCCCCTGAAACTTATCTTCCCACTTGACATTCCAATTCTAAGAGACAACAAAGCCCTCTGGTTATTTAAAAGAATATCCTGACTGATACAATGGCCTAACTTCCATTTCTCTGGTGGCTGGTTTGGTTTCCACTTAGCTGTGAGGGCGAGGCATTACTTTGGGAATGAGCCTAGTGATGATTTTAACCTTGGTTGATCCATTATATGCAAACCTGAGTCAGACCTACAGTTTGAACAGGAATGGGAGTTTCTCTTCAGGGGGCTGTATCTGATTGGTTGAAATCACTTAACCCAACTGTCCCGTAAAGAAATAAAGCACCTGGCACAATGTTCATTGCACACCAATTTCCCTTTCCTCCTATTTGGGGCTTTGGGTGCAGAGTGATCTCTGGAAGTTGGAACTGGGATCAATTTCCAGGAAAATTTAGGCCATGAATTTCTTTCTCTTTTAAAATCTGGGCTGCTTTTCATATATATATTTGCTACTAAGGCAGCATTATTCTTGAATTTTTCAGTATTTTCATTTAGAGGGCCATCATTGAAGGCATGAGGACATTTCAGTTAGTACAGACTTGGAATTTATTTGTTTGATTTATTAAAAATATACCCTAGCCTGAGGGTCTCAAGGTGTACATATAAAATACTTCAATTAAATTCAAACCAGCAGCTAAAATTTCCTGTTAAGAAATTGAAATATCTTAAAAAGAAAGAAAGAAAGAAAGAAAGAAAGAAAGAAAGAAAGAAAGAAAGAAGGAAAAAGAAAGAAACCCAAACACACACACACAAAAACCCAAACCAAAACCCCACCCAATATGGAATGCAGCAAAAGTACAAGGACAGGCCTGGTGCCATTGCTTCAAGGTCAACTGGCTGACGGGCTGTTGACCCAGGAACGGGAGACAGTTGCCAAACAGGACTGGCCTTGTGTTAGCTGAATGTTTGCTCCATGAACTTGTAATTTAAAGGGCACTGGCTACCCCACTCTCCAAAATAACAACAAACAAAAGACCTTCATTTTATTTTGACACGGTACTTGAAACCTTTCCAAATAGAGTCCTTTGAGGTTGAAAAAAAAAAAAAAACTTAGAAAATTATACAACCTGGATCAATTAAGGAGGGAGGTCATTAGTGATTAATATTTTAATTATAAATTAATAATTTTCTCCAAATACTCTCTTGAGACCGAACTTGTGAGTGAATGGACTTTTTTTTTTTTTTGGAGACAGGATCTTGCTTTGTCTCTGCTCACTGCAACCTCCACCTCCTGGGTTCAAGCAATTCTTCTGCCTCAGCTTCCCAAGTAGCTGGGACTACAGGTGCATGTCACCATACCTGGCTAATTTTTGTATTTTTTTAGTAGAGATGGAGTTTCACCATATTGACCAGGCTGGTCTCGAACTCCTGACCTCGTGATCTGCCCACCTCAGCCTCCCAAAGCACTGGGATTACAGGTGTGAGCCACTGTGCCTGGCCTGGACATTTTATTGAAGGAAGAGAGAAGGAAATTTGGGATTCTGGGTAATGACAGGACAAGGCCTGGATGGGGCAGTTGGGTGAGTTGGGTGGGTATTCTGTGGCATGAGAACATCTGCACTGAGGTACTTCGAAGGCAGCAGGGCAGTGCCAAGTATGGGAGAAAATTCCCCAAATCTCTACATTGCATTCACTTGTCAGTTTTGTCTATCACGGAGTTAAAAGCCCTCCCAAAGAAACTCTGTTGGATCTTTGGAGGTTTAGCTTGAGGACAATGATATGAAAGCTGTAGCTTATTTTTATTGTTATGATATTTTGGAAGATGAGAACTAATCTCTAATAATCCTTAATATTTGGAGTAGAACAGGATTCAGAAGCAAAGTGAGATTGGCCCATGCATGCAGTACAGCCGTCGTTCTCAAGCCAGAATCACCTGGAGGGCTTGCTCACACAGTTTCTGAATTTAGAAGGTCTGGGCAGGGACCTGAAGTATAGGGCATTTCTAACAAGCCCCCTGCTGATGCTGATGCTGCCGGCCCAGCGATGACACATTGAGAGCCACTGCAGTAGAGAAAATGACTTGGAGATTAGCTTCAAGCAAAGAATATTGCCAAGAATGACAAAGGCGAGGTTTAATTTTCCAAAAAAGATTAGAAACTTACACTGAAATGACATGCATCTGTATATTAGTTTATTAGGGCTTCCATGACAGGTATCAAAACGTGGGTGGCTTAAAACAGCAGAAATTTATTGTCTCCCCATTCTGGAGGCTGGAAGTCCAAAACCAAGGGTGTTGGCAAGGCCATGTCCTCTCTGATTGCTCTACCGGAGGACTCTTCCTTGCCTCTTCCAGCTTCTGGTGTTTTCTGGCAATCCTTGGTGTTCCTTGGCTTGCAGACGCATCGCTCCAGTCACATGGCCACCTTCTTCCTGTGTGTCTTCCTGTTGTCTTCCTTCTGTGTGTATGTGTCCAAAATTCTCCTTTTTTTATAAGCACACCAGTTATATTGGCTAGGGCCACTCTGATGGCCTCATTTTAACTTGATCACCTCCATAAAGATGCTATTTTCCAATAAGGCCACATTCTGAGGTACTGGGGGTTAGGACTTCAGCGTATCTTTTTGGGGGGAATACAATTCAAACCACAACAATGTGTTTAACCATGACCATTTCCCAGTGTCAAAATAATGCATGGGTTCTATATGCATTTGGTACTATGCAAAGTAAATTAATTAGACACAGAAATGTAACACCTGAGGCAGGCTTTGTTGATGGTAGGAGATATGGTAGAAAAACATACACGATTTAAGGAATGCAGCCAGACTGCCAGACTTTGAGTTCTTCCTCTGTTCTGTCTGAAATGGTTAATTGCTATGTTATATATGATACCATAACATTTTGCACATACCTTTATTGTAAAAGTGATTACATTCTGTTAGAGCTGGTTATTTGCATTAATCTTGCTAGACTGTGAGCTGCTTGAAGGTAGGGGCTTGTTTAAATCATATTTATATTCACAGGGCCCAGCACATAGTAGGTGCTCAAATCGGTGAAGGAAGAAATTGACTAATAAGTCAAGAACAGCCTGGGATTTTGGCACGTGTTTTCCGGTGTCTCTGCTGGCCCCTCAGGTCGAGGAAAGTGAGAATGTACAAGTGGAGAGACCTACTGGTGCTGCCAGAAGCCACCCTCCACAGATGCTAAACTTCTTTGAAGTCTCATTTTCATTTTAAAAAGTAATGTAGATTTTGCATTCTACTCCATAACACATCCGTGTTTGTTTTAATACAAAAATTATGTTTCAGATGACTTAGACAAATTACTTAATTCCTTTCCCTTCATTCCACCCATCTTCAATTTGAGAAAAATGGTCACCCCGGGAGATAAACCATGTTTATCTGATGAATGTGTATACCACCTGGCACTCTGGTTGACACCCACTAAAAAGCCAAAGACTAGGGAGACACAGTGGGATGGGGGTGAGATGGGTGTATGACAGAGAACAAGGAAGCAGGCACTGGGCAGCGAAAGCTCTCAGGTGGCTGATGAAGCTGCCAAAGAGGACAGGAAGGGCTCAGGCACTGTTTACCTTGGAGAGGGCTGGGTGAGCCTATGAGCTGGTGTCGTGGGGTCAGTGTGACTTCAGCATAACTGGTAGAGCACTGTGTATCTTCTCCGTTTTCTTATGGGGGGAGGGGAAGTAGGGTTAGAAAATAAAGGAAGGGAGAAAACAAAGGAATAAAGACCATGTAGGAGGGCCCTTGGGAGACTTTGAAGCATAGGGTATTTTGGTTGTAGAGTCTTCGGAGACTGTCAGGGCTGAATTTCTTAGAGCTTAAGTCTTGCTGCCTAGGGCAATGGAAAATGGCTGTAGAGTCCCAGAAATGTGTGGGTAGTTGAAAACAATGAGGAAAAGACAGCCTTTGGCAGTGATATGGAGAATCTACTGGAGAAGAAAGTTGTAATGATCCAGATACAGGAGTAACCAGGGAGAAGCTCTACAGCTGCAGATCCAGGGAACATCAGAGGGACAGGGCAACTCCTAAGTCCTTTTACTGCAGGACTTGTCTCTCCCAGCACAAGCTCTAAGCATTTCTCTTCACTCATTAACATCGCCTGGCTTACGATGTCTACTTCCAAAAGGAATGTGCTTCTCTTTATTCAGGAGACATTTACATGCTGTAATTCACTTAAGATTTTTGGCTCTAACTGCTTTGTTCCTGCAAATCAAGGAATAGCATTAACACATCAGCTTATCATCAGATAGCTTGGGATGACCCCTTCAGAAAGAAAAAGAAAATTTTAAATCATTGTTTCCAGAAAGGGCAATTAGAACACCATATATTTTTTCCTCTGAAAATCTGGCACAAGGAATTTGATGTTACCTAATATTCTCGATGGCTTTTCAGAAGGTAACATTTTACCCACGTAAGGCATCCATGCAAACTGCCTAGGTCACAATTGAAAAGAAATCAATGTAGTCCAGAAAGAAACCACAATATGAGGAAGAATGAGCATTAAACTGAAATTTGGAACCCATCATGTGACGTCTGCTGGCAGATGTGGCTCACGCTGTTCGATGTGATTCTGACACTCTCCGTGGTAGGGCTGGTTAGAACTTAAAGTATTTTATGGGTCATGAGACATTTTGGCTCTGTCTGCAAAGCTGCCCTAAGGAATTGTGTTTTTATGCCTTAACTGTTCTTTCCAAAGCTCACTTTTCACTAAGAGTGGGCAACCAGAGAGGTCTTTGTCCAAATACATTACATAATCCCTCCAGGAAATGCCGTGACAGTGTATAGTTGATGAAATGGAAGCCCTGGTACAGTGACCTTTCTCCCAGATATCCTAGGACATACTTTATGCTTCACTAGGCAAACATCCCTTCTTCCAAACTGGATTCAGTTCTAAAGATTTCTTTCCTTGCTGGGGGCCAGGAGACACAATAGGGTGCAAAAGTGTGAAGATTTTTTTCTTTTAATAAAATTATCTAATATTTCTACAAACTGGAAGTGCACACGCATTGCATGGTTAAATAGAGTTGTGCCAAAAAATAATAACCTAGTCCTTGCCCCGAGGAGGTAACGGTATGAATGATGCAATTCAAGGAGAAAGGAAAAGGCAGCTTATATTGTCAGTATCTTCCCATCATGTTGCTGTATTTTGATTGTTGTTTTTTGTTGGTATACTATAAGAAGGATAGGTAGGGCTGTTCTCTGAAAATTACTTTTATTTTATTTTATTTTCCCTGGATGTTCACTGTGTTATACTTGTTAACCTACTTCTTTTTTGTGAGAGGCATATAAAATGCACGATCTGATTCATGCAACATTTATTTAAGCATGTTAACTTTGTGTGTATTTACTTATGAAGCCTCAGGGCTGATGAGCAACACGGGGGCGGGGCGGGGCACGGTGCGGGGGGGGCGGGGGGGCAACTTCTTGCTTCTGGGGACTGTTACTTTAAGAGTAATTATCCTGCCAGTAATGATGACAATGACTGTAACATGAATGCTTACTTTGAAATGGCAATGGAATCTGTGTGTCCTTGAAATTTTTAATTCCTGTAAGAGTCATCCAAAATAGATAAAATTAAGAGCCTGGTTGTAGTTGTTTATCTGTGGCTAATTAGTGAACTATATTCTCTCCTAAGCAGAAAAAAAGACAAGCTGTCTCTAGGATACTAAAAGGTCAGAAAGTTCTAAGCCAATTTTCCTCATACTTGGGCAATGCACCTGCTCTTTTAGAGGATAAAAATGATTGCAGCTCTACAATATTGACAAATTATTTTGTTACAATATGACTCAAATTTATATAGATGATTCATGTGCAATGAAAAATAAGGGATATTTTAACAAATAATTGAGTGCAGGATTGCTTATATGCTCATTAGATAAAAACTGCTTGACTATGCTCTTGAAATCTTTTGTATGTTTTTATTACTTTTTGTTGGCTTGATCTACCAACTATGCAGAGAGGTACATGTATTAGTTTTTTGGGGCTCCTGTAAAAATTCCCACAAATTTGGTGGTTTAAAACAACAGAAATTTATTCTCTAACAGTTCTGTACGACAAGAGTCTGGAATCAAGGTGATGGCAGGGCTACGCTCCCTCTGAACAAGATTCTCTAGGGGAGATTTTTTTCTTCCCTCTTCCAATTTCTGGTGGTTCCAGGCGTTCCTTGGCTCATAACTCCAGTCATTTCCTTCATCTTCATACGGCTTCTCCTCTGTGTCTGTGCCTTGTCTTCTGTCTCTTATAAAAACACTTGTCATTAGATTTAGGGCCCACCCAAACAATCTAGGATAATACCATCTGGAGATCCTTAATTGAATCATGTCTGCAAAGGCTCTTTTTCCAAATAAGAAAAAACAACAACAACAACAAAAAACCACTTAGAGGATTTAGACATATCTTTTGAGGAGCGGTAACTATTCAACCCACCACAATGTATTCTAACTTTCTACTATGCCTGGTAGTGTGCCTCATACCTTGGCCAATTTTTATTTTATATACTTTGGGAGACATGTTATTAGGCACCTGTAGGTTCAGGATTTTTTTCCCCTGATTAATTTCTCATTATGTGATGACCTCCTTTATTCCTCCCAAATATTTTTTTGTTTGTTTTATTGCTTTAAGATCTAGTTGTCAAGGAGGGAGAGGATCAGGAAAAATAACTAATGGGTACTAGGATTAATACCTGGGTGATGAAATAATCTAGACAACAAACCCCCATGACACAAGTTTACCTATGTAATGTACCTGCACATGTACCCTTGAACTTAAAGTAAAAGTTAAATAATGTCTGATATGAATATAGTTTTTCCAGCTTTCTCTGGGTTGCTATTGTGTGTAGTATTTTCTATCATTTTATTTTGAAATTTTGTAATTGATTGTCTTTAGAGGTGTATTTTACACTTGGTCTTAGCCAAAAGGCTGAGAAGCAATTAGAGTTGTTTTCTGAAAACAGCTTGTAGTTGGACTAAAATCTTTTAATAACTTATTCAAAAGTAGAGAATACAGTATAGTGAACCCACATATACCCATTACCCAGATTAATCAATTACCAGGACTTAACGACATTTACTTCTCTTAGCCCTTTAAAAATATTCCTTTTCTTTTTGTTTTGTTTCCCTTGCAGAACTATTTTAAAGCATGTCCCAAACATGATATTTTACCCTATGCAGTTTGTACTTATCTCTAAATAATACGTTTTCTTTCTTGTATAACAAAATACCATTATCACGTCCAGCAAAATAAGAATCCTTTGGTATCATGTAATAATACCCAACATATAATTTAATTCCTCCAATTTTCTTGTGCTTTCTTATGGTTGGTCTTTTTTTTTTTTTTCTTTTTTGAGATGGAGTCTGGCTCTTTCTCCCAGTCTGGAGTGCAATGGCATCATCTCGGCTCACTGCAACCTCTGCCTCCTGGATTCAAGTGATTCTCCTGCTTCAGCCTTCTGAGTATCTGGGACTACAGGCATGCACCACCATGCCTGACTAATTTTTGTATTTTTAGTAGAGACGGGGTTTCACTGTGTTAGCCAGGCTGGTCTTGAACTCCTGACCTCAGGTGATCTGCCTGCCTCAACCTCTCAAAATTCTGGGATTACAGGCGTTAGCCACCACCTGTGCCCGGCCCTATTATGGTTGGTAATTTAAATCAAGAGCTAAACAAGGTCAATGTATTTAATTTGTTATACTTCTTCAATCTCTTTTAGTATAGAGCAGTTCCCCCTTTTTTTTCTTTCATGCTATTGACTTGTTTCAGAAGCAAGTTAGTTTCTTGTAGGTCACTCCATATTTTGCATTTCGGAAGTCTGTGTTTTCCTTTGTGACATTATGTGTCCTGTTCTGTAGCCCCTATATTTCCTTTAAATGGAAATAATCCAGTCTGAGAGTTTTGTCTCTTAACTGAGGATTTTGATCCATTTAGATTGGTTGAGATTACTGATATTTAAAATTCATTCCTACCATCTCATTTTTGCTTTCTAATTGCCTGCTTTTTCTTTGGTTCTTCTTAACATCTTTTCTACTTAAAAAAAAAAGTATTTCCTTTATCCTCTTTTAAACATTTGATTTCTATTCTTTTAGTGACTGTTTTTCAATTTTTTTTTTTTTTTTTTGTGACGGAGTTTCACTCTTGTTACCCAGGTTGGAGTGCAATGACGTGATCTCGGCTCACCACAATCACCACCTCCCATGTTCAAGCGACTCTCCTGCCTCAGCCTCCCAAGTAGCTGGGATTATAAGCATGCACCACCACGCCCAGCTAATTTTGTATTTTTAGTAGAGATGGGGTTTCTCCATATTGGTCAGGCTGTTTTCAAACTTCTGACCTCAGGTGATCTGCCTGCCTCAGCCTCCCAAAGTGCTGGGATTACAGGTGTGAGCCACCACGCGTGGCCCAATTTTTTAAATGATCATTTGACCAGATCAAATCTACAGTAGTCAGTATCTTTACTATTTTCTTTAAAAATGCAAAGCTCTTAGAATGCTTTAAAATCACTCCTTATTAAGTTCTTTCCCTGTATTTTTTAACAGTCAGTGCTGTTTAAATTTCTATACATGTTTGTTCATTACTTTGCTCATCATTTCTTTTATTTTGAAATTTTATTATTATAACTATTTTTTGGGGTAGGGAATTGCTCTGCCACCCAGGCTGGAGTGCAGTGGTGGAATCCTAGCTCGCTGCAGCCTCAAACTCCTGGGCTGAAGCAATCCTCCTGTCTCAGCCTCCTGAGTAGCAGGGATTACAGACATGCGCCACCAGTCTGGCTAATTGTTTTTCATTTTTTGTAGAGACAGGGCCTTGCTGTGTTGCCTGGGGTGGTGTCAAATTCCTGGCCTCAAGTGATCCCCACATCTTGGCTTCCCAAAGTGCTGGGATTACAGGCCTGAGCCACCGCACCCAGCCTCATCATTTCTTTTAAACTTAATTATGTGGGGGCGGGGGAGGTTGGAGTCCTTCTTAAAGCAGAAATTTTTTCATTGAGGGTTTGTGAATAAATCCTTTTAATCCTTTTAATATTTTATGATATATAATAGACAAATATTATATATATTAAATTATATATGTTAAATTATATATTAAATTATGTTTTTATATATATATATTTCAATACCCTCACTACTGAATGGTAGTTTAGGTGGGTAAAGAATTTTAGAATTTTTAGTACTTTGAAGAAATTATTCCATTATCTTCTGGCCTCTACTTTTGTTACTGAGAAGTCAATTGCTAGTCTGAATGTTTTTCTTTTTAGGCTCACCTGTTCTTTTATTTTAGTTACTTTTATGATTTTCCCTTTCTGTTTCACAATGGTATATTATATGAAAGAGCATTTTTACTTTAGTTAGTCTGGTTAAGATTCAAATTTTTTCATTTGAGAAGTCATCCCTTCAATCACTTTTGAGAAATACTCAGCCATTATCATTTCAAATCTTGCCTCTCCTTGACACTGTATTCTTTTCTTCTAAATTCCTAACAGATTGTTAAACATTTTTATTCTCTTCTAAATGTCTT
Source organism: Homo sapiens (assembly GCF_000001405.40). NCBI lineage: Eukaryota > Metazoa > Chordata > Mammalia > Primates > Hominidae > Homo > Homo sapiens. The sequence continues at coordinate 26,751,433 of NC_000018.10, forward strand.
AATTTTTCATAATTATCTTTTAAAATATCTATAATTTTGGGATCTATTCTGGTTAACTTTTTCATATATGCTCATTAATTTTTTTTTCAATTAGATCTAGTTGGTTCTTTAACTCATCCATTGAGTTTTTAATTTTGGTATATTTTTCCTTAGTACTTCTATTTAATTATTTTTCAAATCTATTTTTGTCATTTATATTCTTTTGTTTATTTTATGCTTTTTAATGTCTTTAATCAGCTTAAATATACTTTTCATATTAGCTCTGAGATTATTATTTTATTAGTTCTAGTTCTAGGTGACTCAATCCTTCTGTTGTGTCTGCTGACTCTCTCTTGTAATTTCTTATTATGGGCTCATTTTATACAGGACTTGCACATTTTAAAGTGAGAATTCTGTGTGACAAAGATGCAGTAACATCCTTCGAAAAGGGATTTGCATGTCTTCTGCAAGGTGCCCCAAAGTTATGAGCAAGTATGTGATATTTTAATGGCTTGGGATTTCCCAGTCCTTGTGAATAGCAGCATTCAGACTTCAAACCCATCAGAGACCCAGGCCAAGTCTTTTGCTTTCTCTTAATGTGTTTTCCCCTACACACAGCCAAGGCAGAGATATTCTTTATTGGGTTCCAGACAGCCCGCAAAGTTTTTCTGGTTTTACTTGGCCAGAATTGCAGCCCTTCAAGACGTGATTTTTTTTTTTTTTTTTTTTTTTTTTTTTTTTTTTTTTTTTTTTTGAGACAGAGTCTTGCTCTGTCACCGAGGCTGGGAGTACAGTGGCTTGATCTCGGCTCACTGCCACCTCTGCCTCCCGGGTTCAAGCAGTTCTCTCTGCCTCAGCCTCCTGAGTAGCTGAGATTACATGTGCCTGCCACTACGCTTGGCTAATTTTTGTGTTTTAGTGGAGACAGGGTTTTGCCATGTTGGCCAGGCTGGTCTTGAACTCTTGACCTCAGGTGATCTGCCCGCTTTGGCCTCCCAAAGTGCGTGAGCCACTGCGCCTGGCCCAAGATATGACTTTATGTATGAGTTACACTTCCAACTTTCTACATTGTATAACTCTCTATTCATTATAAAACTTAAACCTTTAGCCTTCACTGCCTTCAATTAGCCTCCTTCCCCTTTCCTGCCCCATGCTTATTCATCAGCATGCATGATTGCCAAAATCAAGATTCAGTTTCATTTTTATTTCTAGTATCAACAGGCCTCTCTCTCCCTCTTTTTCTTCTTTCAGAGCTCAACTATTACATTTTCATGCAGCATTTCTAGGTGTCTGCAGGTAAAGGATTTCTGGGGTGTGTGTGTGTGTGTGTGTGTGTGTGTGTGTGTGTGTGTGTTTTCTTTTTTAAGAGATGGGGTCTTGTTTTGTTGCCCAGGCTCAACAGATTCTCCTGCCTCAGACTATTGAGTATCTTGGACCACAGGAATGTGCCACTGTGCCAGGCTGGATTTGAGTTTAAATCTACTATTTTCTAGGCTTATTGAAATATCAAGATCTTAGAAAAAAAAAAAACCCATGTGAATGAATCTTTGTGTGTGTGTTTATATGCATGTCCCTCTCCTTTCTTTAACTATTGGGCAATCCAGCACAGGGCATGCTGTGTGGTGTTAAAATTCTCTCATCATATCATTTTTAGATACAATTTTAATGTGATTTCTTGCAAACTTGATCATCGACATAAATGCAATGGGAGATGTTAACATTATATGAAAGTACTCTGGTTCTATGTAGTTATCCAGGTGATACCAGGTATGCTTATGTTAATCTTTAAAAGAGTATCAGAATGGAAGCATGAAATGAAAAATAATTCTTGGAGAGACCTTTGGATTCCAGAATATTTGTCTCGTTGACAGACATTAGTTTTAGAAAAACTGCTTCTTGGCTTAACTGGCCAGTTTTAGGAAATATTCTCTTCTCCAGGTTCAACTTGGATACCAGTTCTTCTGGGAAGCCTTCTGTAATTTAAAGGCTTAAAAGCATACCTATTGTATTTGTCAGGGTTCTCCAGAGAAACAGAACATATTAGTTTAGACATATATGCACACATATACATATACATACATATATATACATATATAAAATGTATACACATATATACATATGTAAATATATATGTATATATATGTGCACACACACAGAGACAGACAGGAAGAGAGACAGAGAGAGACAGAGACAGAGAGAGAGATTTATTTTAAAGAAATTGGCTCACAGAATTATGGAGGCTTGGTGGGTCCAAAATCTGCTAAATCAGGTGGAGTAGGCTGGCAAGCTGGAGATTCAGGATTTGCAGTTTGAGTCCAAAAGTGGTCTGCTGGCAGAATTTCTTCTTGCTCAGGGTAGAGCGAGGTTTGTTCTATTCAGTACTTCAACTGATCAGGTGAGGCCCACCCACATTGTGGCGAACAGTCTGCTTTGCTCAAAGTCCACTAGCTTATTTTTTATTTTTTGAGACAGAGTCTCGCTCTGTCACCCAAGCTGGAGTGCAGTGGCACCATCTCGGCTCACTGCAACCTCTGCCTCCTGGGTTCAAGCGATTCTCCTTCCTCAGCCTCCCGAGTAGCTGGGATTATAGGCACACACCACCACACCTGGCTAATTTTTGTATTTTTAGTAGAGGTGGGGTTTCGCCATGTTGGTCAGGCTGGTCTTGAACTCCTGAGCTCAAGCGATCTGCCGGCCTCTTCCTTCCAAAGTGCTGGTATTATAGACGTGAGCCACCGCACCTGGCCAAAAGTCCACCAGTTTAAATGTTAACCTCAAACAAACAGCGTTTTCACACAAACACCCAGAATTCTATTTGACCAAATATTTTGGCAAGCTGGCTGAGCCAAGTTGATACTTAAAAGTAGCCATCACACCAACACTGTAGCTTTTGTCTGTTACTTGGTTAATGATGTGTTTTCATATCTGCCTCATTTCCTAGGCTGTGACCACCTCCAGGGTAGACACTATCTGAAGTGCCTAGTGTGGTTCCTGGAATTTAGTCACTGCTGGATACATGTTTACTTGATGAAATAGTAAAAAGGGAAGCAGGGTAGGAAACAAATGCTGTTTTGTCACCTGACCCTGGGAAGGCATAGGTTTTCTGAATTCTTAAAAAAATTTATTTGCAATATTTGTAATTACACAGCCTATACCTGTTTCAAATCAGATACTTATGATAAAAAGAACCTGTACTGAGGGGCCTGCATGTGCCAGGTACTATGCCAAGTGGCATCCATGTTTCTCATTGGCCACAGAAGGTACCCTCACAGATCAACAAATACTTACCTTCTTTTCCTGTAGAAAGGATGCAGCATGATTTCTTGTGGTCCTGTTTAGTTCTGAAACCATCTAACAACATTTCAGGGATGAATTTAGGGTGTTTTCTGTGGGGGGTGGAAAGCAGGACTAGAATTTTTTCATCTCAAATGCAGGTAACTTTTAGCTACATGTGTGGCAGATTGAATTGTTCAAATAAACCCCATGCAGTTCTTCAAGTTTCTGAGTCTGTGCTTCCCTTTCTTCTTTGCAGTGGTCCCTTGTGGGGATACTAGCATGTTTAACTGTTGTTATAAGCTGAATTCTGTCCTCTGAAATTCATAAATTGAAGTCCTAACCCCCAGTAACTCAGAGTGTGACCGTATTTGGAAATAGTCTTTAAAGAGGTAATTAAATTAAAATGAGGTCATTATGGTGGGACCTAATCCAATATAATATAACCTCCTCATAAGAAGAGGAGGTTAGGACATAGATATACACAGAGCAGAGGCCACGTGAGGCCACAGTGAGAAGGCGGCCATCTGTAAGCCCAGGAGAGAGGCCTCAGAAGAAACCAGCCCTGCTGCCACCTTGATCTCAGACTTCTATCCTCCAAAAATGTCAGAAAATAAATTTCTGTTGTTCAAGCCACCCAGTCTGTGGAATTTGTTATGGTAGTCCTAGCAAACCAATACAAGTGTGGATTTTTCATATACATTTGTTACTTTCACAACCAGATTCTTCATTGTTTTCATTCGTTTTGTAGCCAAACTTGATCCCACCTGAGTTCCCTGTCAATGCTCTCATAAAATTGCTATTTGGGGCAGAACATAAAAAGTTGAAAGAAGTCTTAAAGTCAAATAAATCTTGGCTTCCAACCCTTCCTTACTACTGCAAATGGCTACAGGGTTTAGGATAAATTTAAGAAGGACCTGACACTAGTCTGCATTCAATTAGCAAAACGACATGAGACAGAGGGAATGTCCTGCTCTGTTTTGCTGGATGACTCTGGTATAGTTAAGGATGCCCATGAAAACCAATCTGATGGTTCAGATCTGGGCAAGCACCACTTAGCTGTTCTCTCTAACTGTAGATTGCACCCCAGTCTTTGTAGCTGTTTATAGAAAAAATTAGTACGGCAAGTCAATGTATTTCATTGCCACTGCTGGAAATCTGAAAGAAAATGACTCACTGGGGCAGTATCTTTGACCTTCTACCAAGTGTAATACTTCTGATTATTGTTAGTTAATTTAATGGGAACCATAAACAGGTTCTCTTTCTTCTTCCTCAATGGACTCTATCGTGTACTTTAGAAACATGCCAAAAATGTATAATCACATGTTTTAAGAATATATATTTTGCTTTCTTTCAATACTTAAGTATAGAAAAATAAGAAAATAGCTTCCTTTTTTTCATCAAACATTAAGCAATATTTCACATTTTAGATTATTAAGTTTACATAAATAGTGTTATGTGTTCACTACTGAAATTCTTATGCATAGACAAAAGTCTACTTTTTGCCTTTTCCCCCCAACTTCCTGGCTCCTCTTAAACTTCAATGAAAAAGTATCTCTTCCTATCCTTGATCAAACAGCTTAATCTTCCCCTGCCTACGATTTTCAATTATACTGGCTTTGAAAGGTCTGAGGACATTGCATTAAAGACACTGCAAACAGTCTAGCATTATTGTAAGCTGGGCAGCCTCAAATCCCACATGAAGTCTAGATCTCAATTTATCATAACCCCTGGGCATGTCTACATTTTCTATAAACAAATTGGAATTATTTCCCCTTTTGATCTGGATATGCTAAAAAATAAATATCTGATTTTGGGATAAAAGCTTTTTTGTTTTTTTTTTTTTTTAAGTTAGGGGAGCCTGTTCCTGGTAAAAAGGAGGGGTGGGGAGCCCACCAGCCCTTGTGCAAGTTTCCCATCTCTCTCTCCTTAGCTGACAGAAGCACTATAGAGATTTAACCCCAGGCCTCTTTTCAGTTTAATTCCCATGGACATCTCCCATTATGGCAAAGGCAGCTGATAGGAAATCAGAGATGAAGCAATATTAAGTGTTACCCAGGGGACCTCTCATTTGGAGTTGAGAATGAATCACCTTTAGCCTCTCTCCTCCATCTCCGACACCTGCCAAGTATTGCCTGGGCTGTCAGTAGCTGTGTCTGGCGCCTGTGCAGGGTGGGAGCTTTGTAAGCATTTCTGCTCCTTCTCCTTAGTTCCAAAGCTTGTTTATGTTTCATTACCTTTTTCTTCCAAGGTGAACATGAGCTGTTAGGCAGTGCTCATGAAGCAATTGTTTGGCTTATATACCAAAATTTTCTCACATTCTTGCAGGACTGATTTTCTTCATGCCAAGCACAAAAAATGCTGTTCAATACACTTTCTCCTTTTCTCCTTGTGTAGTAAAGGAAGGATTCTTGGATATTTATCCAAAGTTTTGTCACACTGAAAAGAGAAGACTGCATTGAGGTGATGCTCCAAAAGGAGCAGCTTTGATGCAAAAGAAGCAAAACCCTTTTGTTTCTTGGGCTTATACGAAGGTACTTCCTTTAGATCAGAGTCGGGATGCATACACACTACAAAAACTGGAATGAAAAAGGCAAACCATTTTTACTCAACAGAATTCTCTGTACAGGTCAAGGAAATGCCAAACTTAACAGATGTCTTAGACTGTGCCCTGCAGGTCAATAAATTAGAGTTTTGTTGAACCAGGAAGAGGAAGGAATTCCAGGACTTCAGGTCCCCAAATGGAAATGCCCCTTAGGACAAGTCTAAACTAGGCAAATAGCACTGGAGCTCCTCCAAGTCAGTTGGCTCAGTCTCGTGTAACTCATTTCTGGCCCCCCTGAAGCTGTTTGTTCAACTGTGCCTTCTACAACGCTACAGTGTCAAAGAGAGTTAATCATTAGCAAGTGTGAATAATGTCAGTGTAACGCAGCATGATTGCAGTTCAGTCTGTTTTGACAAAATTCTAAGCATTTGTCAGAGTTTACCAAAAAACAAAAAACAACATGACCACAGAATGTTAAAATAGCATGAAGTTTGGGGAGCAGTTAATTCACTTTCTAGCATTTTACATCACCATTCTCATCGTTTTCCCAGAGGAGAGTGTTGGGTGAGGCCCTCCAGGTGATGCAGTATTACTGACTGGCCTGGTATGGTCTGATTCAGTTCAAGTCAGCTTAATGCAGCTCACCTCCAGAGATCCAGGCTTTGGAGAATGATCTAAAGGTTTAGGTGTAGGGTCCTTAACCTCCCCATTTTCCTTCTCCTTTGTCAGAGCCACCTACTGCCATAGAATTAATATGGACCCATCTGTGATGCAGAGCCTGTTAGGCCTCCTGCTTGTCCCCTGGGCTGGGGATCATAATGAGTCCAAGCCCTCCCTTTTGACTGGAACTGCAGGGGCCCTGGTCCTGGAACTCTGAGGTTGAGAATGGGATGTAAAGCTATATTCCAGCAAGCACTGAAGGATGAGTTTTTCTTGGGCTCATCTGAGTTCTGGATGAAATGAGAGTGATCATCCTAAAATAGAATCAAGAATTCCAGCAGGCACCCAAAATGGCTGTCCAGTTTTAGAGTCATGGCTTGAGGAGGCACTCAGCTAAGTCCTGCCAACAGTAGCTGAGTCCCAGGCCCTGGAATGCCTCTGAAAACCCTTCACATGTTATAACTATGATAATTAGGATGCTCTTCCAAGAAGGTGCACAGACAGACTTCATTTTTCCTGGGATCAGAGCCTCTCAGATATGCCCTTCTTCAGTTCACACACCGCTATTCATTTGCCTTGCTGCTTAACCCAGAAAGTCAGGACACGCTGGATAAGTCACCAAATCACACACCCTAAGATCTCCAATTATCCTTCTCTACTCTCTTCCTGTTGCCATAGGCTTAGTTTGGTCCTAGTAATTTCTCTCTTAGATTCCTTTTAGTTAGGCTTTATGACCCTCAAATTCAGTCAAGATGTTGCCAGAGTCCCCTCTTTAAAATGCAGAATTGCTCCAAGCACTCCCTTGCATGTTCAGCATGCCCCTTTCTGGTGGAAAAAGCCCAGCCCTTGGATACAGCCATCACTTCCTAATTGGGGGTTTACTTTCAGCCCCATTTCTGTTCTCTTGGGTGTTACAGCACAGAGAAGGGCTTCATGTGTCATGGACTTTCACACCTCTTGGCTCCTTCAAGCTGTTCCCTGTACCTGGGATACCCTCTGCTCATGGCCACCTTGAACATTCCATTTAGGAATTGTCATTAGGAAGCTGCTCGTTTACTCCCATTCTCCCTATCCTCTCCCCTACCCACCACCTTGAACTAAATGGCCCTCTTTTGTACTCCCTTAAGTCCTGGTCTATTGCATATTAAAGGATTTGATTCAAAATGTCTTGCTTGGCTAGATGGCAAAAGGAAATGATCCTAAATTGGTAGTTCTCAACCTTGCCGCACTTGGCAATTGCCTGGACATCTGGTCATCTGGTGAAAGGAAACTGACTCAGTGGAAGAGGAACAAGTCTGGGAGCCTTCTCGGGAGAACACCATGGGTCCTGCTCCCTAAGGTTCTGACCTACATGGTGTGGGGTATGGCAGGACATCAGGATTTAAAACCGTTCATGAGGTGATTCCAATGTGCATTAAGTTTGCGATCCTCAATTTTAACTGAACCCACCTTACTAAGGATAAGCAGGTTCATTTGGTGTTATAGACACACTGGTGTTGTCTTTCTGACATGCTTTGTAAGTTCTTCTGCTTTCTATTTCTCAATCAAAAGCTTTCTAATTTTTCAAATACAGGCACCAAATACAGTAGAGAATTGGGCCAAACATGGAAGAAGCTCTTGATTCTGGCCTCACTGTAGAATCATTACCTAAGAAACAAAAAATATGGATGCCTGGACTTGACTCTAGAGCTTAAAGAGCACATCAACTTCTCTGCATTACTCTGGATGGCAGCCTTCACAAGCCATCATTGCTCTTTGAGGAGAGGGGTCTTTTGTCTCAAAGATTGTCAGGAGAGAAGGATGGAGGGACATTGGGCGAGGAGAAAGAAAAGAAATTGGGAGGGAGGAAAGTACATACGACACTTGATGGGAATATTACCAATAACAGGTTTAGGTTCCATTCAGTACCACTAAAACAAGTCATGGGAAATTGCTTTCACTTCAGGCTTCTTAGCTACTGATCCTTGCATTTGGTAATAATTGTTGTGGTGAAAAGGAAAATCAAAATTTGCTTTGCACAGAGTAAAGATTTTCGTCCTTGGAGAATCTGGTAGAGGAAGGGAAATCAGTGGAAGGCTTTCTCATCTCACACTTGGATAAGATGCTCAGCTGGCAACCTGACACTAGTAGTTCAGTGGCAAAGTCAAAGCCGCGATGCTTTATTCCCTGTTAGTATGTCCCATAGAACTCTTAATAGCTTGCCTTGGAGTTGGAGAGAAGGGGGAGAAACAAATGTTTCTTTTACACTTTCCTCTTAGAAAAACAGAGGCAGTGTAGCTGGTTTCAACTTTCTACTGTGGATATGGCTTGTCCTGTCCATTCAAATTCCCCCCACCCCTGCCTAATTCATGGCAAACATACTAGGACACTTGAAAGTAGCAAATGAAATGGAGTGTCTAGTTTTTAAACCATGAATTTCAAAGAAGTAGCATATGGGGGCAGAGCGTTATGTTATTTTATTTCGTTTATTTATTTATTTTTTTGAGACAGAGTCTCATTCTGTCGCCCAGGCTGGAGCGCAGTGGTGCGATCTCGGCTCACTGCGACCTCTGCCTCCCGGGTTCTAGCAAGTCTCCTGTTTCAGCCTCCCTAGTAGCTGGAATTACAGGTGCTCACCGCCATGCCTGGCTAATTTTTTTTGTATTTTAGTAGAGACGGTGTTTCTCCGTGTTGCCCAGGAGCTTGAACTCCTGAGCTCAGGCAATCCACCTGCCTCGGCCTCCCAAAGTGCTAGGATTACATGCGTGAGCCACCACGCCCGGCCTGCTAGTCATTTAAATAAGAGACATAGCCAGACAAAGTGCAAATATAAGAACTCCTCTGAGTTTTGTATTTTCTTTTTTTTGTTTGTTTGAGAGGGAGTCTCACTCTGTCACCAGGCTGGAGTGCAGTGGCGCGATCTCAGCTCACTGCAACCTCTGACTCCCTGGTTCAAGCAATTCTTCTGCCTCAGCCTCCCGAGTAGCTGGGATTACAGGCATGCACCACCACACCCAGCCAATTTTTGTATTTTTAGTAAAGACAGGGTTTCACCATGTTGGCCACGATGGTCTCAATCTCTTGACCTCATGAGCCACCGCCTCGGCCTCCCAAAGTGCTGGGATTACAGGTGTGAGCCACTGTGGACTGGGTGAATTTTGTATTTTCACAAGGCTCATTTGTTGAGGATAACATTGTAGGAAGGTGAGCACATGTGACCTTTTCAATCATGAAATTTTATGAGACACATGCCTTTTTAGGTGGAGCTTACTGCTCTAGGTTTAAGAAGGTAGAGGGTTTCTATCCCTTGAGGATGGGAAGGTGTCTTGGACTCTGCTGTTTTCAAGCCAAAAGCTTACTTTTCTAACAATGCAATGAAGTATCTCCTTTATCTTACATCACATTGATGCTTTGCACACTCAAGTCCACAGGGGCACCTTCTCCGAGCCCTGTAGAGAGCTGGTGCCTCTCTAGTGCCTGGCCTGTGAGCAGCGCTCAGTAAAGCCTTGTTCCTTCCCACACCCTTTCCTCTCTATTTTCTTTTTCATGTGAGGGTACCTCTAGGATAACTGTGATTCTTATCTTCCCAATACCAGGGGGCAGTAAAGATTACGAGGTTTTCCTCTGTTTCTCCTGTTTTTAAACACCTTATGTAATAAAGAAAAAATGTTGAGCAAACTTGAATGGGTGCGTTTGAGTATTTATGTTTCCTATTCTATTTAAGTATTGCACTACATAGTTTCCAAGATGGCCTATAACAGTCCCCATCTCCTGGTATTCATTGCCTGTGTAATCTCCACCCATTGAGTAACTTGCTTTTAATGAGTAGCACATGTCAATCTTGAGGGGATGCTAATTCTGGGATCACATTACAAGAGAGTGTGACTTCTGTCTTGATATCTGATCCTCCCTGATGGCTTCATGAAGGAAGTTGCCATGTTGGGGAAGCCCATGTGGCAAGGATGTGAGAGCAGCCAGCAGTCAATAGCTAGCTAGAAATTGAGATTCTCCATCCAATAGGCCAAAAGGAATCAAATCCTGCCAACACTACATATGTGAGCTAAAAAGCAGATTCTTCCCCAAGTAACCTTCAGATGAGACCCTGGCCCTAGTTGACTCCTTGATTGTAGCTCTGTGAGAGACTATGAATCAGAGAACCCAGCTAAGTTGTGCCCAGGTTATTGACACACAGAAACTGAGATAATAAATATGTATTGTTTTAAGTAGCTAAGTTTATGGCAATTTGTTACACAGCAGCAGATAACTAATACAAATACAAACAATAATATAGTGCTGTCATATATAATTCCTCCATTGTTATAGACATCTGTTTTTTCTTACCTCTATAAAATGTTGATTATTATTATTATTATTTTGAGACAGGGTCTCACTCAGTCACCCAGGCTAGAGTGTAGTGGCAAGCTCACAGCTCACTGCAGCCTTGAACTCCTGGGCTAAAGCCATCCTCCCAGCTCAGCCTCCCTAGTAGCTGTGACTACAGGCATGCACCACCATGCCTGGCTAATTTTTGTATTTTTTGTAGAGATGGGGTTTTGCCACATTGCTCAGGCTGGTCTCCAACTCCTGGCCTCAAGCAGTCCTCCTTTCTTGGCCTCGCAAAGTGCTAGGATTACAGGCATGAGCCACCACATCCAGCCTATAAAAATGTTATAACAAAATTCTGGAGAGGAAAGAGATGACTCTTTTTTTTTTTTTTTTTGAGACAGAGTCTCGCTCTGTCGCCAGGCTGGAGTGTGGTGTCGCGATCTCGGCTCACTGCAACCTCTGCCTCCCGGGTTCAAGCGATTCTCCTGCCTCAGCCTCCTGAGTAGCTGTGACTGCAGGCACCTGCCACTATGCCTGGCTAATTTATTTTTGTATTTTTAGTAGAGAAGGTGTTTCACCGTTTTAGCCAGGATAGTCTCGATCTCCTGACCTCGTGTTCTGCCTGCTTCGGGCTCCGAAAGTGCTGGGACTATAGGTGTGAGCCAGCGTGCCCGGCCAGAGATGACTTTTTATGTGCCTTGGCATCTCCCTCAAAGTATTTAGTAAAAGTTTTCTTGTTTTCGTTTTTGTTTTTTTTTTTTTTGCATACAGTAAATGCCATTAAATATTTTTTGAAAGAATGAATAAAGGTATATTTTTATTGATGTTTTCAAAAAATGACTTGAATTCATGCCTTCTGATATTTGGCATGTCTGATTCTGCTATGTTCACATAGTTAAAAGGTTCATGCTTATTTCTTCTTGATGAATAAAGAAAAATTATTTCCACAAAACATTATAGGTTGTTTTGTTTGTTTGTTTTTTAGGAACTTGGAGAATGAGTAGTTCTACTTGTTTGCAGGCTTAATGAAGAACCAAATTGGATATAGTTTAGAAAGTGGGGTGAAATATATTTGACCTACAGATTCTGGGTCCTGATTATTTTCTGACTGCCTTTGCCCACATTTTTCATGCCACTCACCTAAAATGATGATGCATTTGTGGTATTGACAAATCTTTTCTTTTGGCTGCTGAGTTCTGTGTTAAGAAAGACATATATCAATCACTAATTAGTAAGTCCTAGTCAAATGGTGGGCGGGGGAGGGAATCCATGAAAATGTAAATACAAAAACAACAAGCCATATTATACTTAACAATTAGTTTGCTTTTTCCTGACCTCCTCCACTTTTTGGTACATCTTTTTTTAGACACAGGAGGCGAGAGGAAGTTCAGATTGGAGGCAGCCTTCCCACTTTTCTTTAGAGGAAGTCATCTTTGTCTTTATCTTTCCTTCCTTTACAGCACAAAAAGTTTTCAAAAGATAGAGCTGACTTCCCTGAATGGCTTCCCCATTCCTATTCCACTGTGGTAGCATTTTTGGGTCTGGACTCTGGACTTTGAATTTATAGCTGTCTTGTGTTCTCACTCTGGCAGAAAGACATCCTCTCCCTCAGGCACCTTGCCTCTTAACTCACTGCTTTGAACTACAGCCATATGGGTATGTGATCAATCTGTCTTCCTCAAGAAATCCAAAGAGCGCAGGCAGGGGAATCCATCTGGACCCTATGTAGCTCTCAGAGAGGTGGGAGAGAGCCCATCAGGTCTGAGCCGGCAGTAAATTGCCCGCAGGTGTAGCCAGGGACCCTTCTTCGTCTAGATGGCTTGAGATACACCATCCTGAACCTTGGCCCCTGGCCACATTCTTTCCTGATGGGTAGAGGAGGGTAAAGTTAATACTCACAGGAGTATTGTATTTCCAGTTCTTAACTGTGCTGCCTGCAAGCATGGCACAAGAACTACATGGGCAAACAAACTACTGAATTTCAGCAAGGCAGTTTAGCAAATTCTTTTATAAATTTGAAGGAACCTGTGGATTGGATGATTCTGCGTTGTGGCAGCATTGTCAACTGATGGACCCACCAGTTCCTGAATCCTGCTGACTAATGGATCATTGTCAACTTGCTGGAGCTTTGAGGAAGGTCTGTATTTAATCTGTACTGTTCAATGTTTGTTATCAGTAACTTGGATGAGATTATTCATGACACACTGATCACCTTTGTTGATTTTGTGAAGCTGGATGAGCTTCCCAAAGCTATTGAATGACTGAATACAAATCCAGAACTATTAGAACAATGAGTGAAATCTTACAAGACAGACTTCAGCAAGGATAAATGTAAGGTCCTACACTTGGATTTAACACACACACCCCTTAGTACTATTTGTTCTTGTCCCCCAGACAAGGGAGGATTGGATTTTGAGCACTGCACTTGTGTAGAAGGCAGGATGGTATTGTCTTGGGGGAGATGCTTAGCCAAAAGCTGACCATGCCATTCAACAAAATAATATCCAAAGAGGTTAGGGAGGCAGAGAGCATCTGGCTACAAAGCCAGCCAGATAGGGATCTGTTGACAGAGAGGTCTTGGAGAGGGTGGGGGAGGTAGGTTGTAGGCAGAGCCTGGGGCAGTTCCTGTGCTGATGGTTGCTGTACTGTTTTTTATCTGTTGTGATGGCCTTAGGCTTGGGTGGAGAGGGAACAGTGAAAGGCATCAGCCAGGTGTGGACAAGCATAAATACAGAAAGGGGAAACTATGTCTAGGAGTAGCATGCAGAAAAAAAGGCTCAGGGACTTGAATTGAAAACATGATGTGAGTCAGTATTAAAATGCGCTTGCCAAAATAGCTCATTTGATCTCTGGCTGCACTGGTAGATGTCTATAGAATTTGTAATGAGTCTTGGTCTGATATGACCCAGTGTACAGAGTCCAGTACTGGGCACTACATTTCATGAGGATCATTGGCACACCAGAAGGTAGCCAGAAGAGAGGCTTCTTTCATTCATTAAGTCGCCAAATATTTGATGAACACCTACTAAGTGTCAGATACTTTCCTAGACACTGGAGACTTAGTCACAAACAGGAGAGACCAGGTCCCTGTTCCTAGTAACCATCTGTTCTAGTGGACAGAGAGGTAGCAAAGTTGTACATAACTAAATAAGATCATTATACATAGGAATAAGTCTTACGAAAAATAAAGTAGGATGATGTGCTGGGACTTAATGGTGCGGGGTTGGGTATAATTTACTTATTTAGAGTGATCAAGGAAAGCCTCCCAGAAGAGCTGGGATCTGAAGAATGAGTAAGAGGTAAGCATAGAAAGACCCAGGAAAATAATTGTACAGGTAGAAGGAACAGCCAGTGCCAAGGCCCTGCAGAGGGAAAAGCTTAGAAAATAGAAAGGGGGCCAGTGTGTCTTGGAAGCAGTGAGCAGTATGACAGCAGGACAGCAAGTCTAGGTCAGAAATGCAAGGTAGGGTTGGCTGGTGCCAAGGACTCTAGTGAGGTGGTGCAAAATGATCCCATTTATTTTATATTATTACACAATCAGGTACACAGCACTTAACTGTGTGCCAAGCACTGTTCCAAGTCCTTCGCAAATATTAACTCATCCATCACCATGAAAATGATGGTGGTAAGCATGTTCTCACTCATAGGTGGGAACTGAACAATGAGGACACTTGGACACAGGGCGGGGAACATCACACACTGGGGCCTGTCGTGGGGTGGGGGAAGGGGGTAGGGGGTAGGGGGGAGGGATAGCGTTAGGAGATATACCTAATGTAAATGACGAGTTAATGGGTGCAGCACACCAACATGGCACATGTATACATATGTAACAAACCTGCACATTGTGCACATGTACCCTAGAACTTAAAGTATAATAATAATAAAAAAAAGAAAATGATGGTGGTAACTCATAACCAAATTACATTTTATAGCTAAAAATCTTAAAATTTTAATTTTTATTTCACAATTATTATTTCATTAGAAACATAAAATTCAGACTAAAAGGGCTTTTTAACATAGTGACTTTACCTACTTTGAATGCAAAGCACAGAAAATATGAAATAATTTGTCCAAGGGTCAAACCCCATGTATTTTCACTCTTGATGTCATTTGTTGTTTGAGCAATAAAGAAGGAACAGAGAATGTTTAACCCAGAGAAGATGTATCTTTGAGGTAATATATCTCTCTGATATTTCTGCATCATAGAGTTACAACACCATGACCATGTTTCAGAATTTGATGGGCTGTGCACAGTGGCCTCTAACACCTGACCAGAGACCCTGTGAGTCCTCTTTTCACACTGGTTGGGGTCAAATATTTGCTGAATTATTGTTTTTTTAGTTGTTGCTGTTCTTTTGTTTTGTGAAAACCTCAACGTATTAGAGAAATGCTTAAAATCTTTCCAATTTGTGGTTTTGATCCTTAAATTAGGGAGCGAGGAAGGAGTGCAGCATATACAACCATGATGCTGCTCTCATTTATTTATTAAATTAACACATATTTCATTGAGTACCTCTTCTGGGTAAGACTGTGCTTGGTGCTAGGTATAGAGAGATGAATGAAACAGATATGGTTCTTGCCCTTACACAGCTTACACTCTATGGGGAGGGACAGACAACAAACAAGATAAAAGCACGTATCTATGTAATTTCAAATCTTATTAAATGCTAAGGAAGCAATGAAATGTGTTTTTGTTATCTATTGTGCATTATAATTCCCACTGAAATTTAGCAGCTTAAAACAACCACGGTCATTTATTTTGCTCACATATCTGCCATTTGGACAGGGCTCAGTGGGAATAGCTTATCTCTGCTCCACACAGCACCAGCTGAGGTGCTTGAAGGATCCACTTCCAAGGTGGCTCACTGATGTATTTAACACTGGTTGTCATCTGGAAGCTCAGCTGGGGTTGTGGCTGGGGGCCTCCTTTCCTCTCTACCGTAGCCTTTCTGTGGGACTGCTTGGGCTTCCTCATAGCATGGTGGCTAAGTTCCAAGAAACTGTCAGTCTTTTTAAGTCCTAGGCCCAGAAATGGAAACAGTCACTTCTGCCATAGTTTGTTGGTCAAGTATGACCACAGAGCCCACCTAGATCCAAGGACATCTAGCCCAAGAGTGGTCATAAGCCAACTCTTGATGAGAAGAATGTAAAACAAAAAGTGTGGCCATCTTTGATCTATCATAAGCTGTTATTTCATAAGTTTCCATCTTTAAGTCTACTGCCCGAGATAGAGTTTATTTTTGCCTGCAGATTTTCCCTATAATTATAAGGTGTTGACATTGGCTTATAGGTGCTGGTTTAGCTGTGAGTTTAAGGTATGACCAGTTCATGAAGATTGTTATTAACAGATTATCATGTTTCTCTGTTGATTATATATTTTATTTAAAAAATATCTTTATTAAATAAGAATTAAAGAGCAGGATACAGACTGAATCCCAACCCTTTGACTATCTTATCAGAAGATTGGAAGCACCTGGTTAGTTTTTATCAGCGCCTGGAGAGAAGAAAGAAAATGAACTTCTATTGAGGGCTTACTACGTGCACAGGTGATTCATTTAAGGCAGCTTGTTAAATCCTCCTAAACACCTTTCTAGTTATTCAGTTTCCACAACCAAAAAATAGAGATACTACTAACTTGAAAGGTGTTTAGGAGGATTTAACACACTACTTTAAATGAATCCCCTGTGCACACAATAAGTACTTAATAGAAGTTACTTCCCTTTCCCCTCTCCAGGTTCTGATCAATTTCTGTCTTTCTTCCCTCAAGGCAAACTCATCAAGAGAACAATCAGTTACCTGGTAGCTATCTTCACTAGTCCTTGCTTCACTCTCTCCCTCAATCATTGACTGATTGAAACCTTTGGGGCTAAAATGTGATATTCCTGATTCACACATGCACACACACGCAGACGCGTGCACGGACATGACATTATTTCTCTCTTTGCTCACTTAGCAGTGAAACAAAAGGTCTAGCTCACTTAAAAACTTGTCTCCAAGTTCTGATTCAATAAAAACAAACCAGAGAAAAGTAGAACAAATTTGAAGAGAAATAGGAGATTCTGAAGTGGATACAGATGGTTTCTTCACAGCAGCAGACACTCCCCTTATTATCTTTCTTTTGCTGGTGCCCTTGACTTCTCTACCTTGCCCTTAACCCTGCCCAAATTAGGGCATCAGGGGTAGAGAAAGGAAGCCCCTTCCCTGTTTCAAGCTGTAAACCCTGCACATCCTTCCTGTGTATCCCTTTGTGCAGCCTGGCTTATCCATTCCGGAAGGTTTGTTTATTCCTTCTATTTGCAACCGACAGATCAGGAGAGAGAAAAGGAAGGAATTACCTCGGATGGCTGGAGCGGAGAACTAATGAAGGGAAGGCTCCAGGGCTTTGCCAATGGGGCATCTGGCCGGAAAATCTGTGGATGAATCAGCACAAGTGGATGCTCGCTGTTACAAAAATGGCCCAAATCACATATTCTAGTGATCATTGTTGATGGTATCATATTAAAAGTGAACTGCCATGGAAGAATGCTAACTTTTGTTGGTGCTTGAGGTGTAGGAGTCCAGAGACATTCGATTGGGTGTTTTGAAAGCAAAAGGCCAGTCTCCAGACACGTTTTAGTGTCAGCATTCAGACTTTCACAGCTTTGGCTACCTCTATGTGCTATTATAAATTGATGTCATTACAAAGATATTATAATACCTATCTTTTCTCCTAGAATCATGAAAAGGACTATCCTTAATATGGAATTGGATATTAAAAGCCGTTTCTTATCCGTGTGTCCTAAAGCAATAAATGACTTCTATAATTAATTAGTGCATGGGTCATTCCTGGAATGCTGATTGTCATTCTGTGGTTTAAAATCACAACCTGGGATTTTCTTTTTTGTCTTTTGTCCATATGTGACTCTGAGTAGCCAAATCTAAGTATCATTTGCTCTAGATGCTTGACATAGTTTATATGCCTAGCAATTATGACTGCCAAATATTTTACATTGTGAAGCCAAATGGCAAAGTCACACTTATAGGGTGCAAAAAGGAAATCAGATATCGAGTATGATACCACACATTCAATAGAGAATGAGAGTTCAGGACACGGCCTGTGGAGTTGAACTGACCTGAATGAGAACTCAGCTTTCTCATTGAATGACTGAATGCCTTGCACAGTCATTTTACGTCACCAAACCTCTGTTTCCTCATCTGTAATATTGGGATAACAATGACATGACCTCATTAGGTTCTTACATGGAATAAATGGGACAACCCATGTAGAAGGTTTAGCACAGTCCCCGGCACAGAAGGGACTCAGTAAATACTAGATGTTATTTGTGCAGGAATAGATGTGGTGCCTGCAACCTTGCTGTATAACCTTGGAGAAGTTTTTTAGCCCCTTTTCCTTTTCTATTTCTGTACGTTCTTATTTGCTTATTTGTTAGGGTTATTGATTGGATGTAGTACCTGTTAAATACCATCTTGTACTGGTATTTGTCTTTGTATGTGTGTCTCATTGTCTCAAGTCCTCTATTATGTGTTGGAGGATAGGGGCTGTGTTCCACATCCTTTTGTCGTTTCCACTGTGACTTAACTGGTGGTTTGCACACTGTGTGTGCTCAATGCTGATTGATGATAATGGTGAGCAAATCATAGTGTGTGGTGGAAGCAAATCAAGATCAGGTAGTCCACTTTCACATGCATGAGAAAGCTTCAAGTTTGCGGGAAAAAAGAACTCCTTTTTTTCTTTATGGTTATAGAGACTTCACCCTTCCTCCTGGACAGTCACTTTACATCCTCTCACTTTCACGGAATGAAACAGGCAGATGATCAGATGTAAATATTAATATGTCATAGCTATGGGCAAAACAACTCCAGATGACTGTTTATACAAATTTTGGGGTCAAAAGACTTTATTACTCTAACTTTTGGACAAAAAATGTTCTATGAATACAGATCTTTTTAAAAATTGTGGTAAAATTAAAAAAAATTGTGGTAAAATATACATAAAATTTACCATATGAACCATTTTTAAGTGTACAGTTCTCTGCCATTAAGTACCTTATTGTGCAAACATCAGCATCATCCATCTCCAGAACTTTTCATATTTCCCAGGTGAAACTCTGTACCCATTAAACACCAACTCCCCCCTCCCCCCACCTTAGCCCCTGGCAACATCATTCTACTTTCTATCTCTATGTTTGACTTTAGGTACCTCATATAAGTGGAATCATACAGTATTTGTAATGTTAGGACTGGCTTATTTTACTTAGCATAACGTCCTTGAGGTTCATCTATGCTATACCAGGTGTCAGAATTTCCTTCTTTTTTAAGCCTGAGTAATATTCAGTTGTATGTATAGACCACATTTTGTGTATGAATTCATCCAATGATGACTCTTGGGTTTCTTCCACCTTTTGGCTATTATGAATAATGCTGCTGCAAAACATGGCTATACATTTTTTTTAAAATATGGCAGTGTATTAGGTTTCTCCAGAGAGACAGAACCAATAGGATATAGATAGATACGTGGATATAGATTTGGATAGATAGATGAGAAGGGTTTTATTAGGGGAATTGGATTACATGGGTATGGAGGCTGAGAAGTCCCATGACAGGCCTTCTGCAAGTTGGAGATCCAGAGATGCTGCTAGCGTGGCTCCATCCTCGTCTGCAAGCCTCAGAGAACCTAGGCCAGGGGCAGGGGTTCGGGGGAGGTAGGGGTCATTGGTGTAAGTCCTAGAGTCCCAACACTCAGTTGACTGACTCACATTTCAATCTCTTCTGAAAACACCCTCATAGAAAGAAGGAATGCTTTACTATTTCTCTAGGTATTCCCTAGTCCAGGCAAGTTGACACCTAAAATTAAGCATCACAAGTAGTGTAGACTATGATTATGGGCTTTCTTGTGTAACTCTCAGGTTACTCCCTTTCATAGAAGGATTAACGCTGGCTACCATCCTGTAGTGATACAACTTTGTTTTCTGTTTTTCCGCATGTGTCACCACTACGTGAATTATTTCCTGCTTATGGGAACTGGTGTCTACAGCCTGTGTGAGTATTGTGGCTGTGCTTCTGTTCCAGTCTTCTTTATTGAGGGAAATATTTGAGAAGAGTCCTTACTGCTTAAAACTAAAGCTTGGGAATTGCTTGCTTGAGTTAGATTTACCCAAAAAAGAAAAACGTAAAAAAAGAGACAAAATGTAAGCAAGCTACACTGATACACGTCTCGGACACAGCTTCCTCCACCCCATGCCAGGCTATGTGCTGCCATTTGAACGGGTATCAACTTTCTTGTTGTTTAAAAGGAAAGGGCCCTGGTGGGCTGATTCTGTGACTCGGTGCACATATGGCAGACCCAGTGCTGTCATAAAGAATTCAGTGATCCCAGAACTGATTTATTTTATTTTGTTTTTAAATCTGAAGACCAGGTTCTTTTGAGGTATTAAGTTCTGGGCACCAGCGTTTGCAGATATATCACTGCTCAGGGCAGAAATGCCTTCCTGTGCAGGGAAACCTCCCAAGAAGAGTGAGCCTCCTCTCCTCCTGCTGGTGAGACCAGAGAAGTGTTTCTAACATTGTTGAAATGAAGCAAAGTTATCCTTCTTTTGACCCTGCTGTAGCATCTGGGGTCATCTTTTTGTTTACTGTGTATTTGTTTTTGACCTTCAGAAGGTCCTGGTGGCACAGCCCAACAAAGACTAGAGAATAAAACAAACAGATGCAAAACAAAACAAAGTCTTTAATCATTTCCAGATACCACCACCCCACATGGCAATGTGGCTCTCAGCTTATAAGGTGATTTGATTTTAGAAGCCAACTGTGTTCTACATAACTTATACTGTCACCTGTCACGTTGTAATATACCTAGTATGTTAGTCCATTTTTACACTGCTATAAAGAACTGCCTGGGACTGGGTAAATTTATAAAGGAAAGAGGTTTAATTGACTCCCAGTTTTGCATAGCTGGTGAGGCCTCAGGAAACTTACAATCATGGTGGAAGGGGAAGCAAGGCACCTTCATAAGGCGCCAGGAAGAAGACTGAACACAGGAGGAACTACCAAACACTTATAAAAACCATCAAATCTCTTGAAGACTCATTCACCATCATAGAACAGCATGGAGGAAATCACCCCTATGATTCAATTACTGCCACTTGGTTTCTCCCTTGACACGTGGGGATTATGGAGATTATAATTAAGATGAGATTTTTGGTGGGACACAGCGAAACCATATCACCTGGCAAGCATCAGACACCTATGGTGCTTTTTTTTACCTGTGCTCCTCCTTCATCTTTCATTTTCACCTTAGTAGACTAAGGCACAGGCAGTGAGAGCATCGAGGTGCCTTTTGCAAAGGCTAATGGGGGTCCAGGAATGCTCATGCAGCCTGTCTGTGGGGACAAAGAATAAGGTTGGGTACAGAGGACCTGGTGGATTAATGCCCATCACATGGAAGGCCCTCCACCTGTAGTTATTGGAAGAATAAATGAATGAAAGAGAAGCATCCCTGTGATGAGAGATATAAATTGGCAATCAGTATCTAATATTAATTCCATTGTGCAGATGAGGAGACTGGGTTATTGAGATAGTAATTGATTTCCATAGGCTCAGCCAGCTAGCTGCTGTCTTGTTAATGTCAGAAACAAGACCAGACTTTACGCTTCCAAGCTCAGAGCCTAAAGTGTTTGTGCTAGATTTATGTGCTTGCCGACCCATTCCTGCTGATGGTCACTTTGATAAATCATTTCAATTAGAAGCAGATGTTATCATGGTATACATGGAGACAGGTCTTTCTGAGTTTCCAAACAGTGTAGTTGCTGTTTTATGGTTTCCTGTCTGTGTGTGGGTCTTTATTTGTACAAGTCTCATAAACAAACAAATAAGCAAATAATAACAACAAAATTGGCTGTGGTGGCATTTAAGATTTCAGTAGAACTTTTTAAGTATATAGTCTTGTGTATTTCTCCAGAGAACATGATCAGCCTGCTTGAAAAATCAGCAGAAAAATGAAGAGCTTGGTTTGTTGTACAGAGTAATCAGAGAGCACTCACACAGCAATGGTAGTTTCTGGAAATTTGGTCTGGAAAACAATAATTAAAAATCTTTCCTGCTTTTACAGCATCTGGTACTAACCATCACATTCTGGGAATCTTGACTTGCATGCAGAGATTTTCTTAAATTATTTCTCCCTCATTTAGTATTCACATGGCTTTTATTTTCTTATAATAATTTCCTTTTTTGATTATATATTTAATACTAACATAAATTTTGCATGAATTTGGGGAAGATCTGTAATGGCATAAAGATAAAATTTAAAAATCACTTATAATTCATTATTCAGAAATACCAATTTTTAACATTCTCGGGTATACCCTTTTATTCTTTCATATGTTTTTGTTTTTTTTTTTTGAAATTAGAGGATCTATTTTACATTTTGTTGTGCAATCTGCTTTTTTTTACTTAAAGGTTTTTGTGGAAATTTCTCCATGCAATTAAACATTCTTCTAAATACAGTTTTTTAAAAGGTGCCGCAGTTGTAATGTTGTAAATGCACTATATTTACTTAACCATTTCCTTGTGGTAAAATTTTAATAGAATTCTGACTTTTATAGTTCATATGCATATGGATAATATAGCATCTATTTTTATATCTGTAAACTTTCTTCTAGAAATACATTTATTTTGAGCAGTAAAGTATCTGATTTTAATTTTGGATCACTCTTTCCCCCCGGGACCTTGGAATCAGAGCAAAAAATGAGAAAAAGAAACAAGATAATAACAAAAGTTGGGGCAAGTTAGTATTAGTTGAACTGTAACAATTCTTCCTGCCTGCCAGCCTAACTTCCTGACTCCCTCCCTCCCTTGCTATAATAAGTGCCTACCATGTTTCACGCATAGTGCTAGCCCTATGGAAGAATAATAAGCAAGTGCTAGTTCCTACTTTAATAAACATATCATGGAAAGAGGAGTGGAAGCTGCAGATGTGTCTAGCAGTTTAACATGGGAGAGTGGAGGTAGTAGGTACCTGAGATTATATTAGCCTTGTAGGAAAGGGAAAGCAGGTGATTGCTGAGTTGATGTGATTTGAGGGATGCTGCTTAAAGGCATGTGTGTTTGTGCATATGTCCATATGCTTCATGGGTGGCCAAGGGCATGCAGTAGAGAGAAAGCAGGTTGGATGAGTTGAGTGTCATTGACTCATAAACTGGGAAACTCAGTGCTTCATGCTCAGTTCATTTCTGAAAATGTTAATAATAATTTTTTTTACTTGTTTTTTTTCTTTTTACAATTTCAATAGTTTTTGGGGTACCTGTGTTTTTTCGTTACATGTACAAGTTCTTTAGTGGTGATTTCTGAGATTTTAGTGTACCTGTCACCCAAGAAGTGTACACACTACCCAATATGTAGTTTTTTGATACCTTCTCCCAAGCTTTCTCTGCTGAGTCCCCAAAGTCCATTATATCATTCTTATGCCTTTGGGTCCTCATAGGCTTAGCTCCCACTTATGAGTGAGAATATATGATATTTGGTTTTCCATTCCTGAGTTACTTACCTTAGAATAATAGCCTCCAGCTCCATCCAAGTTGCTGCAAAATACATTATTTCATTCCTTTTTATGGTTGAGTAGTATTTCTTGATGTATGTATACCACATTTTCTTTATCCACTTGTTGGTTGGTGGGCACTTAGGCTGATGCCATATTTTTGCAATTGTGAACTGTGCTGCTATAAACATGCATGTGCGTGTGTCTTTTTCATATAGTGACTTCTTTTCCTTTGGGTAGATACTCAGTAGTGGGGTTGCTGGATCAAATGGTAATTCTACTTTTAGTTCTTTAAGGAATCTCCACACCGTTTTCCACAGTAGTTGTACTAATTTACATTCCCACTAGTAGTGTAAAAGTGCTCCCGTTCACCACAACCACCAACATCTATTGTTTTTGGACTCCTTAATTATGGCCATTCTTGCAGGAGTAAGGTGGTATCTCATTGTGGTTTTAATTTGCATTTACTCAATGATTAGTCATGTTGAACATTTTTTTCATGTTTGTTGGCTGTGTATCTTCTGAAAATAATTATAAAATACCTACTTTGTGGAATTCCAAGGCTAAAGTCCTATGAAATTCATTCTTGCACCCACATGGTCCATCATATTGCAGAATTCTATCTAATTTATCCATGTTCATTAGCCAAATTGCAAACTCTTAACACCAGAAAAGTAAGTAAAGGAAAAGAAGAAGCAATTACCCCCAGCTGGCTGCCAGTTTCCTGTTTCTGTTCCCAGGACCAGATTCTCTTATCCCTGGAGCATGCTCCCTGTTGAATTGGATGTGGCTGATGTGTGGGTAAAATTGGACCATATCTTGTCATTATTGTGTCTCTGATGACAGAAGTCATGGGGTCAGACTGGGTCTCAGGTGTTGTCTGATCAGGGAGGCTGCACCTGCTGTGGGGTTCTGGTCTCAGTCTCCTGACTGGAGTGCAGTCCTCCTACCGTGCCCACTTCTCCCTTCTCTCCACGCCCCCATCCCCAGGCTCCTGTCTATCAGACCAAGACAGGCTTCCCACTGGCCCACAAAAATTCTTAATTACAATAGGGACTTCTCTCTTGTTGACTTTTTACGACTAAGATCCTCCTCAAGGTCCTAATCAATAATAGAGCAGTTGATTATCCTGTGTAGGGTGACATGGTGTATTTAGACTTGGGAACAGAAATATTTTGTAGCCATGTCTTATTGTCCAGCACAAAGTTATCTTAGATTCAGACACTCAAAACAAACATTCCATATAAAAAGAACTTGCTAACAGAACATAAACACATTTAGCATATGAGGGGAGATAACCATGCTCTTTAGTAAATTTCTCATGTACTGGTAAAACACATATTTTGAGACAGAGCTATATACAAGCTAATAGAAAAATATTGTAATTATAGGCTGGGCTTGGTGGCTCACACCTGTAATTCCAGCACCTAGAGAGGCTGAGGAAGGTGGATTGCTTGAGCCCAGGAGTTCGAGACCAGCCTGGAGAACATGGTGAAACCCCATCTCTACCAAAAATACAAAAACTAGCTGGGCATGGTGGTGGGTGCCTATAATCCCAGCTGCTTGAGAGGCTGAGGCAGGAGAATCACTTGAACCCAGGAGACGGAGGTCGCAATGAGCCGAGATTGAGGCACTGCACTCTAGTCTGGGTGACACAGCGAGACTCTGCCTAAAAAAAAAAAAAAAAAAAAAGAAAAGAAAGAAAGAAAAATGTTGTAATTATCTATAAAAGTGGTTTAAAATTATGCTTTTCTAAAATTGTGACTTTCTGAGCAATTCAAAAGTGTCATAAATTGTGAGCTAAATTTTTAATTCCTATTTAATATTTGAAAAAACTGGGGTTTAGAGAGGTTAAATTGCCTGCCCAAGGTTACCCAACCAGTAAGTTCAAAAGAGGGAATTTGAAGTCTAATGTATTCTTAACCAATTTGCATCTTCAAAAGACAATGTTTAGTGAACACCAATATGTCATGTTATTTCATTTAGTACTCATCGCTACCCTCTGAGGCATTATTCTTCTTTTACTAATGAGGAAACTGAGGCCCTAAGGGATTAAGAGAAGTGCTCAAGGTACATGTTTGTTATGTGACACATTAAGAGGGATTCTCACCCAAGTCTGTGTAACTCCAAAACCCGTGAAATCCCAGTGCACCTTAATTCCTTCTGGAGCTGATACGATTGGAAATATGATTGGTTTCTAAAAAAAGTTACTTCCACTTCCTCTAGTTTTTCAGACTTGAGAAATCACTAGAAATGGGGATAAGTTGAATTTGGGTAGGGAGGGAGGAAAGGAACCAAGTAAACTCTGAGCAGGGGCAGAGAAAAGAGATTTTTTTTCCCTAGCTCCATTTTCAAATGTTTTTGAATCATTTTTTTTTTCAATCAAATTCAGAGCATGCCCCATTTATTTGCAAACCTGGCTGGTATAATTTTTGTCATAGTAACCCACGTTTTCATAATTTTCATTTGAGATTGCAAAATGCTCTTGCACAGCATTTTAAAATAGCAGGCAAACCAGCCTTGGAGCCCTTTCCCTGGGAAGGGTAGCGGTGGGGGTGGGAGCTCTTCTCCTAAAGGACAGAAAGGCAGAGCCACAGGAGCTCTGACACAGGAGAAGATCCCAAAAAGTAGGACACCCTGGAGGGTATTTGGCATATAACAAGGTTGAGCTAGCTCCCAATCGAAGCAAAATCAAAGCAGCCTGGCCTCACATTGGAGATGGGAGTCTGCCTGGAGCTGACAAAGCCCAGGCTAGGCAGGGCTTAATGACAGGAAAGGAAATGAAGACATTCCTCCGCTCTCCTCCCACCTTCTTTTTCTCAGACCCAAAGATGCTGTATCAAATTTCATGCTAGGTGGAAAGAACACATATGCTGCCTGCAGATGCCTCTGCTCACAGGTCATTTTGGCCCTGCCTGAAGTCAGTACTTTAAATGCATCCTCAAAGGAATTCCTAAAGGAGATCTTTCCCCTGCCAAAACACATATGTGTGGAGAGCATATACGCGTGCATTCTGGAAATGAGGAAGCCTTCAAGGAGAAGTTTCGCTGGGAGTACCCAAAAAGCTCCTGGCCATGAGACCTGAGAGAGCAAAGTCCTTGCCAACTGGTGCTGTGGGGACCAGAGAATGCTTCATGGCCCAAGGAGTAGAATCTTGCAGCCAACTCTGGAAGGGTTGGCCAGGGTTTCATATGGGAGTTTGCATTCTTCAGGCGGGGCCAAGTAGTTGGCACCTATACAACAAAAGCATTCCCTAATGGGAAGCTACATCTTTGGCTTCTTTGATGTATGCCTTTCTGTCTCGGTTATCCCAAGATTTTATTAGCTAAGGCAATTTTGTAAAAAAACAAAACAAAAAGAAAACAAACAAAGAACAATAAGAACACCAAGGAAACATACTATGGTGTTAAACACACAGACACACAGACACACACACACACACACACACACACACCCCACTACTTACCTTGTAACCAGAACCCAACAACTAACATCTTAGTACCTTCTTCAGATGGCTCTTGCATTCAGAAATAATTTTACCTTTGACTAATCACATTTTGAAGTTACTCTTCATGTAAACCAGTGATTTTCAACCTGGGAAGCACCAGGGCCTTGTACTTAGAGATTTTGATTTGATTGTTCTGTAGCAGGTCCCAGGCTTGGGTGTTTTTACCTGCTCCCTGCCTGGTTCTGAAATGCAGCTAGGGGCTGGGTACCCCAATATCCCTGGAGAAGCACTATGCACCTTCCTCACCTGCTTCATGCATCCTTCCTGCTATGCCTAGATGACAGCAAGAGTGGCAGGAATCAGAGTTTAAGCCACATTACGGTACGCTCTTCATATTGTATTTCAAGTGGATTCCTTGTGTAATTTACTGTCACACTTTTGAGATACAGGAAATCCTTTTGACCTATTGACTTTGCGGAGCAGGTTTCCAGAAGTGTTAAGAATGCTCTGGCGGTCCTAGGTGACCGACACAGTAATCTTGGGGCTTAGCAGAATATACTAGCCTCTGGCTGTGACATCCACAGGAAACTTCCCCGTCTGGAGATATACATCTGAGAGAACACACTGGCATCTTTTCATTCACCTGAAAAATCAAGAAAACGCAAATGTAATCCATGTTTGGATGGATTTCGCGCCCTGGGAGAATCCTACTGGTCATTAATATGCGTTTTCACATTACCATAATCACATCGTGCTTCCTGTTTCTTAGCTGAGGAGGTGGAAGATCTTGGATTACCTGGCCAGAGTTATATACTTTCGATAAGACCAACCAGTTCATAGTTTCTGACTGCAGTGAGTCCACTTCCCTTGTAATGAACACATGGCTTCCTTTTGAAGCCACAAGGATAAATGATTTTTGACTTAAGGACTGAGAAAATAAAAAAATCTTTAGATCTTAGGACATTATTTCTGACTGATTTGTAATATCCCAGGAGTCTGAATAGAACTTCTTAAGCTATGTTGCATAATACAGTAGCATTCCACATTTTAAAAATGTAGGAGGGTAGATATATGCTAAATAGTATCTAAGAAAATATTTTAATAATTGCCTTTCAAAGGATTAGTAACTAGATGACTACACATTCAATATATTATCTGGGTTCTTTGAAAACCTTATAAATTTGAGAAAAATCAACATAAATTTCCTCAAAGATATCCTAA
This sequence comes from Homo sapiens, assembly GCF_000001405.40. Classification (NCBI taxonomy): domain Eukaryota; kingdom Metazoa; phylum Chordata; class Mammalia; order Primates; family Hominidae; genus Homo; species Homo sapiens. The sequence continues at coordinate 26,779,396 of NC_000018.10, forward strand.
AAATCTATAGTTCAGTTTGGCCATCTTAGCCTTTAATTAAGCAAGCAGCATTTAATTTTACATGTTCTTTAAAGACATGTAAAATTTAAAAAAGTTCTAGTTTAGTTTGAACATTTCAGCTCTTAATTAAGTAAACAGCACTTTATTTGATTTTAAAGTGCTATTTATTTATTTAAAAACATTTACATAGTTCAACATTCCAAAGGGGCAAATGGTTAAAAGTGAAAAGCTTTTTGCTCGCCTCTCAACTACCCAACTTTCCCTTCTGCAATTCAAACAGTGCTACAGTTTCTTGTATAGGTAACCTTTATTTATGCTACATTTAACTGGAATTGGAGAAGGAAACAGATTATTCCCACTGAAAGCCCAGAAAACAAGTTTTGATAGAAAATGGGGGAAGAAGGAAAGTGGCATTATTTTTGAATATGAAGTACAGTAATATTTACTGCCAAGTTACTTTCCAAAATGAATCTCTGTTAATCACCCAAACATAATGCCTCCTCAGTAGATGTTGAGAAATACTTGCTTATTTAATTGGCTATCGATGGAGTGATATCTTCCTAACACGTAATTTGGTGTTGTGTGTTTTCTTCTGTTTCCACATCCTCTGTGAGGTTCTAGAATTAGGTAAATTGGGACCACGCATGGTGGCTCATGTCTGTAATCTGAGCACTTTGGGAGGTCAAACTGGGAGGATCGCTTGCACCCAGGAGTTCAAGGCCAGCCTAAGCAGCATAGCGAGACCCTGTCTCCACAAAAAAAAGTAAAGAAAATTAGCCAGGCATCATGGCACGTGCCCGTACTCCCAGCTACTTGGGAGGTTAAAGCTGGAGGATCGCTTTACCCCAGGAGTTTGAGGTTCCAGTGAGCTGTGATTGCACCACTGCATTCCAGCCTGGGCAACAGAGTGAGACCCTTTGTCTCTAAAAAAAATGAAAATAAAAAATAAATTATTGTAAGCTGGCCCTCCTTACCTTTGATTCCCCTGTTTCCTATGACCAGCCTATTACCCTCATTTGACTTGAAGGCTGGAGTTTCCAGCCTGCCCCTTCTCACACGTGCAATTTGGATTCACGGGTGGAACTCCAGGTCGTATTCATGGTGCTGAGATACTTGAAGCACTTTCTCCTGAGATGTGGGGCAGGAGAGAGCTGAGGCACTTTTCCTGCTGTGTTAAGAGCTGCCTCCTACTTTCCCAGCAGGAAAGAGAGCCCAGTTGGGGTGAGAAAGCAGTTTTTTAGCTACTGCTGCATGTCAAATAGGGCTTCCTATTGTTTTGTTTACCCTATTGGCTAATTCTATGATTTTAGTTCCAGAAGGGTTTTGCCAGGTGGCAAATATTCCAGGTGCCTGGGAAACAGCAACACCATAGCAGAGAGAAACAGTGCAAGGCTCTGTTTCGACCAGGACAACCCTCACTTTTATTCTCTATCATTTTTTCCCTCTTTGATATCCTTATTTTCAAAAACCCAGAAGAATGCATGAAATGGGCTATACCGGACAGGTTGAAGCTAAGAAAGCAGTTTCCTTAGCAACTGTAGCCATATGAAAGGCTGGCAAGTCTTCCTTGTCTCATTTTTCATTTCATTTTCTGCAGTTCCTGAAAAGAGGTCAGATGCTCTGTGTTAAGTTCACGTTGCAGTTTTGCTTGTGGTACCTTCCGTACCAGAGCTAGGCAGGCAGATAACTGTACATGTTACTGACTGCTTTTGTTTATTTCAGTTAGAGATGAGCACATGCACTGTCACATTTTGCAGTTGGTTCTCAAAGAAACACAGAAGACTTCTTTGTGAAGAGTTCAAAAGCAAAAGTATAAAAGCAAAGGCCACATATTTGCAGCTTGTTGGTCTTTAATGAGAGCTATTCTGATTTCAAAGTCATATCAGAATATTTTTGGTAATGGCGAACAGAACCACATTAAAAAATTCAAGTTAGTCCTCCACTAATATGACACCTCTTCTAAAATTATTTGCAAAATCTAAAAAGGAAGTTTTTGGTTAATTTTAAGTTCCTAAATTCGATTCAACAGTATTTGTTGCAGCTCTGATTCACTAAGAACTGCAGGGCATAAGCAGATGTGATAAGATGGTCTGTGCCCTCGAGGAGTTGCAAACTTAGTCCTGGGAATAAGACAAATGCAGTGTAATTACGACTACAAGGAAGAAAGTGATAAATGGCACAAAGCAGTGGTTATCGACCTTGACTGCAGGTTGGAATCACCTGGGGAGCTTTAAAAACACCAGTACCAGGGTCCTTCTCCCAGAGGTTCTGATTTCATTGGTCTGGGGTACAGCCTGGGATTGGGATTTTAGAAAGGCTTTTCAGGTGACTCCAATGTGCAGCTGAGGTTAAGGACCCCTAGTGAAGAGGGTCCGAGAGATGTCCAAGAGACAGTTTTGGTTGGTTGGGGTGAGAAATTGTTTACTTTCAGGTAACATTTAAGAAAGGCCTTGAAAAGTGGGTGTGAGTTCATCAGGCAGAGAAACTTGGAAGGGAAAGGAAATGTTTGCAGAGGAGAAAAAAATATGAGGAAAGCCACGAAGTGTGAAACAGGGTGGGTGGATGCGTGGGTATTTAGGGAACTGTGAGCAAACCCCCTCCATGTGAGTGTGGAGTATCCGAGTCCAGGAGAAGGTGAAGCTTCGAGGCAGATTGGGAAATCCTGAGGTGGGTAAGGTGAAAAGACTCTGAGCTGGAGGCCAGACTTGCTTCAAATTTGCTTTCTTGTTTTTAACTGTGCCTTGGGGTCTTTGGGGGTTTGAGCCCAGTCTTGATTGGGGGAAGTCAAGCAGAAGGGAAGACAAGAAAAAGAGCTTATTTATGGGAGAAGAGGATGAGTTCAATAGTACAAAATCACCGCAGTTAGGAGGAATCTTGGTTAAACTCCTTTGTTTTCCAGTGGAGGAAGCCCTAGAGGAAACTGACCTAGGACAATGACATGAGTAGTTATGAGCCGTTGTGATTCCAAGGTTGAGGGAGTTCAGGTGGAGATGTCCAGCAGCCAATTGACAAACAGGTGTAAAGCTGAAAAGAGAGGTCAGGGATGAAGATGTAATTTTGTGACTCACTTTCAATGAGGCAATAAGGACTTGGGGGTGAGAGGAATCTGGAAAGGAGAGAAAGTGATATTTAGAAGAAAAGAGAATTTGAAACCCATAAAAGAGGCACAGAATTAGCATCAGAGAAATAAGAAGAGAATCAGAATAATTCAGTGGTACAGAAGCCAAGAAAGAGAGTTTCAAAGAAAGAGATCCTTCACAGAGGAAGGATCAACATGCAAAAGGCTGGGGAGAGACTGCAAGCATGCAGGCTTGCCAAAGGCCCTGGGATTAGAGGCTTGAATACAACATGTGACACCATTGTGAGACGGTGGGTGGGAGGTAGATGTTAGGAGCGATACATGAAGGCCTCTGAGGAAGATGCTATGAGCTTTCTTCATGTGCTGGGTGGCCCTTCCCCAGATCTTGTATTCAGTCATTTTTCATCAATTAAAAGACAAAATGGTTGTGGTGAAAAACAGACTATTTTGCTTTCTGAGGAGCAAACAAAAGCCTCCAATTTTAAAATTCAATTAAAATCAATGAAAAAATGACATTCTATACTATGAGCTTGAAAATATAAAATGAATAGCTTAAAAAACCACCATAATTAGTTATCTTACCAGTCTAAGACTTAGACTTAGACCTGAGTCACTTACAAAGGAATACCAATGGATGGGGTGTGAATATGTATACAGATTATGTATATTATATTTGATAGACAGATCAGGAGAGAGAAAGAGGAAAAGTAGGGTGTTGCAGACGGCACAAATGAAAAGACTCTAGATTTTCCCTTCGGGGAGTGCAGACAGCATGCTCCAAGCTGTTGAGTGGCTCTGCTCAGCAGTGAGAAAACCCAAAGGCATCGTGCCTCCCAGAATACCCCTCGGCTGGCCAGAAATAGAGAGTTAATGAACAGGGACAGACGCTACCAACAAAAGAAGAAATGCTTTATTTATTATTCACTAATCTCCAGGGTCCCTGTGCTATTCAGAATTAACATGCTCTCTGGAATAATGGTTTAACACCTCCTGGTTTGACAGAGCTGTGCTTATCCAAGCACGTGCAGCATTTCTTTTCCTGAGAGCCAGGATGGAGCATAAAATGGAGCCCCTGACTCTTCCAGCCTTTGAAGGGCATCTGGTCCACCCTCCTGCCCCATTGTAAGAATGACCTCACAGCATCACTGACAAGGGCTGCCTTCTCTTAATAAGTTTTTAGTGTTAGGGAGTTCACCACTTAATAAGGTAGCCCATTATGTTTTAAGTGATTTTATAACCTTTAGAAAATTTTCCCGTATATTGAATTCTTTCTTTCTATAGCATTCATCTTGTACCTGGTCCCAGGTCTTCTCTCCTTCAGGTTTCATCGTTTCCCTCAAGCTTTTCCTCTATGAACCGTTGAATTTGTACTCTACTACAGTCTTTATGTTCATTTGCTTTATGATATGAAAATAAAATCTTAAAAAGTCATAGCTTATGTACCCAAATTAAAATTCTGTCCTGTGATGTCCAGGTCCATTGGGATCATGCATTCCTTTAAAAAGTCCTTGAAACCAACACAATGTTGTTAACTTCATTTGCTCATTCATGCTAGCAGAGTCTAGGCTCCTCTTAGAATCTGAATGGAATGCTTTATTATGTGTCTTTGACAAGCATCTTTCTGAGCAGGGACTTCCATCCTGTATGTCAGACCTACTGAAGGGAGCCAGTCTATGTTGTGAATGCAAAGGCATCACTTTCTTCGGTGGTGAGCTTGGTTGATATCTGGGCTATCAGAAAAATGTAACAGTTATCACTTACAGAAGCCCATTTGCAGTCAAATCACAGAACTTCTAAAAAAGCAAAAAAAAAAAAAAAAAAAAATCCCATGTTAGGGAGAGAATTTTTGCTAATTTTTTTTTCAAGATAGCAAAGCAGCATAGATGCCACAAGTGTGTCTTTGACAAATTCCTGCTGAGTTGATTTGAACAGAATCTGCTTCTTGTCTCTGAACTTAACATTTTTCTGTGGAGGTACTGGTGGAGTGCCTCCCCACAAAACAAGAGAGACATCTTTTGACAATTTCTTCTTCTATGAAAGGTATTTGGATCCTTTAGTATTTCTTTGCAAGACTAGGTCAAGAATTCTGTGTTAGACATTATTTGAAACTTTTTTTTTTTTGTAATTGATAATACAAATGAGAAAACTAGAATAATCAGCAGACAAACTAGATCAGGAAATCTGCTAGCATCTATGCAGGGCAGCATAAATGCCTACAGTTCAATATCTCGAATATCCAAAATGCTTACCTTCCATATCTGGGTTCTTCAGAGTCCTCAGGATATCTGGATGACTGCTTTCAGTTGTCACATTTTTGTTCCTTAGGGAATTAACATTGTTATTTTTGTCCACAATGACTAAGAGATATGCAAATAAATCACAAATGATTTTTTTTTTCTGTACATAGTTCTTCAGGGCATTTTTACCAACTCCTCTTACATAACTTTAAATATAGTGTGAATTGAGGTGAGACCAATTTAAATTATAGACACTATTCTCATCATTTTAACAAATGCCCTTATCATATCCAGCTCTATTACTTTTACCATGACACGAAGTTCCTGCTAGTATCTCTTGGCTCATGTGGACTCCATGAGTTACGCTGGGGTCCCTGTGTAACAGATGCATTTGTAAGCCCCTCTCTGTCCCTTCTTTTCAGTCAGTCTGTCAATCTACTTAATGACTCTTCCTCTTGGCCTTTTTTAGTAAGGCATTTTTTATACATTAATGGTAGAAGCTTTATGTACAGATAAAGCTTGACACATTTTTCAAGTGTTGGGATGGCATTTAATGGACACTTTGATGTTTCTTCTATAGATTAGAGGGCTGGCAATTTTACTGAAAGGCCAATGCTTGGAAACAAAGCCAATGGCAAAGTGCCTCCCCTTGCCCCACCTCCTTAACTTTTTTGGTTGAAGTACAACTTTTCCTACCATTTTAATGAAAGAACAGCTCAGTAGGTGCCAGGCTCCCAGATGCCAGGGCGTTTGGAAGAGTGAGCTGAAGGAAAGAGAATGAAGAGGTAGTGTAGACAGAAGATGTGTGGAGTCTGTAATTAAGTAAGAGAGAGGAGACGTAGGTGAGTTTGGAAAGCAGAAATCTGAGGTTTTTCAATAAATTAACAGAGTCTCTCTCTCTCTGTTGCTCTCTCTCTCAGTCAAATTTTGTGGTGGCAACTCATTCCTATACCAGGGTGCCACATGTGGAATCCAGATGTTCTTGAATATTCACGTGTAGAATTAGACAAGTTTGGGGGAGAGTCAAAGGCCTTTTATCAAGGCCTGTTTCCAAAGCTATTTTTTCCACAAAGCATTCTCTGATTCCCCTGAAGGCAGACTCTGTTTCTCTTGGATCCCCAAGGGCATTCAGCACCTCACTTAGCCTTAGAAGTTGCTCCTTGTGAGTTTGTATCCCTTTCTGAACTGTGTGCTCCCTGAGGGTGGGCCTGAACTTGCATGCTTTCGTGTCTCCTGATGCACTAAGCGTGGAAGGCGCTCTCCCAATGCTGGAGTTGAGTTGGAAGGACTGAAACTTAAAAGGCTGGGAGAGAAAAGAGGTGGGCTTTAAAAGCATCTGTTCTTTCATTTCCAAGAGCAGTGGATCCACTCCAGAGGCCACCCTGAAGAGGGAACTGACCCTGTGCCATGACTCGAGGAAGCTGCTGTTTTGATGGAGGGCATGGCTGCAAAATCTTGCCAGGCCATTTTTACGTGAATATCTTCACAGGATCCTAGGTGCTCATGGGCACAGCCTAGGCTCTGAGGAACAGGATGACTCTGTTGGGTCATTAGCAAATACTTGACCTCAAGGTGCCAAGGGTAGAAAGGAAGAAGGCCTGGAGGACGAGGCCAGGTACCAGGAAAATAGGTGAGTCTAGTGAGCATCTTGTGTGTTTCAGGGTTGTGACATCCTTCTTTCTCTAGGTAAAGTTCCAAGATTGAGCAGGTGACATAATCTCTCCACCTCCTTTACTTTCTGGCCCCTTTCAACCATATTCGTTTGTGATCTTCCAATCAGGAGCTTTTATCTCATCCATCTCTGGGCTTAGCTGGGTGCCTGACATGGAAGGCACTGAATATGAGCTTACTGAGCCAATCTGTCACCCCCTGTTACGATGCTTGCTTCCATGTGTGTTCTAGTTTGATGGACCTATCCTCCCATCATACTCTTCAAAGACTGTTACTTTTGAATTTCAACATTGTCCAGCACAACATCTTTTTAAAGGACAACAATAATACATTTTAAATAAAATTACTATTTCAGACATGTTTTAATTTTTATGCACTAATTTTAAAAATAAATAAAATTTGATTTTTAATATTATTTTATTCTATAACTTTATACTTATAAAATGTTATGATGTAAAAAATGATAGTTACAAAGCTTAAAAATAAATGGAATGCCCACAACCACCACCCAATCTAAGTGTTAGAATATTACCAAAACTCCCATCCTGTGTGTTATCTTACCGCAAACCCTGCTTCTGTTCAGTGGGTAGCAACTCTGCTAACATTTATGATTATTGGTCCATTGAATTGCCTCTTAAATACAGTTTTATCTCAATGTATATAATCTTGAACAAAATATTTAGTTGAATTTTTTTAAGTTCTATTTAAAAATGCCCGTCATTTTGCTTGTAGATTTCTGGTGCTTTCTTCTCTTTGCTTAAAATTATGTTCCCAAATGTATTCATGTTGTTGCATGTAGCTATTGCTTGTTCATTTTCACTGCTACATAATATTTAATGATGTGAAAATACAATAATTGTTTATTTCCCTTTCCTGTTGACAGGCATAGGACAAGTTTTTGCTATTATATTTGGCTGGTATGAACCACCAAATGTGTATGCAGTTATTTGGGGCATATACATTGGGAAGCAAGGTCTGCAGGTATTCAGCTTGGCAAGACAATGCCAAACTGTTTTCCAAAGTGGATCTACCAATTCTCCCCAAAGCCGGCTATGAGATTTCCCCACTGATCTGCTTTCTCTATAACCCTTGGTATTGTCAGACTTAGCAATTTTTTAAAGTCTAGTGGGTACAAAATGACATCTTTTTATTTCTGTACTTAGGTAAAGCCCCCAGACTTAGCAAGTGGCGTTGTCTCTCCTCGTTTACTCCCTAAATCCTTTCAACCACATTGATCTGTGATCTTCCAATAGAGGGGCTTTATCACGTTCATCCCTGGGCTTAGCTCGGTGCCTGACATGGGAAGACTTGTTGATCTGAGTTTACTAGAGACTCCATAGAATTTGGATCAACAGAATCTTAGCATTAGATGGGATTTACCGAATGGAGCATCTGAGAAAGCCCAGAACCAGACAGCAGGAGGTTGGTGTGTGCTCTCTCTCTCTATCTCTGTCTCTCTCTGTGTGTGTGTTTGTGTATATATATATAAAACACAATTGTGTGTGTGCAATTGTGTGTTATGGAGAGCAAGCATATTGACATGTTGATACTAATACAGCCCCCATGCAGGAGATGAGAGGACAGGGTGAGGGCCATGCAGGCTGACAGATTTGTTTTCTTGAAAAGTGGTGAAAATGACTGCTCTGCTGAAGGGACTGTGGGTTGTGGGGATCGTTGCCAGTTGGAGAGCATTATCCAAAAGATGGGACAGTGTGTGTGAGTGAGAAAGAGGTATCTGTGAAGGAAGAGTGTAAGAGAACTTGCTGGAGTTTGAGGAGTCCATAATCACAGATTTGGGAAGCTAGAGAATTGGAGAGAAGAGAAAAGAGAAAAGGAGATTCTAATAATATTGCCATGACCTGTGTATTCAGATCCTCTTTTAAGATTCATCAAGAAATAAAATAAAGAATTTTAATCACTAAAGTCCTGTTGGAGATTTAGCCACATTTTCTTACCTTGTCAAAACTTTGTAATGGAACCAAATGAAGTTCATATAATTTTAGATATATATTCACACATATCCTAAAAACTGTAACCATAGTAGTTTGAAAAATATCATATGTTATTATGACCACCATTACCAAATGTTTTACTTAAAGGATAAGATATAAATGCTACAGGCCCAAAATACCATGAAGATTTGCCATTGTAAGCAAAATATCTCCTTATAACCAACAGTTCTCTTTCAAAACATTTTTCAAAATATAAAAACGTAATATCTGCTTGACAGATATTGTAAACCAATAAAAGACAAATAAACAAATACTCTTATACTGAATCTCAATATTAGCTTTTGGTTTCAGGTGCAATATAGTTATTCTGATGGGCAAAATCATTCAAACTTATTTTAACGTGTGCGTAACTATAGCATTCTCCTCTACATGTGGATGAGAATACAGTTGCGTTTAGCTAGGCTAAGAATACGGCTGTATTTAGCTGGGCTAATGTTTCCACTGTCAAATCTACTAATCAAAAAGCCAAGTTCTACTGACATTTCTCGGCATTCCTATTAGGGACTAAATATATATTTGTTTACTTATTTAATGTGATACTTCTTTCAGAGGTTCTCTTTCCATTTCTGGCCTTAATATGAAATCCTTATACTGTACACCAAGTAATACATTTAATGAAGACCAAATCTATTGGATATTTGAACCACTGCATTCCATGTAAAATGTGTCTTTTTAAACCTATAATGGACATTAAAAATATGCTCAATCAAATTTCTTGGGGCCTCCTGTGTCAGTCTTCCTGGAATCCCTTGAGAAGCGTTGTCTTAGACATGATCGGATGTGCTCTCAGGTGACCTTTTCTGTATTAAGATCTCCCTTTTTATTCATAAAATGTCGATACTGTAACACAGAGAATCCTATATCCACCTGGATTTCAGACCTCCACACATCCTAGTGCACCCTGGCTTCAGAAACTCCATTTTGCAGTAGCAATGCCCTCCTTTCTCTTCACAGGCAACCTCTCTTGCCCCTCCTTCTGACAATCTGTCAGACAGTCACCGATTTTTCTTTGCTGGCAATGCACTGTTACCAGTAATTGCAGAAACCATTAATAAAGTGGGTGGGAGGGGGCAAGGGGGAGAGGGAAGCGAGACACAAAGGGAATAAGTATTGTACATAGCCCACAGGCTTTTCCCTCCCACACATATGATGCACTGTTGTTCCCCGCCTCACGTGGGAAAATGTTGTCCTGCTGAAAATACACCTTAAAGGCAGCTCTGCCTCAAAGATATCACATATGCATATTAATAACACACACTTTGTAGTGCCTAGAGTTGTTTTTAATGAAGCAAGCCGAAATATACCAGCAACTTTCTCATCTTCTTCTGAGTGCTGCACTGATGCATAAGGGTGGGTTGGGGTGGCTTCTGCCCCGAAAAGAAAGATGAGAGAGGCTTGGTTAGTAATTCTTTATGACAGAAATAGAGGGAAGGAAGCATCACTGGATGAAATGAGTCCATCTTCCAGAAAGACCGAGGCTTTAGTAAGATTTTTAGCACAGGCTATGCACGTCAGTAAAAGTAAATAGAGATCAATGTAGGTGAGAAAAGGACCTGCAATGGAAAGCCAGAGGAAGACGAGAAAATATTTGAGGAAGAGGCTTTGTGTGAGGAGGCATGAAGGTTCCTTTAACCCTGAGATGATGTTTTTCCATCTTGCCAGATGCTCTTCCATTTTCTTATGGGACTTAACTTGCTTATTTAAAGAGAACAGATCACCGCTGTTAGCTGGGCCAAATGTAAGCTTGAATTTTTAGGGACGATATGGTATATTCTGCCTATCAAGTTCTTGCTCCCTGGGGTCCATTGCTCTAAAGAACAGCTGATTCTTGGGGGTTTAGCCATGAGGAATACTAAGTAATCGATATTTGGCTTTCTTTTATTAGATGAGCCCAAGAGGCAGGTATGATTTTTCTAAAAGTCTACTTAGCTCAGTTGGTTAGAACATGATGCTAATGAGACCATTATCTTGGTCTCATTTTCTTGTGGTTTAACTTTGCATAGAAGAAATTTCTTCCATGCTCACAGAATTTACTCATGAAGAGAAACAGTGTGGCCTGCTCAAGACAAAGCCATCATCACCTCTGGGAAACCAAATCACAGAGCCTAAGCTGTTCCTGTGTTTCTCACACCTGTTCCTTCTTTCCATTCTGGGAAGAAAAGTTTAGTGACCTGTCACAGCTTGTTTCAGTAGGCTTCTAATATTCTCCGTGTCTCTAGTCTCTTCCCATCCTAATAATCCTACACATGAAGGCCAGGGGCAGCTCTATTCATGCCATCTTCATCGATGGCCCTGAAGTTAAAACCCAATATCTTTGTATTTAAAGCCTTCTGTGTTCGATCCCTGGTTTTCCTTCCTATCTTGACTCCTCATCCTCTTTATCATTTAATATTGCACTCAGATTGCATAACCCATTAGCCCTCAAATTTTCTCCATGTTTCTCACCTTTGTGTTTGTTCTTCTGATGTTACCCCTGGATGGAACACCCTCTCACCAATTATCTCAAAATGTTTTTCATTACATGGCATTGTTCAAGTGTCACCAGTTTTCAACTGGGCACAGTGGCTTACACCTGTAATCCCAGAACTTTAGGAAGCTGAGGCGGGAAGATTGTTTGAGCTCAGGAGTTCAGGACCAGCTGGGGCAACATAGTGAGACTCCTACAAAAAATTTAGCCAGGCGTTATGGTGCGTGACTATAGTCCCAGCTACTTGGGAGGCGGAGGCAGGAGGATCACTGGAGCCAGAAGTTCGGGGCTGCAGTGAGCTATGACTGAACCACTGCACTCCAGCCTGGGCAACAAAGTGAGACCCTGTCTCAAAAAAAAAAAAAAAAAAGAAAAGAGAAACAAAAAGAAAAAAAGGAAGAAAAGAAAAAGGGAAAAAGTCACGAGTTCCATAAAAAAAATTCTGTTCTTGCAAATGGAGACAAACTCTCCATCTTCTAAGTGTCTCTTGTACTTGGGTTTTTACCTCTTTTAAGACATGAGTAATATTTTAATATAATTATAATCATTTTTTATCAAGTATCTAAAAGTGCTAAACATTATGGTACAAGGAGGGTTGAATATAAGTGTATGTAATCTCCTTGTATTAGTTAAGGTTACACTAGCTTCTCTAATAACCCCCCAACTTTTAATGATTTAACATAATAGTCCAGTGTGGTATTACTGGTTAGCAGGAGGCTCTTCTCCAGGTGTTGATCTAAGGACAGCATTAGTTTAATCTAGTTCAGGTTTTTCTACCTATTTTATTTATTAGTTATCTATTGCTGCATAACCAATCACACCATCAAACTTACTGGCTTAATAAAACACATTATTTCACAATTTCTGTGGCTCAGGGATTTGAGAGAAGTTTAGCTGGGTGGTCCTGACTTCAGGGTTTCTCATGAGGTTGCAAACTGTTGGCAGGGGCTGTATCATCTGAGGGCTGGACTGGGCCTGGTGGATCCACTCCCAAGATGACTCACTCACAATACCTTGCCATGCAAGCCTCTTCACTGAGTGTCCTCATGGCATAACAGCTGACTTCTCCCAGAGTGAGAGATGCAAGAAAGAGCAAGATGGGGCTTGTCCTTCATGACCTACCCTGAAAAGTCACACTCTGTCATTATTTCTGCACTCTATGTGTTAGAAGCAAGTCACTGAGTTTAGGTCACATTCAGACAAGGGGAAACTAAGCTCCAGCTTTCAAAGAAAAGTGTATCAAGGGATTTTGCACCCATTTTAAAACCACCACAGCCTGAAACCTTCCATACCTTCCTCCATTGTGTGGGGCTGTGCAATCTCCTAGGGTCTGCATTCTTTAGCTTCCAGCAGGTGGAAAATGAAGAAAGCATAAAGGCACAACATCTTGTTAAAAACACTTGTCTGAAAATGACACTTATCACATCCATTCTCATTACAATGACGAGTGTCATATGGCCAACTCTGGATTCAGAAGGTGGCCAGAAAATGTGGCCTCTGGCCAGGCAGCCATTTCTTAGTGGCAACACTCTGCAACTCACACCCAGCCCCAAACATTAACTTCTTTAGGGCAGAGACTGTCTTGTCTTTCATCGTATTCTTCATTCTACAGATAGCACAGGCCTTGTGCAGAGCCAGTGTTTTTTAAATATTTCATGAAAGAATGAATACATAAATAATGGGATGGTAGCATTATTTTTCTATATATTTCAAAAGACAAACCCAGGCTTGCTTCCTAACTAGAATACACACAACTGTGCTACTCAAATTCTATTTACAACCCAGCTATGGCCTGTGTGTCTATGCTCAGAACAACCTAGGCGTGATAGTTCTCTTGTTATTTCTTATGAATTATTTATCTTCCCCCCTCTGAACTTTCTTCAAATGGCACATTGCAAAGGACTAGTTCTTTACTAAAGAATATTATATAAAGGCAAGAATGTTCAAAGCTTCTCTGCATCACTACACAAACAATTCAAGAAAGATGCTGCCAAATGCCAAAGTGATGGGATCACAGGGTAGCAGAGATAAGAGGTAAATTGTCATAGCAACCAGAGGACCTCCATTGGAATGACTGCACTCCAACTTAAAAGGAAGTTTTAAGAGCTTAAATACACACAAAGAAATGGCTAATTTCATAAAAATGTCATTTAAAAACAAGAGAATCTCTTTAAACTTTTCTGAGTGAATATAATTTGGAAAAAATATAATGTAGGAAAATGCCAAATCTGGACATTAGTGAGTCTTCACCATAATATTTAATAAGAACAATAATTTTTGTTCTTATTAAATACATGATTTTTTTAATTTTAGAAAAAATTAGTTATTATTCATTTGGGGGTTATGATGGTAACACATGCTTAGTGTAGATAAATTGAAAATGTAGAAAAGGTAAGAGAGGGAATTAAAAGATAATCTTACTACCCAGAGTAAAGCAATCTAAAAAATATTTTTAGTATATATGTATATATGTTCAATTGTATGTATATAAACAAACAAAATTGAGATTGCTTGTGTATATTTCTTTTGGTATGTTGGCTTTTTACTGACATTATCTCACAAACATTTTCTTACATCTTTAATATTTTCAAAACATTACTTTCCATTATTTAGATATATCTTAAATTTATCTAATTACTTCGGTAATGTTTGACATATTGATGATTTTAATATTTGGGGTAGCATAAATAATTTTGTAGCCAACACTATGAATGGACAACATTTGTCACATAATAAAGTATTAATAAATGTTTGATAAATAAATTAAAAGATGCAAATATTTCTGAATATCTCTGATTATTGCTGTGTTCCTAAAAATGAATTATTATCTATTATTTTAAATTTTTTCATTTGTTTCTCAACTTAGGTTATTCTTATTTTGCCATATGTAGATTAATTCTTTTTTATTTTTTATCTTTTTAATTTTTTATTGTACTTTGTAAGTTTAAGGTCTACAATATGATGTTTTGATATACATATACATATGGAAGTGATTGCTACCATCAAGCAAATTAACATTTGTTAGCATCTTCATCATCTCACATAGTTTCCTTCTTTCCTTCCTCCCTTCTGCCTTCCTGCCTTTCTGCCTCCCTCCGTCTCTCCCTCTCTCTTTCTTTGTGGCAAAAGTACCTAAAATCTAAGCTCTTAGCAAGTTTTCAGTGTACAATACAATATTATTAACTAGGGTCCTCATGCTATACATTAGATCTCTAAACTTATTCATCCTACAAAACTGAAACTTTGTATCCTTTGAACTACATCTCCCTACCACACCCCCGACCACCACCGTGACTATCATTCTTTTCTGTTTCTACATATTTGATTTGTTTTTAGATTTATCTGGAAGATTTATTAAACTTTGCTGTGAGTATTTGGAATAAACTTGGCTTCTAATACCTAGATTATGGACCATTTTATGTAATGGGGGAAATAATAGTTTGCAAAACATGGGTGAGGGAGTTGGAACAGTCCCTTGTGTAGCCTCTGATAAGTCAGCAGCTCGGGCGTCCTAAGTAAACCTGAAAAGCAGTCTAGGCCACAAGGACGGCAACTCCTAGGTGAGTCCTCGTGCTGAACTGGGCTCAGGGCCAGTGGACTTGTTGGGGGTACATGACCTACTGAACTAGCAGCTGGGGTGGCTAAGGAAGTGCTGGCATTATCCCTCCCCTAACCCCAGGCTGCACAGCTTGTGGTTCCAAAAGAGACACCCTACCTTCCACTTGAGGAGAGGAGAGGAAAGAGTGGGAAGACTTTATCTTGCACTTTGGCTACCAGCTCAGCCACAGCAGGATAGGGCGTTGGTTAGAGTTATGAGGCCCTCTTTCTAGGTCTTAGCTCCCAGATGATATTTCTAGACACACCCTGGGCCAGAAAGGAACCTGCTTCCTTGAAGGGAAGGACCCAGTCTTTGCAGGACCTATTACCTACTAACTGAAGAGACCTTAGGCCCTGAATAACCAGCAGCAATACTCAGGTACTTTCAGGTACTATGTTGAAAGACTTCGGTGAGACTCTGAGGTTTGCTGGCGTCATGTGAGACTCAGCACATTTCCAGCTGTGGTGGCTGTGGGGCAAGACTCCTTCTGCTTGAGAAAAGTGTGGGGGAAACTAAAGGGGACTTTGTATTGCACCTTAGGCACCAGCTGGGCCACAGAAGGGTACAGTACCAAGTGGGCTCTTGGGGTCACTGATTCCAGGACTTGGCTCTTGGATGGCATTTCTGGACCTGCCCGGGGCCAAAGAGGAGCCCACTGCCCTGAAGGGTAAAGCTGAGGCCAGATAGCACCCACCAGAACTGACTGAATAGCCCTTGGGCCTTAAGTGAATGTCAGTGGTAGTCTGGCAGTACTTCTCATGGGCCTGTGATGGTAGTGGCCATGGGGTAAGGCTCTTCTGCCTTTGGAAAGGGGAGGGAAGAGTGGGAAGGACTGCGTCTTGTGGTTTGAGTGCTAGCTCAATACAAAACAGTATAATAGAACACCAGAAAGACTTCTAAGGTTTTTGACTCTAATCCCTGGCTCCCAGATGGGACCCCTGGACCCATTCAGGGCCTAGGGAAATTTACACCCTGATGGAAAGGACACAGGCCTGGCTAGTTTTGCCACCTGCTGATTGTAGAACCCAGGATCTTCAGCAGTAGCCAGGGAGTGGTTACAGAAGGACTTGTGCAAAACCCACTGCTATGCTGGCTTCAGGTCTGACTCAGTGCAGTCCCCATGGTGGTGGCCACAGGGTTGCTTGTGTCACTCCAACCCCATCTCCAGGTGGCTCAGAACAGAGAGAGAGAGAATCTCCATTTGTGTGGAAGAAAGTAAAGGAAGAGAACAAGAATCTCTGCCTGGTAATCCAGAGAATTCTCCTGGATTTTGTCCAACACCATCAAGGTGGTACCTCTATAAGCCTGCAAGAAACATAGCATTACTTGGCTTGGGGTACCCCCTAAAGCAGGTGCAGCTTAGATCACAACACCCAAGTCTTTTTGAATACCTGGAAAGCCTTCCCAAGAAGGATAGGTACAAAGAAGCCCAGACTACAGAGATGGTGAAAAAATACTTAACTCTTCAATGCTCAGACACAGACAAACATCTGCAAGTATCAAGACTGTCCAGGAAAGTATGAGCTCACCAAATGAACTAAGTAAGTCACCAGAGACCAATACTGAAGAGACAGAGATATGTGACCTTTCAGACAGAGAATTCAAAATTCATTTTTGAGGAAGCTCAAAGAAATTAAAGATAACACAGAAAGAATTCAGAATTCTATCAGATAAATTTAACAAAGAGATTGAAATAATTAAAATCAATTAAGCAGAAATTCTGTAGCTGAAAAATGCAATTGGTATACTGAAGGATGCGTCAGAGTCTTTTAATAGCAGAATTGATCAAACAGTAGAAAGAATTAGTGAACTTGAAGACATGCTATTTGAAAATACACAGTCAGAGGAGAGGAAAGAAAAAAAAAACCAAAAACAGTGAAACGCTTCTACAGCATTTGGAAAATAGCTTCAAAAGGGAAAATCTAGGCTGGGCGTGGTGGCTCACACCTGTAATCCCAGCACTTTGGAAGGCCAAGGTGGATGGATGACGAGCTCAGGAGATCGAGACCATCCTGTCTAACACGGTGAAACCCCATCTCTACTAAAAATACAAAAAATTAGCCGGGCGTGGTGGCGGGCGCATGTAGTCCCAGCTACTCAGGAGGCTGAGGCAGGAGGATGGCATGAACCTGGGAGGCGGAGCTTGCAGTGAGCCAAGATCACGCCACTGAACTCCAGCCTGGGCAACAGAGGGAGACTCCATCAAAAAGAAAAAAAAAAAAAAAGGGCGAAAATCTAGAGTTATTGACCTTAAAGAAGAGGTAGAGAAAGAGATAAGGGTAGAATGTTTATTCAAAGGAATAATAACAGAGAACTTCCCAAACCTAGAGAAAGATGTCAGTGTCCACATACAAAAGGTTATAGGACATCAAGCAGATTTAACCCAAGGAAGACTATCTCGAGCCATCTAACAATCAAACTCTCAAAGGTCAAGCATAAAGAAAGGATTCTAAGAGAAGCAAGAGAAAAAAAACAGATAACATTCTATGGAGCTCCAAACCAAAGGCAGCAGACTTTTCATTGGAAACCTTACAGGCCAGGAGAGAGTGGCATGACAAATTTAAAGTCCTGATGGAAAAACACTTTTACTCTATTCAGTGAAAATATCCTTCAAACATGAAGGAGAAATAAAGACTTTCCCAGACAAACAAAAGCTGATGGATTTCATTAACACCAGGCCCATCCTATAAGAAATGCTAAAGGGAGTACTTTAATCAGAAAGGAAAGGACATTAATGAGCAATAAGAAATCATCTCGGCTGGGCACAGTGGCTCATGCCTGCAATCCTAGCACTTTGTGAGGCCGAGGCAGGCAGATCACGAGGTCAGGAGATGGAGACCATCCTGGCTAACATGGTGAAACCCTGTTTCTACTAAAATACAAAAAATTAGCTGAGCATGGTTGTGCGCCCTTATAGTTCCAGCTACTCAGGAGGCTGAGGCAGGGGAACCGCTTGAACCTGGGAGGCGGAGGGTGCAGTGAGCTGAGATCGCGCCACTGCACTCCAGCCTGACGACAGAGTGAGACTCCGTCTCAAACAAAACAAAACAAAACAAAACAAAACAAAACCAAAACCAGAAATCATCTAAATGTACAAAACTCACTGGTAATAATAAGTACACAGAAAAACACAGAATATTATAACACTGTAACTATGGCGTGTAAACTACTTTTATCCTAAGTAGAAAGACTAAAGAATGAATGAATCAAAAATACTAACCACAACAGCCTTTAAAGACATAGTGCAATAAGATATAAATAGAAACAACAAAAAGTTAAAGAGTGGGGGAATGAAGTTAAGACGTAGAGTATTTATTAGTTTTCTTTTTGCTTGCTTCTTTGTTTGTTTCTTTATGTAAACAGTGTTAAGTTGTTATCAGATTAAAATAATGGGTTATAAGATAGTATTTGCAGGCCTCATGGTAACCTCAAACCATGAAACATACAATGGATACACAAAAAATAAAAATTAAGAACTAAATCATATGACCAAAGACAATTACCTTTACTAAAAGGAAGACAGAAAAGAAAGAAGAGAAGACCGCAAAATAATCAGAAAACAAATATCAAGAAGTCTTTAATTTTCAATATTAACATAGGATGTAAATGGACTAAGCTCTCCAATCAAAAGACATAGACTGTCTGAATGGACAAAAAATCAAGACCTATTAATCTGTTGTCTATAAGAAACACACTTCACCTGTAAAGATACACATAAACTTAAAATAAAAGGATGGAAAAACATATTCCATGCCAATGAAAACCAAAAAAGAGCAGGAGTAGCTATACTTATATTGGACAAAATAGCTTTCAAGACAAAAATTATAGAAGAGACAAAGAAGGTTACTGTATAATGATAAAGGGGTCAATTCAGCAAGAAGGTATAACAGTTTTAAATATATATGTCCCCAAATGCTGGGCACTCAGATATATAAAGCAAATATTACTAGAGCTAAAGAGAGAGATAGGCTCCAGTACAATAATAGACGGAGACTTCAACACCTCATTTTCAGCATTGGACAGATCTTCCAGACAGAAAATCAACAAAGAAATATCAGACTTAATGTGCAGTATGAACCAAATGGACGTAATAGATATTATGGAACATTTCATCCAAGGACTGCAGAATATACATTATTTTCCTCAGCACATGCATTATTCTGAAGGATAGACCGTACGTTAGGTCACAAAACAAGTCTTAAAATGTTCAAAAAAACTGAAATACTATGAAGCATCTTCTCTGACCACAACAGAATAAAACTAGAAATCAGTAACAAGAGGAATTTTGGAAACTGTACAAATACATGGAAATTAAACAATATGCCCCTGAAAGGCCAGTGGTCAATGAAGAAATTAAGAAGGAAATTGAAAAATTTCTTAAAATAAATGATAATGGAAACACAATATCCCAAAATCTATGATACAGCAAAAGCAGTACTAAGAGGGGAGTTTATAGCTATATGTGCCTGTGTCAAAAGAAAAAAGAAGAAAAACTTCAAATAAACAACCTAATGATGCATGTTAAAGAACTAGAAAAGCAAGAGTAAATCAAACCCAAGATTAGTAGAGAAAAATAATAAAGATCAGAGCAGAAATAAATGAAATTGTAATGAAGAAAACAATACAAAAGATCAATAAAACAAAAAGTTGGTTTTTTGCAAAGTTAAACAAAATTGATAAACCTTCAGCCAGACTAAGAAAAAAAGAGAGAGGATCCATATAAATAAAATCAGAGGTGAAAAAGGAGACATTACAACTGACACTGCAGATATTCAAAGAATCACTAATGGCTACTATGAGCAACTATTTGCCAATAAATTGGAAAATCTAGGAGAAATTGACAAATTTCTGGACATATGCAACCTATCAAGATTGAACCATGAATAAACCTAAAACTGGAACAGACTAATAAAGAGTAATGAGATTGAAGCCATGATAAAAATTTCCCAGTAAAGAAAAGTCCTGGACCAAATGGCATCACTGCCAAATTCTACCAAAATTTAAAGAACTAATACAAATTCTACTCAAACTATTCTGAAAAATAGCAGAGGCTATTCAAACCATTCTGAAAAATAGAGGAGGTGGGAATACTTGCAAACTCATTCTGTGAGGCCAGTGTTACCCAGACACCAAAAACAAAGACACATCAAAAGAAAAAAAAAAAAAAAGAAAGAAAGAAAAGAAGAAAACTGAAAACTGCAGGTCAATATCTCTGATAAATAATGATGCAAAAATCCTTAACAAAATACTAGCAAACTGAATTCAACAATACATTAAAAATATCATTCATCATGACCAAGTAAGGTTTATTCCTGGGATGCAAGGATGGTTTGACATATGCAAATCAATCAATGTGATACATCATATCAGCAAAATGAAGAACAAACACCATTTGATCATTTCAATTGATGTTGGAAAAGCATTTGATAAAATTCAACATCCCTTCATGATAAAAACCCTCAAAAAATGGTTATAGAAGAAACATGCCTCAACACAATAAAAACCATATATGACAGACCCACAGCTAGTATCACACTGAATGGGGATAAAATGAAAGCCTTTTTTCTAAAATCTGGAACACACAAGGGTGCCCACTTTTCACCACTGTTATTGAGGATAGTACTGGTAACCCTAGCTAAAACAATCAGACAAGAGAAAGAAATAAAGGACATTTAAATTGGAAAAGAAGAGGTCAAATTATCCTTGTTTGCAGATAATATGATCTTTTATTTGGAAAAACCTAAATATTCCACCAAAAAACTATTAGAACTGATAAACAAATTCAGTAAAGTTGCAGGATACAAAATCAATATACAAAAGTCAGTAGCATTTCTATACCGAAGAAAAAAGTAATCCCTTTTACAATAGCCACATATGAAATTGAATACCTAGGAATTAACTTATCCAAAGCAGTGAAAGTTCTCTATCATGAAAACTAAAGTATTCATGGAAGAAATTGAAGAGGACACCAAAAAAAAAAAAAAAAAAAAAAAACCAAAAAAACCAAAACCAAAAATAAAAAAAACAGAAAGATATTCCATGTTTGTGGATTGGAAGAAAAATATTGTTAAAATGTCCATACTACCCAAAGCAATCTACAGACTCAATGCAATCCCTATCAAAATACAAATGACATACAGAAATGGAAAAAACAGCTCTAAAATTTATACGGAAGCACAAAAGACCCAGAATAGCCAAAACCATCCTAAGCATAAAGAACAAAACTAGAGGGATCACATTACTTGATTTCAAATTATACTACAGAGCTATAGTAACTAAAACAGCATAGTACTGGCATAAAAACAGACAGACACATAGACCAATGGAACAGAACAGAGAACCCAGAAACAAATCCACACACCTACAGTGTACTCATTTTCAACTAAGGTGCCAAGAACAGACATGGGGAAAAGACAGTCTCTTCAATAAATGGTGCTGGCAAAACAGTATCTATATGCAGAAGAAAGAAACTAGATCATCCCTCACCATATACAAAAATCAAATCAAAATGGATTAAAGACTTAAATCTAAGACCTCAAACTATGAAACAGCTACAAAAAAACAAAAAACAAAAAACAAACAAACAAACAAAATTGAGGAAAATATCCAGGACATTGGTCTGGGAAAAAATTTCTTGAGCAATACCCCACAAGCACAGGCAACCAAAGCAAAATGGACATATGGGATCACATCAAGTTGAAAAGCTTCTCCACAGCAAAGGAAACAACAAAGCAAGGAGACAACCCAGAGGATGGGAGAAAACATTTGCAAACTATACATCTGACAGAAATTAATAACCAAATTTTTTCTCTATAGGGAAAAAAATCTAATAACCTGAGCTCTTCATATGAAAAAAAATCTGATAATCTGATTAAAACATGGGCAAAAGATTTGAAGAGACATTTTTCAAAAGAAGACATACAAACGGCAAACAGGCATATGGAAGGGTGCTAAACATCATTGATCATCAGAGAAAAGCAAATCAAAATGACAATGAGATATCATCTCACCCCAGTTAAAATGGCTTATATCCAAAAGACAGGCAATAACAAATGCTGGCGAGGATGTGGAGAAAAGGGAACCCTCGTGCACTGTTGGTGGGAATGTAAATTAGTACAACCACTCCAAACAACAGTTTGGAGGTTCCTCAAAAAACTAAAAATAGAGCTACCATATGACCCAGCAATCCCACTGCTAGGTATGTACCCAAAAGAAAGAAAATCAGTATATTGAAGAGATATTTGCACCCTCATGTTTGCTGCAGCACTGTTCACAACAGCCAAGATTTGGAAGCAACTGAAGTGTTCATCAACAGATGAATGGAAAAAAAAAGTGTAGTACTTACACACAATGGCATACTATTCAGCTGTATAAAAGAATGAGATCTTTTCATTTGCAACAACATGGATAGAACGTAAGGTCATTATATTAAGTGAAATAAGCCAGGCACAGAAAGACAAACATTGCATGTTTTCATTGATTTATGGGATCTAAAACTCAAAACAATTGAACTCATGGAGACAGACAGTAGAAGGATGATTACCCCGAGGCTAGGAAGGATAGCAGGGGTGTGGGGAGGAGGTGGAGATGGTCAAAATATACAAAAACAATAATTAGAAGGAATGAACAAGACCTAGTATTTAACAGCCCAACAGGGTGGCTACAGTCAATAATAATTTCATGGTACATTTTAAAATAACTAAAAGAGTGTGATTGGGTTTTTTGTAACACAAAGGATAAATGCTTGAGGGGATGGATACCCCATATTCCATGATGTGATTATTACGCATTGCATGCCTATATAAAAGCATAGTTTGTACCCCATAAATATATACACATAGTATGAGTACATGAGATGCTTTGTAACCACAAAAATTAAAAATAACAAATTAGAAATAAAAACAAAGTAAAATAAAATAAAATTAGGACCATTGATCCTGACAGTACAATAGATATATCTGGGAAAATTTAAAAAAATACTGTTGTCTAGACTCCGTCTTTTACAACTAGGATCTCTAGGAGTGGGAGTAAGCCAAGCGGCAATACACAATAGTAGTGCTTTATAATAGGAAGAAAGTGTGAGTCACCATGTTGAAGATGTGTACAAATGTTTGAGGAACTAACACAGGTCCAGAAACTTCTAACCTTCTTACCTGGATTTTAGATATGAAACTATCCCCCTTTGAGTTGTTGTTACCTATTTATTGTCCATTATGAGAAACCTCTTTATTGACCACAATTATAATAATGAATTTATCAAGGACCAAAACGGCCTGAAGTCTAAGCTAAAAACAAAAAAGGTTGAAAAGGGAAACAATCCCAAGGTAGACCCCAATAGTGCCTTTGAAGTGGCTGACAACTCATAAGCCCAGAGCCACAGACTTTAAGCCACAGCTCTTTGAGCTCATGGGAGACACAGCTTAGGCTCCAACAGCCTACTTTTCCTCTCTGGAAGGCAGGAAAACAAGCTCTGGCTTGAAGAAGCACACAGCAATGAGGTGGTCGGCCTTTTTCAGCATGTCCCAATTCAGCCTCTGTGGCTCAGCCAGGCCCTGGCAGCCTAAGGCTCTTTCTGGAAGTTGGGTAACAAATCAAGTTGGGCTGCAGACAGCTGCAGGCAGAGGCCATCCCACAGCACCCTACACTCCCCTCTCCCTACACTGCTTCCTCTTACTTATTGGCAATACCAGCCATTATTTCTAACCAAGGTATTATTTTTCTTAAATATAATTTATCCTGCCTTTGAGGATGTTGTATAAAAATTTATTAATATGTGGTTGTGTGATGTCACCATGGATCTTGCATATGTAGGGAGATTTGCTTGGTTTACAAGACATCCAGAATTTAAAAAATGACTGGCAGTGATCTGAGCATTTAGCTTTTACCAATGTGGCGAGGGACAGCTGAAAGTGAAAGGATAAAATGCCAACTTATGGTTAAATTGCTTGATTTTGTGTCCTTCAATCTCATCATCTCACCACTTTGAGGCAGCAAATTTAATGCCATTACAATTGCTATTAAAGCATTTGCATAGATAATCCTATAATAGAAAGCAAATATCATTATGTCTCCTTTCACAGTTTTGCTTCAATGATTCCTTGCCAAAAACCAGCTCCGTCACCCTCTTGGTTATCCTCCATGTCCTCAAACTTAATATTTTAAAAATTTATTTTTAATATATTTTTATTGTATATATCTAAGATGTACAACATGATGTTTTGATATACATATACATAGTGAAATGATCACTACAGTCAAGCAGATTAAAATATCCCCCAAACCAAAATTTTTACACACACATACACATCTAATGTAAAAAAAAAAATCCAGGATGGCTCATGCAGAAATCATTTACTTTTAGCACCTGCCAAGGGGTGGAGCTGCAGAACCACAGACTACCAGGAGACTGCTTTTTCTGTCCCATCAGAACAGTATTTTTTTTTTTCAAATGATTTAGGAAGACCCACCTTCCATTACTTTTCCTGATGAAGTGTGATATTGGGTTTTTAGCCCTTTGTTTTCTCTGGTAATTTTACCCTGATTCCAAATGTGGTGTAAATTCCTTAACAATTCACCTCTTTGATGTAAGATCTGGGTAGAGAGAGCATACTTGGGGGCGCAGCCTTCAAATAACACATCTTGATGAGACGTGTGCATAAAATGCAAAGAAGAAATAAGTGGCCAGAGAAAATGATGGTGCAGAAAATGTGTTTCTTAAAGAAGGGTTGTTAATTTTAATGTTTGGTTCTAAAACTCTTTGCTGCACCCCCATTTAACAGCTAAAACATAGGACTCAGGGAGAAAATGAAGGTGTCGGGAAATTTAGGCTGAAATTCCTGGGTTGGAAGGAGCACAGTAAATGAAGCCCAGCCTTTTTCGTGTTTTATATTCATTAAGCATAGCAATGTACTGATAACGTTTTTTAAGCTGTCATTACATCTAGTTGATATTTAATCTGAATTTTAATATTTAAAAGGATACTCAGGATCTTCATTAGAGCCATAAAAAATTCAAGCAGGGCTACTGTTTGGAACTGTAACAAAGCAATTTATACTCCTATCATTTCACTTAAATTAGAGTGAGGAAAGAAATTTAGATTTTTTGAAAAGTGCAATCAGCCTCTTAAATAAAAAAGCAACTGGTGTCACCATTAGGTGGCAGGCACACTGCAGCCAGCTGTCACTTAGGCTGGGTGGAAGCGAGCCTGGACACCAAGGCAGAAATTCCTGGTCCCTTTCCTGGATCTTTCTTTCAGTCATTTAAGCTTGCAGAAGACAATGTGCATGGAAACCAGCAGCAGGCATTTTAATGCACCTTTGACACTGTTTCAACATTTGGTCTTCAGCTGCATGGACTGCTCATTCAGCTTCTCTTTGCCCTCCTGTGGTGTCTGAGCTGGCTAGCCCCTGCTGCTTTAGTTCTTTCAGCTGTAGGATTTTCATCACATGTGCATGTCAGAATCTGCACTGGGTTTGGACTGAAGACTCTGTCTTTTGTATTCGCTCCATTTCCAGTGGGTCAGGAGAATTAGTGTAATGGGCTGGTGTGTTTTATAACAAATGCCATTCTAGAATTCCATCCTTGTCGTCTAATGTTTGGGCAAAAAGTAGAAAAGAATAGCTAAAAAATGAAATCATGGTAATTGCTAGGACTCTCAGCATCTGCTAATGTAATACTTTTCCTTTAATTATGTCCCATAATATGTAACCTTTACTTTCTCAGGTCACACCGGCTAGAGGGACAAATTGCAAAGTGCAGTTTACAATCATAAGGGTGGCAATAACAGTCTTTGGTTTCAGATCCTCCACCCAGCAGAATCTAAGGGCGAAGTCCCTGAATTCCCCATCCTACTCCTGACAGTTTTTGGCAGCACAGGCTCTTCTCCTTGGAGGCCATTACAGTTTCTTTTTATTATACCTGGCACTATTCACTCTGATTTCTCACCCAAAGAAGAGACACCTGTGCTGCCCACGCTGGCCCTGCCTCTCCTGCTGTTATTAATATTTTGTTGAGCCCATCACTCCTATGGCAAAAGGTACTCTTGCTGGGCTCCCAGCAAGAGGCTGACCTTGGATTTTTAGTATTTTATAGTTCTCCGACTCTAGGAATTTGGAATGCATTCCCCTGAAGCTGGATTGGAGAAGATTTAAGTAGCAGCACCAATGATCAAATCCAGAAATGTTCCTTTCCACCAACAGGCAAATTATACTCCAGAATAAAGCCCTGGACTCTTGAATCATGACCTATTCTTCCTCTAGCGGTACAGCTTGGGTTCAGATATTGGACTTTCCGCTTCGTAGGAGTGTGGCCTTGGATAAGGTAACTTCTCTCTGCCTCAGTTTTCTCATATGTAATATAAGGGCAATCACAGGATCAACTTCCTAGAGTTGCTGTGAGGATTAGATGAGTTAATGCATGTAATGGGCTGATAGTGCCTGGCTCATAGCAAGCACATAACCAATGTCAGCTATTAGTATTATTAAAAAATTTTGATCTATGTATTCCGGGGACTGACCACTAGTTTCTATTTTTTCCAAAGAGGTAATTGAGATTTCATGCCCAGGGTCTCTGATGTTTTGCCCCAGTATACCAGAATGCTAGAATAATGAGGGCAGCTTTAGGTTGCTATCTCTACCCTCTCACCCCTCACTCTGGAAAGTTCCATGAAATAAACATGTTTTTAAAAAAAGTTCTGATATGAAAATTACGATTGATCTGATGCCAAGACTGGCAAGTAAGAGTAAAGCCCTCAGAGTTTGCTTTGTATTTGGCAGTCTAGTTAGACATTAATGTATTTATATTTTAGCCATCAATCTCCCTTTCTCCTTAAAAGTACTTCAAGTTTCTTTTGGGGAAACTACCTTCCTTCCTTCTCAGCCCTGTGTGATTGGGTAAGATTGAACCTACCCTGGTTCCAGAGTGGCCCCTGATTGGCCAATGTCAGGACCATCCCATCTGCTCTGGCCCTGTGATTGGCTCATTGAAGGATCTGTAACAAATCAGGACCATAGAGACTTGAGGAGCTATTTGCTGGGGTTTCTGGGTAAGGAAAATGTAGCACTTCTTCCAAACGCTATAGGAAGAGACTCCTCCCTTCCTCTGCCTGAAGAAGCCTGAGAATGTGAGATCTGGAGTGAGGCAGCTTTAGGAGCAAGTCAGCCCAACGGCGAGAGATGGAACTTAGCCCTGGGCAATATCTTTCCAGTTGCTGGATCCAAACTCACCGCATCTTCCTCCAGCCTTCTCAGCTACGATTCAACAAATATCCTTTATTAATTTAGTCCGAGTTGAGGGTTTTTGAGTGTGTGTGTGTGTGTCACTTGCAGCATAAATGGTGTGTCCCTACTGAAACGCTGCATTACAGTTAAAACATTCCTATGGCAAACAGAAACCCTTCATGATTTCAGAAGATAAAACTTGTAAACTATTCTTGCTATCTCATTTGGATGTAGACGTCTAAAATGTTGAAAAATTTCAAAGCTTTGGGTACTTACATATGACCTCCCTTGATGTACAAACCCAGAGTGGAATCATCTGTTAAATTGAATTTCCAGAAAGGGGTTCCATCTATCAATTAGGAAATGGCCTTTTTTTTTTTTGCACTTTACCAATTTATTGTAATTGAGTGCTTGGTGCATAGCAAGTGCTCATGGAATGTTTAAGAAGTGGAGTTTTCTGGTTATACTTGAATTTCTGATTAATTGAAAGTTAATTAGAAACTCTCCCCCCACCACCTACCATTTCCTCTCTTTAGAAAATCTTTGTAAAATGTATGAGTGCACTCTTTCCTTAGTAATTACAGTATAGTGAGCATAATTGCATTTTTGATGATTAAGAATTTTACAGTGCCTGAGGGTTGCCAGTCAGACTATAAATTCTCATTGTAGGATATTTTACATGGAGAAGTTGCAGGAAATTGGGCTAAATATGGATTGATCCTGGGACAGTCTCTAGAAGTTTATTTTCTAAAAACTTGAATATCTATTAGTTTTCATTGTCCTTTAAATTTTTCTTCAAATTTTTTTTTGTGCAAAAGTTTAATCAGAATTTTGATCAGCTAGATTTGGGTTAAGAAAAAATTTGCTATGTTTTTTGTTAAATCATTTGAATGCTGGTATCAGTAATGGTACAGTGAAATTATTCACGTGGGGCAAGATTGGAGGTGTGCATTACGCGAAGGGTGGGATAAAAGAACCTGACAGCGTTATGAGTTTCAATGAGGAGGTTATGTTAGGATTAACTTCGATTGTGCAAGTTTACTGTTGACTGTAAATTCAAGGAATGAGGGGATGTCAATGTCAGGGCATCCAGCAAGTAGGAATTATCTTCCATTTTTGTCCTGTTTCTTTTGTGGAGAAATGGCCCTGCATGTTCAGATCTTCCTATATCCTGTGGCTGAAGCCACCATTGGTGGGTTAATGTAGAGGTTGATATAGAGGGAACACATCAGGCAAGTACATATTGTTCATGGCAATCTTTTCTCTAGATTCATCTTTTTGAGTCTCTTTCACCAGTAGACTGATCAGCTGGAGGTGATTTAGGAATATGGGATCAGGGCCATAAATCTTTCTATTCCCATCAAAGATATGACTAACAGCTAGAGTCAGGGGTCTAAAGGGGATGCCACACCCCATGTAGTTATCCAAGAAAGTGGCAGGCTAACCATTAATGTGTGACCAGGGATGGGATGCAGAAATTGTTGGTCAAATCAAGAGGGTGTGAAGGGCCATATTGGTGTCCAGGAAGGAAACATTAGGTTGCAGAACATGGCAGATGGTAGTGGGTCCTCCTCTTTGTCTCAATACCCTTAACGTCTCAATTCCCTTCTTTTTACCCCTTCTTCCAATGCCTTCTCATCTTCAAGAGGTGATATTTTGGCACTGTTCAGAAACTGGCATTGGACAAGTTAAAAGTATGTTTTTGTATTATTTTCCACCAAGTTTGTCCTTTACTAGGGTTGTCTTTAAGTGTTGCTGTTACTGACCTACTGTCTGCAGGGCCTGTGCCTTGAGTTGTGTATGTAGTAGTGAAGAATTAAGCTTGAGTTTGTGAAACTCTCTCACCAGTCTCCCCTGTGAATCTGGCTTTGCATTTGTAGGAAAATTATGGGGGTTTCCCAGAAGACTATGTATTTCCTGGAAGACTGATGAGATTGAGAGAGTTCATGACCAGGGTACTAACTCCTCTTCATGCAAAGGAAACTGTTTATTTTATTCTATTTAAAAATCAGGTTTAAACCTCAGTCACTTCTCATTAGCATCATTCTATGTATGCTCAGTTCAGTTATAGACAAAATATTTTACTACCCAGCCAATTCAGCCACAACTGGAATGAGCACTGTGGGGATTATATGGATGAGTTAGATAAAGTCTAAGAGCTCCTGGGGCTCAAAGTCTCACAGAGGCATTTAGTGATTCTAACATGAGAAAACTGTGAAACATGCCATAATGAAAGTATGAATGGATTTCATTGAGAGAAATAAAGGAGAGAGAGGACGCTCCAATTAGGAAGATGCCTTGGAGTAGAAGGAATTAGAGTCAGGCCTTGGAGGAGGTATAGAACCATAATGGCCATGGCCCATAGTCAGGGCATTTCAGGGGGAAGGGATGGCCCAGATGTATGCACAGAGGCTGAAGGGAGTAGAACCTGCTCTAGGGCAGATAATAATCCAATGAGGTTGGGCTAAGGGTGTGTGGAAGTCAGGTAAGAAAAGGGAGTATGGTTTCAGTAAGATTGGAGATGGAGGCTGCTGTTTTATCATGGATGGCGTGACTACCACAGTAGGGGATGATGAAAAGTCAGCATTGTTTTTGAACAAGAAAGTTGTTGAGATTGTTACGTTTTAGAAAGACAATTCTGGGGGCAAGGTGGAGAGTAGGTGGCATGGGTGAGGGTGGAGGACAGGACAGACGAGCTGGAGTGTCCAGTCACGAAGGTACAGCAATTATTCAGATGAAAACTCATAAATCATGACCTAGGAAAGTGATCATGGGAAGGAAAATGAGGCCATGGACTTGGAAGATGTCAGGGCCCACGGAGAGGGAAGTATGAATAACTCTGAGGTTAAATGAGATTGGGAACATAAGGGAAGTAAGAAAGGAGAACAAAGTTTACTTTTAGTAAGAAGATGAAGGCCACGCGTGGTGGCTCATGCCTCTAGTCCCAGCACTTTGGGAGGCCAAGGTGGGAGTATGACTTGAGCCCAGGAGTTCAAGACCAGCTTGGGCAACATGGTGTAAACCTCTAAAAAAAAAAAAAAAAGAAAGAAAATTCAAAAATTAGTGGTGTATGCCTCTAGTCCCAGCTACTCAGGAAGCTGAGGTGGGAGGATCACCTGAGCCCAGGGAGGTGGAGGCTGCAGTGAACCAGAAGCAGGACACTACTGCAGCCTGGGTGACGAAGTGCAACCTTGTCTCAAAAGAGAGAAAAAAAGATGAATAGCTCATTTTTGAATATGCTGAAGTTTGAGTGTGTACATGTTCAGCCTGAGAGGTGAACTTGCTCTTTGAGAGCTGGGATATGTCTCATTCGCCTTTGTAGCCTTAGCACACAACAAGGCATTTATTTAATTATTCGTTTATTCATTTATTCATTCAACCAATATTGATTAAATGACTACTCTGTATCAGGACCTGGCATGTAATAGGAGCTGAATAATTGTTTGCTTAATTGAACTAAACTAACTTTTATGGATCCTCACCTAGTTAAGTTGTCATTCTATTGAGAACTTCTACTTGGTAGACTTTATTTGGTAGGACCGTTAGTTTAATGGGGACTGGGTGAAGGAGTGGAAGCATAATGATAACTGTTTCATAGGAGGGGGAGTTAATGACTTGTACCTGCAAGGACCAGATCATGGGCTTACAATGGGAGTTCAGCCTGCCTTCCGCTGTGTGCCCCAGCTTTGAAGTAGACAACACAAAAGTCTTGGGGAACTTATTTATAGACATTTTCCAAAAGCAGAGGGAAGGATGGAATGGGTGGGTTGCATGAGTCACTTAGGTATTCCTGCCTAAATCAGAACCCTGTACTTCATAAGATTAACCGTATTCATGCCTCTTTTTTTGTATGATTTGTGTATTTTCTTCATACTTTTAAGTTACATTTTTCCTTAGGTGTTGACATTTTTCAAAATTTCAGTCTGTCTTTCTTATGCGAGTGAAGGAAAACAAAGCCATCTTTAGGTGATTCGTTTCTATTTTGGGTTGGAATTTTATGTGGAGAGTAACATACTACCCAGACTAGGTATTGTGGTGTCAGGGTCCTAAAGAAGGAATATGCACTAGGGAAAGTGTAGGGAAAAGTCAGGCTCAGCTGCACAGAATCCTTTTCTACGAGGGAAGTTCTTTTCCAGAGGTCTTTTCTCGGGCATTGGAGATGTTGTGTAGCGTGGTGATGGGAGTCAGGGTGCTGGATTGGAGTAATCCTGATCCTGATTATATGTACTCATGCAAATGATTCATTCTTTTAGGCGTCCATTTTCTCATCTATAAGAGAGATAATTATACCTGATTCACCTTCTAACATGCTAAATGATTTGCCTAATTACTGTGTTATTTTTTATCCCCCCTAGAATGTTAGCTTCTACAGATAAAACTGGGGCAGAGTTTTATTTGCATTGATCCCTGTGTATCCCATGTGCTGGGGACATGGTTACCTTGGAGGTAATTTCAAGGCAAAGGAAGTAGAGGAAGTGGGAGGAATAATTGGGGTGGTAAAAGGACAATATGTTCCTGAAAGTCAATGTAGAAAGGGGTTTCATGAAGAAGATGGCAACAGGGCTGGATACTGAGGAGAGACAGAAGGGAAAATCCAAGGATAGGTCTTTGGATTTTGTAATTAGGAGGATACTGGTGCCTTAGAGAAGCCAAAAGCCATTGAAAAACCCAATAGTCAGTGATAAGAAGGCTAAAGAGATGGAAGGATGTGGTGACAGTGAGTTACAGCAACCCTTTCCAGAAGCTCAACAAAGAAGAGGAGCGGGATGGGACTTAATCTTGATGACAAAAAAGGTTCAAGGGAAGAGTTGTATTTTTATAATTTATTTATTTTTATTTTATTTTATTTTATTTTATTTTTTTGAGATGGAGTCTCGCTCTGTCACCCAGGCTGGAGTGCAATGGTGCAATCTTGGCTCACTGCAACCTCCAGATCCTGGGTTCAAGTGATTCTCCTGCCTCAGCCTCCTGAGTAGCTGGGATTACAGGCACACGCCACCACACCAGCCAATTTTTTTTTTTTTTTCAGTAGAGACAGGGTTTCACCATGTTGGTCAGGCTGGTCTCAAACTCCTGACCTCGTAATCCTCCTGCCTTGGCCTCCCAAAGTGCTGGGATTATAGGCGTGAGCTACCATGCCTGGCCAAGAGTTGTATTTTTAAACCAAGGAAGGAAGGTGCCCAGGGGCAGGGAGAGGCGGAATATGTGAGGAGAGGCAATTATTATTAAGTACCCGAGGAGGGAAAGAGTGAGATAAAACCCTGAGGGAAAAGGTTAGTCTCAGAGGACACTTCTGGTTGAATGTGATTAAAAGGGGGAAAACCATGAGAAGCAGGGAGATTGGAAATTTAAGAGAGAATAATTAAAGGGTTCAAATTGAAGTCATCTAGCGTCTCAGTGAAGTAAGAACCAGATAATATGGCTGTAGTTTGGTGAGGACTTGCAAAGGGTAGAAAAGTTTTCAAAGAGCTATACAGAGAATCTCAATAGGGATCAGTATACATAATTGATGAGATGGCTCAGTGGACAGAGACAAGTGGAATTAGATGGCATGGACATGCTGCAGATCCCATCTACTCAGTTATGTGAACTTCCCCCTCAGTAATGCTCTGTATTCAAAATGGGGCTCAAAAGCAAAATGGCTGACTCGAAGAATGTGAGATTAAAAATTAGAAGGGAAAGTATGAAGGTGGGTAAACGGGTCCTGGAAAACCACGATCTTATTGAAAGTATGACTGAGAAAATGGACAAAAGTAGTAGAGGATTCAGCGATAATGTAAAGATCAAGGAATTGAAAGCCCTGAAGACAAAGACTAGATTCAGCAGCAGTGAGAGGGATGGAAGAGGCATAAAGTTAGGTGTGTTTATCTGATTAAATCATTCTTTTTGTTTTCAGAAAAGAAATGTGGAAGTAATGAAGTTGGAATTTATGGATTATTCCAATGAAAGCAGTCCTTTGTCCTTTTTGGCACACAAGTATGCGTTACTGTTTCTGGGTGATAATAACTTCTAGTTAGACTAGAAAGAGCTGAAGAAAGCATTTTTCTACATCAATGTGTAACAATGAGAAGAGGGAGGTGGGGAGTAGGGGTGGGGGATAACGTCAGTCCTCATCTCAATCATTATGATCATGGAAATTAATTGTTGGGAAGGGAATCTCGAGTTGAATTTCCCCTGAAGTTCTTTTCCAGACATATGCTAAGTTATAGCAGGGTTTATTCTAAGTAGCTTTTATTTCCTCTTTCTTCATCTGTAGCAGAAATTAAAAGAAGTGTCTTTAATAGAAAGCAAGATGCCATCTTATTAGTCATGGTGCCCTAAATCTATTAGCTTTGAGTAGGCAAAGTGGCAGTGATTCTGATATGCCTGACATTGTCCAGTCACATTTCTAACAGCATTTAAGGAGGTGGTCAAAGTCATGTATCTCTTTTGACCTTGGTAAAAATTAATAGTGTAATGCCTAGTCTGCCTGTATCTAAAACCCATCTACAAAAAAGTGATAAAGCAGCCCATGTTCTCAAGGAAGAGGATACAGGTTCTGTCCAGCAGCCATTAGGTGGTGCTGCCTAACCAACATTCCCTTCCCTGTTAGGTCACCTACATGAGTCCTGTTGCCTTTATTGTGGATACAATGGAGAATATTATGTGATTCACTTACAAAAGGTGGAAGTGGCTGAAATTTCTCTATCACCTCTGTGAAACCTATCAGATTCTCTTTTTTTCTGGAGAGTAGTCAATAGCTGCTCTAAGGAGGCAGCAGACACGAAAATGGCTGCTCAGACTGAAAAGCAAGCATTGATATTTGAGTAGCACTTTCCACTTTACAAAGAATTTTCACATGTCAGAGTTCCTGGAATATTGGAGGTAAGCACTCATGACATTTTTTGAATGAATAAGTGGAGTACTGTAGGTAGAGAAAATTAATTCTATATTGACTTCTGATAATGTAGAAATTACATCAAAGTTAGTTTATGAAAAAAGGTATATGTTTCTGAGACAACATGCATGGCTATTGATAAATGTGACACATAATAACACTTACTCTACTCATACTTATTCTATTGCAGGGCTATTATGGAAGTTACCTTATTAGCAGAAAATTGAAAAACAATAACAATAAGAAATTTTTATTAAGAGCATATTCTCAGGCTCTCCTTATTTCCAAATGGTGTCTTCATTGAAGAATTTATTCTCCATTACATAGCTATATATATGACTTTTCTTTTTCTATTTTCAAAAATGTGTTTTTTAATTGACAAAAATTATATATGTTTATTATGTACAACCTAAGTTTTGAAATATGTATACATTGTGGAGTAGCTAAATTGAGCTAATTAACATACACATTACCTCACATTGTTATTTTTTTGTGGTAAGAACACTTAGAATTGACTTTCTTAGTGATTTTCAAGAGTATAATACATTGTTATTAACTATAATTACCATGTTGTTCAATAGGTCTCTTGAACTTACTTCCTCCTGTCTAACTGAAATTTTGTATCCTTTGACCAACATGTCCTCAGCCCTGACCCCTACCCCAAACCCCTGGTAACCACCATTCTACTCTCTGTTTTATTAGTTTGACTCTTTTAGATTGTACGTATCAGTGAGATCATATGGTATTTGTCTTCTGTTCCTTGCTTATTGCACTTAACATGATGCCCAGGTTCATCCAAGCTATACCAAATGACAGCATTTTATTCTTTTGTAAGACTGAATAGTATTTTATTATGTATATACTACATTTTCTTTATCCATTCATCTGTTGATGAACACTTAGGTTGATTCTATATCTTGGTTCTTGGGAATAATGCTGCAATGAACATCAGAGTGCCAGTATCTTTTCAACATACTGATTCCATTTCCTTTAGGTATATACCCAGTAGTGGGATTGTTGGATCATATTGTAGTTCTATTTTTAATGTTTTGAGTAACCTCCATAGTGTTTTCCATAATGGCTTACTAATTTACATTCCTACCAACAATGCACAAGGACTCTGTTTTCTCCACATCCTCTTCAACACTTGTTATCCTTTATCTTTTTGGTGATAGCCATTCTAACAGGTGTGAGGCGGTATCTCATTGTGGTTTTAATTTGCATTTCCCTGATAATTAATGTTGAGACTTTTTCATATAGTTTTGGCCATTTGTATGTATTTTTTTGATAAATGTCTACATTTTTATACCTTTTTTTTGAAAGTTTTTCTTTTTATCTTGAAGGGATGTTGAACTTTGTCAGCTGCTTTTTCTGCATTTATTGAGATGATTATATGTTTTTGGTTTTTCATTCTGTTAATGAGGTATGTCACATTTATTGATTTGTGTATGTTCAATCATCCTTGCATCCCAGAGATAAGTCCCACTTGATCATTGTGAATAATCCTTTTAATGTGCTGTTGAATTTGGTTTGCTGGTATTTTGTTGAGGATTTTGCATCAATGTTCATCAGGGATATTGGCCTGTAATTTTCTTTTCTTGTAGTGTACTTGTCTGGCTTTTGTATCAGGGTAATAGTGGTCTCATAAAATGAGTTTGGAGGTGCTCCGTCCTCTTCAATCTTTTGAAAGAGTTTAAGGATTGGTATTAGTTCTTTAAATGTTTGGTAGAGTTCAACACTGAAGCCATCAGGTCCTGGGCTTTTCTTTGTTGGGAAACGTTTTATTAAGGAGACTGAGTCAGTTTCCTTACTTTTTATTGGTCTGTTCAGATTTTCTACTTCTTCATGATTCAGTCTTGATAGGTTTTATGTGTCTAGGAATTTATTTATTTCTTGTAGGCTATCTGATTTGTTGGCATATAATTGTGCATGGTAGTCTTTTACAATTTTTTGTATTTCAGTGGTATCAGTTGTAATGTCTTTTTTTCATTTCTGATTTTACTTAAGTCTTTCTTTCTTAGTCTAGTTAAATGTTTTCTGAGTTTATCCTTTCAAAAACCAACTCAGGGTTGTTGATATTTTCTACTTTTTTCAATTCTCTCTCTCTCTCTTTTTTTTAACCTAATAATTTTTTTTTATTATACTTTAAGTTTTAGAGTACATGTACACAACGTGCAAGTTTGTTACATATGTATACATGCGCTATGTTGGTGTGCTGCACCCATTAACTTGTCATTTACATTAGGTATACCTCCTAATGCTATCCCTCCCCCCTCCCCCAACCCCACAACAGGCCCCGGGGTGTGATGTTCCCCTTCCTGTGTCCATGTGTTCTCATTGTTCAGTTCCCACCTATGAGTGAGAACATGCGGTGTTTGGTTTTTTGCCTTGTGATAGTTTGCTGAGAATGATGGTTTCCAGCTTCATCCATGTCCCTACAAAGGACATGAACTCATCCTTTTTAATGGCTACATAGTATTCCATGGTGTATATGTGCCACATTTTCTTAATCCAGTCTATCATTGTTGGACATTTGGGTTGGTTCCAAGTCTTTGCTATTGTGAATAGTGCCGCAATAAACATATGTGTGCATGTGTCTTTATAGCAGCATGATTTATAATCCTTTGGGTATATACCCAGTAATGGGATGGCTGGGTCAAATGGTATTTCTAGTTCTAGATCCCTGAGGAATCGCCACACTGACTTCCACAATGGTTGAACTAGTTTACAGTCCCACCAACAGTGTAAAAGTGTTCCTATTTCTCCACATCCTCTCCAGCACTTGTTGTTTCCTGACTTTTTAATGATCGCCATTCTAACTGGTGTGAGATGCTATCTCATTGTGGTTTTGATTTGCATTTCTCTGATGGCCAGTGATGATGAGCATTTTTTCATGTGTCTTTTGGCTGCATAAATGTCTTCTTTTGAGAAGTGTCTGTTCATATCCTTCGCCGACTTTTTGATGGGGTTGTTTGTTTTTTTCTTGTAAATTTGTTTGAGTTCTTTGTAGATTCTGGATATTAGCCCTTTGTCAGATGAGTAGATTACAAAAATTTTCTCCCATTCTGTAGGTTGCCTGTTCACTCTGATGGTAGTTTCTTTTGCTGTGCAGAAGTTCTCTAGTTTAATTAGATCCCATTTGTCAATTTTGGCTTTTGTTGCCATTGCTTTTGGTGTTTTAGACATGAAGTCCTTGCCCATGCCTATGTCCTGAATGGTATCGCCTAGGTTTTCTTCTAGGGTTTTTATGGTTTTAGGTCTAACATTTAAGTCTTTAACCCATCTTGAGTTAATTTTTGTATAAGGTGTAAGGAAGGGATCCAGTTTCAGCTTTCTACATATGGTTAGCCAGTTTTCCCAGTAGATGGAATCTCACTCTGTCAGCCAGGCTGGAGTGCAGTAGTGCAATCTCAGCTCATTGCAACCTCCACCTGCCAGGTTCAAGTGATTCTCCTGCCTCAGTCTCCTGAGTAGCTGGGATTATAGGCACATGCCACCATGCCCAGCTAAGTTTTATATTTTTAGTAGAGACTAGGTTTCACCATTTCAGCCAGGCTTGTCTCGAACTCCCAACCTTAGGTGATCCACCTGCCTGCCTGTATTCTCTCTTTCATTTATTTTTGCTATGGTCTTTATTATTTTCCTCCTTCTACTAACTTTTGGCTTAGTTTGTTCTTCTTTTTCTAGTTCCTTGAGGCATAACATGAGGCTATTTATTTTAGATCATTTTTCTTTTTGATGTATGTGTTTATTGCTATAACCTTCCCTCTTAGAATGGCTTTTGCTGCATCCCATAAGTTTTTCTATGTTGTGTGTTCATTTTAATTTGTCTCAAGATATTTTTAAATTTCATCCTTGGCCCATTTATTGTTAAGGAGCATGTTGTTTGATGTCCATCTTTTTGTGAATTTTTCAAGGCTCTTCCTGTTATTGATTTCTAGTTTCATAACATTGTGGATATAATTTCAGTCTTCTTCAATTCATTAAGACTTGTTTTATGGTTTAATATGATCTATTCTGGAGAACATTTCATGTGTTCTTGAGAAGAATGTGTATTCTATTGCTACTGGGTGAAATGTTCTGTATATATTTGTTAGGTCTATTTAGTCTAGTCTAAAGGTTATTGTATTCTAGTCTATAGTCTATGAAGCTTATGTAAAACACTTTATAACAGGCTGTTTTAAGCTGATAACAACTTAACTTTGATTGCATATACAATTCTATACTTTTATCCCACCCCACCCCCAATTTTATGTTTTTGATATCATAATTTACATATTTTTGTATTGTGTATCCTTAAATTGTAGCTGTTACTATTTTTTTGTTATGTTATTATTTTAAATAATTTTTTTCTTTTAACTGTCATAGTCATGATATGTTATCTGCATACCACCATTACTGTATTAGAGCATTCTGAATTCAACCATGTACTTTTACCAGTGAATTTTATACTTTTATGTGTTTTAATCAGCATTACTTTTTTTCCAGCTTGAAGAATTCCCTTTAGCATTTCTTATAAGGCAGATCTGGTGGCAATGTACCTCCTCAGCTTTTGTTTGGGAAAGTCTTTATCTCTTCATTTCTGAAGGACAGTTTGCCAGGTAAATATTCTTGGTTGGCAGTTTTTTGTTTTTTGTTTTTTTTCCCTTCAGCACTTTGAATATACCATCCCATTCTCTCTTGGCCTATGTGGTCTCTGTTGGGAAGTTCACTATTAGTCTTATTGGAACTTCTTTCTTTATTATTTGGTTCGTTTTTCTTGCTGCTTTCAGTATTTTCTCTGTGTCTTTGATTTTTGACAATTTGATTTTAATATGTCTTGGTGTAGTCTTGTTTGGATTGAATCTGATTGAAGAATGTTGATCTTCTTTCTCCTTGATATTTATATATTTCCCCAGATTTGAAAATTTTAACTTTCTACTTCATCTCTCTTCTCTTCCTTTAATTCCTATAACTTGAATATTTGCTCTTTTGATGCTGATACATAAATATTGTAAGCTTTCTTTATTACTTTTCATTTTTTTCTTTTGTCTTCTCTGTACATTTTCAAATAACTTGCCTTTTAATTTGCAATTTCTTTCTTCTGTTTTATTGATTCTGTTGTTGATGCCCTCAGTTGCATTTTTTATTTCATTCATTGTATTTTTCAGCTTTGAATTTCTGTTTGGTTTTCAAAAATAATTTCAATCTCTGTTAATTTTCTCATTTTGGTTATTTATTATTTTTCTGATTTTGTAAAATTGTTTCTCTGCATCTTCTTGAAGTTTGCTGAGCTTACTTAAAACGATTCTTTTGAATTTTTTGTTGGGCAGATTGTAAGTCCCCATTTCTTTAGGGTCTGTTACTGAAGCTTTAATTTGTTTCTTTGGTGAGGTCATGTTACCTTGATTGTTCTTTATCTTTGTGGTTATGCATTGGTGTCTGTGTATTTGAAGAAGTAGGGACTTATTTCAATCTTTGCAGACTGGCTTTGTCTGGGCAATCCCTTTACCAGTCAACTCATCCAGAGACATGTGTGTGGTCTGGAACCTGGGGCTACTGGGGATCACCTGGCCTTGAGGCTAGTGTGGAGCCCAAGTCTGGGAGAGTTGTCCTGGTACTGGGGCCTATCCAGAGCCTGGGGATGCTGAAGTCAGTCTGGCAGTAGGGTATACTTGGGGACTGAGTCTCCCAGGCAGGCCTGGAATCTGGGGCTATAGGATCTGGACTGGTGCCAAGGCAATTCTGGAGGCTCAGCCTGGCAGGCTGGCCTGCAGTCTGAAGCCACAGGGTGCTGCCCAGCGCTGGATTTTACTGGGGCAGGCTCAGTGTTGGAGCCTGAGGCAAAGTCTGGTGCTCACTTTCATCTCTTTCCCCCACATAAAGGGTATCTGTCTTTATTCTGTACTGCCTGGGATTGGGGGAGGTTGTCATGGGTGGGTAATGTGAACTGTCCTTCCTACCTTCTTTTCTTTTTATTATTTATTTATTTATTTATTTATTTTTGAGACAGAGTCTTGCTCTCGTCACCCAGGCTGGAGTGCAATGGCATGATCTCAGCTCACTGCAACCTCTGCCTCCTGGGTTCAAGTGATTCTCCTGTCTCAGCCTCCTGAGTAGCTGGGATTACAGGCACCCACTACCATGCCTGGCTAATTTTTTTGTGTATTTTTAGTAGAGACAGGGTTTCACCATGTTGGCCAGGCTGGTCTCAAACTCCTGATCCCAGGTGATCCGCCTGCCTCTACTTCCCAAAATGTTGGGATTACAGGCGTGAGCCACCGCGCCCAGCCTACCTTCTTCAACACATCTTTTCTGTGCTACACCCAGATACTGTAATCACTCACTCAGTTTCCTTAGCTCTTGTGAAGGTATTTTTGTGCCTGAATAATTGTTCAAATTGATGTTTCTGCAGGGGAATGAGCACTGGAAAGTGCTATTTTGCCATCTTTCTTGAGTCTTTTCGCTTCCCGTCTACATATACTGCTCTCAAATGATTTTGGGGAGTAGGCAAGACAAAAAGTTCCTAAACACAGTATGAACAGTTTATTTTACCATCCTGAAAGTGTTTTTATTTATCCATGAAATCCACAAAATTTAACTGAAATAAGCAATGTAACTTTCTAAGATATTCTGTGACTAGCTTCTAAAAACTTCTCTATGCAATATTATCTTGGGAAGGAAACGTAAACTTTGATATTCTAGCTCTCACTCTGAGATGCACCTGATAGGTATTTTAGCCTGACATGGTCACAAACTCCAGGAATTGTTTTAGGCTGCTCCTTCTTTTGGGGACCCTGAGAGATTAGGTGGATTCACAAATTCTTGTATTGTCTTCTGCTGGGGTTTGCTGATTCTATAAAGGGAACCCTACTGTGTCTAAGGTTCTTCAAGTTCCATTCTAAAAACACTTGGAATGGTGGAAGTTGTGGTTCATACCCAGAATGTTTCTAGGAATAGTAACATAAAATATCTTTGAAATTTGAGAAAAAATACTAAGATATCACAAAAAAGATAGTATCCTACACAATTTGAATTATGTAAATAAGAAATAAAAAGTATTCCTCATCTGTTCTTTCTGATACCATTCTCCATCAGAAGTAGTCCTTGTTAAGTATGGTATATATCCCTTCCAACTCTTTCCTATGTTGCTATATTTCCTATAGTTCTATACATCTATTTGACTATTTTTCTTTGCATATGCAGCACACATACACAACAATTTTCTTTAGTATCTTTTTTAAAAATAGAAATAGCTATATAGTATTTCATTGTGCAGATGTATCACAATTTATTTCACCTTTTTTCTATTGATGCTCATTTTTGTAATATTCACTTTTTTTTGGCTAAGTGCTGCTGCAGTTAACATCCATATGCACCTGTCTTTTCATTCTATGGACTTTTAAAATTGAAGATGCTGTGTATGAGGGAGAAAAGTATGACATAGTACCTAATATTTAAACTCACTCAACATTTATGTCTTTATCAATATTACATTGTTGATCACCCTTCGTAATTTTGTGCTGGGGTCAGAGGATGACCAATGCTTCCAGCTCTTTGAGGTGCCCCCAGTCTAGGCTCCAACTGAATGCAGATTTTAAAACCCTCTGTTGATAGAGTGTGATGGTGGATAGGGAATAGTTCACAACTCCCTACAATTTTACACTCTCCCGCACCTCTTAGAATTTTTCTCTGAGAGTGTTATGTAGTCATCACATCAAGAAAGCTTTAGCTATTCAATTAGTGGCTGCATATCTCTTTTCCTTGTTTAAAAGTAATATTTAAAAAACAATGGCTGGGCATGGTGACTCATTCCTATAATCCCACTGCTGTGGGAGGCTGAGGCAGGGGATTACTTGAGCCCAGAAGTTCAAGGCTGCAGTAAACTATGATTGCACCACTGCACTCCAGCCTAGCTGGCAGAACAAGTCCATGCCTCAAAAAAAAAAAAAAAAAAAAAAAAAAATTTCTTTAGAGAAAACATGCCATCTTTTTCTCCCACCCCTTCCTTTTTTTCTTCTCTCCCCATCTCTTCCTCCCTTCCTCCCCCCATTCCTTTCTCCCTCCCTCCTTCCTATCTTCTTTCTACCACCTTGAGAACACAACTTTATTTATCAGTTAAACTTCCCATTTAGAATGCTTGCATTGGAATTACATTTTGTTAAGGAAATTCTGGAGTTTAAAATAAAAATAAGGAAGTGGACAATATGCTTTTTTCTTTGATATCTCTTTTTTAGTAAGTCAGGATTAATGGAGTCCCAGGTGGTTACCAGCTCTTAAAAGTGAACTGTAGTACAGTGCATCCTAAGATTTCCTCTTAGAACTCTGCTAAGACAAAGATGACTGTGCCTTGTGGCAGTAAGCTATGGTGATCCTGGCAATTTTCATCATAATGGTATGATTTCAAGGTGACTCACCTTTCATGGTGGATCTTTTTTAGAATTTAGAGAGAAAGTAGTTTGACCAAGATGGTTAAGTTAAGGTAAATGATTGCAGTAATTATTCCTAATTAAATATCACCAGAGGGATGATAGGTATATCAAAAAGGAAAGCCTCCTGAGATGGAGGCAAGTAACGTTGTATTATAGTATCCACATTTTAGGAAGTGTTTGCATAGACATGGTTTAACCTGGATATTTTATAATCTGTATATATCAAACCACATCATAAAAAGTTTTATTATAGTTATGGGGAAAATTAATTTATGAAATTAATTAGGTTAATCAATGATT
This sequence comes from Homo sapiens, assembly GCF_000001405.40. NCBI lineage: Eukaryota > Metazoa > Chordata > Mammalia > Primates > Hominidae > Homo > Homo sapiens. The sequence goes on from NC_000018.10 coordinate 26,822,266, forward strand.
ATCTACTTAACAGAAATTTTTCTGATGTGTCATTGGCACATATATCTGACACAGGGACATATATTAGAGCAAATACATCAACTTTTTCTTTAATGAGTACACTGATCAGATCATATGTGGTTTACCTGCTCCAGTTACCTTAAGTATGAAATAACAAGATTTGGCTCTGTTGATCATTAAAGGTGGCCCATTAGGTCTGGCTACTTAGAAATCCATTTGTGGTTGAGGCATTTTTCACAGTGGCACCTAGACAATCTCAGGACCATTATCCGGGCTCTGATTATCTACAGAGAAATAGTCACAGATTCTCTGCATGACAAGAGTGAAGCATGTTGCTATGTTTTGTTTTCCAGAATCTAAGATATAATAAATTACACCCAAGCAATAATCAGTGTTCCCGATCCTGTCTGTGATTTGCCTTTATTGTTTTCCAAGAGGAAGCCTCACACATGCAAAGCCATATGCTCTATCACTTTTCAAGTTGTGGTGTCTCATCTGGGAGTGATTTGAGCCCCTGCCCCTCAACATTTCTTTTATGACTCCAAGATTAAAAGACCATATTCAATCTTATTTTTATTATATCTTTTTGGGGAGGCACAAAAGCAGTAACTCTTAGCAGAGGAGGAACTTGTATGCCATCTGACCTAGAAACAGATGCTACTGATTGGGAAGATCACAAGCAAGGATATACACAGTCTTTCTGTATCTTTCAAAGTAAAGATGGCCCTGACAATAGAAAAGGAGAAACTACCTCAGTACCATCCCAAAATATCATTTCATGTGTAATAAAATGCAATTATTCTTCTTTGACCAAAATAAAACCCTTAGTGGATCACCCAATCAAAAAAGTCAGTTAACGTACAGAAGCGTAAAAATAGCTTACACAAATCTTATGTGCTGTGGCTCATGCCTGTAATCCCAACATTTTGGGAGGCCAAGGCGGGTGGATCACTTGAGGTCAGGAGTTCGAGACCAGTCTGACTATCATGTTGAAACCCCATCTCTACTAAAAATACAAAAAAATTAGCCAGGCATGGTGGCAGGCACCGGTAATCCCAGCTGCTTGGGAGACTGAGACAGGAGAATCACTTGAACCCGGGAGGCAGAGGTGGCAGTAAGCCGAGATCGTGCCACTGCACTCCAGCCTGAGCTACAGAGCAAGACTCCATCTCAAAATAAATAAATAAATAAATAAATAAATAAATAAATAAATAAATAAATAGAAACCCATAATTATACACCAATTCACCAACCTTGTGAAGCAGGAAATGACCTTGTTCTTGAGTTTGGTTCTTCTGATTAATGTTCTTCATTGGCTCTCACAGACAAGTGACACCTACACAGCATCATTGGCCATGTGAAGCTTCAGTTTCTTAGGTGAAGGAGGAACTTACAGAAACTTACAAAGCAATCTAAGACCACTATTCTTCCCATTTTTAAATGATCTGATTTCCTTCCTCAATCTTTTATGGTTGTCTTGGTCAAACTTAAGATGACAGTATTTATTTTTAAGGTGACCTGACTTTATTGTCTCTTTTCAATGCATTTGATTTGGTTTTTGTAGAGGAAGTAGATCTTTTGTTCTTCATATCCATAATAATTGCTTTTAATAATATTTAATGAGACTGCATAATGACAGTAATAAGTACAACTGGAATGACTGGATTTAGAAATAGAAATCTTCACATGTTGCTAGGCATACAAGGCAGGGTCTGGGACAGAATTGTATGGATATACAGCACTAGCGAGTGGCCTAGCAGTTGTGAGAATTTGGTATTCCATGGGTACCAAACAGCAGGTTTTATAGAAGGCAGTGAGAGCTCCAACAAATCTTTCCTACTTGATTAAAGGCTGGTAAAGAGACAGTTTTTGAGTTATTATCATCAAGTATGTAGGTTCTGGTAGGTCAACAGCTGTATCAACATACAGAATGGCAGCCCTTGGATAATGCCCCGTGTCTTTAAGCAAATGTAGTTTAAAATCCCTTAAAATCCGGTGTTGTTTTACAGATCCAATGAATCTATTCACGCAATAGAAATGTATAAATCAACAAAATCTGCTTATTAAAACACTTTTGAGTAGATGGTATCTCACATTATGTAGCTCTTTCACGTTTATTTTTCTGTTCTTTTTTCCTAAAAGAGATATGCATTATAAGCAATGGGAAATAGCTATATTCAACAATAGTAAAAAACCCTCAATGTAATTTAATGTTGGAAATCAGTACTGTATGTCCTGGATTGAATTGAGAGGTGGAGATGAAGACTTTTGTTGCCCTAGGTACACTGGAAAATGTTGTGATGCCTGCAAGCCTGAAGTCAGCCAAAGGGTATCCAGTCACTACACGTTTTCATTGCTCCTAATACTCTTTGGCTCTAGGCTACTGCCTCTTTTGCCTAATGATAGGGCTAACCTTGACCAGGAGCCCTCTGAACCTTTCCCAAGGGGTTCCTCGGTGCTTATTCACCCTTTGACATCAACCTTCAGAGTATATGAAATAGAAATCTTAATGAAAGAAGGGAGGGCTGAGATTTTCCTGCGTGCTCATCTGGCTAAACTCCTAGCATTTTATGTTTATACTTGATTTTTAAGTCATCCTGAACTCTATTTGCAGCTCTGCTCTCTTTTATCTTTTCTTGTCATCACAACCTTTACTACAAAGCTTATTTCAAGGGAAAACTGTTAGAATTCAAATCACTTACTCCTGTTTCACGCTCGTCTGTTTGTTTGGGATTCCAGCTGACAAGATGTCCTTCAAATGATTGCTTTTAGTAAAATCAAAGTGACTTGAGGACCAAAAATTTTGATAACTGAATATGTGTTTTAGACTACTTCAGGGGTTTCTCTCGCAACTTGGCTGGATAAGTGTGAAAACAGAATTGTTAGTGATGAAGAGGGCTGAGGCCTGTATTCTAGATTGTTTGCAGAATTCTAAATCACTACCAGGAAAGGGCTCAGAGAAAGCCGTCACTTTGTGAGACCTCAGAAGCAACCTGGAGCCAGGTCTGTGGTTGAAGAATGTTTCCAAACTGGGGTGATGGCTATGGCTATTTTTTTTTGTTGTTGTTGTTATTGTTGTCAGATGCCTCAGGGCGCCAACAAATGAGAGTGGGTTGTTGTCCTTAGAGGGTGTTTTTTTTTTTCTCTTCAATTTCTTACTTTGGGGAAAACTCTGGAAATGCTGTGTGTTTTTGGAGATTTCCAGGGGTTATTGTAGGAAGGGTAGAAGACTCCCCCATCCACACTGGGGTGACCCTCTGGGAAGGGTAGAAGACTCCCCCATCCGCACTGGGATGACCCTCTGGGTGCCACCGACTTCCCTGTCTGCAGACCCTCGGAAGCTGCTGTTCCGGCTCTAGTGGAAGTGACTCCTCATGATTAGAAAAGGCATTTTCAGCACAAAACTCTATAGTTTTGCATCATGCTGCCTTACTCTTCTTTCCATTAGGGTGAACAAATGTTTTATAACAACTTATCAGGTATCTACTTGTCACCTATAATAAAAACGCTGAGCACTTGCTATGGACAAGGGATGGTGCATATGTGCTTTCCTTTAATTCTCTCAATAGCTTTAGTGATTTCATCATCCTTCTTCTGTGAAGGAGAGAAATGAGGTTTAGAAAGATGAAGTTCCCACAGCTGGTAAGTGGCAAAGCTGGGATTGGATTTAAGTACAGTTCTATCTGGCTCTCCAAACCGGTTTTCACTAGGAGACATGTGTAACTCTCTCAGAGTGTCACTGGGAAGAATTATTCAGTATTATGCACTTTGAGTTAGAGAAACGTAAGCACATAATATTCCCTTTAGCCTCTTAAATTTCTGGGAAGAAGAGCAAAATAAAAAGATGAATACTTTTAGGTACCGTATTATTAACAGATTAGCTTGCATGCTGGTAACCAGATATACCTCTACCATCACAATATATTTATTCAGGGAAAGGAGGATAAATTAGTAGCTATTGTCTCACATGTAGGAAGGAGAATGGAGAATGGAGAACATTCTATACTGACACAAAGTGTCAGCCAATGAGAAGGGAAGACTATTCTTGTTAGTGAAGGAACTTCCCGATTACTGATCATTCTAGACATTCATATCTGGGTGCTTATGGCAAGCTGTGCTTGGTGAAGCTACCATATACAGGGAGGTTGTCCTCTGGTCCTCTTGCATGTGAGCACCGTGGCTGGAAGGACCTGGCTCACCTTCTGTGGCCCAGCTTCTCCAGGGCTTGCTTGAGAGTGGGCGGACATGTAGACAGGCTGGCTATCCCAGCAAATGAGAGTGATTCTCTTTGCAAGTTTTAGTAGCCAGGGTGTTTCCTAACATGAAGAATGATTTCATATATAATTGTATAACATCGTGATAAGTGTTTTTAAACAACAAAACAATACATCAGAGATAGACTTGCCAAGCTCAAAAGCAATCCAGATGGATTTTCTGACGTCTTTCTGCACCAGCATTTTCTTTATGTTCTTAGGAAATAGCTGGAGAGGTTTTTATAGCCATTCAGATTTCAATCTTGGGACTCAGAAAGTTTTGATATTGTAGAGTGAAGTGTGCAACTATTAAACTTGAACTGCTCTGGACAGCTGTGCAGATGGGAAAGAACTACCATGTTCAAAACATTTTCTTTTTGTTTTGTACATTCCTTACAGTGCAGCTGGTTAAATTCTCTGTAAAAAGATGGTGTGCAGCTGTTTCTCTGAGGCAGACCCTGAAGGCAAATACCCATCACCCCAAATACCCATCACCCCAGCACGTCCTTTCCTATCTTGGCAAGTCGTTTTGTCCTTAACTCTATTGTGTATAACCATGAAACATTGCTATTTATCTGAATCTTCTTTAGGATACAATACATGAGCTCATTCTCAGAAGTTCCAGGAACACGGCACTCCATCGTAAAATATTTTCTATGTCTCCCACCCCCTCTCATTTTCACAGTTTCCATGGCAACATTTGGCTCCGATGGCACCTCCAGGATTATTACTATCATCACAGTTATTTCTTCTGATTACTATTGTTGCTTATGGTCATCAACATCATTTTGACTGTCGGTTAGTCAGATCTTGATCCTAAACACCTGGCCTCTGGGGAGTGTTTCCTCAAAACAGTTGAAAAGTTAAAAAAAAAAAAAAGGAATGCAAATCCCAAGAGATTACCAGAGGTGCAATTATCCTACATCAGGTTTAAGTTTCTCTTTAAAAAAATTTCCCCATCAGTCATTGTAATCCTTCCAGAATATACGTAGATAAGTTTGTCATGATACCAAAATAGACATGGTTGTCAATACTGCTGTTTTGTTTTTAGAGAAGGAAAGTGTGTGTGCATTTGTGTGTGTGTGTTGGTGGGTTGAGAGGGGAATTATGAATCTAAAGCTTTCTAACATTGCTAAAGGAATTTTTCATGAAATGTTGGAAACTGGTTGTTTAGAGATGAACAAAATAGTTTGAGACTATTATCCACTGATTTTTCCATACTTGCTGTCGACCCTGTGAGCCTCCTTGAGGCTCAGAGGGGAATAGGCTTCCTTTGTAAGAGTTACTGCCTTATGAATTAGTGTAACACTGGGATGCCCTGTGCTTTTGAGATAGACTTAGACTTGACTCGAAACACTACCTCCGAGGCCATGAGAATCCAGAAGCATCATATTAATTTCTGCAAGTTTCTTCAGCTGTCTTTTTGTGTGTCCTTCTGTCCCTGGGCTCCTGTGTGGATGCTGGCTGCTCTGCTGGGTTTAGTGAAACCCTAAATGCAGAATTTGGCCTCTTTAGCTATCTTATATCAAGCTAGCCTGTCCTTTCACACTTCCTCTCCCTCCTTTTCTTTTCCTTCTCTTCCTGTTTCCTTTCTCCCTCCTTCATTCCCACCTTCCTTTCACTTTTTCGGGAAACCTTGCTGAGTTGGTGGGTCACTGGGAGGAGTCATATCATAGGGCACAACCTTTCCTCCCCTGTCTGCTAGCTCCACCCTTTCACTCCCATTCTTCCCTTTCTTCCTGGTGCATTGAAGAATTTCTTCTTTTTGTCTCATTTAGGGCAGCCATCCCTGAAAGGAATTCTAGTTTCCCCACTTGGTTTTAGTCTGCACGTAGATATATTTGTTGCACCTGCAAAAAATCAATTCCACAAACTCTTTCTCAAAGGGGAGAAGGACAAAACCAAATGTTAATTTATGTTTTGGTGGCAACAGAGCTGCTCTAACTGAGTGCTCAAAGCCCTGCCTTACTGCCTCCTGGTCACCGAACACAATCTCAGATGCTTCTAGGAACCTGGCAGGTGACATACACGAGTTGAGGGAATCTGGTGGAAGAGGCAGTGTGGAGTGAGGGACAGAATATGTGTCCAGAGTCACAGTTTACTCAAAGGGACCACAAGCAACTGGGCTCCAGCTGATGGCTGCCAGTGAGGATGGAGGTCCAGTGTGGCCTCATTACCCAATTTTTAAGAATTTAAAGGTCTAATTTTTATTAAAAAATTCCCAAAATGTGAACCTTGGCAGCTGTTTTTTCAAAAAACTTTGCAAGACAATATTGTGTTGGTTACCAAACTATGCAGGAGAGACAGACCTAAACCACATGGGAGAGACCGACCTAAACCATGTGGGAGAGACAGACCTAAACCACGCGGGAGGGACAGACCTAAACCATGCGGGAGAGACATGCCTAAACCATGCGGGAGAGACACACCTAAACCATGTGGGGGAGACAAACCTAAACCATGCGAGAGAGACATGCCTAAACCATGCGGAAGAGGCACACCTAAACCACATGGGGTAGACATACCACGCAGGGGAGACAGACCTGAACCACATGGGAAAGACACACCTAAACCACGCGGGAGAGACAGACCTAAACCATGCAGGGAGACACGCCTAAACCAAGTGGGAGAGACACACCTAAACCACACGGGACAGACGCGCCTAAACTACATGGGGTAGACACACCACACAGGGGAGACAGACCTGAACCATGTGGGAGAGACACACCTAAACTATGCAGGAGAGACAGACCTAAACCACGCGGGAGAGACAGACCTAAACCACGCGGGAGAGACACACCTAAACCACGCGGGAGAGACACACCTAAACTACGCGGGAGAGACAGACCTAAACCATGCGGGAGAGACAGACCTAAACTACGCGGGGGAGGCACACCTAAACCATGTGGGAGAGACACACCTAAACCACGTGGGGTAGACATACCACGCAGGGGAGACAGACCTGAACCACATGGGAAAGACACACCTAAACCACGCGGGAGAGACAGACCTAAACCATGCAGGGAGACACGCCTAAACCAAGTGGGAGAGACACACCTAAACCACACGGGACAGACGCGCCTAAACTACATGGGGTAGACACACCACACAGGGGAGACAGACCTGAACCATGTGGGAGAGACACACCTAAACTATGCAGGAGAGACAGACCTAAACCACGCGGGAGAGACAGACCTAAACCACGCGGGAGAGACACACCTAAACCACGCGGGAGAGACACACCTAAACTACGCGGGAGAGACAGACCTAAACCATGCGGGAGAGACAGACCTAAACTACGCGGGGGAGGCACACCTAAACCATGTGGGAGAGACACACCTAAACCACGTGGGGGAGACAAACCTAAACCATGCGAGAGAGACGTGCCTAAACCATGCGGAAGAGACACACCTAAACCACGTGGGAGAGATGCGCCTAAACCACATGGGGTAGACAACCACTGCTGCTTTGGGGTTGCCTGTTCTGCCCAGGAGGATCTTGGGCAGGAAGTTTCCTGTTTGGTTCCAGTCTATTTTTTTGTTTGTTTTTTGATATGGGGTTTCTCTCTGTCACCTGGGCTGCAGTACAGTGGCATGATCTCGGCTCACTGCAACCTCTGCCTCCCGGGTTCCAGTGATTCTCCTGCCTCAGCCTCCTGGGTTGCTAGGATTACAGGTGTGCACCACCACACCCAGCTAATTTTTTTTTTTTTTTTTAGTAGAGACGGGGTTTCACCACATTTGCCAGGCTGGTCTCGAACTCCTGACCTCAGGTGATCCGTCCGTCTCTGCCCCCCAAAGAGCTGGGATTACAGGCGTGAGCTACCACACCCAGCCTGGTTCCAGCCTTTCTCCTCCCCTCTGTGATGTGGTCCTTGCTGATGCCCAGCCAGGTTGGAGTGTCCTTTACATTCGGAGAAGCTTCAAGGGATCATGGGGCTTGAGGCCTAGTCAGCTCCTTGATTCTAACTCAGCAGCAGCAAAGTTTGTAGCTGAATCAAATACAAATATCACTCCCAGCCTAGATTTTCGGTCACATTTCCTCCTGCCCCAGGGCCAGGATCCACCTCTCACCATCTTTGTCTTTCAGTTGCTAGAAAAGATTGCATTATTCCCTCCATGTCTTGGTCCATTGAGAGAAGAAAGAATTTAAATGCTTAAGTTATTTTCCTTTTCTCTTTCTCTTGGTAACAGGTTAGTTCAGCTCTCAGTGTGGTTTTTTTTTTCTTTTTTTGAAGCTTGGATAATTTAATAAATTAAAATTGGGAGTGGAGGAGTAGGGCAGAAGGAAAAAGAGGAACATCTCTTTAGCATTTGTTCATTCTAACATTCACATGTTTGCTTCTCCATGGAATTGTTTTACTATGAACAGGTTCACTAAGGAGCCAATTATGTCCATGTGAAATGAGAATAAAAGTGCAAACTCATTGAGATCAGGTTCTTCTGAGGAGTGGTGCTTTTGAAAAAAATATGTAAAATAAAAATAGAAACACTCTTTGTCAAATACTTAAATTGCAGCCACAGTAGTGGGACAGCCACTACTTATAGAACACATGTCTATTTAAACCCTTTTTTTAGGCCAAAGACTGACACCTATGCAATTGACCTAGGAAAAGAAAGGATAAAGGAAGGAAGAGAAAGAACACTTCATGTTAGACAATTCAGTCACCTTCATTGGTTTTGACATAATTAGGGACTCAGAATTGCTCCTGCTGAGGCAATGGGAGCCCCACTCAAGCTGAAAGCATGAGGAGGTGAGGAGGCAATTGCCTCCAGGTCCTCAGGGACAGATCTTTGTCTTTCCCCAAATCAAGCATACAACTACAAAGTCCTGCTGCTCCACTTCCAAGTCAAAGTTGATAATTCTTAGGTACCTCTAAAGAAATCTTGAGTAACAGGGTATTCTCTGATGAGGCTCCTCCCTTCAGTGCCAGTAACTAAAAGCCAAGATGTTGCAATTAATTCTTTTATTATTTTCCAATCAGCCAACAGTCCTCACTTAGGGCTTTCTTCCCTTTTTACTCAACGACTGTCCTTCTCCAGAGAAAGCAACGAATCTGCCTCCAGCTTCATCCTCTTCAAACTTTTTGACAAGGGGACATGCATTTCTGATGAAAGGTGTCTTACCAAGTTTAAATTCATGATTGGGAATTCCTCTTTTAATGTCTCCAGGCTTGATTGGGGAGGGGCTTTCTTTCTTTCCATCCAGTCTGTTGCCAGAGCCGGAGAAGGCACGGAAGCCCAGCTCTCCAGCATAGCCACTGTGGTCGGCTTCACCTTCTGTCAACTCCTCGTGCTGGACTTGTCTTTCGGGTTCTTTGTAGCCCAGGGGAGCATCAGAGTCCACGTTTGTGTCACACTCAGTGATGGACACTGCCTTGTTGGGTTTGGTTTCCATCACACGCAGTTCGAGTTCATAGATCTTTTCATTACAGTTGATGGCAGTCACATTCCCGGTGGTCAGACAGGCAAAGTTCCTAAGTGCGTTGTCTAATACAGCTTTGGGGTTAGTGATGTCCAGGATGTCAGGGCTCTGAGGCTGGAATTTGGAGTAGGTGGCCACTTGAAGGTTGACACTCTCCACCTAGACCAGGCTGCCTTCTTCCAAGAGCAAGTTCTGCATCATCCAGTGTGGGAGGTAGCAGATGCCCTCATCAGCCACAAACTCCAGCACGCCACAGTGCGTCATGCGGTCCAAATTCTTACTGGTCAGTTTGAACAGCATGGGATAGGTAATGTTAAGTTGGCTGAGTTGGTCCAGGGCTGAGGGCAGCATAATTATCTTCCCTCCTTTCTCCACATCTGACTTGTCATTAGGCCCTGCTAGCGTGGACACAGAGAAGCAGCGGTAGTGTGTGGAGAAGCGGTTTTGGAAGACCCTGGGAATTAGGTGGTTGAACATGTTGAAAGAGAACATGATGGACACCACCTCACAGACACCGCTTCTCTCAGGGAATGCGACAAAGGCACCCTGCCGACCGCTGTCCTCGCTGCCGCCGCCACCCCAGTGTGTTGTTTTTAACCTTGACTTCTAAAAGATCAGAATGCAGATCTCCTTAAGCATAAAATTCATCAAAAAGTGTACTCTCTCTCTATATATATATTTTGAGACAGAGTCTTGCTATGCCACCCAGGCTAGAATGCAGTGGTGCGAACATGGCTTACTGCAGCCTCAAACCCCTGGGCTGAAGTGATTCTCCTACCTCAGCCTTCCAAGTAGCTGGAACTACAGGCACGTGCCACCACACCCAGCTTATTAAATTTTTTTTTTTTTTTTTTGTAGAGACAGGGTCTTGATATGTGCCCAGGCTGGTATGAAACTCCTGGGCTCAAGTGAGCCTCCTGCCTTGGCCTCCCAAAGTGCTGGGACTACTGGTGTGAGCCACCACACTTGGCCAGAGTGCCCATTCTTAGCAAACTCCAAAATGTTTGTTCTGGGGTCTCAGGCAATGCCTTGCCATTTCTGGTGCCTGCCCCTCCCACACTGCAGCCTGGGAATTGCTGTGGTTGGTGAGGCGGTGCAGTCCCTTGTGTGTGCCCATCCCCTACATGGGAAGCACACTGGTGGGTGCAGGCTTTCAGGCTCTAACCAGAGTCTAGAATTTGGCCTGTGAGCCTTTTGACCAGAGGCTTGTTAACAGACAAGCAATTCCTTTCAACACTGGAATCTTTTCTGGATAGGAAAAGAAAGCTCATTGTCAACATGCCCGGTGTACTCAGAGTCTCTCCCTGGCCCACACAAAGGCCATGAATCCCCTGGATAAACAGATTATCAATGTAAGTACCTTTTCTCTCACCAATTCACAGACATTTATTGAAGACCTGCTATCTGCTGGGTGTTAGGAAGACACACTTCTAGAGTGTTATTTGTGCCCTTGAGGAACTCAAGGTCTAGTGTGGGAACAAACGTGTAACCCAGCAAGTTTGTGCAGACCGATAAAGACACAGCATGAACAGCGATGAGGAAAAGCAGCCCTCGGGTAGAAGTTCAGAGAATCTGCTTGGCCAAAGTGGGGTGGAGGCGCCGCCCAGGTAGAGGGCACAGAGGCCTGCACTTGGGCGCGGAGGTGGAAAGGACAGTGCTTGTTCTGGAAATGCAGTTTATGGTTAAGGAAAATGTTGCAGAATGTGTGTCCAGAACCCCCAGAGCCCTGGATCTCTCAATGAGAGGCTCTCCCCAGGAGAGGCTGGCTGGGGTAAAACTGACAGGATGAGTGATTCACGTTGCCCATTTCACTTTCATTCTAAGACATTCATACTTAGCGTGGAATGCTAGGTGAAGCCATTTTTACTGTTAACTATACATTAAAAAAAATTTTAGTGCCTATGCATGTAATTGAATTAGTGAAAATTAAGTGAAAGAATGATGCAACCCCAATGGAGAGATCTTTTTCAAATACCCAAAGAACACCTTCAAAGTACACATCCAGTGCTATTCAAAAACTCTGTTTTGAGCTGACTGCCATTAGGCTCTCAAAGGTTATATAAGAGAGACACCCTTGGGCATTGGAGGCACCGTAGTGTGACGGTTAATAGCATGAACTTGGATGTGTTGGACATCTGGACTTGAATCCAGGCGTTCTCCCTTAATAGTTCTTGATGCTGGGCAAGTTAATCTCTGCCTCGGTTTTTCACTGTTGCTCTTGTTCTCTCTGGGTTTTTTCATGCTTCTTCAGGTCCCAGAGCCTTTTCCTCCTCTCTCTTCACCTACTTACCTCCCACACAGCATTTCAAATGTCCCTTCAAATAGCATTTCAGATAGCATTTCATTTATTTTTTATTTTATTATTATTATGTTTTTGAGATGGAGTCTCACTCTGTCGCCCAGGCAGAGTGAGTACAGTGGCATGATCTCGGCTCACTGCAAGCTCCGCCTACCAGGTTCACACCATTCTCCTGCCTCAGCCTCCCAAGTAGCTGGGACTACAGGCACCCTCCAACACACTCGGCTAATTTTTTTGTATTTTTAGTAGAGACGGAGTCTCACCATGTTAGCCAGGATGGTCTCGATCTCTTGACCTTGTGATCCACCCGCCTCAGCCTCCCAAAGTTCTGGGATTACAGGCGTGAGCCACTGCGCCTGGCTCTCAGATAGCATTTCAAATGCTCCTTCAAGATGATAATGAAAATGATATCATAACACATTGTGCCTTTTCTTCACAGCATCTCTATTTTAGTTCTGTGTGTATCTGTGATTAATTTATGCGTGCCTCCAGCACTACCCTTTTTTGTTTGGGTTTGGATCATAATTCCAAAAGACACAATCCTGAAAGCCAAAATCCCGAATGTTGAAATTCTGAAAGACCAAACTCCCAGAAGTCTAAAATCCCTAATGTCTAAAAATCCTGAAAATCACAGTCACATGTTGGGTGGAACTATTACCTTGTTACTGTCTTTATGCAGAAGAAAATGAATTTCAATAGAATTTCCAAACCATAATCACAGATTTGGAATTAGGTGTGCTCAAAGCTACTAAAAGTGAATTTCTAGTTGTTAAAAATAAAGTTTGTCTTTCCCACTCAGCTCAATGCATTTGGTGGAAAATTCAAGTGAATAGATTGGTTATATGATATGGCAAGGACAAAAACTTTAGTTTAAAAATTTGTCATCTTTGAGTATTGGCATTTCTTCCGCCTGATGACATTGCAGGAACTTTTAATAAATTAAAGCCACATTTGGCTGAAGAAGCCAGAGAAGTTACTGACTGGCTAGGAAATAATTATATGCACAGTAAGATAAGAAGACACTTAGGCAACGGTGTTGCTGTTGGATCACGGTATTGTTTCCAACACATTTGTCTGTATATGAGTGCATGTAAAATGGATTTCTGCATACCCAAAACAACAGAGAGGCAGAGCACAGAAGATGGGAAAATTTAATAGGAATGCTGATGTCAATGTATATAAAATTATAGAAGAATTCCAGAAAGGGCAGAGCCACGGAGAAAATGAATGTGAATGTATTCACTGAAGACAGCCATGTCCTAAAAGAAAAACAAACAAACAAACAAAAAAAACTCCCCAAAAAACCCATCAGACCTAAATGCAAGACTTCAAAATATAGTCAATGATTGTGAAAGTCGGCCGGCTTTTGTAGACTAACTCTGTGCAATTGCCCATAATTTATCCCTGTAATACACTTTTTATAGGTGTTAATTTCTAGCTTTTATCTTTTTTCAAGTTTTTTTTCCACGATTTTAAATTGTCCACATTATTTTTTACAATTCGCTATGCTATGCATTTAATCTTTGCATCGTTCCAATACTGGAGCTATAAATTGTCTAAAGATTTTTAGAGAATTCTCATTCATTTTATGCATTTTTGTTTTTTGCAAATTTAACTCCACAAAGATGCATTATCACAGCGTTGGCTTTGTTTGTAAGCATTGTGCATGTACCTAAAATAAAAACATTGAAACTTCTTCAGTAAATGAAGAGGTGTCCTTTTTGTGCATCTGCATTTGTGAAAGATAAAATTTCTTGAGCTCTTGGCTCTTTGGGTGAATGGTGTGTTGGTGATGTGGTGGTGACCCATCACAGGTTTTGATTGATCTCATCGAAAGACTTAGGTTGTCTGTCATAGTACTTCAGCTGACTGTAGTTATAAAGCTGAGTGCACACAATTATCATAGTGAAGGTCTTTAAAATACTTGAAATAGAAGAATATTGATTCCATGTTAAAATCTTTTGATTTTAACATGGTATGCATGTGTGTATTTCACTTATCTATTTCTTTATGAATGTGGTTTATCTGCTTATAACTGTTATACCCATGTGACTATCATTAGTATACCTGAATGTTTATGCTTGCAAACATATTATGTTATTATTGCCTATTTTATTGTGTAGAGTGGCCTATGAAGTATTGTCATGTTTTTATGTTTCTCAAATAAAGTCACTTTTAAAAATGTTAAGTAAATATCTTTAAAATAATTTTTAAAATTATTTTTCCATGATAATATTTTCAGGACTTCAACACTTGGAACTATGGTGTTCATAATTGTGTCTTTTGAGATCATGATTGGCTCCAGTTTTGTTCACCACTGTGGCCCAGTTTAGCATAGTATTTGTCACATAGAAGGTATGTGATTGGCCAGGTGCGGTGGCTCATGCCTGTAATCCCAGCACTTTGGGAGGCCGAGGCAGGCAGATCACCTGAGGTCAGGAGTTCGAGAACAGCCTGGCCAAACATGGTGAAACCCCGTCTCTACTAAAAGTACAAAAATTAGCCGGGCGTGGTGGCGGACACCTGTAATCCCAGCTACTCAGGAGGCTGAGGCAGGAGAATTGCTTGAGCCTGGGAGGCGGAGGCTGCAGTGAGCCAAGATTGCACCACTGCACTCCAGCCTGGGTGACAAGAGTGAGACTCCGTCTCAAAAAAAAAAAAAAAAAAAAAAGAAGGTATGCGGTCAATATTTTTGAGTGAATAGGTAAATAGATACTTCCTTTGTAAGCTTGATTGAGGGCTGCATTGTATAATGCATCTAAGCTATTTGGCACAGTGCCTGCTATATAGTCAGCATTCAATAAATGTTGAGTTAAATAATTATTCTTATTCCTTTAGGTATGCTGTTCTCTAGTCCTATAGTGGACTGAGTAATGAACAATTTGTGTGTCGTTAGCTAAGTTCCAATAGTTCTATTAGCTAAGTTTTTATGGTGAAAATGCTTTAGGTTCAATATTATGCCCTTGGCTCTGAGTGTTGATTTAAGAAATGGAGACCTTCTAGGTCATCTGTGGAGCCACTGAAAAGGATTTTATGCACAGTGTGGCAATTTGGAGCAGGAGTTTGGAAGTAGGTTGCCTGGGCCCAGGTTATTGCTGCTTCGTTTTAGCTGTAACCACGGGTGACTTATTTCTCTGTGCCTTTGTTTTCTAACCTGTAAAGCAGGCATAATAATCTACCTTACAGTGCTGTTATGAGGATTAAATTACTAATACATATGAAGAGTTTAGGAGAGTATTTGGCACATAGTCGATATTCAATATATGTTAGCTATTATTTTATAAGGACTTATGGGACAAATTCTTCCTGGAATTTGGTAGAAAAACTAAAATAGTAACTCTTGAAGAGCTGGTATATGTATTTTTTAGTTTATGGTAGATTTACTATAGGCCACTACATTTCTTCTTTTGACTTATTATCAGAAATTTTAGAGCTAAATTTAGTGCTGAAGTGCAGCAAATATCTCATCTCTGACTCTGTATCATCCTTCTGTCTATATTCTTTGTTATTTCTTATCTTCATCCTGTGTACCCAGATATCTTTTTTAAAACTTGAAATCTACCTCAAATCCTTTTAGGAAGTAGGCGGGGACACATATAATAAATGCATGAATTCCAAATAATAGAAAGAAAACACATTTTAGGTGATATTTACTTCAGGTAAACTTTATGTGATCCAAAATTTTCCCTATGATCCTGTATAGACTGTTTCACTCCTTTTTGAATAACTAAAAGCAAATTCAGTATTCTGGTGGGAACCATTTATTATGGAAATTCTAATATAAATTATGTATCAAATGCTAACTAGAAATTGCAAAATTTTGCTGGAAGTATTTGAAAAGTTCAAATTATTTTCCACTATTCATATCATAGCATCATAAAATTTTAGAATAGGATACAATTTGTTTAGTTTTCATGTTTCACTTGGTGTGAGCAATAAGAGTCCTGACCAACTTAATTTTATGTTAATTGAGTTTCAATTTCTTTTTGTTTTGAGACGGAGTCTCGCTCTGTTGCCCAGGCTGGGGTGCAGTGGCGCGATCTCAGCTCACTGCAAGCTCTGCCTCCTGGGTTCACGCCATTCTCCTGCCTCAGCCTCCCAAGTAGCTGGGACTACAGGCGCCCGCCACCACGCCCGGCTAATTTTTTGTATTTTTAGTAGAGACGGGGTTTCATCGTGTTAGCCAGGATGGTCTTGATCTCCTGACCTCGTGATCTGCCTGCCTCGGCCTCCCAAAGTGATGGGATTACAGGCGTGAACCACTGCACTCGGCCACAATTTCTTTTTAGAAATGAGACAAAATTGTATTTTTATGGCATTGTGATGTTGGACAATCTCAGCAGTTCGGTATTTCATTTGACCCTCTACTCAGGGCAACACCTGAACTACTTGAAATAGAAGAATATTGATTCCATGTTAAAATCTTTTGAAAAAGGTATTTTAAAGACCTTCATTAATAACTCACCTCAAGACTTAGCATTTCTCTTTTTTCTGTTTAATTTACATCTGCAAATTGAAGACAAAATTCATACCTCTATTGGGCAGGGAACAGAGAAGTAATTGACCATTTGTTGCATAACAGCCCATTGGGGAAAACCAGTAAAGACCAACTCATTCATTCATTCAGTCTTCAATCAATATATATTTATAGATTGCCATCTATGTGCTATGCACATGCTGGATTGTACAGATGCTCTTACGAGTCCTTATGCTTAATGAGTTTTATAGACTAGCAGGTGGAGACAACAAGCAATGAAATAAAAAAGAATTTTGAAAATGAACTCTTTCTGTCTGTGTTTTGATCAAGACATTGACATAATGGACATGGGAAACCAAAGTCAATGTGAAATAAGTTCCCTGTGACACAGGATTTATAAGGTAATGAATGCACTAGGACTAGTGCATTAAAGTTTGGACCCCTCATCCAGATGAAGGTTGTACAAGCTTGCAGAGCAGAAAGAAGGATTTGAGGAAGATTTTCTTGGAGGAAATGATGTTTAGAAGCCTCTAATTTTCTATCTGAAGGGGTAGGGTGGGAGGAGAGCACCACATTCTTTCCCTCAATCCTTTAATAGGTTCACTTGGAGAGCTCTGTGTGTTTTAGGAATGGGGGGAAGCTTGCACTGGGGTCTCACTCTTCCTTTGGAAATCCAGAAGGTGACAGAAAGGATGATACACTGCTTTGATGCTGCACAGGGATCAGCCTGCGTGCCTAGAGTTTATCAGAAGACATGTGAGTGTTTTTCATGGAAGAAAGGGCCAAACTGGAACCATCCTAATTCCTGCTGTGGAGCAAAGGGAGAGGGCTGATGGTAGGACTTAAAGATCAATGCATCCCCTCCCCTTCTCATCTTGAGAATTGCAGGTAAAGAGAGTCCCTAAGGATGAGAATTCCAAAAAATTGAAAACAGAACACCAACTCATGAGGGTAAGAGTTCAGCTCTAATAAGTTGCTTGACCCAGATAGCTCAAAGCCACCTAACCACTATTTTTATTTGCTAAATCGGTCAACTGTTTGCTTCCTTCCCTTCTTGTCCATAGCTGAATGAGCTGCTGTCCAGCGTGAAAGAGTAGGGAGAGAGCAGAAGCTGGTCACACCCCTCTCTGGCAGCAGGCAGCTGCCAAATGTAGGCCTAAGCAAGAGAGAGAGGAAGAATTAACTTTGAAGGAATATTGAGGAGTTGCTTAATATTTTGGGGAGAACACATTCCAGTTAGTGAATCAAGTTTTGTGAATTAATGTGATCATAGGACTCTCTTTTTCATGTAAGCAGAAAATTGTGGGGATCCACCAACTTTCCTTACAGAGATGGAGGAGATTATCATCACTGAACAAAAGTTTACAGGGACACAAATAGACAAATATAAATCTGTGTTTTTGTCCCAGCCACATCCACATCCACATATTTGTGGGAGGAACACAAGGTTTTAACAGGGGGCATGTTGCAGAGGCATTTTTCCTAGATTCGGGGGTTTCTCAGAGGAAGTAACATTATTCCAAGAGCAGAAGCGATGAGAGGATTTCTGTGCAAGGTTGGCAAGTTAAACACTTTCACTCCCTCCCAAGGTCTCCACAAAACAACTATATGGTGATTTTTTAAAAAGTCTTGGCCGGGAGCGGTGGCTCACGCCTGTAATCCCAGCACTTTGGGAGGCCGAGGCGGGCGGATCACGAGGTCAGGAGATCGAGACCATCCCGGCTAAAACGGTGAAACCCCGTCTCTACTAAAAATACAAAAAAAAAATTAGCCGGGCGTGGTGGCGGGCGCCTGTAGTCCCAGCTACTTGGGAGGCTGAGGCAGGAGAATGGCGTGAACCCGGGAGGTGGAGCTTGCAGTGAGCCGAGATCCCGCCACCGCACTCCAGCCTGGGCGACAGAGCGAGACTCCGTCTCAAAAAAAAAAAAAAAAAAAAAAAAAAAAGTCTTAATCCCTAAAGGATAAGAACAACAAAAAAGGAGGCAATAGCTGCAAAGTTTTGTAACCTGGAAAGTAGGTGGGTGAGTAGTGAAGGACCAGAGAGAATGGAAGTCTAAGCTAAAGTAGAGAAAGATGAAATCCAACACACTTTACTCCTCAGGATTGACAGCTCAGAAATAAGTAGCACGTGGCACTTCCAAACGTGGGCTACTTAGAAGGACTAACATGAGGAGGATTGACGGAAAGCTCTTGAAGTACTCAGATTCCCAGATCACCTTGCCAGCTTCATAAAGCCATGCAAAAGATCTTCCCAACCCTGGCAGGAGAAGGTGGATTTATTTTTTCTAGAGACAGTGGACTCAGTTAAAGATGGAGATACCATAAAAAAATTAGGAGATAAAATGCACGTATACAAAACTGGATGTTGAGAGCATCTCCTAGCCTCCTTCCCACATTCAGCTTCCAGAGGTCCAGCAGCCAGGTCTTCACCTTCCATGCAGGGGGCAGTAGAGCTTTCTCTGAGGAATCTGACCAGCCCACGAACAAAGACCTGCAAATATTGACATCAAGGCTTCCCCACTTTGATGGCTGGGGAAACTGCCCAATCAATTACCCTAAAGTTCACAGTTCATAAGTTCTACACACACTTACGCTTGAAGGATTTGGTCCCCCCACAACGCCACTTAAACGTGAGCAGACAGCCAAGGATAATCAGATGTCTGAGTAAAGCGTCTAACAGAGTGCAGGAAGCCCAATATCGGAATAACAGGAGCTGAAGAAGAGAGGTAGATAAAATGCAAAGTAGGATGTAAGGATCAATTCAAGTAAATATCTCAGAATTAAAGGATTTGAGTTCTATATTGACAAGCTCACTGAATGCCTAGCAAAATAAATGAATAAAAATAGACCCAAGACATATCATTATTAAATTTCAATGCACTAGAGAGAGAGAGAGAGAGAGGATCCAGGATTAGAAAGATAAATGGCATCAGATTTCTCATCAACTAGAAGCCAGAGGCCTTCACAATTTCCATACTCAGCAAAACTACAAATCAATTTTCAGGATAAACAAAGAAGGAGGAAAGTAGAGAACATGAGAAACACTTGAGAGGGGTAAAAGGAATCCCCAAGATGATGGTGACGGGAGATTCTAGGATGACAGACAGTTACCAGGTGAGAAGCTCCAACAGTCCAGGTTGGAGCAGGAAGGCTGTCAGAGAGGTTTCTTTAGGAAGGTGAAACTGATAGAATGCTTGCTATGTCCAAACACTTAAAGAGGAAATGTAGACAACTGATGAAGGAGTTGCAGGTTGAACTGATAAATACGTAAAAAATTAAGAAAACAAAAATTAATATTATTATTAACTTTAGGAAAAAGAAAAATTCATGCAAGAAAAGCAAAGAAACCAGGTTAACTCCATGGCTCAGTGTGTATGTATATATTTGCGTGTCGGAAACAAGGGAGAGAATCACAATAAATCTTCTTCTTTAATAGTGTCAAGTCAATAGATAAATGTCTAAAACCCAGAGCTAACAAAATCAGCAAGTGGCAGCACAAATCTATTATTTAGAAACATAGAGGTAATTACCAAAATATATAGTTAGAATAGGTGAAAGTGATTGCCTTTAGGGGAGAGGGGAAAAATGAGTGGAAAGAGTAGGGCATTATCAGTAGGGCAAACTTTTGTAGAGCTGTTAAAATATATTCTGTATAAAAGAACTACATTTTTTTCTTTTTTTTTTATTATACTTTAAGTTCTGGGGCACATGTGCAGAACGTGCAGTTTTGTTACATAGGTATACACGTGCCATGATGGTTTGCTGCACCCATTAACCCATCATCTACATTAGGTATTTCTCCTAATGCTATCCCTCCCTTAGCCCCTCACCCCCCGACAGGCCCCAGTGTGTGACGTTCCCCTTCCTTTGTCCATGTATTCTCATTGTTCAACTCCCACTTATGAGTGAGAACAGGCAGTGTTTGGTTTTCTGAAGAACTACATTTTTAAAAGGTGAGAAAGTTCAGGTGATGGCATTGTGGTGATTGGGTTAAAGTCCTTGGGGTCGGGGGTGGGGAAGAGAGAGAGAGAGAGAGAAAGAGAGAATGGCTCATATGAAGAATCAAAAGAAGTTCAATATAAGTGTGATGGGCAGAGGAGTGGTAGGGATGATGAAAAGGGCAGAAATGAGATATGAAGCTAGAGGATTAGTAGGGGCTAGATCATGAATGGGCTTTAATTTTATTCTAAGGACAACGAAAATCCAAAGAAGAACACTTTCACATTGAAGAACACTTTGACATTTAAGGAAGAGGAAGCTCTAACAAAAGTAGCTTAAACAATAAAGGATCTCATTTTACTATGTTTTATCATATAACAAGAAGTCTAGGCTGATGACTCACACCTGTAATCCCAGCACTTTGAAAGCCTGAGATGGGAGGATTGCTTGAGGCCAGGAGTTTGAGATCAGCCTGAGCAACATAGTGAGACCCCCCTCCCACCTCTAGAAAAATAAAAAATAAAACTAATCAGGCATGGTGGTGCATGCCTGTGGTCCTAGCTACTCAGGAGGCTGAGGAGGCAAGATCACTTGAGCCCAGGAGTTTGAGGTTACAGCAAGTTATGATTGCACTGCTGCATGCCAGACTTGGTGACAGAGTGAGATCCTGTCTATTAAAAAATAAATTAATAGGCCAGGCATGGTGGCTCATGCCTGTAATCCCAGCACTTTGTCAGGCTGAGGCGGGCAGATCACCTGAGGTCAGGAGTTCAAGATTGGCCTGGCCAACATGGAGAAACCCTGTCTCTACTAAGAATACAAAAATTAGCCAGGCATGGTGGCACACACCTGTAGTCCCAGCTACTCGGGGGGCTGAGGAAGAAGAATCACTTGAGCCTGGGAGGCAGAGGTTGCAGTGAGCTGAGATTGCACCACTGCACTCCAGCCTGGGTGACAGAGTGAGTCTTGGTCTAAATAAATAAATAAATAAATAAATAATAAATAAATGTCTGGAGGTAGGATTGTTAATTTGGCAGCTCCTTGGCAACATAAAAGATCAGGATCATTTCTTTTTTCTACCCTGCTCTTCTCAGGTGCCAAGTATGTCCCTCAGAATAGCTGCAAAAGCCAGATGTTGCTTTTATTACACAACAGCATCCAAAGGGTAGAAATATCCATATGTTTCTGTATCAGTTATTTATTACTACATTGAAACCTACCACAACAAAATTTAATGTCCAGAAACAACCACCATTTTACTTGCTCATGATTCTGGGACTCAGCAGAGTGGGTTGGGTTCAGCTGGGCTGTTCTTCTGTTGCTCTTGCTTAGACTCTCATTCACCTGCAGTCCGTCAGTTGGTGGCTCAGCTGGGGTGGTGTTGTTCTAAGATAGCCTTACTTATAGGTCTGGGGCCTCAGCTGCATGGTTGGGGCAACTGGCTTCCCTGCTTCATGTGGTCTCATCCCTCAGTTGACTAGGCTTGGCTTCTTCACATGGCAATCTCAAAGCAGTGTTCCAAGGTAATGAGAGCTCAAGCTACAAGGTTTCTTGAGGCCTAGACTCAAAATCACACAATACCCAATTGGCTCCATTCTGTTGGTTAAAGCCAGTGGCCAGCTCAAATTCGAGGAATTAGGAATAGATTTTACCACATGATGGGAAAAACAGCAAAGTCATATTTCAAAGGTACACACACATAAGAATGGTATACATTATTATGGCCATCTTTGCAAATAAACCTATCGGAGCCCCTTTTTAAGTAAGAAATATTGTCTCAAATCACAGTCAATGAGTTATTCTCAAGCCCTTTTCTAAATCAGTCACTGGGGAGGACAATAAAGTTATTCTCATTGAGTAAGCTTAATAAGGATTGATTGACTCCCTGGGACTGAGAACACATCTTTCTCTGAAGCAAAATGATTTTTGTTGCAAACAAGTATGTGTGTGGGATCTGGGTAGAGAAATAAATAGTATCTCCCAGGTTTTACTAAAGGAAGGTTATTTCATTTTTAAGATATAACCTTGATTGCAGTGTGAAGATGAATTGGCGTGAAGCAAAATTGAAGGCACGTAGATCAGTTGCAGGGTTTCTGTTATGGTTTGGCTGTGTCCCCACCCAAATCTCGTCTGGAATTGTAGTTCTCATAATCCCCACATGTCGTGGGAAGGACCTAGTGGGAGGCAATTGAATCATGGGGGCAGTTACTCTCATGCTGCTGTTCTCGTGATAGTGAGTGTGTTCTCATGAGATCTGATGGTTTTGTAAGGGGCTGTTCCCTCATTCCTTGGCACTTTTCCTTCCTGCCGTAATGTGAAGAAGGATGTGTTTGCTTCCTCTTCTGCCATGATTTTAAGTTTCCTGAGGCCTCCCCAGCCGCGGAACTGTGAGTCAATTAAACCTCTTCCTTTCTGAATTACCCAGTCTCAGGCAGTTCTTTATAGCAGCATGAGAATGGACTAATACAGCTTCTGAACCTCAGCACTATTCACATATTAGGCCAGATAATTCTTTGTTGGGAGTGGGGGACTGCTCTATGTATTATAGAACGTCTGGAAGCATTGCTGGCATCTAGATACCAGAAACTCACTCTGAATTGAAACAACCAAAATTGTCTCCAGACATTTTGGATATTTCCTTGTGGGCAAGGTCACCCTTTCTTGATAACCACTGAGGCTGGAGGCTAATGCAGTTATCTATTGCAATGGTCTGAACCAAGGTAGAGGAAATAGGCATGGAGGCAAAAATAATTTAAGAGGTCTTTGATTTGGCAAATGATAGAATTGAAGAGAATTGGAGACTTCGTATACAATTTTTAATTTTAAGTTCGTCTGAAAAATCAGATCAGGCTACACTGGACCCAAGAACTCAGGTGGCAAAAATCTGCAGAGTTGAGTTTGCCCCAGTTTGTCCCAGTCTCTCCAAGGCCTTCTTGATTCTTTCCATTGCTTGCCTACCTACCCCTGCAAGAATTTGAGCTTAAGACCCCTGCCTTTGTTGAAGCTTTCTGGCTTTGAAATAGATACAAACATGAGAAGCATTACTATCTAAAAGGCCCCACATTATATCCTGTGTTCCCTCTGGCACGTATATTTAAATCGGACCTCTTAGGTCTCTTTTAATATATCATTCATTTTTTTTACATTCTGGTTCTAAAAGTATTACATGTCTGTTGTGGAAAACATAGAAAATACAACATGTATATTATCCCCAAATCCTATAGTCCTCTTGGATTTTGTTTTAGCTTTCCATATATCTTGGAAGTGGTGATTAGGACTCACAGGCCACCACCAGGAAGGAGCCAATCCTCTCTGTCTCCACTTGGGTAAACTTTATCGCATTTCTTAACCCAGATCCCAGGATGTTTCAGGACTAGAGCAGAGAGTTTTTTCCCAAACATCCATGGAAGAAAATTAAACAAGCTGTATTTTCCTCTTTGCTTTTGTGCATTTTAAGTCCATCATTCTGGGGGTTGCTAAGAATGTTTTTGAAACAATCAAAAGTTCAGGCAATTAAGTGGTTTTTTACATTGCCCCTCATGTCTCTTAGTGTTTCAAGAAAACATTTTCCATTCATGTTAGTTATCTCAAATTATTTTAAAAAATGAGCCTTAAGTGTACGATTTGTAAGTATGTGACAAAGTTCTTTTAAAACTGCTTGAATAATAGAAAAAACATGACATGCCTCTTGGAGAGCACAATGGACCATAATAATGTGAGGGAGAACAGATAAGAATGGATGTAATGGTTAGAATTAAATGATGTCTGACAATTACTTTCAATTTGAACTGAGGTGAAGAAAATCAGAATTACAATACTCTTGTGATTAAACTTTGATGAGATGAAAATGTCATTGTTTGATGAGAATTTTTTATTAGAGTTCAAAGAATATGAATGATTTAACCACAACATACTAACACCACAGGGCTGAATAATCTATATCTGAATTTCTCAAGTCTTCCTTACTGCAGGTCACTGGAGAAATCTCAGCTGCTCTCATTCCTCAGTTCTGTGACTGTTTCCATAATATCGGGTTTTGGAACAACAAGATAAAACTCAAGTCCTTTGTGATAAGTTTTGACATTGAAATCTTGGAGTAGCTTAATATGGTGAAACTTTTCCAGGAGCCAAGTACTAAAATTTAGACTCATTTTTTTAAAGAAATAAATTTTAGAGACTAGATGAGAGAAATGGAAAAATCCTGCTTTTATTCTGCATTCATTGATGAAATCAAGTGAGTCTTTTCATTTCATAAGAAGAATCTGTTTCCCTTTAAAGTGACGTTTTGGCAATTAAAATTGAGGTATGGGCTTGAGTTTGTTAAAGACAATGCATAGCCCGGTTCTCTTTGGGGCACTAATTACAATATAGGATGACAGGTACATGCTGACTTAGCACAGGGACTTTTTTCCGTACAGGGGCAACGGCTGTCTTAGTGATTCCTGCAGTCAATCGAGGGCAGAAGAGCTGGGAGCCCTTTTCCACCTACTTTGCTGCTACTGTGGGATGAGTGCTGTCCTTCCCTCCCTCTTCTCTTTTCCTCTCTTTCCTTTTTGGGGGCCCCAAATTTAAAAAATAGTTTTCCACAGTCATTGGTAGTACATTTTTTCCCACATTTTTAAAGATATTTTTTCTTCCAAGAGTCTGAAGTCAAAATGTTTGGGGACTTAGGGTACAATCCGGTAGTTTGGAAACAGGAAGGTGATAGTTATGATCAGTCCTATTTTTATAAATGCAAATCTTGGTCCTCTTATTGAAAGAAAGAGAAAGTACTGAAAATAGTCATTCTATCCAATCATTCCCCGAAGCTGTTGGCAGTGTAACAATGTTACAGTTTGGCCCAAACACACACACACACACACACACACACACACACACACACACACACCACTTTTATTTTGTTTTATTTTTAAAAAGCCCATCTTTCAACTCTATAGGCTGATTTAGGGTAAGTGATCAAACACTAGCTCAAGTGATTGCTGAACACCATCTTACTGATTTTCTTATTCACATTTTATAAAATAAAATCAATAAATATTTAATAAATAAATTTAACTTATTAAAATTTGTGATAGATCTTTGAACAAAATAGGCACTCAAGCACATATAAATTGGGTGATTAATAGGTAAATAAGGATTAAAATACATATTGACAATTGAAATTGAGATGAGAGCTTAAGTCTCAATGAAAGGCAGAGAGAAATGACCACAAAAATGGGATCTAATTAAACTAAAGAGCTTCTGCACAGCAAAAGAAACTACCATCAGAGTGAACAGGCAGCCTACAGAATGGGAGAAAATTTTTGCAATTTACCCATCTGACAAAGGGCTAATATCCAGAATCTACAAAGAACTCAAACAAATTTACAAGAAAAAAAACAAACAAACCCATCAAAAAGTTGGCGAAGGATATGAACAGACACTTCTCAAAAGAAGACATTTATGCAGCCAACAGACACATGAAAAAATGCTCATCATCACTGGCCATCAGAGAAATGCAAATCAAAACCACAATGAGATACCATCTCACACCAGTTAGAATGGCAATGATCAAAAAGTCAGGAAACAACAGGTGCTGGAGAGGATGTGGAGAAATAGGAACACTTTTACACTGTTGGTGGGACTGTAAAGTAGTTCAACCATTGTGGAAGTCAGTGTGGCGATTCCTCAGGGATCTAGAACTAGAAATACCATTTGACCCAGCCATCCCATTACTGGGTATATACCCAAAGGATTATAAATCATGCTGCTATGAAGACACATGCACATGTATGTTTATTGCGGCACTATTCACAATAGCAAAGACTTGGAACCAACCCAAATGCCCAACAATGATAGACTGGATTAAGAAAATGTGGAACATGTACACCACAAAATACTATGCAGCCATAAAAAATGATGAGTTCATGTCCTTTGTAGGGACATGGATGAAGCTGGAAACCATCATTCTCAGCAAACTATCGCAAGGACAAAAAAACCAAACACCACATGTTCTCACTCATAGGTGGGAATTGAACAATGAGAACACTTGGACACAGGAAGGGGAACATCACACCCTGGGGCCTGTTGTGGGGTGGGGAGAGGGAGGAGGGATAGCATTAAGAGATATACCTAATGTAAATGACGAGTTAATGGGTGCAGCACACCAACATGGCACATGTATACATATGTAACAAACCTGCACGTTGTGCACATGTACTCTAAAATTTAAAGTATAATAATAAAAAAAAGACTAACAAGGAAATTTGAGCCAAAAAGTGGAAGGTATATTGTATAAGAGGTTTCTGTCACCCCCCCTGCTCATTAAATAAAGAGTTTAATTGGCCATTCAAAGTCCCTTTCAAAAATACTTTGTAAGTTTAGCCGATTTATCTTCATGGCATTTGCACTTGAGTGTTTAAATCTTCCTTCAGAGGTGGTCAAAATGATTATTATAGATTAAGTCGGGAACTACTGAAGAGTTCCAATGCACTGCAATCTCTGTTGGATATGAAAAAGTCAAAGGCTTGGAAAAAGCAGATAATGAAAGCTGGAACTAGTGGAACCCCAAAGCACCACAGGTAAGAGACAACACAGGCAGTGGCTAAGAGCAGAGATCTACAGAAAGACTGTCTGGGTTCAAATCCTACTTCTATGGCTTAGTAGCTGTGTGTTTTGAACAAGTTACTTGCTATCCTTAGACTGCAGTCTTCCTGTCTTCCTTCCTTCCTTCCTTCCTTCTTTCCTTCCTTCCTTCCTTGCTTCCTTCCTTCCTTTCCTTCTTTCCTTCTCTCTCTGTCTCTCTCTCTCTTTCCGTTTTTTTTTTTAATTTTTTTTTTCTCGCTCTGTCGCCCAGGCTGGAGTGCACTGGCACCATCTCTGCTCATTGCAGCCTCCGGCACCCGGGTTCAAGTGATTCTCCCCTCTCAGCCTCCCTAGTAGCTGAGATTACAGGTGTGCGCCACTGTAACCAGATAATTTTTGTATTTTTTGTAGAGATAAGGTTTCACCATGTTGGTCAGCCTGGTCTTGGACTCCTGACCTCAGGTAATCCACCTACCTGGGCCTCCCAAAGTGCTGGGATTACAGGCATGAGCCACCGTACCTGGCCTAGCTGCAGTTTCTTTACCTGAAAAATGGGAATAGTAGCAGGACCTACCTCGTAAGGCTTCTATGAGGAATAAGTAAACTTATGTAAAGCTTGAGTAAGTGCACAAAAATACAAAGTTAATGTTACTATTATTCATATTGAAATGTGGAAGATCTTCTCACTAACTTTGCAGTTATCCTCAACTGTCTTTTCTAAACTAAATGAAAAACGTTTCAAATAGTGGGATTTATAACATTTTCCTAAGGATAAAACAACCAAAAATTTCCTAAATTATCCAAAGTATCCTAAATTAAACCCATTGTAGCAGTTAACGCTATTCTCTTATTTGAGACCTTTTGTAAGGTCTGCAATACTTAGTCTAGCCCTGTAGTACTTACTTTATTGCCCTTTGGTGGCGTTGACATGAGGTGTTCCCATAGTATAGCTAGAACATGTTTTTATTTTTTGCCACTTAAAGGAAACATGGCTAATGGGAAATGAAGCTGATAGATGAATGGGAGAACTTTGTGTGATTCAGGGGAACTGTGTGGTGATTGGGATTAATTGGGATCCGTATTCCAGTTTTTGCTTTACTTTTAAATGTAATTTTGGGTAATTTACTTAATTTCCTTGACACTTGATTTCCTCATTTTTGGAAATGGGAATGATAATATTGCTTGCCCCACAATGAGCTTTGAATATTAATTAATTGAGAATAATATTTATAAATTCAAAATTCCCATATATATGCTCACAATTGATAATTATTCTAATGCATTCATTTCTCCTCTTCCCTTGATACCCTTGGCTGATGCTTTCATAATTCTATAACTCTTCTGTGAAAAGCAGTCCTTGAAAAGATAGAAGGAATACAGGCTATGATTTTCATTTGCTCATAGATTAGTATCTCCAGATTAGAGTGTTTCTGTCATCCACCCATCCATCCATCCATCATTTATCATCCATCTATCCACCTATCCATGATCCATCCATCCATCCCTCCATCATCCATCCATCCATCCATGCATCCATCTTGCATTTATTGAGCATCAGCCATGTGGTATGTCAAAAGGTTACAAACATCATAATAATTTCCCAGAGATTTCTGAACATGTGGAAATTGAAGAACTCAACTCAGCTTTTTAGAGTTCTTAATGTTGCCTTAAACCCAGAGATTGAAGAAGTGGAAAAATGAAAAAATAGTAAGAATTAATTCAGGTGACATTGTTTTGGACATTTTCCAAATGGGATAATTATCCAAAAGCAAGCCGATATTTATATCTGTGGGTTTCTATGCTTGTTAAAATACTTTCTTTTTGCTGAAGTACTCATTGAGCTAAATTTCATCTAACATCTGGCTATTGTATAAATATAGCAATGAAAACATGTCTAGTTGCCTACACATTAGGCATAAATTTTAGAAATCCAATTAGTGTTTTATTCTTTGTGTGCATTTCCCTTTTTCTTTAGTGTTGAGCTAATTTTGGGCTTCTACCTGAAACTATAAGAATTCAAATATTTAGCACACATCTATGCAGCAAAATCCAACTAGATTGAACATTTCCTAATGATTGTAAGATATTAATTAATTTCTTTCTTTATCCATGCAACAAGCAGTTATTGAGTGAAAAGTCAAGCCTCGTCTCAGTGTCAACGGCTGGAGGTGGGAGTGGGAAGATACAGAATACATAAGACACAATAAGGAGTTTAGAATCTAGTGGAGGAGATAGACACCTACACCAATGATTTCACTACAGTGTGACCAATGCTATAAGTGTGGTACTTATCCACCTGGCTCCTAAGGCATCACTCACCACTCATCTGATGGGTTGCACACTACATATATAATTGTCCTTAGTCTTCCACTGAGAGTGTATAACCTCTCAAAATTGAGAAGCCCCTCAAACCAAGAACCCAGGGAGTTAAACCAGTACTCATTGAGCCTACATTATCCATCTGGGTAGGCGGAATCTGCCAAATGGCCTGAGGATGGATCATTTATTTAGCAATACCAGTCGCAGTTGTTTGTGTCTTCACTTTTAGATTCACCATAATGATAGCTGATAACCAATGGTTTATTTTGCATAGATGCGGACATTTTGAATTAAGCCTGTACAAACACAATTTTCACTATCTCTATCAGGGCATCCCATGGTGTATACTCTGCAGGCTTTCAAAAAATGCATTTGATTTCATGGGCTTACCACCATTTCCTTTGGTGTTGATTATACTCAAATATCTAAACCTGCTGATCATTCTAAAGGATGAACTTAAGATCTAACTACAAATGAATTTTTAACTTCATCAAACATAATGTTTACCTTTTAAAACATCCAAATGTTTATTTTCACAAGCTTAGTAGTACAAGATGCAACATAATTCAAGAAAATCAACCACAGTGCTAATACTTTAATATATTATTCCAAATATTAGACGTTACAGTTTAAATCTTTTTAACATTAGCTCTAATGTTGGAATAACATTTAAGTTAATAAATAACTGTGAATATAACCATATGTTCAGTCTATTCTCCCCAGTTTATCCTAAATGACAATTTTATTGTGATTTGGGTCATAAAAGTGATAAATAATTGTTTATATGTTTTCATAAATTGCATGTTTATTTAATTAATCCTGAAGAGAACCTAGAAATACATTCCAATGGGTTACATAAATTAGACGTATTTTTTAGCTCTTCGATTTTTTTTAAACATGAGTGAGTCACACTGTAACTGCTCTTAAATTTAGTGTTCATTGCACATAACATTTTTTGAAATGTATTTTCACAGGCTATAGGTAGTCATTTGCAAAGATGGCCACAATTTTTGATCCTTGAATTAAATGTCTTTCATTTATTTCAGAGAATTATGAGTTTCAAAAGCTACTGCTCTTATGGGGCAATCTGTAGAGTACTAAACTCACAAAATTTGTGGTAACAAAAGAGAGTTTTGTTACATTACACTTTCCAAATAGTAACCACATCTTCCTACTAATTTTCATGTTAAAAACACTTTAGGAAAGACAGAATTACTTTTAGGTATAAAATGTTCTGAATTTGCAAATTCTATAGTGCTTATGAGAATTTATATTGGCTTTTATATTGTTTGATAAGGTTGTCTGTGCCCCCCAGACTTCCATCTTCAGTTGCCACAAAGGCAAATTCTCTGTGAATTGTTCGTAACGTGAGGTTGGTGTCAACATGCTGCAATCAGAGGCCTTCTAGGATTCATCTTACCATTTGAATTTACTGCTCTAGTTTGGAATTTTCCTGTCATTATCGAGTTTAAACCAATACATGTGTTGTCTGGTTTCATGGTCTGAGAACAGTATTCTGTGCTCTTTGGAATCAGATCTCTGATAAATCATATAGCTCAATTTCATCACATATGTTTTCCAAAGATTTCTAATCTCCTTGTAAAGTCTTCAATACTGAGCAGCAGCTCTAGCTAGCACCTATGAGCTGCATTAGGAAAAGGCTCAGATAATAAAAAGATAGTATAAGGGTTTAGGAAAAGCATCAATGGCAGAAATAAAGTGTAGGAATCTTAAATTTAGGCAACTACTTAAGTCCAGAAAATATTTCCTTCCAGTACAAAAGGTTAAGGCTCTTTGAAGAAAATGTTATCTTCAACAATGGAAACATACATTGAAATTCTGGTCCCCAAGTTTTTAAGAAAGCCTGAAAGCTTAAAATAAGACTCTTTCCCTTTTGTACACTTTTGACAAACTATGTGCGTTTTCAGTGTAGGGACCACCTTTCAATTTTAGGGTACTTGTACTCTTCCTTAGGGAAGAGACAGTTGGCATTGTTTCATGGCTGGGTATAATTCATTTATGTCTTCCCAGTTTTTCCTCTCTGATCTCTTCTCTGTGTATCTGTCAGCAGTGGTCTCCTGGGAGCAGCACTATGCACTTCATTAATAAGAAGGGATTAAAGAAAAAAGCCCCAGTCTCCTAATACACTTGGATAATTTGGTGCCATCCACAAGGCGATAGACCCCTGCTGCATAGATGTCATTAGAAAGGTACAATTTCATTACTTTTTACTGGCAGAGCCTTGAGTGAAATACAAAATATGTTGTCTCATATGTAGGGGCAAAAAAGTGCTAAAGCTTTCATTCATTTCATGCCCCTAAAAATAGTAGAATGCAAAAAATGTATTTTATGGTTTTCACATGTATATTGCCTTCCTTTAGTAGTCCTTGAAATCATACTTCCTATTAAATATTGAGCAAAATAAAGATTAAAAGAAAATTATTTATATTCTTAAATCTCAAATGAGATTTATATATTTTTATTAATTAACACACTTGTTTTGAATACATACTATGTGCCAGGCTCTCTGCTAGCTACTAGAAAACAAATTACAAAAACACCATTCACTTTTCTTTAACCGTAACTTATTGAATGCTATAATTGGAAGTGAGTGTAAAAGTGAGTGTATATGAAATAAACCATATGGCAGAATAAAAATGATTATAAGCCAGTATATTGTAAGTGTATTCAAAAAATCTGCTTAACACTTCCTTGTTAACCGAACTTATTTTTAAACTGACATGTTTGCTGACGGTTGATATTACCTTTTGAACTGAACCACCCTGATTTTAAGCCTCTAAGTGGTATATTGTGCAAACATTTGAAATGACGGTGCAAACCATCTTTGGGAGATTTGTACCCTAGTTTCTATAGGTGCCGTCCCAGCCAGGAAGTAACTATGTGTCACTGGCGCAGTGTGTGGTGTGGCCACGCCCCCTGAGAAAGGGGCCTGGGATTTAGGCACCTGCGGTATGCCAGTGGCACTCCCAGGCATAACACTGGTGTGACGACTCTCTGGGAATCTCACACATCACTCTTTCCTAGCACCGAAGAGAATCAGGTTTAAT
This sequence comes from Homo sapiens, assembly GCF_000001405.40. Lineage (NCBI taxonomy): Eukaryota > Metazoa > Chordata > Mammalia > Primates > Hominidae > Homo > Homo sapiens. The sequence goes on from NC_000018.10 coordinate 26,854,609, forward strand.
AGTGGTCCATTATCTCACTGCCACAGACACACAACTGCCATTAACGCTAAAAAGTGACACAGAGTTGGAACCATGCTTGAGAGAAGACAGCCCTTGATCATCAGTTATTTACAAGTCACTCCTTGCAGTGATAGGTTTCTGCTTTACTTCTAATAGCTTTTGTTTAGTGAAATTGACATTTGCACTTCTTTGTCTAAGTTAACGGCTAGACTAGACAGTTAAGATGACAGAAACTGGGGTTTCTGGAGAACATTCTAGTGACAAAAGGCAAAGCAGGACAGAAAAACCAATTATTTTGACAAGTAAGTGAGTCAGTAACAAAAATAGTTTAAAAATGTGTTGGGTTAGCTACAATATATCCAGAAATGAAAGATTGTTCGTCTAGTAAGCTTTGAATACAGAGTGATCTGATGTCCTCACCCTTTTATTCTGCAACCATGTTGTACCTTGTCTGTCATGCATTTTAATTCACTCAAATATCATTACACTTGCAGTAAAGATTATCAACAAATGTCACGAGAAGTGAGAGAGCAGAGATTGGGACAGGGCCTTTACACCTTCTAGAGTGAACACAGCTTAATAATCAACAAAAAGCCAGGACTCAACTAGCTAAGTTCTTGTTATCAAAAATATGTCTCAGCTAATGTTTAAATATAGATAACCAAAGTTACAAACAAAATCCCCAGTTTTGCCAATAAATTTTTTAAAAATAAGCAAAGTGGTAAAGGGGTTAAAAGCTTAGATCGTAAAACTGGTGTGGTGCATTTGAGGGTGTGCACTGAAAACAGATCAACCGTTTGATACCCGAATACAGATCTCCTTTTTGTTTGTGATTTTTGTATGATGATAACTTTGCCTCTGCCTCTACAAGATTTTACGAGTCTGCTTGTCTTGAATCTCAATAGGTGCCCTTATGATTTGGGAAGGATTTCTGAATATTCTTTTCAAATTTCTGGGCTTTAGTCCCACATTACCTTGGGCATTGAGGAGGAAGAAATACCATGAAATGAAGTTAGAATTGAAACTTGGGTATTTGTGATATAAATGGAAGGAAGTAACTGATGAGCAGTGACACTTGCTAATGCTCTTTTGCCAAGGTAGTCTATGCATAAGGGATTGCTCATAAAAGAACTTGTTATATTTTCTCTCTTGAATGTGCATGACTGTGACATACTGTATTTTGCCATTGTTAAACTCAGTTTAATAGAATAAATATTCAAATAAGAATTGACTATACCAATATTCCAGTAGAGAAGGAATAAGCTGATAGACGTGTCTTTGAGTTCTGTCAGGCAAGACTTAACCAAATCTTGACACACGGTTAAAATTGGTTGTTAATGAAAGGTAACTAGATAAAATAGGTATATATTTGCTTAAGAACATTTTAAAAATATTTCTTTTTTTAGATTTGGAATTCACAATAGGTTTCTTCCGTTCCTCCTTTGTAAATTATGAAATATTTATTGTTTAGACTGAGTAATATGACATGAAACAACAAACCTGCACATTTCTAATTTATAACAAATCTGTTTCCTTAATGGGTGGAAGGAAATCTGAGGACAGTTCTAAGGAGTCTTGTCTGCTTTCAGTGCGATCTTCTAGTCATACTGAAGACAATACCTCTCCAGATTGGTCTTTCCCCTTCTTCTCCTCTCCCCGGTCAACGTCAATCACATGCACCACTCCAGGTTTTAGAATCAGGTCATCCGTCTCTACCTGACTCCTGTTGTCCTCCACCTCCATGTAGCTTCCTTTTGTTTGCTGGGCAGCTTTGCTGAAGGCTTCTTTAAAACGACGTTTGAATTCAACATCTGGACAGAAGACATACTCATAAAGGCCACCAGCGAGGACAGCTCCTATGATGGGCCCAACCCAATATATCTAAGGAAAAGATGGAAGAGGATAGAGTGTAAGTAGAGAAAAGCTATTCCATTGAGCAGCTCATGAATGTAGAATCTAGCTGGGTTAAATTAAGAGTGTATTTGTGTCATGCATCAAAAAGAGGGGAATTGGAGAGGAAATAAGAAAACACACCAAAGCCTCATCAGAGATCCATAAATTATTAAACTGCATTTGAACAGAAAACAAAAAGAACTGTTTCATCTCCTATCCTCTTTTCATTAATTATGTTCTTTCCATCTTATGATAATCGTTAATGTAAAGATAGATCCTCTTTGGTGGTACTACAAATTAAGCGCACTAAGAATTCTTTAACTAAAATAAAAAAAAAATTTCTGGAGAGTCCTTCTCTTATTTTCTCAATATTGCCATTTTACACTGGTTTCCTGCACAATCATGATCATAACACAGTTTTTATCTTTTGGGGATTCCGTTATTCAGGTAAGCATGATCAAAACCAACCCAGCTCCACCACTTAGCAGAGTTATGAGTGCTTGTATCAGTTACGTAACTTTCCAAGTCTTAATTTCCTCATCTGTAAAGTGGGGATTATAATAATACAAACCTCACGGGGTAAAAGGATTAAATGCAACAATACTTGTAAAGTACTTGATAGTTTTTAGCTCGTAGTAATCTGCTCCATTCCAGGCTTCCAAAATTTGGTGATTTGATTTAAATGAAAACCTCGTGTTCATTACTGTGCAGATAGCTTTCATCTATGCGGTTCTCACGATGGCTTGGTGAAAAAATATGAGTTTATGGCTAGTTGAGAAGTAGCAATTCCATAGGATTTCAATAAATGGAAATTATTATTATTATTATTATTATTATTAATTTTGAGACGGAGTCTTGCTCTGTCACCTAGGCTGGAGTGCAGTGGGCGATCGCCACTCACTGCAAGCTCTGCCTCCCGGGTTCACGCCATTCTCCTGCCTCAGCCTCCTGAGTAGCTGGGACTACAGGTGCCCGCCACCACGCCTGGCTAATTTTTTGTATTTTTAGTAGAGATGGGGTTTCACTGTGTTAGCCAGGATGGTCTCAATCTCCTGACCTCGTGATCCACCTGCCTCAGCCTCCCAAAGTGCTGGGATTACAGGTGTGAGCCACCGTGCCCAGCCGGAAATTATTATTACATATTAGCTATGCCCCTAGAATAAAGTTTTGAGTTTGAATGAAGTGCAGACATTTGCTTTAGAGCACATGTGTGCTGTAGAATATTAGACATTTATTTAACAGACGCACTTGGGCAACAGAAACCCTGCTTGTTGAGCACTGTCCCCGGGCCAGCCGTACTTGGCACTTTTCTTGTATAATCTCATTTAATTCTAACAATAACCAATGAGATAAATATTATTATTCTTCCCATTTTATGAAAAGAAGAGTGACACTCTGAGAGGGTAATAAGCTTGCTTAAGATTTTGTGCTTATCAAATGGTTGAGCTGAGATTTCAGACCTGTCTGACTTCAAACCTCTCATTTGAGGCTGGGCACAGTGGCTCACACCTGTAATCCCAGCACTTTAAGAGGCCAAGGTGGGTGGATTGCTTGAGCCCAGGAGTTCGATTCAGCCTGAGCAACATGGTGAAACCCTGTCTCTACAAAATACAAAAAAAAATTAGCTGGGCTTGGTGGTGTGCACCTGTAGTCCCAGCTACTTGGGAGGCTGAGATAGGAGGATCACTTGAGCCCAGGGAGGTCTCGGCTGCAGTGAGCCATGATCGTGACACTCTACTCCAGCCTGGGCAACAGAGTAAGACCCTGTCTCAAAAAAAAGAAAAAAACAAACAAACAAAATGAAAACCTCTCTTTTGAAACACTGTTCCAAACACTGCAGTATACTGTTTTCCACTGTACTACACACTCATTTGAAAAAAAACATGATGGATGCTTTTTGTTTAAAACACCCTCTGCAAATTAATCTCAGTTTGCATCCTCATTGTAAGATTTAAATAAAATTCAAAATTTAAGCTGAGGCTGAAGACATAACATTTACGGGGAAACTGTTGCTAGTGTGGCTGGAAGAATCAAGTTCCTCTCTTGAACATGAAAAAACCCATATGAGCCTTTATCTTCTCTATGCCCTTTTAAAGGAGAAATGAGAGCCCTCCTCTAAATGTCTTTGCTCTTTGTTAGTAAGGTCTCATTAGACATGTACTATTCCACAGGCTACAAATCCCACAAGGGAGACTAGAACAGCAAAATAATTACTACCCTTTCCAAAACATCTGTGAATAAGATACCCAGCTGCATGTTCTCAAAAATAAACAAATCTCAGTGTCAAGTTGCTATTTCAAAATGAAGTCATATGTACTTTAAAGTAAAGAATCTTTATTGCTAAAAATCTAGAAAATGTGTAAAAGTATAAAGAAAACTAAAATAATATCATTACACTATACAAAAAACCCAATTAATATTTTAATGTTATTCCTAATCTTTCTACCTACAAATATACTTTAAATTAGTTCTAAATTTCATACAACCATTGCTATTTTTAGTAGAATTAAGATTGGTATAATATAACATGGGGCAACTTTTAGTTTAATCAACAAGCTAAGAATGTTCCTACTATTTAAATCTTAACTAGTTTACTGCAACTGACAAGTAATTAGTAAAATATATTTTTTCATCTACATTTTCAAGTGCTTATAAATTTAACTAAAAGTTGTTAATGACAAAATAGTTTCAATTTAATATGTTGAACTGAAAGTTGTATTTTCATTGTAAGATCAGGGCTGGGCACTGTGGCTCACGCCTGTAATCCCAGCACTTTGGGAGGCTGAGGCAGGTGGATCACCTAAGGTCAGGAGTTCGAGACTAGCCTGGCCAACATGGTGAAACCCTGTCTCTATGAAAAAATACAAAAATTAGCTGAGTGTGGTGGCATGCACCTGTAATCCCAGCTACTCGGGAGGCTGAGGTTGGAGAATCTCTTCAACCCAGGAGAAGGAGGTTGCAGCAAGCCGAGATCATGCCACTGCACTCCAGCCTGGGCAACAGAGCAAGACTCCATCTCAAAAAGAAGAAAACAAAATCATATACTACTCACTAAAAATTTCCATTTCTGTTAATGTGGTAACAGTTTTTGAGACATAAATGGAGGTATCAGTGACAAAATGACTAATCTCATGGATGGCATTTTTGGCTAAGTCTTGGTTTGAACGCTGACTCTTATTCTGTTATTTAATGCTGTAGATTACTTTTAAAGATTTGGTATACTTTTCTTAGAAGTGAATGCACATAGCAGCGGTGCATTTTCTTGTCATTTGCAGTGTACACCATAGATGAATGGCTGTGACTAGGTTGGTAATCACTGTCTGAATAAACACAAGGGGCATATTCTGTTATATTCATGAATTTTTTAAAGTTGTAAGTGACATTTGCAATATATAAATTATAATAAAAGCTAGCGCTCTTTGAAGCTGGCTTACAGGTCTCATATTTTTATTGGCTATTGTAAGTTAGCATGTTGGTGGCCTTCACAACTGCTGCATTACTTATTTAATTTTAAAGGATTTAAATTCCTTTGCTGTGAGAAACAACTGAAACAAAATTAATTATAATATTTTAAAATGGACACTGCTATTCTCTGGAAGCACTGCCACTACATTAATAAATATTTATTTATAATAGTTTAGGTTTGAGACTGAAAAGTGAGCCTTTTCTGTGAGTCATTTATTTTTCCGGTAACAGTTATGGTGATAATAACATAAACCTTTGCACTATTTATTCGACACCATCTGCAGTTCAAATACTTGCAACTTACATACTATTAATTGAGTTCATGCATTTGTAAACAAAAAAAGGGTAAATATCTTTGCTATGGGCAGCGCTTTTAAGTATTTCATTCTTTCTCTTTTTTTTGCAATTTTTTTCCATTATAGCTGGGAAGACTTTACTTTCAATTATTTAAACACCATATTCACTACACCATGCTGACTTTAACTTGTTCCACATAGGCAACCTCTATATACAGTGTATTCTGCTGCAATCTGTTAGATACAGTGTCTAAAATAGTGCTTCAAAAAAGGAAAAGACTATTATTGGAGGCCTAGAACCTTCAGTTAGAGATGTTTTACATCTCTTATCTTTTTACAGCAGATCTGTGCTATTCTTTCCCTAGTCTTTATGAAAGATGTAATAAAGTGAGGGTCAAGGTTGGAGAAATGCAAGAGAAAGTAGTAGGCAAAATAATGAAAAATAAAAGAGCCCCACAGGTAATTGTCCTCAACTGTAGGAAGATGGGAACTATCAATATGAGGGTTACCCAATGGTTTTCCCAATTTCCCATGATAACTGCAGGTCCAAAGGATCGGGCGGGATTCATGCTGGCACCAGTATAATTGATCTATAGGAAACAAGAAAACAACTTCAGACATTGCTGAAACAGGGCTACTAGCAAGTATCATTCATTGCAATTTGCTGTCATTTGTCACTTAGAGGAACCTCAAGATATTAGCAGCTATATCAACATTCTCATTGAGCAGTTGGAAAAATTATAACCTAAAATGGACAGTCATGGCTGGATACTAAAGAGCTACTGCTGTAAAACACAACATCTTCAGGCCAGCTAGAGTGAGGATAAATGAGGTGGGATTGATTATTTAAATGGACTTGGAAACTTACTGCAAATAAATGTCCAATTGCAACAGAAAATCCAATTGCTAAAGCTATTGAGCCAGTGACATCAGTCCGTTTGGAATCACAGCTGGCAAAGATAGTAAACACCAATTGAAATGTGATTATCAACTCAACCAGGAGACCATGACCAGCGGTAAGATTTCCATGAACCTAGAGAAAGAAAAATATTCCATCAGAATTGAAGCAAGAGTATTTTCGATGACAATGTATTAATATCATTGTGAAAGGCACATTTTATCTGTGTAAAAAGTAAAGGTAAGTCTTCTACCCCACCTTCAACTGAGAATTTCCTTCTCTCACCCCCCAAAAAGAAGGAATAAATTTATATTCATTTTGGGTCATCACAGATGACTGTGATTACTCTTACAACGACCAAACAGGAGTTTGTGCTGAATGTCCTTTTCTACAAAGGAAGCAAAATGTGCCACTGCAGCACTTAACTCGTAAAAGAATTTCTTGAGAGCCTTGTGATTTTATAAGGCAATGATTAAATCCATTAATTAGGTTTAAATTAATTAATATATATTTCAATTAAAATTTAAGCCATGTGTGTTTTTTTTTAATCAGCCCTGGTGCTGAGTTAACAATTGATACTCCTAATCAGCTAAGAACAAAACTAGGATCGGATGTCTATTTTTTTAAGCATAACCCTTTATGTAGATCATTGTACATCTTATGAACATGACAAGAAAATAGTTTTTTTCTGCTAGTGAACAAATAACTGTAAGGAAAATGCATTAAGCTAAATATAAAGTCAATATAGTAATTGGAATGGGAGAAGGGGAGGAAAAAACCAACACAATTTTCGGGCCACCTAGATTTTGTTATTTTTAAGGCACTCAAGAGCAAACAATGATTTCTTACAGATATACCTAAATACTGCCAGAATCAGTTTTCACACTATTAAGAATCATCAAAAATTCCCTAGGAGTAAATTAGCTATTTTAGGGATGTGCCTCATGCCACCAAGGCATTATTTAGCAAAGAGTTTGCAAGAAGCTTGGAGTCCTAGTTTGAAAATAGCTAAAGATGCTACCATGGTGACTCCCAGGCCTCCCACCACACTGGGAGGTGTGACCAGATAGAGGATTCCTGCTCCAATGATGGCCCCCAGGCACTGGGCTGCGATGTAGAAGACAGACTTGGCGATGCTGATCTTCCTGGTGCACACCATGGCCACAGTCACTGCAGGGTTGATGTGGCCACCGCTGATATGGCCAAAGCACTGCACCATGGTTGCAATGCTGAGTCCAAAGCAAAGGGAGATGAGAACCATGTCGACCGGTAAAGGCTTTTCTGTTCCACCCCAGTTGATGGTGGATCCCAGGCTGAGGAGAACAAAAATAAGCATGGCCAGAAATTCCGCTGTGACTGCTTTCCAGAAAGCTTGAGTCCAGACCCCTTTGAAAGCCACCATGATGTTCTCTCTGGTACACAAAGGTCCACACTTACTGAAAAGAGAAACAAATCAGCATCAGAAGCCACTACACCCAGGTTTATGAATTTAGGTGAAGGGAACAAGGCCTGCCATCTTCGGGTACTGTGGGCAGGGGCTGCCAGGCGTGATTTGCACACCAAGAAAGAATGCTTCTGCTAAAGCTCCTTCATGAATAGTCAAGAGACTGTTATTCTAGTCTCCTTTCATTTAATATTCAAAGATCATCCAGTTTCACGGAAAATTATCCAAACTGTCCCTAGAAAGGAAAAATGTCTAAATCAAATTCCTTAAAATATTAAGAATAAAATATATTTACCTTGTACTTAATTCCCTTAGAGCAAGTTTTTAAGTTTCGAGTACATTTTATATGCTACTTACATTTCGAACATAAAGCATTAAAACAAGGTGTGCGTGGGGGGGGGGGGTCGTCTTTTCTAGCTTTGCATTTGATTGCTTTGAAATGGCATTCTGAAAATCTCCCCCTCCCCCCAGACTCTGGATTAGGGGGAAGCCTTCTAGGAAACCAGGGTGCTGAAGGCTGTCTTTTGAGAAAGTGAACTCATTGAGGGGAGAGGAGCTTCTGGTGACTAGCAAGGGCGATGGGAACAGGCAGGGCCTCAGCTGGGACAGCGACACTCCCTCCCTCTCCTTTGCGCCAGGAACGAGCAGGCTGCCAGCGGGAGGAGTCCGGGAGCTGAGCCTGCCCAAGGGACACGCGCACCGCCCAGATCTGGGAGCGCGGCACGGGGACGTGTAAACCTCCGTCCCCAGGGAGCCTGGAGCACCTCTCAGAGGGCGGAGCAGCGGCCATTCCCGGCCCGTGGCAGGCTCCCGGGCGGCGGCCAGGTGCACACGCAGAAGCGGCCCCGCGAGCTCGCCCGCCTGCCCGCCGGCCCGGTGCATCCTGGCCGCTGGAGGTGGGGAGAGATGGGAGTGGGGGATGCTTTTAGGGGAGGAAGGACAGCCTCTCCTCGTGCCCGACCCTCTCTCACCCCTTGACCCTGACCGTACAATGCAGATAAACCTGCCAAAGGGAGCCTGGAGGCTGGGGTGTGCCAGCAATGCCCCGGTACCTTTCCTGCCTTCATGGTGCAGAGCTCGGGAAGTCAGGAAAAGCGGGTGTGGTTAGGGAAACTGTGGGCCCCTGAGCAGAAGGCTCTATGGAAAACGGCTTTTCTCTACGGTCTTTTTGATGGCTTTCTGTTACATGGGCCTATAGGACAGTGTGTCTCACCTTGTGGAGCTTCTCTGGGGAGGGTGGTGGGCAGGGAGTCTGGGAGAGGGAGGACGCCTTCTCCTCCCGTCTATATCCCTCTTGCTGTCATTAGATCTTTGGAGCAGAGAAGGGGTGGTTTGACGATATTGATGCCAACTGCTCATTCTGGCAGGAAATGGCTAGGATTCCCCTTTTGGGGGGGGGGGGCAATTACCCCAGTTACCCTATCATCTAAGACTTTTGCCCTTGTCCTTTGCCTGTGATAGTCATGAGAGCCAAGAAGTATGGAGAGTATTTACCAGAGAATCTAATTGCAGAGGACCACGTAAGGGGTTAGGCAAGAAAGCCAAGTACTTTAAGAGATTAGTATTATTGTGGCTTTCCCTTTGACAAATTGCGGGGCCCTCATTTCCCCATGTCACTGAATGTTCCCGGGAACCTGCTTTCTGCGTGGGTAGTGAGGAAATGCAGTGCCAAAAAGGGTGAGGGGAATTTCCAGCTCAGCCTAGCCCTTAGTTTGCTATGGGGCTTTGCTTTAGAGGTGGAGAGAGAAAAACCCTTTCTTGCCCAGGCCCGGGTGGCAGGATAAAGGAAGAGCTGGCTCCACAGGGGGGTGGCCAGCCACATCCCACGCATCCCCTGCCCCAGTGAAGCGAATCTCAGAAGTATGAAAAACCCCAGGTGGGATGACAACGACATCATACTCTCTAGAGGAAAAGAATGTAAAGAGACAAAAACGATGGTTGCAATGGGGCAGGGAGGGCACCCTGGAGGAGACACTAAAAATATTCCCAAAGACGGTAAACTCAGAAAAGTCACATATTGAAGAAGTTAGGAGAGTCACTTCTGAACTCACCGGCAGCCCAGGGCTGTAGCCGGGATGGCAAAGGGGGCAAAATGCGATCATAGGTGCTGTCGTTTGTGGTCAGGGTTAGGGGAGAAGGAGGAGGACAAAACAGTAGGCTAAGGAAGCTAGGTGGGCAGGAAACGTCCTTTTCAGCCCCGCAGGAGACACCAGAAGAGGTGGGACCCAGAAAAGGCCAGCCCCGCTGCTCACCCCCTTCACCTCTCACTTCTGCCATTTCCGGAGTTCTCTCCCTGCTTGGCCTGTCATGCACCTGTTTACCTCTCCAGAGGTAGTTGCTCTTTCAGCTTCAAATATTCATCAACCAGAGAAATTTAAAACAGTGCAAAACACCAACACAAAACATAAACATGCTCTTTAAGAATGTTTTTAGCTTTTTTTTTTTTTTAAATCCACAAAAATCTGATCTTCTTCCAAGGCAGATGGACCAGCCTCACTTGGCTGTGAACCGTGAAGTTTGCTGGCAGCATATACATATCTCTGGCCTTATGAGGGCTCACCCTAGCGTCACCCATAGCACCCTGCTTTTATTGTCAGTGTTCCCTTATATGTTCACAGTCACTGGAAATGATCAACACAATTAGATTTGCTTCTTTTGCCCCAGAACAAAGCGGGTTTGTTGATGTACTGAATCGGACACATTACTTTCTAGCTGAACACTCAGCTTCATCCACTCCAGGACAGCTGAGCGTCTGGGTGAGTAATTTTTCCGAAGAAATGTACTATAGCTAGATTCACCTCCATAGGGTAATTTTCCTGGGCTTTTGCAGATCTGAAACATATGGAGGATTTGGCTAAAAAGCATCCCTTTTCTTCTACCTTCTCTATGCCTCTCTTCTGAAAATGCCCAGTACTCAGATCTAAAAGAACCACCCACCTGCCCTATAGCTGCCTTCCAGATTCTGCCTAAGAAGGCACAAACATCTATAATAAAAGAGACAGTTTCATCTTTTGGCCCTAAGCGTTGTTCCCTTAAGGCAAAGAAGGACTTACCCCCACCGCCTTGCTGTGGGTCTGTCACTCATGCCTTCCCCAGCCAGAGTGCAGCTCTCATTGCCTGCCCCGCAGCTCCCTGTGTGCTGGGAGTCAGATTACGGCCACTTGTCTGATTGGGTTTTTGGAGTGTTAGGGGTGGAAAGATTCTGCACCATGTGGCAATCGCTAAGTTATATTTGAACTTGAAGTAGCTTTTCTGTACCTGATCACTGTAGACACAGGGCATTTCAGGAATGCAAAAACATTTACTTAATTTTTTTTTTTTTGAGACAGTAATTTTTGAAAATGAGGATTTCCTTAAATCTTTATTTGAATTCTTTCTACCATGAAGAATTGTTCAGAATTTGTCTTGTTTGGTTATATGTTGTAGTTGAAATTGGGCAATTATTAGAAAATGAATTTGTATAATCCAGCAGTTAACATGAATTTAGATAGAGACTTCAGTGCATTTAGTTTTTAGCCAATGAATTCTGTTTGAAGTTTTTGATCTGAGAAGAAGCATTATAAGAACAATATATAACTGCAGCTCCATTTATAGCACAGGCAGCACTGATTTGGACAATAAAAATAAGGAAACATAGGAAATACAGGAAAAAAGACTGCTCTAGGGTGCTCACCTGACTGTTACATTAATAATCTGGGGATAAGAAGTAGCAAACTTAAAAAATATCAAAGTTGGATGGGGACGAAATTATGGGGAACTGTAGGTAAATTTAACCTCTGGAAACTTAGGGACAGGACTGATTTTATAATTTACTGGTCCCAGTGCAAAATGAATGCAGGACACCTTGGTAAAACACTATTTAAATTTCAAGATTGCGACAGCAGAGCATAAATAAAGGCTGGGTGCTCCTAAAGGCAGGACCTTGTGCAGCTGCGCAGGCTGCATGCTTATGAAGACGTCCCTGCCGAAGGAGTTTGGTGAACTCTAGAAGGGTCTAACCATTAGCTACCTGCATCACCATCTCATTATTATTTTTTCTTTAAACAGATCTTAGGTGCATGGGATTGGAATAATCAGAATTCCTGATTTATGACACTCTGTCATCACTCGTGCATGTATGGCCCTCTTATTTTCTAATAGTTAATTATAATGGCTTTTAAATAATGTAATGAACATCTATGAACCCACCACTCAACCCAACATCTAGAACAATGATAATAACTCACATTACCTACGGATGCCTCCCTTTTCCCACTTTATATTTCAGATTGGATTATTTTTTTCCAGAATGAAGTATGACAAGAAAGAAATACATGAGAGAAGAAAGACTGTTATACTTTTAAATCCCAGTTACAGTTTTTTTGTTTTGTTTTCATTTGCGTACTTGAGACATGGGAATGGGTGAAGAGCTCTCATTAGAAAGAGGAATTCAAAATTTGAGTGTGACTTTCAGAGGAGCACTTTATTACTGTTTCAAGCATTCTCAGCTAACCAAGATTGAATTTAGATTCTTAAGAATATGGTTGCACACTTATTATTGTACATCAGTGGTTTCTACCTTTAATATGCTCCCTGAAAGTCAGAATAAATTCTGATGAGAGGGGCAGGGAGAATTTATATGAAGCCACAGAGAACACTTAAAACATTTCATATTGATTCTTAAAGCTGTTTACCATTTGGATTTTAGAATGAGATTTTTAAAAGGTGCAAAATGTTTGTTACAAATTGGAAAACTGTGAGTTTCTAGGCAGATGTGCTAAATGTCATTACTCTGACCCTAAGACATTTGAGTCAGAAGTATTTTGAGGGCTGTGAAGCTAAGGCACAATGTAGCCATGTTTAGGGGCTTCCTTGTGAATGAGTACGGTGGGCAGATCCTCAGGAATCTACAGAGTGGGGCTCTTTAGGGCTACCGGTCTGGTCGGTGGGTGGACATTTTCTAGGTCCACTCTTTACAGGTTGTCCTAGGCTTATTAGCATTCTCTGCACAGCCTCGGCAGTTGCAGTTACCATTTTACAAAGTGCCAGCAAAACTTGGTTACCACGGTTTCTCAGCCTCTTTCCCTGTTTTCTGGCTGGCTGATGCTTTCCAGGGCAGTTCCTAAGGGATGACTGTTCCCATCAAGGAAGGGGTCACCCTCATTGGCTCCAACCCCTACACTTATTAGTACTCTCAGCAGAGTAGCTTAAAATTGACCAGGGATTAACTCTTCACCTGCCAGAGGTAGTTTTTCTTATTAAGTATTGCTAATTAACCTTTTTGTACTTGAGCTGCTACTACTGATCTTCCTGTGATACTGTCAGCTCTATGCAATAATCAGCTACTTATCTGGCTTTTCTTTGGACTAGGGGCAGAAATTTCCCACACGATTGTCTGTGGCTTTGTATGCAGAATGCGATAATGAAGGAAAGCAGCTATAATGTGCTTGTAGTGGTGGTGGACCACCAGGAGGTGGGAAGCTCTGGTGAACATGAGTAATACCTTCTACATTGAAATGTTTTGATGTGGACCTGGATCCAAGTGAGAGTTGGAATCTAACTGCCCCCCACCCCCCACACCACTGGTATGTTTAAAAGGGCGCAATTCATTAAAAAATTGAATAACAATTTATTATATTTTCTTGACTTTCTCATTGTATAGTGTTACGAACTTTTGGGGGAGGATAGTTACATGGCATATTGATTTAAAATTGGTCTTTATGCCAGACCACCTTGTGAATCTTTAGTTCAATAGCCTTGCGAAGTTGTGGGTCAGTAACACATGAGGAACCAGAGAGAAGCGTAAGTGAAAATGACAAGTACTTAGCAAACACTAGCTAATTGACACGCTTTTTTTGTTGTTGTTTCTGAATTTTTAATCTACTATGCCATACTATTTTCCTTGGGTGCTGTTGTATATCTTTGGGATTTGTGGACTCCTTCTCCCATCCTTGCCCTCAGAACTTTTAATATTTCTTCATGTGTTCAGAGATTGAAAACTGAAACAAAAGCACTAAACATGCCAGCAATGCCTCAGTACCAGACGGGAAGTGTCTCCAGGCTGGTAGGGGCAGATTCAATCGCAACTCATAAATCTTACTTTGCTTTTCATGAATCTCAGCATCATGAATTCCCCCAGAGCACTTATATATCAGTATGTTCATTAAAAACAAACAAATAAACAGAACAACAACAGCAGCAGCAGCCGCAACCACAACCATCACGACGAAGGGCTTAATGGGGCTTTGTTCCTTTTTCAAGGAAGCTTTACCTTATGGTTATAATTCAGGATGGCTTCCAGAAATAGAGTTCACCACCGAAAGAGTGAAATAAAAATAATGATCAAATACAGCAAGGAATCAGAGTGTTTAACTTAGCTTCCTGCTCCTTAGTGAGGTAAATTGGAGAAAACCTATCTTTCCAATGGTTGTTGAACCTTTCACAAACACCATAAATCTCTCTCTGTGCCCCACGCCCCACAGATCCAGGTTTTTATGTTTGGTGTAGCAGGCACATTTTTCTTGATTCAGATCCAGGCGGACTGCTTTGGTGGGGTAGTTGTACTCTGCTGACATTTAAGGCAGGAATTCCCTGGGAAAATAATCAAGAGATTATTTTGGAGCTGCTGGAAAAGCTCCAAAGGGTTTAGGGTTCCCCTCACTAGGCAAATAAGGAGAGAGAACGAGAGGGAGGGAAAGAGAAAACAGAAGGACTTTATTGAGTGACTGTATTTCATCTGAAGCTGGTACAAAAAACCAGAAATGTGGTTGGATGACTGGATACTTTTCTTACACCTTATCTCTTACCCAGCTAATATGACAGCTCAGAGTCTGGTTGGGCATTTAAAAAAACAGCTCAGACGTCCATAGTAGACAATCAGTTCTCCGGGAAGCAAAGGACTTCGGGATTTAATGGGTTGGACAAAATGTTTGAAATGGTTAACAGTCTAAGTGTAGCCTGTACTAGTAATTGTTTTAGAATTTAAATTAAATTTGAATATATTAAAAGCTAAGCCAACATTTTGGTGACCACTCTCACTCAGCAACCTCTGTCATCTACACAGTGATCATTACAGAAGGGCTCAGAGTACCCATATTTTTAGCAGACTGACAAAGATGTTTCCAGCTTCAAGGACAGAAAAGGTGTTTAAAATTCTGTACACATGGGGTATGACTGGCAGAGTAGGCCAAAAAACTAGGTGGTTAAAAAAAATGCTTTCAGAATAATGCTAGAAACAGAACACTTTTTAAAGAAGCAGAAGTGGCCATAATCTGTGACCACAAAAAGAAATGACTGATCTCAACAGTCAAGTTATTTAGGAATGGCCTTCGATGACCTTTCTAATAATTCAGATGCTTTCTTTTTTTCCTTCCTAAGTGATCATACATCCTTCTCTTTAACCTCTGTGCTTTTTTTTTTTTTTTTTCACATTCATACAATCAGGAAAGCACATCTGAAATTCACAGGGACTTAGAAGTGTCAAGTCTTGGCATTACTGGTTTTACCTTTCCTGGGTGTTCTTATCTCTTGCCTCACTTTGGCCTGTATTTTTGCTGCAGGGAGTATGCTGCGACCACACCTTGTCAGGCCCCACCTTGGAGCCAACTTAGGTGATTCTTTTATCCTCAATCCCTTTCCCTTCTCTCACTGCCACAGGATTTTCTGATTCTTCTTCAAACACTCCTCAGTATTTATCTCCTTCATGAAATCTGCTCTTCGCAAACTTGCTTGGTTCTAGTCACTTAAAAAACCCATAACAACCGGAAGCCTATGTGATACTCTACAGTTATAACTAGGTAATATATTGACTCATTCACTGGTGTTTTGATGCTACCTTATCTCTCTTTTAAAATATAAGCTGTAGTTATGGGAATATATGTCCTGTGAAATTTCTTACTGTGTTGGTGTTGATGATGATGATGATAAAGTGATGGTAATGATTTTGTTGATAATACCATTGTGTAGTGGAAGGAGAAGGGTAAGATTTGGCAGTCTTGGCTCGATCATTTACCTTCTGTTGGCTGTAGACCCTTGACCTCTTTGAGCTCTGTTTTCATCATCTGAAATGGAATAGATGATTATCTGTTCTGTGTTTTTGCAAATTTATGGGAAATCTATGATGCCCTCTGTGATGGTTTGGCCTGTTTGACCCTTCTAAATCTCATGTTGAAATTTGATCCCCAGTGTTGGAGATGGGGCCTGGTGGGAGGTGTTTGTGTCATTGGGGTGGATCCCTAATGAATGGCTTGGTGCCATTCTTGCAGGAGTAACTGAATTCTCACTTAGTTCCCATGAGAACTGGTTGTTGAAAAAAACCTGGCATCTCTTCCTCCCTCTCTTGCTTCCTCCTCTCACATGCCAGCTCTGCTTCCCCCTCCGCCATGAGTGGAATCTTCCTGAAGCCCTCACCAGAAGCAGATGCTGGTGCCATACTCCTTATACAGCCTGCAGAGCTGTGAGCCAAATAGACCTCTTTTCTTTTTGAATTGCCCAGACTCAGTTACTTCTTTATAATAATACAAAAATTGACCAAGGTGTCCTTCTCACCTCATTCTGGTTTGAGTCCAACTTTTATATGCTTCCATAATAGTTTGGGCTCCCGAATTCCATTGTAGAGTTGTGTCTAGCATGCTGGAATCACTTGTTTACTTTTATCTCCATCACTGGCCTGTGATGGCAACGGGAGTAGGGAACACTCTCTTAGTCATCTTACTAATTAGTCACATTGTAAAGATTAAAAAGAATTGTGGAGTAAACAAGTGAATATGGCTCAAATAAGGCAGTATCAGCAGGAATGCTTTGCAAACAGTGTTAATAAATGTGAGTAAGGATGATGCTGAGGCTCATGATTTTAAAAAAGGCATTCAAGCCGGGTGTGGCAGCTCATACTTCGAATGCCAGTGCTTTGGGAGGTTGAGGCAGGAGTATCACTTCAGGCCAAGAGTTCAAGACAGCCTGGGCAACATAGAGAGACCCGTCTTTACAGACAATTTTTTAAAAATTAGGCATGATAGTATGCACCTGTGGTCCCAGCCACTGGGGGGCTGAGGTGGGAGGATCGCTTGAGCCCAAGAGTTTGGAGCTGCAGTGAGCTATGATTGCACCACTGCATTCCAATCTGGGTGACAGAGTGAGACACTGCTGCTAAAAAATAAATAAGTAAATAAAAAAGGCATTTGCTTATGAGTTAAGAAACTTATCCATGTCAAACCTTGAAAAAAATCATGCATTCTTAATCTTATTATCCAAATTACAGAATGAAATAATAAATCTTTTCTAGCATAGGTAAGGATCCATGTTAATGGATGCATATTGCTTTTAAAATAAGAAGTTAGGTAACTGTAGAGTATAAACATTAACGATAAAATTTCATAAACTTCAAATGTATATAGATAATTCCATGGCTACATTTTAGAGTTTAAGGCAGAAGTAATACATTTTGAAACTTTACTTTGTTTTATGGATTAATAAAAAATATCTTGCAAATTTTATTAAAAAATAAGAAGCTGATTAGTATATCATCTCCTCATTGGCTTATTAACTCTTTGTGGTTGATAATAAATGACATTACTGAGTACTGCTGCGAATAACACCGTGGAGAATCAGTAACTTGGTGAAATTATGGTTTCTAAAGTAAAGGTGCTCCTCAGTGTCACCCTGCAATCCTATATGGGTTCAGAGTCATCTGTCTTTCTCATTCTCCAGTCAGAACCCTAGCTGAGACAGAAAATGACTCTGGCTTCCCTAAGCAAAGGAAAGTTTATTGAAAGTATATTGAGGCTCAAAGAATTGTGGGGAGGATGGAGAACCAGTTTGCAAGTGGCAACACCCCAGGTAGCTCTGGAAGCTGGAGGCAGGACCTGCACATCAGCTGCTGGGATGGATGGCCTTCCAGCCTTCCTCCTTTTCTGGCATTGCTGCCTTCAGAAGCAAAATTGCAGAAGTGAGCATTTGATACTGGGTCAGGGAGAGAGATGACTTCCATAGAGGGAGAGAGTCATCAGGCATTATCCTCCTCCCAAGGCCACACTCAGTGGGTGAGGGGTAATAATGATGGCAGCTCTTTTGTACGATCTCATTTAATCCTTAACACAACCCTTTGAAGGAGACACTATTGCTGTCCCTGTTTACAGATAAGGAGACTGAGGCAGAGAGAGATGACAGACTCTGCTTGAAGGTCACACTGCCAGTGTACAGTGAAGCTGGATTCGAACTGTGGCAATCAGACTCCAGAGTTCTAGTTTTTTATCACTTTAGCATGCTGCCTCTTCAAGAGGACTCTGGGAGGCAACTCAGCAGGAGGCTTGATACAGGCAGCTGAAAAATAGCAAATGCCCCTTTGCACCATTCTTCCACCTGTCTCCCTTTACCCCAGTTCTGCATAGAACACATGCCTCATTCTTCACTGGGAAAGTAGAGGCCTTCCACCCAAGCACTCTGTCCACTGCTCTCTTTCACCTACACACATGGCCTCTAACATTTCTGTAGCCAAAAGAAAATTTTGTATTTTTTCTCTTCAAATCAAATGCCATCTCCGTTCATCCAGCTACCCCACGTCAGAAAGTGGAGAGTCATTCCTGACTTCTTCTCTCAACCCACACTCCCAATCAATCACAGGATTCTGTCACTCTCACCTCGTAAATATCTCTTGCATTCTTCTCCTCTTTTTACCCCATTGTCACCTTCTTAGGTCAAACCTTAATGATTTACATTTGGATTATTAGCCTCCTAGAGAGTCTCCCTCCCATAGCCCTGTACCCCTCTAACCCATCATTGCCTCAGGAATAAACCTCATTTATTTATTTATTTATTTTAATATTTTTATTTTGACACAGAGTCTCACTCTGTCACCCAGGCTGGAGTGCAGTGGCGCGACCTCGGCTCAATGCAACCTCCACTTCCTGGTTTCAAGCGACTCTCCTGCCTCAGCCTCCTGAGTAGCTGGGATTACAGGCATGCACCACAATGCCCAGCTATTTTTTGTGTGTGTGTGTGTATTTTTAGTAGAGATAGAGTTTCGCCATGTTGGCCAGGCTGATCTTAAACTCCTGGCCTCAAGCGATCCGCCTGCCCCAGCCTCCCAAACTGCTGGAGAGTAAGCTTTCTAACACACAACCTGAAACTGATTTTGCAACCCTCTGGCTTAAAATCCTTCAAAGGTGCTGCTTGTGTTCCAGGTAGATCTCAAACTGCTGACCCTTGCCATTTAATCATTGGCTGCAGGTTCTCCCCACACTTGGCTCCCACCATCCTGACACCCACTTTTCTTTCTAGTTACACAGGACTGTGTTGGTCAGCTCAGGCTGCCGTAACAATGTACCATAGACTGGGGGGCTTGAACAACAGACATTTATTTTCTCACAGGAGACTGGATATCAAGGGTAATTTGGTGACTTTGGTTTTTCCTGGGGCCTCCCTTGCTTGCAGGGGATGCCTTCTTGCCATGCCCTCACATGTCCTTTTCTCTGTGTGTGCACATCCCTGGTATCTCTCTGTATGTCCTGATGAGTTCTTTTTGACATCTGAACTTGGAGGAGGACATAATGCAGTGCATAGCAGGGACCTGTCCAACAGAAGTCCTAGGGCTTCTTACACATTCTTTCTTCCCTTCCCTGACTAGGTAACTTATATCTCATCCTTTAAAATTCAATTTAAGTTTCACTTTTTCTGTAAAACCTTTCCTGTTCCTCTAATTTTATTTAGATGTCATTTCTCTTTATTTCTCCCACAACACCCTTCCAAAATAGCTTCATACCTCCCTATTTCCAAGCATATAAATATCAGATCCCCTTCATGTTGCTCCCCAAAAGACATGAGTTGCCCCAGTAAGCAGGTATAAGAATCAAAGGCCTTTTTCACCAGTAATGGATGACTCACTAGGAATTGTACACAGGGCTGCTTTAGTTATAATTAAGGGTTGTGTTATAATTACACTGCTCCATAATTTATGGTTGTACTTTGGTCTTCCTTGAAAATAGAGTAAGTTTGTAGAAAAATTGGCTAATTTCAGAATCATTTGATAAAATCTTTTACCAAACACAGAATCCTATACTGTTTAACTGGTTAGAGTAAAAAAATAAATTTTTATTTCAAATGGGAGAGACTTCTTGAGAAACAATTTAATAAACCAGTAAAGTACTGACATAATGAACTATGATTTGTATTGATATCTGAGAGTGATTGGTACAATAGAACATTGTAACAAAGTCTGAATGGTTTCATAGACATACTCAGTATATACTTAATATTTTTGTTGTAATCATTTTTTTTTGTGCACAGTCTTTGTAACTGACCAAAGGGGCATATGAAAATCACCTGATAAGCTTTCAAGAGCAATGTGATTCTTATTTCTTTTTATTGCTAATAATTCCATTTTAAAGATGAAGAATTGTTGTGTGGAATAAATGAAAGAACTCTATAGTGCCTTCGTAGTTTCAACACTTTACCCTTTGAAAGCATATTACACTGGAGATCTCACAGAATAAGTATAAAACCTCATATTACCCTTTTCATACTGCACAACATTTTGAGTAGAGAAAGTGCTGCCCCAAGTGCCTTGTGGCTCGTGAGATGTTAGGGAGGCCAAAAGAAATTGCTAGAACCAGAACTCATGAGTGCCTCAAGGCCTCAGCCTCAGTTGAGATCATTAGGTTTAACTACAGCTGAATATGGGAATATAGTTCCTCAGACACTCCTAAGTATTATGTCATCCCAGAAACCTTTAATTTTGGTGAAAGAAGAACAAGTGCTTCCATAGTTGATAAGATTAAAGTTCTAATGGTTAGTTGTCTGTCAAAATTACATAGTAGTAGAACACATGAACTATTCCCCGAGTTAGGGTTCTGAAGATTTAGCTCTAACCATTGTAATTTGTTCACTCCAACAAGGAAGCTGAACTTTGATCTTCTTGGTTGCATCACATCCTCACTACATAATACATGGAGTCAACAGTCCATATTGTATCTTTTAAAAGAGAAAGTGAAAACAGATCCATTTAACCATTTTCCCAGTAAAATTGTTTGCTCTCTGAAGCTAAAGATGGCAAGGTGGTCACTTTCAGTGAGCACCTCAATCTTGAAATCTTGATCGAGGTGTGTGTACTGTGTACAATTCCTAGTGTGTTGTCCATCTAGTAGAGTTAGATTTCAAAATCAACAGCAGAAGTAGAACTGAATAACTGAACATTTATAAAATTAGAAGATAAAGAGTGGACTAAGCAACTAAGAAAGTATTTTAGGACACTTTAAAACACCTAGAAATAAATTAGTTTAAACATTCAGTTTGTTACCTATGGCAAAACACTAAAATTCTTGAAATGTTGGGAGTGGACAGGCAGGTGTTTGAGATATCATTCTTTCTATTTCTGTATGGTTGAAATATTAAATAAATAAGAAATTAAATACATATCGTAAATGCTGGTTGATATTATTATGCTCAGTGTTCCTGCCCAGCTGCTTCCGCAGGGTAATGCTCTCTGAAGATTTATCCATGATTCAGGAATACTCCCCCCAACCTGGGGGCTCTGATGCTGCTCCGTCTTCCCTTTGCTTGGCTCTGATAGGTACCCTAGAGCCACTCCCCTGGCTGCTCAAACTCCTGGTATCCCCTGCACTTTCTTCTTATGTTTAGCCAGTGATTTCAACTCCTACATCACAATGAAAAGAAACCTTCAAAGGGAAATCCTTCAAATTCCTGCCACCAAATCTAAAAATGTCTCCACATCTGTGTCATCCCCTCCTTCTGTTTCTTACTGGAGAAATATCCCTCCCTTATCTCAGATGAATTTCTCCACTTCTGTTATGGGTTCCGCCCTCTCCTACCTCCTCTAGTACCATTCTCTAATCCAGCAGTCCTCAAATTGAACTATATATGTTGACATCATACTAGGAACTGAAGCAGAAAAATTTTAAAAATATGTTATAATTTTCTTAAAATATCAAGAATAAACCCAATATATGTTAACTAAATTGAATTTTTATTTATTTATTTGTTTATGTTTTTGAGACAGGGTCTTGCTCCATCCAGGCTGGAGTACCGGGGTGCTGTCACAGCTCACTGTAGTCTCGAACGCCTGGACTCGAGTGATCCTCCTACCTCAGCCTTCTAAGTAGCTGGGACTACAGGCATGCACCACCATGCTAAGCTAATTTGCAAACACTTTTTGTTGAGACGGGGGGTCTTGCTATGTTGCCAGGCTGGTGTTGAATTTCTGGTGTTGTTCAGGCTGGTTTCAAGTGATGTTCTTGCCCCAGCCTCCCAAAGTGCTGGGACTATAGGTGTGAGTCACCTTATTTTATAAGTCACATTTATTTCATAAATAAAAATAAATTTAATTTTCAAAACAAAAACAATTAGTGAAAAGAGAGCATTGTTTTATATTTTTTCAAATCCCTTTAAGTCTGATTTAGTAGAAATCACCTGGATTTCTGTATACAATCTATTGTGAAATAGTTATTTAGTTGAAGTATGAGAAGAGAGTCCTACCCCATACACATATGTAGTTGGAAAAGGGAGGACTTTTTTTTAACAATCTGTTCAGATAATTGTGGATATTTTTCTTTAATACTATACCAAAACTTAACAAGTGGTACTTTCTTAAATCTAGTTGCAATGTGGAATCTGAAAGTATATTAATGATTTTTTAATATCTTGTTACTTTAAAATCCATTAATCTATTTACACTTTGAACTAATTTTTTACTAAGGCATGATTTTTAACATTATTCATGGTGTTTTGAAAAATATTGGTTCACTGAGGTGTGCAGACCATCCAAATGTTGGCATATTTTATTTTATAACATAAAAATACCACATTCATTAATATGACCAATGACATCAGAGCATTTAAGCATTGAGAGCTGTCAAACTCATGAGGCTGATACAAATTTTCCAAAATTATAATTTTTGCTTAAAAGCTCAAATATTAATATTGGAAACAAATTCCATCAGTTTTTCTTGAGGTGACAGGCTCATTTTGCTTACTTTAAGAAAATATCTTCCAAACATTCAATTTGAATAGCCATGGTTTGTTAGCCATTCTTTGAAGTAAAAATAGTATTTCATGAAAAAAGGGGTTAGTTCAGCTCACAACTATATAGACCCAAAAAAAAAGCCATCACACTTGGTCTACAGGAGAAGTGCTTTATATGCACTTTCCATTTTGCCACATTGAATGCTAAAAAGATATGGACTGTGAATCAAGATATAATAAGATTAAAATTTGTGTGTGTCACCAAGAACTTTCTTAAGTGAAACTGGTGTTGATCTTACTGTGTGTGGTGGTGAAGAGGATAATGACCGCCATGATGGTGTGATGGCTCTACCTTGATTCATGCCATGGGGCCAGCAGTTTTATCCATTGCTATGGTTTGAATGTGTCCCCCCAAATTCATGTGCTGGAAACTTAATCCCCAGTGCAACAGTGTGGAGAAGTGGAGCCTTTAAGGGGTGATTAGGTCATAAGGGCAGAAAATGAATTAATGCCAATATCGAGGGAGTGGGTGAGTTATTGTGGGAGTGGATTCCTGATAAAAGGATGAGTTTGACTCCGTTCCTCTTGCTCTGTCTTGTGTTTTTTTACTCTTCAGTCTTCCTCCATGGGATGATATAACAAAAGGGCCCTTGGCAGATGCAAGCCCCTTGATCTTGGACTTCCCAGACTCCAGAACTGCAAGAAAAAAAATCTCTCTTCTTTATAAATTACCCAGTCTCAGATGTTCTATTATAGCAGCACAAAATGGACTAATACACCCACCATTGCTTTTGCACTGATAATACAAAAGTCACATGGTGAAAAAGGCAAATGCTATCTTATTATTATTATTATGAATACAGTTTTGATCTCTCAGCCTCCCTGAAAAGGTTTTTGGGACCCCTAGAGGTATGTAGGCCACCCTTTGAGACCCACTGATCTAATTGATTGTCTCCTTTTTTTGTATCTTAATTCTCTAATTCATATTGTGTCTGTATCTTTTAAGCATGCTGATATGTCTCCCAACTTAGAAAAAAACTTTAAAGGTAACTCCAAGTTACTCACCAAAGACCATTAAATCTATTTTCCCTTTACAGCCAAATGTCTTTAAAGAATCATCTCCACTTATTGTCTCTGCTTTTCCCGTCTTCCATGCTTTCACACCCATTCCAATCTCATTTATTCCCTTATCTGTTTCTGTAAACTGCTCTTTTTAGGTTCCAAGGGCCTTTCCTGTCATGTGACTCCAGGAGACATGCTCCAGTCCTTACCTTCCTTGACCCTTCTGCAGCATCTGACCCCTCTGACCACTTTGTTCATCACAATCTGTGCCATGAATTCTGCTAAGTGCTTTAAATGAAATAGCTCATTTAATCCTCACGGTAACCTGGTGATATAGCTAGGATTGTTATTCCATCTTATAATTTAGAAAACTGAGAAAACTGCCCGAGGTCATACAGGTCACAAGTAGAAGTATAGAGTCTCAAGGTCAGCTCTCCATGACCCCAGATCCAGAGGCCTTAACCACAATATACCCCTTTTTGGAAACACTCACTTCCCTTTCCCACAGTACCACTCTCCAGGTTTATTTTCCTTCCTCTCTAGGTCTTTGTATGTGAAAAAAAATACACTTGTTCCACGTTCTTGCTTTGCTTATAGCAAAAGTCCTGGGAAAGGTTACTTAACTGGCCATGGCTAAGTAATGGGCACACCCAGCCCCTGCCTTTGCCATACTGAGGAATGGGTTGTTTGTATCCTTTAGCTCTGGAAGGTACCCCTAAGCCTGTACCCAAGGGACTTGCTCAAGCCAAAGAATAATTGGATGTTACTTCATTCAGAATTGATAAATGGTCACTAGGATTTATTCTTCTCTTTCTTCTTTTTTTTTTCACTGACTCCTACTCATATTTTAAGACTCAACTTAGATACTGCTCTTTCCCAGAAGCCTTTCCTGACTTCCAAATCTGGATTAGCTGTGCCCCTTGGTGCCCTGAGCTTCCTCCCTTGTGGTATTGTCTTATGGTGCATTGAAGTTGCTGGCTTACATTTCTTCTCTGAGTTCTAGCTTTCAGATGGCGAGATTGTGTCTGAGTTTCACCTTACACCCCCAGAATCTGGTACAGGGCCTGGAATCCATGTCCCTTAATATTTGATGAATAATAAATATACTGGGTGTGAGGAACGAATGGGACCTTCCTGAGATATGTATCTGGAAGTCATTAATGGGGAAAAGTGCTCTCAAGAGTGGTCTAAAGATTTTAGAATTATTTTCACAGAAATAGTGTTTGAAGTCATTGGAACGAATTAGACACTATGGGAGAAAGAAGAAAAAAATGTCTCCGGGAATGGGAAAATAAGAGCCTATGAAGGACCCTGAAAAACACATGGGTTAGAGTTGAAATTCATGTGGCTGCAATGCTATGGAAACAAAAAGAGGGAAGTTCATAAAATAGGGATACCCTGGGGTCCAACAGTTGCAAACACATTAAAGGGAATAAAAATTTTTTAAATGCCATGTGATTTTGAAATAATTCTGTGGTTTTAAAAAGAACTGTTGCAGTTGAATAAAGATAAAAATCACGGAGTGAGGAGAAAGTGCATAGTGAAGAAATCGAGGTTGAAGGTGAAGCATAATATATACAGCTCAGTGGTTCTCAACCAGGTATGCACATCAGTTCACCTGCACAGATGTACAAATCACTAACCCTGGCACCATTTGCAGTTTTCTCATTCAGTAGATCTGGAATGGGGCCTGGGATTCTGTAATTTTGAAAAGCGTTATAGATAACTGAACCTCTGGTTGAAAATCTTTAGTGTATGTCCATCACTTTATTAGTTTGGCTGGTGCACCAATGAAGGAAGTAAGGTTAGGGGAAGTGTTATGGGCTGAATTGCATTCCCCCCAAATTTATATGTTGAAGCCTTAACCCCCAATATGACTGTATTTACCTTAAATAAATAATGAGGATTAAATGACATCATACAGGTGGGGCCCTAATCCAAAAGGGCTGGTGTCCTTATTAGAAGAGGAAGAGACACTGGAGTATGTGCGCTCTCTCTCTCTCTCTCTCCACACTGAGAAAGCAGCCATCCACAAGCTAGGAGGAGAGGTCTCACCAGAAATAAATCCTGCTGGTACCTTAGTCCTGAACTTCCAGCCTCCAGAGCTGTGAGAAATAAATAGCTGTTGTTTAAACCACCCTGTTTTAGTGAGCTTCACTAAAAATAAGGGAGAGGCCTTTATTTCTAGGATACTGGAATCTAGTATCCTAGTTATTTCTAGGATACTAGAATCAAGTTAGAGGGAGAGAATGAGCCAATAGCAGTGGATAGGAAAAAAACAAAATGATTGAATAGAAAGGTACAGCTGAGAAAGCCAGAATCTAGAAAATGTGAGAACTGGGATTACAGAGAAGTCAGCCTTGGAGAACCACATTATAGCATTTCTGTATATTTTTCATTTGATCCTACTAATGGCTTTGAGATACGCAGATGAGGAAGATTGATTTCATAGGGGCCAGATTTGTACAGTTGTGAACTGGAAGACCTAGGACGAGGAACGTGTCTGAATTAGCTTTTCCTAATGAGCTCTCCTTCCACAGCATTTTCC
This sequence comes from Homo sapiens, assembly GCF_000001405.40. NCBI lineage: Eukaryota > Metazoa > Chordata > Mammalia > Primates > Hominidae > Homo > Homo sapiens. Next base: position 26,881,164 of record NC_000018.10, read on the forward strand.
AAACTGCTTTCATTTCTGTGCCACCTTCACCATTTCTGCCATATTGAAGTCAGCTCCTTACTATTATTTTTTTGTGTGTATGTATATGTACACGTGTGTGTGTGTGTATCAACACACATATTCAACTCTGATTTTTACTTAGCATCAACCTATGCAACAATACCACAGGTTTGACACGCTAGTTATATTTTTAAAATGCATATTAAATTCAATATATATACTTTCAGGAAAATCCATTCCATGTATCACCTAAGGGCATCTTGCATACCATCAGTGGCCCATATGCTGCCTCCATGATGAGGAATGACACTGTTTTTGAGAAAGGAGGAAAGAAAACGAGGATTCAGGAGGAAATGCCTTATATTAAGATGGAGATGAAGATTTGTGTGCATCTCATTTGAAGGTGGTTAAAGGTGGTTAGCCCCTCAGGCAGTACAGATCAAGGAATGTTGGATAGGACATCACAGAAATCATTAGAGAATTAATTACTCCAGAATAGAGGTTTTACATTTTTCAAGTGGTGACTTGGGCTCTGCTGTCTGTTAGTACGTCCCCTGCAGAGCAGCGAAGGATGAAGGCAGCAGTAGTCCTGGCCTTAGACCTAGGCACTCGGGACCCCTGCCCTGGGTTCCTGTTTGAGGATGCTCTGTTCCTTCCCAGGATACACCACCTTCCTTCTTGGGCACACCCACACTCTCCATAACTAGGACTCTGGAATTCTCTGCTCTTAGAGACTGGACCTGTCTCTTCTTTTGCTTCCCTCTCCCCACCTGAACTACATTGCCTCTGTCTGCAACCTTAGGTTCCAGTGACGGCCAATAGACAGCTGGTGGCCAATAGTTAGCAGGTGTGTGTGTGTGTGGACCTAGGACTGAGGTGTCCACACACACATATGCTAGGCTCCTTGTGCTGCAGAGTAAAGCCATGGGTGGAAAGAAAAGGGAGGGACCCAGTCATGTAAATATTAGGAAAGAACTTGATTACTGCAGACTCAGAGAACTGAGCAAAAGAGAGAGAAGCAATTCTCAGGGAACAGGAGAGACAGTTCAAAGAGAACATGCCCTGCAAGTTCCATCCTCTGCACATTCTTACCACTTTGTAGTAGGAATTAGAATTATCCACAGCTGTGCAAATATTGTGAGGAAGACTTTATTTAAAATGGGGGCTGGATGTGGTGGGTAACACCTGCAATCCCAGCACTTTGGAAGCCCAAGGCAGGATCCCTCGAGCTCAGGAGTTTGATACCTCGTCTCTACTGAAAAAAAAAAAAAAATTAACTGGGCGTGGTAGTGCACGCCTGTAGTCATAGCTACTCTGAGGTGGAAGAATCCCTTGAGCCCAGGAGTTTGAGGCTACAATGAGCTATGATGGTACCACTGCACTCCAGCCTGGGTGACAGAGCAAGATCCTGTCTCATAAAAGAAAAATAAATAAATAAATAAGAAACTTTAACAAGCAGACCAAGAGATAGAGTGCTGTGTGCGGTTAGTACCAAAGACTAGATTCATAGAATCCTCACTGTGGCCATTTTGATACAGACTGAATTGGAACAGGACAATGTAGAACACAGAGGAAGAACAGCAACAGGAGTGGAAACAAGACAACAAAAAGGCCCTGCATGAGCTGTGCACAGAAATGTTCCCTTACTTGCACTGGGCTAAGATTTTCACCAATTCTTCAGGAAAAAAGAAAATGGAAGTTAGCATTGAAATGACACCAAGTATTGTTGGTTTTGGTTTCAATCAGATACATATGTATTGAACAAACTCTATCTTTCATATATTAAGGAAGGCTCTGGTGTTAATAAAATAGCATGAAAATAAATTCCTGCAGGAATCAGGTGGGAGAGAGACTACAGGTGGAGAAGATTTAACATAGAGATTTGGAGTAATTTGTTTGGAAAATGTGCTATGGAAGGCACGTAATATAAATAATAAGGTTTTGGTCAGCTAGCAGCACATTTGAAGCTAGCATGGATGTGTAGGGAGGTCATCAAGATTCTATAGTTTTCCTTAGTAAGGCTCTGCAGTTGGGAGGAGGAGCAGGATGAACGGGTGGAGGGAACTGGGTCAAGCTTGGCACAGTACCCACTTAAATATTGAAGTGGCTGACCTTGCTGCCTGGGCTAATTATCATCATCATAATCACTAAAAAATTTTTTTGAGCTCTTACTATATGCCAGTTTCTGTTCTTAAGTCTTTAAATGGATCATCTTTGGGCTGGGCAGGAGGCATGTGATCATAAGAGAATCAGCAAGCTGTGTAAGATGGAAAGGCAGGCAGAGTCATTCCAAAGCTTAGTAAAGGTTCTAGAAATTTGTATTCAACTGCTTCAGTGTATACTGAACATGGATGAAGTTCAGTATGAGAAATTCAGCTTTAAAGATTTGACAGTTCCAAAATTAATATTGTTATAATGTCCATACTACCCAAAATGATCTATTGATTTAATGAAATCCCTATCAAAATTTCAATGACATTTTTCCTAGAAATAAAAAAAAATTCTAAAATTTTCACGGAACTACAGAAAACTCTGAATAGCCAAAGTAATCTTATGCAAAAAAGAACAAAGCTGGAGGCATCTCATTACCTGACTTCATAATATACTACAAAGCTATAGTAATCAAAGCAGCATAGTACTGGCGTAAAAATTGATGTACAGACTAATGGAACAGACAGGAGGGCACAGAAATAAATCTGCACATTACAATCCATTGTTTTTTGACAAAGAAGCCAAGATGTATACACTGAAGCAGTTGAATACAAATTTCTAGAACCTTTACCAAGCTTTGGAATCACTTTGCCTGCCTTCCCATATCTTGGGGGGTGTCCACCCCACTGCGATGTCGATCGTAATACCCAGCCAGGGGAGGGGGGTGATATTACTCCCCATATGGCGGGGGGTGTCCACCACCCTGCTATGTGGATCATAATACCCAGTGGGGTGGAGGGGGGTGATATTACTCCCCATATGGCGGAGGGTGTCCAGCCTCCTGCGATGTGGATTGTAATAACCAGGAGGAGAGACGGGGGCGATATTGCTCCCCATATCGCAGGGGGTGTCCACCCTTCTGCGATGTGGACCGTAATACCCAGTGGGAGAGACGGGGTGATATTACTTCACATATGTCGGGGGGTGTCCACCCCACTGCGATATAGACCCTAATACCCAGAGAGGGAGAAGGGGTAATATTACTCCCCATGTCATGGGGGGTGTTCACCCTCCTTCTATATGGGGAGTAATATCATCTCTCCCATCCTGGATATTAGGAACAATTTCACAGGGTGTGTGTACACAGCCTGCAATGTTGAAAGTAATGTCATCCTCTCCCCCTCCGGATATTAGGAACAATATCACAAAAGGACTGTACACTTTTTGCGATATTTCGAGTAATATCATCCTGTGATTCCCTGAATATTGGGAGACATATTTTCCACAAGGTGGGTGTACACTCATTGCTATACTGGGAGTAACATCCTACTGTACCCCCCGGAAATTATGAGCAATATCACAGGGGTGCACAGCCATTGCCATAGCAGAAGTAATATCATGCGCTCCCTCACTAGTTTTTAGGAACAATATCACAGGGGGAAGTACACCTTCTGGGGTATTGGGAATAATATCATCATCTCTTCTTGTAGATATTAGGTACAATATCACGGGGGGGGGTGTACACCCCTTGCTCTATTAGAAGTAATATCGTTCTCGCCTCTTCTAGATTTTACCAATAATATCACAAGCGGGGTGTACATCCCTTGTTATATTGGGAGTAATAGCATCTTCTTTCAACCTGGATATTGAGAACAATATTACATGGGGGTGTACATCCCTTCAATATTCGGAGTAACAGTATCTTCTCCACTCCTGGATATAAGAAACAATATCACAGGCAGGGTGTACACCCCTTGTTGTATTGGGAGTAATAGCATCTTCTTTCAACCTGGATATTGAAAACTGTATCACATGGTGAGTGTCCATGCCTTCAATATTGGTAGTAATACTAATTTCTTCCCTCCTGGATATAAGAAACAATATCACGGGTGTGGTGTACACCCCTTGCAATATTGGGAGTAACGTCACCTCTCCCTATGTGGTTATTACGGAGAAAATCACAGGGTGGCTGTACACTTCCTACGTTATTGGGAGTAATATCATCCACAACCCCCCTGGATGGCAGGAACCGTATCACAGAAGGGGTGTACAGCCCCTGCGATATTGGGAGTAATATTATTCTCTTGTCCCTGTACGTTAGGAACTATATCACAGGGGGGCTGTACACCTTCTGTGATATTAGAATTAATGTTATCATCTTCTCCACTGAATATTAGGAACAATATCACAGAAGGGTGTACACCCCCTGCGATCAGGCCAGTAATATCATCGGCTCCTTCCCTGGATATTAGGAACAATTTCACAAGGTGTGTACACCCCCTGCGCTATTGGGAGTAACATTATTCTCTCTTCCCCTCGATATTAGAAAGAATATCACAGGTGGAGGGTACACCCCACCCCCTGCGATATTGGGAGTAATATCATCCTCTTTTAACCTGGATATTAGGAGCGGTGTCACAGGGGGCGTGTACACTTCCTTCGATACTGGGAGTAATATCCTCTCTCCCCGTAAATAGTAGGAAAAATATCAAAGGTGTGTACAGCACTTGCGATATTGAGAGTAACATAATCCTCCCCTCACCTGGATATCAGAAATAATATCACGGTGGGGGGGTGTACACAACCTGCGATATTGGGAGTAACATTATTTTCTGCCCCCATGGATGTTGAGAACAGTATCACAAGGGCGGTGTACACCGTCTGCGATAATGGGTGTAATAGCGTCCTCACTCCCCCTAGATATTAGGAACAATACCACAGGCAGATTACACACCCGCTGCAACGTTGGGAGTAATATCATCCTTTCCCCCCTGGATACTAGGAACAATATCTCATGGGAGGTGTACAGCCCATTCCATTTTGGGAGTAATATTAATTTCTTCATTGCTGGAAATAAGAAACAATATAACAGGGGTGGTGTACACACCCTGTGATATTGCCAGTAATAGAGACTTCGCCCCCCCCACCGGATATTAGGAACAACATCAAAAAGGGGTGTATACAGCGATATTGGGATTAATATCACGCTCTCCCCCTTGAATTTAGGAACAATATCAAAGAAAGGGTGTCCACCCCTTGCGATATTGACAGTAATTACATCCTCTCCCTCCGTGGATTTTAAGAACAATACCACATAGTTGGTGTACACGCACTGCGATACTGGAAGTAATGTCATCCTCTTCCCCCTGGATATTAAAAACAGTATCACAGAGGTGGTCTACACCCCCCGCGATGTGGCCAGCAATATCATCCTTTCCCCCACTGGATATTGGGAACAACATCACAGGGGTGTGTACACCTCCTGCGCTATTGGGAGTAGTATCATTCTCTCTTCTTCTGGATATTAGGAATAATATCATAGGTGGGGTGTACAACCCCTGCGATACTGGCAGTAATATTATCCTCACGCAACCTGGATATTCAAAACCGAATAACAGGGGGGTGTACACCCCCTGCGATATTGGTAGTAACATCATTCTCTCCCCCACTTGATATTACAAAACAATATCCCAAGAAAGGGTGTACACCCTCTGAGATATTGAGAGCATTATCATCCTCTCCCCAACTAAATATGAGGAACAATGTTGGTGGGGGGGATGTACACCCCTTGCGATATTGGGAGTAATATCCTCTCCCTCCCTGGATATTAGAAACAATATCAAAGGGGTCGTGTACACCCCCTGTGATATTGGGAGTAATATCATTCTAATCTCCCCGGGATATTTGGAACAATATTATGGAGGGGGTGTACAACCTCTGCCATATTGTGAGTCATATCATTTCTCTTCCCCTGGATATTAGGAACAATATCTAGAGTAATAATATCCCTTCCCTTCTGGACATTAAGAACAATATCACTGGGTGGGTGTACAGCCCCTGCAATATTGGGAGTAATATCATCCTCTCCCTCTCTCGATATTAGGAACAATATCCCAAGGTGGGTGTACATCCCCTGCGATATTGGGCGTAATATCATCGTCTGCCAACATGGATATTGGGAACAATTTCACGGGGTGGGGAGGGGGTGTACACCTTCTTCCATGTTGGGAGTAATATCATCCTCTCCCCCCGAATTGTAGGAAAAACTTCGAAAGGGTTTTACCACTTGTGCAATATTGGCAGTAATATCATCCTCTCCCCACCTAGATATTAGGAACTATATCACAGGATGCTGTACACTTCTTGCGATATTGGGAGGAATATCATCCTCTCCCATCATGGATATTAAGAACAATATCACAGGGAAGGTGGACAACCCCTGCGATATTGAGGGTAATATTATGCTCTCCCCTTCTGGACATCAGGAATAATATCACAGGAGGTGTGTACAACCCCTGCGATATTAGGAGTAATGCCATCTTTTCCCCCCGAATATAAGAAACAATATCACAGGAAGATGTACACCCCCTGAGATATTGGGAGTAATATCATTCTCTCCTACTCTGGATATTCAGAACAATATAACGGGGGTGGAGTGGCGTGTATACCCCTGCGGTATTGGGAGTAATATCTTCCTCTCCACCGCTGGCTATTAGGAACAATGTCACAGAAGGGGTGTACACCCCCTGGTGTATTGGGAGTAATATCATCCTCTCCGTCCCTGGATATTAGGAACAATATCACTAAGGAGTGTACACCTCCTGTGATACTGAGACTAGTATCATCCTCTTGCCCCCTGGATATTAGGAACAATATCACAGGGGTGGTGTACACCTCCTGCGAATTTGGGGCAAATGTCATCCTCTCCACCTTTGGATATTAGAGACAATATCACAGGAGGGGTCTACGCCCCCTGCAATATTGGGAGTGATATCATCCTCTCCCCCCCGGATATCAGGAACAATATCACAGAAGGGATGTGCACCCACTGTGATATTTTGAGTAATGTCATCCTCTACCCGCTGGCTATTAAGAACAATACAGGTGGTGTAAGCTTTCCGCGACATTGGGAGTTATAGCATCGTCTCCCCCAGATATCAGGAACAATAATATTAATATTAATAATTAATATCAATTATTAATATTAATAAAATGATGCTAATTAATATCAATCATTACTATTAGTAATTAAAGTGCTTACAATGAAATTAATGTTAATAACATCAATAAGAGCCATAGTAAATAAAACATTAGCAATTTATATTGATTAATAACTAGTATTAGTATTAATAATTAATAATACCATTATGTTAGAAATCAGTATTAGTTGCTATCAATAATTAATAATAATAATTAGTGATTACTAATGACATTATCACTATTATCATTTCTAATACCGCACGGGGTCTACACCCAACTGTGATTTTGTTCCTAATAGTCAGGGCAGGAGAGCATGATATTAGTTTCAATATCGCAGTAGGTGTACACCCGCCCTGTGATACTGATTCTAATATCCACGGGTCAGAGTATGAAATTACTCCAAATAGAGCAGGGGGTGTCCAGCCACCCGGTGATATTGCTCCTAATATTCACAAAAGAAGAGAATGATATCACTGCCAATATCGCAGGGAGTGTACACCTCTTCTGTGATACTGTTCCTAGCATCCGGAGGGGGAGAGGATGATAATACTTAAAGTATCGCAGGATGTGTACACCCACCCTGTGATATTGTTCCTAATATCCAGGAAGGGAGAGGATGATATTACTCCCCTCATAGCACAGATGTACACCCACCCTGGGATGTTGTTCCTAATGTCCATGGAGGAGAGAGGCTGATATTACTCCCAATATCGCAGGGGGTGTACATCCACCCTGTGATACTGCTCTTAATATTCAAAGGCCGGGAGGTTGATATTATTCCCAACATCGCAGAAAGTGTACACCCCCGTGTGATATTGTTCCTAATATCCAGAAGGGGAGAAGATGATATTACTCCCCATATCGCAGGAGGTGTACAGCCACTCTGTGATTTTTTTTAATAAGCGGGGGGGTGGGGGGAGAAGATAATATTATTCTCAATTTCTCAGGGAATGTACAACCCCCTGTGAGATTGTCCTTAATATTCAAAGACAGAGGGGATGATATTACTCCCAATATCGCAGAAAGTGTACACCCCCTAGTGATATTGTTCCCATGATCCACGATAGAAGAGGATGATATTACTTTCAATATCACAGAATGTGTACACGCACCCAGTGATATTGTTCCTAATTTCAAGGTGGGAGAGGATGATATGACACCTAATATCGCAGAGAGTAAAAACACTCCTGTGATATTGTTCTTAATATCAAGGGTGGGGAGAGGACGATATTACTGCCAATACTGCAGAGGGTGTACACTTGTCTGGAAATAGTTCATAATTTCAAGAAGGGAAGATGGTATTACTCACAATATCATAAACAAGCTGTCGGTCCACCGTGGATCGTAATATCCAAGGGAAGAGAGGGGGGTGATATTACTCCCCATATCGTGGGGGGTGCCCACCCCCCTGCGATGTGGATTGCAATATCCAGGGGGCAAGATGGGGATGATATTACTCCCCATATCGCGGGGAATGTCCACCCCACTGCGATGTGGATCATAATATCCACGATATGGGGGTGATATTACTCCACATATTGCAGGGGGGTGCCCACCCCCCTGCAATATGGATTGTAATATCCAGGGGAGGAGAGGGGGGTGATAATACTCCCCATATTCTCTTATGATCTCATGCCTCCTGCCCAGCCCAGAGATGAGACTTTCCTTACCTAATGAGAAAAGGACAGTCTCTTCAACAAACAGTGCTGGAAAAACTGGATATCCACATGTGGAAGAATAAAAATGGACCCTCATCTCACAACATACACAAAAATCAACTCAAAATGGATTAAAGACTTAAATGTATGACCCGAAAATGTAAAACTATGGAAGAAAATATAAGGGAAAACCCTATGATGTTGATCTGGACAGTGATTTTTTTGGATATGACCCGAAAGGCACAGACAACAAAAGCAAAAATAAAGAAATGGGATTATGTCAAACTAAAAAGCTTCTGCCCAAGCAAGGAAATAATCAATAGAATGAAGAGACAACCTATGGAATGAGAGAAAATATTTGCAAACCATACATCTGATAAGTGGTCAATATCCAAAATATATAAGGAAATCAAATGACTCAATAACAGGAAATCAAATAACCTGATTTACAAATGGGCAAAGGATCTGAGTAGATATTTCTCCAAAGAAGACATGGAAATGGCCAATTGCTAAGAAAGTAGATTTTAAGTGTTCTTTTTACAAAAAAAGATAAGTATTTGAGATAGGGCTTTGTTAAATAGCTGAATTTTGCCAATCTACAATACATAAATATATCAAAACATCATGTTGTATGCTATAAATATATACAATTTTTATTTGTCATTTAAGGTAAACAAATTTTTAAAAATGAAACAAACAAAAAGATTTGACAATTCCAGAATGAATGACTGAGATAAAATGTAGTGATCTGATCATCTTGAAAGGTCATTACAATTGATTGAATTATTTTGGCTGTTGTGGAATATTTTCCACGTGGCCTTGTTTGGAAGCAGGGTTATAAATAAGGTCATCCCTTCCTGATTTTAGGGATGTGAAATCAAACTTAGTATTTTAAAATTTTGTTTTGAGTTGGGCTTCCACTGGTAGAAAAATAAATGAGAACTTAATTCCATTATTTAGAATTGAAAAAATAGATTTTTAAACAAAATGATTTGTCTACCTGTGCTGTGGTGGAAAAGTATGGGTGTCTGTGACAGGGTTTCCTTTATCAAGTGAAAAAACTTCAACCCAGACTGGGCTAATTTTTCATTTGGTAATATGGCCATATCTGGGAAGCAATCATTTCCAGATCTTAACTGGCATTTCAATTACTAACTTTTACATTTCACATGTTTAATGGAACCTGGAAAAGGAGACACAGATTTTAGTCTTCTTGGCTAGTTTGTGGGTATAGAACAATCTTAACTCGGACATCGTGGAAGTCAGTGAGCTGTGTAGACAGGACCTTCTGGGGAGCTGATTGTTCATGCACTGCAAAACTCTCTTTCAATTATTGAAATCAACTTTTTTCCAATGCCTCAAAGCAAGGACGATTCTGAGGCCTTTGAAAGCAATTTTTCATTTTGTTTCTTTGCATACTGACACATCTCGATGTTTACTACGTAACAGAAGAGCTAATTTAAAGCAGTGTGTTGCTAAGCCTAGCTCTCTCCCTATGTCTCCCTGCCTCTGCCACCCTGGATCCTGTGGTCCTCAGTACTTTTCTGTGCCATACATTAGAATCCCAGAATGGCATTCTAAATAGGAGACAGGCGGCAGAGTAGTAAAAATTGAGTGAATTTATGATTCAACTGAGAAGATTCTCTTTCCAGTATTCTTTTCCCCAGTAAAGTGATTGTACTGATTCCTTTGTAAATTTGGTCACTTGGAAAGTTCTAAGGATTGAGCAAATTGCTTTTAAAGAATCTCCATTTTCTGCATATGTATGTCACCTACTCAAAATCTTATTTTCCAGTTTAAATTATTTTCTAACTAATATGTTATACTTCCCTCAGCAATCCCTCAACTGTAAGAAAAATGCATTTTTTTCTTCTAGTGATAAATAGTAAGTTCATTGCATTTCTTAGAATATAAACATTCATAATTGATAACGTCCACACATCTCCCCAGTCCTCATGTTTGTATTATTAGCTTAATATGGAAAGACTGTGTGTGTGTGTGTATGTGTGTGTGTGCATTTGTGTCCATAATAAAAGAGAAATCTTATGTGTCCATAATAAAAGAGAAATCTATTTTGCTAATGAGAGTTTCCAATCAACAAATTTTGCCTTGTGAATTACAGTTTTAAAGTACTTTCAATTGTTAAATTTATTGCTATTTAAAATCCTATTTAGGAACCTTGCTATTAATACTAGAACTTTAGTTACAGCCTCAAGTTTGAGCCCCTCCCAAAAAATCTCATCTCCTGGAGCCTGCAAAAGTGTATAAAATATGTTCAGAAAAATACATCTTGGACAGCCATGGAGTGGAATGGAGAGCTGGTGGGATATATGGCTGAGAGGAGAGGTCCAAGACAGTGCCTTTCCTGGTCACAAGGTCAAGGTCAATATGGCTCACATGGGTGATGCCATTTTCTTCTTGTTCTCATAACATCCAGAAGATGTGCTGGCTGATCAGCAGTTTTGCAGAACTGCTACTTTGGTTCTCAGGGAGTGCTCTAGAATATATTTACATAACTTGAGAAAAATGTCTTGAGCATATACTGCATGGCCAGTACTGTGCCTGAGCCCTCTTAGTGTCTAGATGTGAATTGTAGTTATAGTCTCATGGCTAAAAGTTGTTTTGTATTTCAGTCTCTTCTGCCACCTGGTTTTTAAAATGTTTTCCTTTTTGAGAAAATCACAATTACCTGTATATGTAAATTTTATTGTTAAAGATGAGTACTGATATTTTGACTTTATTTTGGGTCATAGGCTTGCAAAGCTTTACTTAAGACTTCAGTAAGTAAAGGCCCATGACTGATTTGTAGAATCACTGAAATAATAGTAAGACTCTACTTCTCAGAAGATGAAACAGAGTCTTAGAGAAGTTTATTACTAAATTAGACAGTTTTTTTTTGTTTTGTTTTTTTTTTTGAGATGGTGTCTCACCCTGTTGCCCAGGCTGGAATACAGTGGCACGATCCTGGCTCACTGCAATCTCCATCTCCCGGGTTCAAGCGATTCTCCTGCCTCAGCCTCTCAAGTAGCTGGGATTACAGGTATGTGCCACCACGCCGACTAATTTTCATATTTTTAGTAGAGATGGGGGTTTCACCATGTTGGCCAGGCTGGTCTCGAACTCCTGACCTCAGGTGCTCTGCCCGCCTTGTCCTCCCAAAGTTCTAGGATTACAGGCATGAGCCATTGTGCCCAGCTGACAGTTGTGTTTTTAACTTGAATTTTATACTTAATTTTTGATAAGAATTTTTATTTGGGGTGTATTATGATATTTGAATATATGATATTTTGTGGGTATGGAGATTGCAGATGATTTACCAGATTTGCAGAGCAAGTAATAGAGGACAGTTTATTCCTTCTTAGTTTTCACTTGCTCTTCTTCCACATGTGTTAGCCACTGTTAGCTCCACTCCAGATGAGATAGAGCTTCTTTTCTGTCTGAGCATGAATTTGCTGGGAGCCATGAGATAAGTTTTTTCTTAGGTCACATAGTTATTAAATAAATATTCACTGAGTTTAATTTATGAACAACGAAAGTAAAACCAGACACGATTCCTCCCCAAAAGATGAGCTCATGTGAAACAGTGGGGAATGCATCATCTTTCAGGTTACCAGTGTATGGTGGCACTACAGTATCAAGGTTATGTATTATAGACAATAAGTAAGGAAGACATATCTGAGCTGATTCTAAGATCAGAATCTGGTGATGTGTTAATTGAACACTTGGCAATTGCTTTCTTAGTTTACCCATTCAGATTACTTATCCTATTGAGGAAATGAAGATAGAAAAGATTGGTGGCTTTATTATATGTTACACTGATGCTTTGGGTTAGAGAGCATGGGTTGCATAAAATATTTTAAAATGCGGATGGATAATTTTTAGACCAGTTAGGATGGCTACATTAGAGAATCCAAGACAATGTCTGCCATTATCTTTACAATACACACTGATTTTTGTGTGTACCTTGTCATTATGTAAGCTTCCTACAGGGCTGTGGTAAGTCATGGACAGGGTTAAGGAGAAGGGTACATGTCGAGAAACTAAATCACATTTGGAGAGGAGATGTAACAAAGGTAGGGTTCAGAGGTTTACTGGTAACAATTCCAAATTTGGAATGAAAAAGTTACTCTTTGTTTAGCGTTCGAGTTGGGAGTTTGCCCTGCAAGAGACAGTCAACCACTGACTTCAGTCGAACGTACTTGGAAAGGGAAGAACTTAAACCAGCCATGAACAGAAGAAAGCCAGGTTTTCTGGAAACATCGCCAAAACCCAGCAATTTCTCAGAATTTTCAGAGGCGCCAGGGGGGTGTTTGCATTTCAATGGAAAAAGTTCTGAAAGCTCTGGAAACTATTCTCAGTTTTACTTTCTCATTGAAAGGCAAAAACCATGGCTGTAAGTAAGAGACAGAAGCATTTGCTATGGCTTTGTTAAGAATTAAGAAAAGGGACCTCTGGAAAATTTGAATTGTCCAATCCTTTGCCACAGAGCCAAGACAAAGTGGTCCAAGTCATAATGGCAAATAGAAAATAAAAGTACTGTTAGCTTTAAGACAAAAGTACTCAATGTCTGGAGCCACTTTCCACCAGCCTGGGTTTTAAAAGAAAGACAGAACTTTCTAGATTTAAAGAGACATAGTTGCAGCTGTATTGCAATAACATAATGGTAGCTCTCATAAGTACATACTTGTCATAAGTATTTAATCTTTTCACACACTACAAATACCTTGTTAGGTTGCTAAGGGGTTACAGTACTTATGAGAAACGATCTTTGAGAAGAAGAAGAATACTATTTCCAGTTAAGATTTAGAAGAATTTTAAGTAGATCTATAGTAACAGTCAAAAGTAGAAAATATGCAGTATAGCAAACAAAATTATTTTTGGTCTAATTCTACCACATAAAACTTGAAGGCAACATTGTCCAACAGAAATACACTGTGAATCACATATGTAATTAAAATTTTCTACTTGCTACATTTAAGAAGTTAAGACAAACAGGTAAAATTAATTTTAATGCTGTATTTTGTTTAATCAATGTCTCAAATATTATCATTTTAATATATAATCAATATAAAAAATTAGAAGTGAAATACTTTACTTTTAATCTTACTGTATGAAATTTATAATTTATGTTTACAACATCTCTCCATTTGGATGCTAAGTTTTCATTGGAAATACTTGATTTGTATTCAGATGTCATAAAATTTATGGTTGAAAAAGTAGATATATAAACATACTTAAAAATTTTCTAATAATTGAAATGAGTAGCAATTTTTAGTTTTAAACTCATTAAAATTAATAAAATTAAACATTCAATTTCTCAGTTGCACTAGCCCCGTTTCAGGTACTCAACTCAGCAGCCACACGTGGCTAAGTGGAACTGTATTAAACAGTGCAGCTCAAAAAGGTTGCTAAATTCATCTTTTATTATTCTGTAATTTTGCTCTTTCAAATATTAGCTAACCAGATAAGCTTGTGAAAGTGACTAATGCCCCCTTTATTATGCGAAGATATTTTGGGGGGAATACAAATTGTTCTGTGAGCTTCGACCTACCCTTTGCTATAGAGGTCATTTCTCCATTTACTGTTAAGTGTGCATATCTTGCTGGAACTCTTCAAAAACCCTGAGCGAGCTTTCCATATGGGAAGCAGTGAGTCACTTGGTGGGGGGATTTCGGGAGAGGAAGATGAGGAGGTGAAGTAGAGTCAGCAGGAAGAGGAGCATTTTTCAACCAGGGTCAGAAATGTGAACAGTAATTTTCAGGAAATAACCACATATTTTCTTATTATTAAAATAATTATTACTACAAAAAAATTAATAACATTCAGATAAGCCTGAAAATATAGAAACCATGCATAATTCCATTACCCAGAGATAACCACTGGTAACACTGAACACATGTCTTTTTAGTCTTATAAATTTATTCACATTAATGACTACTTTCTATAGTGGTTTCTATTGCTTCACAGATTCCTGGGAGTCTCTGAGACATTTTCAGGGGGTCCATGAGATCAAAACTATTTTCAAAAAAGGACTGAGAAGTTATTTCCCCTTTTTACTGTGTGGCACTTGCGCTGATGATGCGAAAGTGGTGTAGACAAAACTGCTGGCTCCTTAGCACTAATCAAGGTGGTAACACTGAATTCTACTAGAAGTCATTGCATTCTTAAACACCACACGCTTAGAGTAAACACACACACATACACACAGACACCCTAAACCCCAAAAGACAAAAAAAGTCAAGACACGAATAACCTCCTAGTTTCACTTAAGAACATCCTTGGTAAAGCAATACAATTATTAATTATATTAAATCTTAACTTTTTTTTTTTTTTTTTTTTTTTTTTGAGACGGAGTCTCGTTCTGTCGCCCAGGCTGGAGTGCAGTGGCTTGATCTCGGCTCACTGCAAGCTCCGCCTCCCGGGTTCACGCCATTCTCCTGCCTCAGCCTCCCGAGTAGCTGGGACTACAGGCGCCCACCACCACGCCCGGCTTATTTTTGTATTTTTAGTAGAGACGGGGTTTCACCGTGGTCTCGATCTCCTGACCTCGTGATCCACCCGCCTCGGCCTCCCAAAGTGAAATATTAACTTTTGATTACTCATCTTTTTTTATAGTCTGTGTGGCAAGTGAAGTACAAATGAAGTACTCCCGATTCATATTGAAGCATGATGGTTGTTTTAGGAAAGACACCTATGCCATTATTTGAGTTGTGAGCTGAACTAGCAGCTTTTTTTCCCCCAAGGAATATCATTCTTACTTAAAAGAACAATACTAATAAACAAACATACTGATTATTCAGACTTGCATATTTGGTGGACATTTTATCAATGATGTGACCCTGTCATTTCCAGGATAACAACTGAAAGTATTTGTTGCTAATAGTAAAATTTGAGCTTTCAACCAAAATTTAGAAGTGTGAAAAACTCCATGAACTTGATGGCTTCCCAATAATTAAAGACTTTTTTTTAAAAATGAGATTTATGATGATGGTAACCGATGTGACTTTTTGATGTTATATAAAATCTGCCAACATTTGGAAAATCTACATAACTCAGAAAAACTAATATTCTCCCAAACGATAAATGCACTGTGTTCAAAATCACGCACGAATAAAAGATCCTTTCAGAGTGTGAGATAGATGGACTTCAATGTAATAGTATAAACATTCAGTTATATGGTTTCAAATTGCATATTGTAACTAGCATTTAAGAAACATTGCTTTTTGAGTTTTGGTGTAGCATCAAAGAAAAATATTCACAATTAGCTGAAAAGGCTATTAAAATACTTCTTTTTCCAGCTCCAAGCTGTGTGAGAGTAGATTTGTTCCCCCATACTTTAATCAAAACAACATATCACAATGGATTCTATAAACAGATATGATGAGAATCCAGTTGTCTTCCATTGATATGATGAGAATACAGTTGTCTTCCATTAAGTCAAACATTAGATTTGCAAAAATATAAACAATAACTCTTTTCTTACTCATTTTTTTGTGGGTTAAAATATTATATCACAAAATATGTAATTTATGTTAATTTAGTTGATTTATTATTATTTTAGGTATGTTGATAAATATTTTAAATTTTTTTCAGTTTTAATTTCTAATGTGGTAAGTTTTAATAGATATAATACACATAAGCAAATATCTCTCAGTAGTTAAAATACTAGAAATTATTGAGGCCCTCAACAATTTTCAAGAGTTGTGAAGAGGTTCTGAGATTAAAAAAAAAAAAGTTAGAGAACCACTGCTACAATAGGTCCAATCTTAGGTGCCTACCCCCATCCCCAACTCAGGCTAACTACAGACATGACAAATAAACAGAAACGCAAGAATCCTACTGTGTTTCAAAAACATTCTCTCAGTACATACACATATTTTAAAACGTACTTACAACATTTAAAATTGAAATCCTACTGTACATACTCACTTGTAATCTGACTTGTCCCATTCATCATAAACACTTTTTTTTTCCTCAATTTTAAGTTCAGGGGTACGTGTGCAGGATGTGCAGGTTTGTTACATAGGTAAATGTGTACTATGGTGGTTTGCTGCACAGGCCATCCCATCGCCTGGGTATTAAGCCCAGCATCCATTAGCTATTCTTCCTGATGCTCGCCCTCTCCCCACCCGAACCCTCTGACAGGCCCCATTGTGTGTTGTTCCCTGCCACGTGTCCATGTGTTCTCATCACTCAGCTCCCACTTATAAGTGAGAATATGTGGTATTTGATTTTCTGTTCCTGCATTCGTTTGCTGAGGATAATGGCTTCCAGCTCCATTCACATCCCTTCAAAGGACATAATCTCATTCCTTTTTATGGCTATGTAGTTTTTCATGGTGTATATATGCCATATTTTCTTTATCCAGTCTATCATGGGTGGGCATTTAGGTTGATTCCATGTCTTTGCAATTGTGCTGCAATGAACATACACGTGTATGTATCTTTATAATAGAATGATTTATATTCTTTTGGGTATATGCCCAGTAATGGGATTGCTGGGTCAAATGGTATTTCTGCCTCTAGGTCTTTGAGGAATTGCCACATTGCATTGTCTTCCATAATGGTTAAACTAATTTACACTCCCACCAGCAGTGTAAAAGAGATGAACACTTTCCAATGTCATGAAATATTCCTCTCAAGTTGGATTTGTGGAGGTTGTATTGTATTCTACTGGTCAGATGCCACTCAGTTCATTTATTGTGTCTCCTTCCATCAGCAAGGTTTAGGCAGGAAAATGATGTTTATGTTTTAAGAAAGTACTCTAATAACAAAAGAGAGAGAATCAGGGGAAGCTGTTAGAAATCTCTTGAGGAGGACCAATTAGGTAGACACAGTGATGGCCTGAGAAAAAGCAGTGACCTTGGGATTGTGGGGGTGAGAGTACATTAAGGTGGGCAAGTGAGTGGGAAGAGAGAGATGTGTGCTCTATTATGCATTTTTCTAGCATAGAGATCAAAGGCCTTTGGTAAATCCAAGTGGCAATGTTCAGTGCATTTTCCATTCTTTCAAAGCAGTGCATGTTTCACTCTTTTTAATTTTGAAATACTCAGTATTTTAATAACTGTGTACCATATAATGTAGAGTTTACATGTAAATGTCTTCATTTGCATTTACACATGGCTTCTTTCCACAAAGTTGTCATTTCTTTAGTTTTCTGCAGCATAATTTAATTGCTTATCTACCAGTCCTGAGTAAACTCACTCACTTAGGGTTTTCTCAGCATTTCATAGATCATAGATCACCTCTGCCAATTATAGGGGTCATTCTTTCCCACTTTCCTTTCCAAGGTGACCTGTAACTTCTGGGCAGCTTACATTGCCTCATGACCTCTGGATGAAAGTGCCTACTTCAGGGTCTTCCTCTGGCTTGTGTTGGCACCTCTGAGCTGTCTGTAGGTCCACTGTGATTTCTGGTTGCTGATGCCTGTCATTGTTCTGGCATCTTTGCAATGACTGTGAACACATCTTAGTGTCTCTGGTCACTGGTCTATATGTTTCGAGTCATCTTTACCCCTGAGGGCTCCTTAGGTCCATTGTCTGCTCTCTGCAGCTCAGGGGAACAGACAGCACAGAGTCTCTGTGGTGGCTTGTCTACCATTCCCTGGAGACTGAGAGCTGTCTTGGGCTCTATTTGCCAGGTTTGCATGCCTACCTACCATTGTGGCTCCTTTGTAACTCCCACAAATACTTAATAATTGTTCAAGAATGTATATAGATAAAGGGAGGCATTATTGCTATTAAAACTGCTTGATAACATCATGGAGATAGCATGAGACTAAGTCATTTGGACTACTTGTTCATAAAAGACTTCCCATGGGATTAGAGAACACCATAAAGGAATGTTTTCTTTTAGTCACATTTTAAATTTCTCTATAGTAAAGCAAACCACAGATAGAAGAGTCACCTGTTTTAAGGTTTCATTATTGCAAAATCTCTTGCCATTTGCCTTTCTTTACTTTCTAGAGCTGAAAAGGAATTGAGGCATAACTAAATCCTCCTTTGTGATTTTTCATAGAAGAAAACTGAGGTCCAGTGGGGGAAGCGAATTGTACAAAATTACACACAAGTTAGATGGGACCAGGTCTCTCAACTCCCAGTCTGGAGTTCAATTTTTTTTTTTTGAGACGGAGTCTTGCTCTGTTACCTAGGCTGGAGTGCAGTGGCACAATCTCAGTTCACTGCAAGCTCTGCCTCCCGGGTTCAAGCAATTCTCGTGCCTCAGCCACACAAGAAGCTCGGATTACAGGCATGTGCCACCATGCCCAGCTAATTTTTGTATTTTTAGTACAGATGGGTTTTTGCCATCTTGGCTAGGCTGGTCTTGAACTCCCGGCCTCCAGCAATCTACCCAACTTGGGCCTCCAAATGTGCTGGGATTATAGGCATGAGCCACCACGCCTGGCCTTCTGGAGCTCTTTTGAATTCATTCATTTCTTTTCTTTATAAATTACCCAATCTGTAGTATTATGTTATAGCAATACAAAATGAACTAAGACAGTGACCATCATACCCAAGATTCAAGGAGCCCTCCCAACCAGCTATTAAGATTTGCTCCAGAAGCTCTTGCCAGAACTTGAGTCTCAAGCATGATAAGTATCAACATGTCAATAAATTGTGCCCTATCATACATTAATATTTTGCCTCGTCTCCATTTATACAACACCTTCACATTTTTCTTTCACATGCATTGCCCTAATTTCTACTGATTTATATTGTTGATGTCCTACAATAGTTTTTAGCAAGCAAACTATTTTATTTCAGCACTCCTCCTCTTGGGCTTATCCTAGTTATCAATCTGGAGGTAATGAGGGAAGATATTGAGGAAAGCAAACATTGTTTTATGAAGTGCCTGCCTCAGATATGTTTTTGTGTGATCTTCATGGAAGGTGAAATTGCTTTTCTCTGGCAAGGGGAATAGCACTGCTTTCCCCAGGCTGGGTATTCAAAGTTCTCAGACTCTGTTATCTAAAGGACCCCCATCCCAGGTTTCAGTGTCCCATTTTCTTCTGATCACTGCCTTGACCTTGACACAGAGGATCTATGGAGGCTGTGCACTCAGCTCTGTCATGCTACAATTTGATCCTGGGCCTGATTTTCCAGCACAATCCACCCTGCTGCTTCAGGAGTTGAGAGTCTACTTGACAACTGTAAAAAAGGCTCTGGCTTTAACAATGTACCTTGTGTCATCAGTAGGCCACTCTGAGCCTATCATTTTCTTCCTTCAATGTTTCAAATACAGTTAAAGAAAGCCAACCCACTCCACAATCCTTACAGTTATCAAAGTCCAGATTCTGCATATTCCAATGACTCACCTTCCACTTGAACCTCATCCTGACTAACCACAGGTAGTAACCACAGCCTTTGTAGCTGGGATGCCATTCCTTGCTAGGGGTTCCCATAATTTCACTCTTGTCTCCAAATGTTGTAGCCCAGTCTACTGATTTGAAGAGTGTCCTCTTCCCCCTGGCAAATTCATGACTACCTGGAACCTCAGAAGTCACCCTTATTTGCGAGCAGGGTCTTTGCAGATGTAATTAGTTAAGATTAGGTCATACTAGATGACGATCGGCTCTAAATCCAACAACTGGTGTCCTTATAAGAAGGCCACATACAGAGGCACAGAGCTAAACAGGGAAGAACACCATGTGATAACAGAGGCAGAGCTTGGAGGGATGCAGCTACAATCCAAGGAACACCAAGGATTGCCAGCAACTACCATAAACTAGAAAATAAGCATGAAACAGACTCTTCCTCAGAGCTCCTGGAAAGAATCAACCTGAAGACAGCTTTGTTTCAGATTCCTGGCCTCCTGAATTGTGAGAGAATAAATTTCTATTGTTTTAAGCCACTTAGTTTGTGGTACTTTGTTACGCCAGCCCTAGGAAACAAACACACCCAGGTTCCCAAGAAAGCAGCATTTGAGGCAGAGATCTTATATGTGGTTACTCCTATGTGCTATTACACCTTACATGCTAATACTTCTGTATTAGGAATCAGTAGAGAGGGTCAGGGCAGTGATCAGGGAAGAGACAATGGCCAATGTGAGGATGCAATATCTAGTTGGTTGCCTTAAACTACAGAACCATTAGAAGAAAGAACGTTAACAATGTTTTTATACTGTCTATTTAAGAGAGAAAGGAGGAATAATATATCCACATGGTCACATTTCCCTTTGATTAAAAGTTTACCCATGGGACATTAAGTCACCTCCACTTAAAAGGTGTACATTCATTGGCACTGTTTTCATCAGGGATGTCTGAACTATGGTAATCTGTGTGGGAGCATCATTCAGAGAAGAGAGAGGAGAAAAATGCACTAGTAGCTCCCTTTCTTGAGCTCCAATCTCCTGCCATTGTCTTTCATTGTCTAAACCCAACTAGAAGCCAGCTGCATCAGGGGACTTGGAAATAGAGTCTACAAGTGTCCTTTACTGCAGAGAAAGGAGAGGAAATGGCTCTCAGAGCCAGCCGGCCAGGAACAGACACATCAGGCATGGTGGTATGAGGAAAAGTGCAGGGTGGCGACTTCTGAGAATCTGTCCTGGCGGCCTCCAATTCAGCCTCCTGCTCTGTATGCTGTGCTGTCTCTGCCTTTGTGGCTGACTGGGCAGAGGGACCAACTGCCTGGCAGTCTGTATTAGTCCGTTCTCACGCTGCTAATAAAGACATACTTGAGACTGGGTAATTTATAAAAGAAAGAGATTTAATTGACTCACAGTCCAGCATGGCTGGGGAGGCCTCAGGAAACGTACAATTATGGCAGAAGGGGAAGCAAATATGTCCATCTTCACATGGCGGCAACAAGGAGAAGTGCAGAGTGAAGGGTGGCAGCAAAGCCTCTTACAAAACCATCAGATTTCGTGATAACTCACTTACTATCAAGAGAATAGCATGGAGATAACTGCCTCCAAGATTCAGTTACCTCTCATCAGGTTCCTCCCACAACATGTGAGGATTATGGGAACTACAATTCAAGATGAGATTTGGGTGGGGACAGAGCCAAACCGTGTCATTCCACCTCTGACCGCTCCAAAATCTCATGTCCTCACATTTCAAAAACACAATCATGCCCTTCCAACAGTCCCCCAAAGTCTTAACACATTCCAGCTTTAACTCAAAAGTCCAAGTCCAAAGTCTCATCTGTAACAAGGCAAGTTCCTTCCACCTACAAGCCTGTTAAATCAAAATCAAATTAGTTATTTCCTATATACAATGAGGGTACAGGGATTGGGTAAATACATCCAGTCCGAATGGGAGAAATTGGCCAAAACAAAAGGACACAGACCCCATGCAAGTCCGAAATCCAATAGGGCAGTCATTAAACCTTAAAGTTCCAAAATGGTCTCCTTTGACTCCTTGTCTCACATCCATGTCATGCTGATGCAAGAGGTAGGCTCCAATGGCCTTGGGCAGCTCCACCATTGTGGCTTTGCAGGGTACAGCTCCTCTCTTAGCTGCTTTCATGGGCTGATGTTGAGTGTCTGTGGCTTTTCCAGGTGCATGGTGCAAGCTGTCAGTGGATCTACCATTCTGGGGTCTGCATGATGGTGGCCATCTTCTCACAGCTCCGCCAGGCAGTGCCCCAGTGGGGATTCTGTGTAAGGGATCCAACCCCACATTTTCCTTTCACACTGCCCTGGCAGACATTCTCCCTGAGGGGTCTGCCACTGCCGCAAACTTCTGCCTGGATATCTGGGCATTTCCATACATCCTCTGAAATCTAGGCGGAGGTTCCCAAACCTCAATTCTTGATTTCTGTGCACCCACAGGCTCAACACCATGTGGAAGCTGCCAAGGCTTTGGGCTTGCACCCTCTGAAGTGACAGCCTGAGCTCTATGTTGGCTCCTTTTAGCCACAGCTGGAGCTGAAGCAGCTGGGACACAGGGCATCATGTCCTGAGGCTGCATAGAGCAGGGGGTCGCTGGGGCCAACCCAGGAAACCATTTTTCCCTCCTAGGCCTCCAGGCCTGTAATGGGAGGGGCTGCCATGAAGGTCTCTGACAGGCTCTGGATACATTTTTCCCATTTCTTGGTGATTAACTTTTGGCTCCTTGTTACTTAAGCAAATTTCTGCAGCTGGCTTGAATTTCTCCCTAGAAAATGGGGTTTTCTTTTCTGTCACATTGTCAGGCTGCAAATTTTCCAAACTTTTATGCTTTGCTTTCTCTTGTACACTTTGCTGCTTAGAAATTTCTTCCACTAGATACCCTAAATTGTCTCTCAAGTTCAAAGTTCCACAGATCTCCAGGTCCAGACCAAAATGCCACCAGTCTTTTTGCATAGCAAGAGTGACCTTTACTCCAGTTCCCAACGAATTCCTCATCTCCATCTGAGACTACCTCAGCCTGGACTTTGTTGTCCAAATTGTTACCAGCATTTTGGTCAAATCCATTCAACAAGTCTCTAGGAAGTTCCAAACTTTCCCACATCTTCCTGTCTTCTGAGCCCTCCAAGTCTCCAGGAAGTTCCAAACTTTCTCACATTTTCCTGTCTTCTTGGAACAGTTGGAATAAACTGTTCCAACCTCTGACTGTTACCCAGTTCCAAAGTTGCTTCCACATTTTTGGGTATCCTTACAGCAACACCTCACTCTACCAGTACCAGTTTACGGTATTAGGCCATTTTCATGCTGCTAACAAAGACATACTTGAGACTGGATAATTTATAAAGGAAAGAGGTTTAATTGACTCACAGTTCAGCATGGCTGGGGAGGCCTCAGGAAACTTACAATTATGGCAGAAAGGGAAGCAAACACATCCTTCTTCATATGGTGGCAGCAAGGAGAAGTGCATGGTGAAGGTGGGGAAAACCCCCTTATGAAGCCATCAAATCTTGTTAGAACTCACGCACTATCACAAGAACAGCATGGAGATAACCACCCCCATGATTCAATTACCTCCCATTGGGTCCCTCCCAAGATATGTGGGGACTATAGGAACTACAATTCAACATGAGATTTGGGTGGGGAGACACCCAAACCATAACACAGTCCTTATGGCTGAGGACCATTGGGCCAGTGGTCTACCTCTTCTCCCAAAGTGGCCTTATGCAAGGTACCTGGAGAAGGTCCACTTATGAGACTCTATTAAACTATTAAATACTATTTTCATTCACCACTGAGTGAATAGAAAATCAGAAATTAAGGTCCTATTTTATAGACTTCATAAAATCACTTGAATTAGTGGAGGGTTGATTGGGGTTTTGTCTTTGTCATGAGTACAAAGTATCAGTCATGATGAGCCTCATTGAGTTTTGTGGGGAGGGGTGTACCAAAGTTCGGTAGATTACATGAGTGAGGAAGGATGGCAAAGCCTCTACAGGCAAGCAATGCCTAGAAGGAGTGGCACCCGTTCTACAGACTCCACACCAGAAATAAACACTGCTCATCAGGGGTTCAGCAAGACAGAGCTCTGGATCCAGATGGACTGCTGACCAACTGTGTGAACAGAATAGTTGTTCTCAAGTCTTCCCCTGCTCATTTAAATTACTGAACAAGTTCCACTACCATGTTAATGCCAAGCTAAATTACACTAGTCAATGCTTTTGGTCAACATAGAGGTCACCTTTTAATTTTCCCCAATCTTTTCTGCTATAGAGCAAAGCACTAATACTGTCCTGGCTTCTGTTGCTGCAATGCAGTCTTTAGGAATTTAGTCTTAAGTAAATTCTGGTGGAGTAACTCCCGTGTAATCCGTTTCAGTCTAGCATTTGCCAATGTCTTAGAAAAGAGGAAGACTGAAACTCAGAGCTTTATTTATTTAGTCAGTCAACAGAGTTTACTGAATGTTGACTACACGCTTGGGGCTGAGAAAAACAGAAGAAACCTAAGAGACACTCTCCCTGACCCAGAGGACCATCTCATCTTGCAGTGGGAATGTAACTATGAATGAATAAGCCTGATCTGTGGACCAGGAAAGGCTTTCTGAAAACAGTGATGTATTAGGTTGTTTGACAGTATTCCAGGCTCAGAGAGCAGCCCATAGAAAGCCCTGAGGCAGAGAAAAGCATAGCTTATTTGAGGAGACAAAAGTTCATCATGGTCAGGGTGTAGCACTAATGGAAAGAAAAGGGTTAAAGATGATTGAACAAAGTGATTTTTAGTTTACTTATTTGTTTCTATGTTTGGCTAGGAAGCCTGCTATTCTAAACCATTAATTCGAGAATCCACATTTGAAAGCCTCAAATTTAATTTGATGTATGTACATTTATTGGGTAAGATGTGATTCCTGACCTCAGATAACTTAGAGTCTGACAGGAAAGATAAGACACATTTTTGTAGTATTATAATACAAGTCAGAATGTACCTTAAGGGAAAGACAGAGTGCCATATGAATGCAGGAACACCTGTGCTGGATTTGTTCCTGCATTCATTTCTTCAACAAATACTTAAATAGTATCTTCTCTGGGGTTACAAGGATGAACAAGACACAAACTTTAACTTCAAGGAATTGATTCTACTAAGCAAGGCACATACATAAATCATTAGAATTCTTTAAGCACAGAGATAGAAATATGCACAGGCTATGATGAGATAAATCAATGGTTTTATTTTATTGAGCACTTATTAAATACTTTACATGCATTTCCCATACCCCCCTTACTAGGTAGGTATTCTATCCTCAGTTTTCAGATGAGAAAACTGGCACTGAGAGAAGTTAAAGCAATTTCAGAGGTCCCAACATTTGAAAGTTGAGGATACGGAATTCAAACCCAGTTCTTACTCATGACAAGCCCCAGGCTCCTAACCATCCTACATAGAATCCTGCTTCCCAATCTCTCATAGTACTCAGGGCAGAGCATCTCATCTGAGCCAGGCAGAGATGACAAATGCCTCCCTGAGCTTAGTTTAGGGATTAGGAAGTGTTGGGGAGGTGAAGGGGGGTAGGTGGGTGCCCTAATAGAGGGACAAGCTGAGTAGACCCAGGAGGAAGAAAACTATCCAATGTTAGGGTATTATGTCCATTCTAGGCTGTTGGAGATTAAGCCAGGAGGCAGAAAATGGCCAGAAATATGCCTGGAGAAGAATTGGGATCATGCAGGATATAGAATGTATAGTGGGAAACAGAACTGGAATTGGATTTGCATTTTAAAGTGATTACAAGGGCAGCTGTATGGAGGATGGCATTGAGGGAAATGAGAGTGGGAGAGAAGTTCAAGATTATCGTAGAGTTGTAGACAGGAGAAGGTGAGAGTCTGAACTTAGATATTAGCAGAATGGATGGGAGGAGAGGAGAAGCTTGAGAAAAAGTCAGGCAGTGAAGTTAATGGGCTTTCTGAATTCTGTGGCTGTGAGGAGTCAGCTTAGGGAGAAATCGGGGTTGACTTCTAGGTTCCTAACTCAGAAGATGGAGTAGATGGATGGTGTTGCCACCAAATAAGGAGAAAGCAGGTTTGGGGGTTAGGTGATGAGTTCAGCTTTGGTCATGTTGAGTTGGAAGCTCCAGTGAGACATCTAGATGAAGCAGTCCCACAAGAAACTGGGAATCTGAATCAAAGTTCGTGATAGAAACATAGCCTAGAAAAAGATTTCGGAACCATCAGCCTAATGGTGGAGCTAAAGCAAGGAGAGTGGAAGAGAGTCCCCAAGCAGAGAGGGTAGAGCGAGCTGAATGTGGGATGGTCATGCGGGGCAGGCAACTCTTGGAGGGGGCACCCATGTGGAGGTCCTTAAAGAGGAATAAAGGACACTTCAGGTCGTGTAATAGTGTGAGCAAAATAGGGGAAAAAGCAAGAGGTGTTTTCAGAGAATGTAATGGTTCCATGTGGCTGGATAATAGTGGGTTTGATGCAGCTATCAGGTGATTAAGCTGGGAATGGGTTATAGTCTTGAGAGATTGAGGCCAGGCAATGAGAATGGAATACAATTCAGCCTTGAAAAGAAAAAAATTCTGGTACGTCCTTCAATATGGATGAACCTTGAGGACATTATGCTAAGAGAAATACGCCAGTCACAAAAAGACACATGCTGTATGATTCCATTTATATGAGGTATTTTAAGTTATCAAATTCATAGAGACAAAAGGTAGAATGATGGTTGCCAGAACTGGGGGAGGGCAAAAAGTGAAGTTGTTTAATAGGTGCAGAGTATCCATTTTTCACAAGGAAGGAAGGTATGTGATGGGATAGTGGTGATGCTTGCACAACTACACTAAATGCTGCTGAACTGTACACTTAAAAAATGGTGGCAAGGCATGGTGGCTCATGCCTGTAATCCCAGCACTTTGGGAGGCTGTGGCGGATGGGTCACGAGGTCAAGAGATCGAGACCATCCTGGCCAATGTGGTGAAACCCAATCTCTACTAAAAATACAAAAATTAGCTGGGCGTGGTGCTGTGCACCTGTAGTCCCAGCTACTCGGGAGGCTGAGACAGGAGAATAGCTTGAACCCAGGACGTGGAGGTTGCAGTGAGCAGAGATGGTGCCACTGCACTGCAGCCTGGGCGACAAGAGTGAAACTCTGTCTCAAAAAAAAAAATAGGTAAGATGGGGAGGGATAGGAAAATATTCATTAAAAGGATACCAAAAAATGATAAGGTGATAAAATTTTATGTTATGTGGATTTTGCCACAATTGAAAATATCAAAAGAAGAAAAATGCAAAGAGAAAAGAAGTAATTTTTAAATAAATAAATAAAAAAGGCAGGACTTCTATTCAGAGGCTATTTCCAATAGTTCTGAGGAGAGCCAATGTGGTTAGAATTGGGTAGGTAGCAGCAGAACTGTTAGTGGACCCACATGAAAGGGCTGTGTTTATATGTCAGAGTCAGTCAAATGTTGGCAATGTCATATGGTTCAACCTAATAGAAAGGCAAAAAGAGACAAATCCTTTAATGAAGTTCAAGAAAATATACATTATAACCATTTAAGTTAAATTGCAAAATATTTCCTGGGGCACTTGCTCTCAAACTAATAACCAAATAGCAAATATTTTCCATTTTCAATCATCTTAGGTCAATTTGAAAACAGCTTTTTAGTTTTTATTGGAGAAACTCATATTGTCTTCACTTGTTCAATGTGAAGTTGAGTTGCCAAAATTGCCTTCAGTACACATTTGTCTTTTATATTTCAAACAGAGGAAAGTTTCCATTTCCCCATTTCATTCTGAAAGCTTTCAAAAAGTTTGGGCAGTGCCCAGTGCTGTCCCCGTCCCTCACTTCATCATTTCAGCTCTAGTTCTTGCACTTGGCAGACTTCGGACGCCAAGTTTCTGCTTCAGTGCTGGTCAAAATCCCACAGAGGACTTTGGTACCAATACCCACTGACAATTCTCTGAGCTGAGAGTTGTTAACTTTTCAACACAGTGACAGAATGAAAAGAGCAGGTTGTATTATCATTTATAATCAACCAGGACTTAAAAAATTCACACACACACGAGAAGTACCCCAAGAGATTATTAAAAAGGAAATTTTCAGGTGGTTTTCATAGAGATTCCAATTCTGTGTATCTTGGATGGGGTCTGGGAATATGTTTTTAACAAAAATTAGGTTAATTCTGATACAGGTCGTCCATACACTATTTTTTTCAGAAATTGATAAGTTAAATCAGGGCTTATTTTTTCCTAAGGATAATCACAGTCAAACAAATAATATTGTTCTTTTAAGTTGGTAGACACTCTAGCATTCTGAGTGCATTTTTATTTATTATATAGTACATCCAAAAATCATTTTTCTAAACTTTGGAAATATTTTCAGCAAATGAATGCATAAAATGAGATACTGTGTGTTTTACTAGTTTTCCTGGTATTTGAGGACAAAAGTCGTAGTTATCCCTTCTCCTGTTTTCTCCACCTCTCTAAGTATAGAAGTGGGGGGAGGAGTAGGAGGAGTAGGAGGAGGAGGAGGAAGAGGAGGGAAGAGGAGGAGGAGGAGGTTGTCAGAGCATTAAGAAGCAAGAGAGTAGAATGTTACAGGGGGTGCTACAATCACCCAGATAATAGCAGGAAGTAGGGTGGAGAGGCATGTTATAAATCAGAAAGAAGAATCTTCGGAGAAGGCTGGGAAGCAGGTGATTTTTAGAGTTGAGGAAGCGGGCACACCTGCAAAACAGAAGAGATTTTTGGATGAAGGTTATAGAACAGCAGTCTAGAGGCAGCAGTGGGAGCCAGTTTCTGTCCCTAGATACTAGAGCTCCAAGAGCCTGGGAGAATGACTCATCTCTGCAGAAAGAGGTGGGAAGGAATGTCGTTGCCAGGGGACCCAGTGGCTACGACAGAAAGATGCCAAAAAAAGGTACTGGATTTCTCCCAACATCTTTGTCATTGGTCAAAAGAGACTTCCCCAAACAATGAAATACTGTTTGGAGATCCCACTGGATATAGGACCAAAGGGCAAGCAGCACTGTGAGCAAGGATATGGAAACCCGGAATGGGATAACCTCACTACCTGCACAACACAAATAGGGTCAAGGATAATGTTCAGGAGTTGATTTCCTTTGGAAGCTTGGCGGGGGAAGGAATACACTCTTCAGAGCAGGACTTGAAAAGTGAGATGCTTAGGGGCCAGGCAAGTAAGGTGAATGAGTGATGGTGGATTAGTGAAGAGTGTGAACAACTAGAGATCTCCAACCTCATCTAAAGGGACTGACCTTGCCTCTGTCCAACTATTTTCAGGTGGGCATATAGAATGTAGGGTAACAAATCCCCTGTCATTAATGAGGCCCAATGTTGGCAGCTAATTCAGATGTTAAATAAAATGCACTGTCAGCCAAACCAAACATATCTGTAGCCAGATCTACCCCGTGGGCTGCCAATGTATGGTCTCAGCTTTGGAGCCAGAGAGACTGTTATTAAACCTCTTTGATACTCAGTTTTCTCATTCATGAAATGATAGGTGGAAAAATACTCGACTTTGATTTTTTTGAAAGCTACTTTTGGAAACGGTTAGACTTACTCTTCATGTCATTAAATGAATGTATGCAAAGTATTTTTCCCGTGTCTGCTACTGAGTAGATCCTCAGTAAATGGCTCTTATGTTGACCAGAATCATGCATTTTTCTCAAAATTTTCTTCCCCAAACAATCAAGCAACTGCTATTTCTTAGAAATGTAAAAGATTTCTGTGTCTGCAACTATCCTTCAGGTCAAGGGATGACTATTAGTGTAGAAAAGGTGTGTGGCTCAGCTCCCTTCCCTCAGCTGCCCTGCTCTAGCACCTTCCTTTCAGATCCTCTGGTCCTATAGATGCCTGAAGGTCACAGGCAGAAATATACGAATTCTACACTAAAAGAAGTTGTACAGGAACCTTTAAACAACAGCATCAAAAGCATCTGTTAAAGTAACGCTTTCCACTGAGTGCCTTGCTAGACATGGTACAAAGTGCATTCAACAGACACAGTTCCTTTCCTCTTGGAAGACCTAAGACATTCCAATGACAACAACAGATATTTTATATTCATAAAAAGTGAGATAAATAGCACATGAACAAATAAATTAACGAACCTCCCTGACAAAAAAAATCGAGGAAAGGAATGCCTGCATTTATTGGTAAGAGAATAATCTGATGCATGTTACACCAGGGGAAAACTCTGCTGTCTTTTTCTGCCTATCAGGGAGCTCATAAAGAGATGAGATTTTGAAATTGAATAATCTCAAGAGATTCCTTGGTGAGTTAACAAGAAATGAATGTCCAGATATATAGAGAGGGGAGCATTCCAAATATAGTGTGAGACTTGAGGAGAGGTTTAGGGATGGAAAAAGATGACTGCTTAAATGGATTTAAATACTTTTGCCTGGAAGCATATGATCCTGGTGAAAAACTAAGATGTGACTGACTAGGAAATTCTGAGAATGAAATGATATGAGGCAATGTTCTGTTGAACTCCCCAGACCTGGCCTTCCTCAGGTAATGATCACAGGCCTGGGAAATGTCTGCCATCTTCTAGCAAGAGCTTATTTATTTTCACCTGGTTTCATGGTGTTTTTTCAGTCGGTTTAAGTCAGCTTGCTCCTCTATTCTTTTCTGCAGTCTTCCCGTGTAGGCTCAGGGTAATCTGACTACAAACTAGTACTAGGGAAGGAGACTCAGGAAGAAGGGGATAATGCACAGTTGCTCTGTTTCTAGCAGGAGTGGTTCTCACTGTGTGTGACTAGCTTGCTGAACCGTGACCATCTGCAGTGGCTGTCAGGGGCCTATGTGTGGAAAGTTCGCCTGAACTTTCTTCCTCTTAGATTCTGCTTATCCTTGACTGGTCTTGTAGCTGTCTGGAATTTCTTGTCAAAGAAATGATATTTTGTTTTCACAAGGCTAAATTTGTTCCAGGGACTATTTTTTCTTCTTAAAAACATTGTTTCCATGATTAACTAAGGATTACAAAAAAGTTGTGGGGAGGAAACCTAATTTCTTCCAAAGTCTTTGAACCTGTCAGTTTAACTCAGCAGGAATAAAGAAATAAGCTGATTTGAAATGTGATAACTAACTAGCTAAATACACACACACACACACACACACACACACACACACACACAGACACCCATATTTGTATGGAAAAAATTTCAGGATTCCAATATATTGTTTTTGCCTCTACCTATCCTGAATAGAGGTAACGGAAAGCAAAAGTAAATATTGGTTTGTAATATTCTAAGCAAAGAGTTTGGTAGTGGTATTTGCTGCTTGGCTTCATCCTGGCTTCTGACCTACTTATCATCTCTGTCTCCTTAGGCAAGTTACTCAGCTATAGTCTGCTTTACTTTCCTTTATGATAGATGGAAAGGGAGAGGGCTACATAATATTACCTATGTTAGACTGGCTATGGAGATTAAATTAATGCATGTAAACTACTTGAAGAGTGCCTGACACCCAGTAAGTATTGAATAAATGTTAGCTAGGATCATGCATACGATTACTGTATAATGATCATGATTGAGATTGAGAAGGTATGAGCCTAAATGTAGGACTAAATTGAATTAGCCTTGGCCTAAGGTTCTCAGGTAGTTGAGCTATAATTAAACGCCTTTGGCCAATCCTTTTTCAAGTATCAGAGCATCTTGGGAGGGTTAGCCCTGGGCAAAACATCTGCTTCACCACGCCCCATGAAGGCCTAGAGGCTGGGATGCCCTGAGAGGCCACATGAGAATGCACAGGAGGGAGACGTTTACTGTAGTCCTAGCCTAATCCCAAGTTCTATTAATTCAGCAAGTGATTTTTTCAAAGGGCACTCTAATATTCAAAATTCTCTGCATCTTCTTATATATACCTTCTGCTAAATACTATACATTTTAGGAGATAAGAATAATAATACATCAATAAAATGTAAAAGTATTTTTCCTCTTTCTAATTAAAAATGACATACAAGTAGTTCTTGAATTAGAACTACTAATTCCCTAATGATAATAATATTATTATTTTCTGTTACAGAATGTTTTATAGACATCTAGCAAGTGGCATCACATTTCCATTGAATTAATGGATATTTCCAAATGTTTGAGAAAATCCGAAAACTGGATGTCCTGTACATACATTTCCATTGAAGTTTATGGCAGTTTCTGGGCACAATCACATCAATATTGCACATCTATAGATAGTTTACAGGTTACATAACTGTGGTTTTGGATTTAATTGCCAACTTGTTACCCTGATAGTAATTCCAGACAGGGGAATAACAGAGCGAAGGGGTCTGCCCATTGTGTTACTGCTGCCTATAAAAACAAATAGGATCCTTAGGGTTTAATTGGAGGACTTATAATTGCACCTAATGTTAAAATGGGAACTTTGGACATCTGGAAGATGAGTCTGGATTTGGTCACTTGCCTTTAGGAATTAAATTCATGAAATTGTGATGGTCCTAAAGAACAGTGGTGTTCCCACCTGGATTTATGCACAGGCAGAAATGACAAAGGTGAATGTGAGCTGGTCTGCAAGGCCAAATAAGTCAGGAGAGAAAAATGGAGTTTGGCTTTAAACTCACAAGTAATCCAGGATGATGACTGGCTTCTTTGGTCCTAACATGAAAATAAGCCATCTAAAATGAAGAGCAGGTACATAAAAAGTTTGTTCTTACTTGGCAAAGACATGCATGGCTTTTGGAACTTGCAACTACACAGGGTGTCACTTGGCATCATAGAGCCCATTTAGGAAAAGAATGACCCATGGTGACACGGGCTCGTTGGAAAGGGTCAGGAAAGGAACATATACAGCAAAAGGTACAATACAGCTTTCCGTAGAGAACACTGGGTATCATTTTCTTCCACTCATCCCTCCTCTCCACCATCAAAGCCAAACATTTATATAGGTATGCATTCCACCCTGCCCAATGCATTACAAATGCCAATAAGAGAGGTAGGACTGTTGTTTCCATTTTTTTCCTTCTAAAGCTATTGAAAGTTCTTTGTCTGTTCCTTATATAGTTTTAGGAATACTTTTGAGGAAATTGCCTTTATTCTTTATAGTGGATTTCATATAAAGCAAGTTTTGTGTTTCTTAGGAATAAAATTTCAGGCTTCTGGAATATTTTTTATTTTCTCTCTCCATAAAAAGATAATTTCAATTTCCCTAAATTACTAGGAATCTACTCTACATGGTGCAGCAAAATTTTAAATTATGTAATTTAGATTACTCCAGAGTAAAACGTCTTAAAAACTGAGAGCACAGCTTAAGTGTATGGTCTAGAGGCAAGAGTTAATGGCATGGAAAAGTAGTAAAAGGTTGGATTAGAAGGTTTAATACTTTTGATCTCTCAGCCCATTGCAGTTTACTTACTCCTTAGGAGACACAGATGGGACACGGCAGGTGTGTGTAAGGAGCGAAGCAATTCATGAATACTCAGCCATGAAATAGAAAATCAAAATGAAATAAGTATGACTGCAACTATCTTGGTCTATTAACATTCAACTATTAATACCTACTGTTCTTTGAAAGCCATTACTGAATATTTACTGATAAGAAAAAAATGATAGCTTAGGAAGAGGAAGATGTTCAGGAAAAGCATTTAAGCAGGGTTTGAAAGACTTGTGATTTTCTTAACTCGGGGTAAAAGTCGACCAATTAAAGTAGGTTTCCCATCCAAATGTTTCCCATCCAAAATGATCCCTTTTTTTTTCCCCAAGGGATCTAATTTAGGATCCCTTGGAAAAAAATTCCAAAATGCATTACAACTATTCATAAGGGTGACACATGGACCTATTTTTCTAAGGACTTTGATTTAATATTTGAATGCAATGGTATCTGACTTTGTTAGTATAGAATATTTAAACTTAAAAAGAAAATACCTTAATTTACTTATGCATAAGCCTATTAAACACATTTCTAGGGGCTCTTTTTATGTTTATTCTCTAGAACATAACCTATCTTTGAAGTGGTATATTAGTTTTTAAAAAGTCATTCCTAAGCTGAATAATTAAACTGAAAACAAAAGCTATTCTTAGGGTGTATTCCACATATAAAGCTATGCACATGATGCTTTGATTCAAATAATATACTTATAAAACTTTGTTATTGTTTGAGTTCCATATTCAGAATGGCAACTTTTGTTTTTGATGATTATTCCATCCTGAAACAATTTCCCCCCTGCTCAATTAAACCAGAATTAGGAGCACATTTATATCTGATGAGACTTAAGCTTCTCAACTGCCTGCTTCAGAAATGTAGACCTTTAGTGCTTGTGTTCATTTTGTCTCTTTGTGGAAGGCTCAAAAGAAAACAGAATCAATTCCCTTAAGTTTTTCTGGAAGAAGAAGGTTGGTTTTGTTGCTTTGATCTTAGCATGTTGTGCATTTTTTATTGGCTGTTGAATATAAAAAGCCACAGCCTCATCTGGTTTTTCTGCTATATTCTCATATTGTAAATCACATAATGCCTTCCAATCTAAAGTAAAATGCCTAAGTCCAAAATATCACTTCAAAATGGATTTATCATTATAGTTGATAGAAAGATTTCCAGGGTGTAAGAAAACAATTCAACAGTTTGATTAATATGCCACAGACTGCTAAAAATATATTCATGCATTTTAGACAATAAATTTCAGGATATAGACATACACTCATGCTATTTGAGATCCTTTTTTCCTACCATTGCAAGAGGCTGCTTTAGCTAATGCAACAGCTGGCTAGGTTATTGCTTCAACAATATAATTCATAATGCAAAAGCAGCTCTTTTCCAAACATTTTAGAGCAACTCAAGTTGTTTACATCTCCTGTAGGTGATTTTCCTATAACTTTGTGCCAATTGGTGTCATACTATTTGGTAAAAATCTACATTAAATCAAGACAACTGCACTTGGTTAAATTTCTGTCATACAGAGAATTATAGAAAAATTACAGCTGATTTGAACTTATCATCATTAAGTATATACAGGGTTTTAGAAAATGAATGCAAACTACAAAAATGGAGTTGTATAATTAAACATTAAATAGTCCAAGTAATAAAAGTCATAGATTAATTGTCTCTCAGTTCTAGTCAGATCCTTTAAATACTGTCTCACGACTTGAGCATTGGTTCTTTCATCGGAAGAGTGCCTATCCTTAAAGTTGGGAAATTTCAGCTCCTTTGGAGCACCGATCATCTGTAAAAAGTAATTGGCATCTTCTTCCAAAGTCTCAAATTTCCCTACAAAATCATAGTTGATCAAACACGGATAGCAGAGTTTGCTGACCTTTTCCCAGTGAATGTCCATTCCTACTGGACGGTGGGAATCCAGCAAGTAGTGGATAAACTCTTTGAACTTGACTCCAGATCCATTAATTAATGCTTCTTCACAGGCATTTGGTCGATATTTCTTGATAATTGCCTTTCCGAATACTGGATGGTAATAACTATTGGGGTGTTCAAATTTGTCCCTAAAGGCTGATACTAATCTTTCCATGGGATCACGAACAAACACAGCTTTGGTGTAAGTATTTAAGCGGGTATATATCCCTTTTAGGTCAAAGCTATCTAGCTTCTTCAAATGCTTCCCGTAGTGGACAGCATTGTGGGAGATGTTGTATGCAGAGGAAGCCAATCCATTTAGTACCATCAGAATTCTTTTCCAATTGGAACAGCCAGCCTTAGGTACCTCACAATATAAGATTTTGTGTTTATCTTCTACATAGATTCTGGATACTGTATGAAAAAGATGTGACTGATGATGACTCACCCCACCGTATTTCTTGCAAAACTCCTGAAGGAAAGACCTTCGTTTCTCTTGGGTCTCCTCAGTTTTCTTCCATTTATTATCTTTGACTAAACTTTTGTTTAAAGGGTGAATGTCCACTGGCCAATTCATGTTGCTGAACTTGTTAAAAACAGTCTTAGCTCCTTGACGTTTTTCAATCAACTTCTCTGTTGGTGACCCTGTGGACTTACTTAAAGCTTGATCCCCTCCTTGTGAATGACTGGTCTTTGTTAAGAGCCTAGTAGATCTCTCAGAATTGAGTAGAAGATTTTCCTTTTTTTCTCGTACATCCTCAGGCATGTGAAACTTGGGGTTCTGTTAAAATAAAGAAGGAGAAATGTTGAAAGCACAGTCACGAGTGTGGGTATACTGGATAAGGAACTTCACATATTTGTTTTAAAATAGTATCAAGGAGAGCATATTTCATATAAGCTGCCAGAACAATTTAGCAAGGCATGCTGAACATACATTTTGTAGTGAGCTTCTTCACAGAAAATGTAGCAATGAGAAATGGCATCTACAGGATAGGGAGGAAAGAGCCCTGGATTTTTGTCCTGGCTTTGCCTGTAATGCAATAGGATGTAACTCAACCATTCTGAGCATCTATGACTTTTGGGATATTAATAAGTATGTCATCTTCAAGTACTGTTTTAGTTTGTGCACCTGAATGTAGATACAAAATGGAGATGTTTTGAGATTGAAACTTTTATTGTTTTTAGGGAGCACTCTGTAATGCACAGAATAGTTCAAAATCATAAATTACAACTTAAAATTTTGGCAAGGCTAATTATAAATCTCGATGACCACTTCAGTTTTCTAAGTGCTTGCAAAAATCATGTATTTTTTTTTTCCTGGGAAAATGTTTTATTTTTCTAAAGCATTTATCACAATAATTTAAGAATTTATTATGATCATAGTATACAATCTCATTCACATATGAGACCTTCCCTCTTTCCCAAGTGAAGAATGACTAAGGAATCCAGAAAAGTCTACTTGACGTCCTGCTCTATAAAACTGTATCAAGGTAGAGCAAAAATGTAGTTATCTTTTCAGTAGGATGAATGAGTCCATTTACCACATACTGTTCATCTTGCCACATCCTTCCTACAACTCTCACAGTAAAAGAAGACATGGAAGACGGGATTTACAAGGTGGCATCCTCTGGTAGGGATGAAAATTTTAAGGACCTTGGCTTTTACTCTGGGTAAACTAGGGAACTTTTGTAGGGCTCTGGGTAGAAAAGTAACATGATCTCACTTAGACTTGAAAAGGATGGTGTGGAGAGGAATGGACTGGATATATACATATAGGGTTGTCAGCATGTTATTGGAAAAGTAAATGAATAAATTCTGTGCTGTGGACATAATGCATGGTGTCATCAGCCTAGAGGTGGAGGGAGTGGTGGGGAAAGTTTCCTAGGGAATATAAACATGATTGCAAATATATATATACATGATACACATGATTGCATATATATATATATAGTACATATATATGTGTGTGTGTGTATACACAATTTTTAACCATTGTATCCCCAATAGTGTCTAGAATGGTCTACAGCCTATAATAATTTCTCTCAAATATTTGTGGAATGAACAAGTGAATGAATGAATGGAATTAGGTCTTCAAGGATAATTAGTAATTTTCTAGCAAATTAAGCAATAGAACAGAGGAATGAAGCACCGTTCATGGAGCCACCTCCAGACATCATGGTCATTCCACCAGCTGAGGTTGAAGGGCACTGCTTTTTTTTCTAGTGCAAGAGGACTGTGTGAATAACCCCCTGAATACCATATGCCAACGTGTACAGCCCCGTGTATAGCCCCGTGTATTAGTCTGTTCTCATGCTGCTAATAAAGACACACCCGAGACTGGGTAATTTATAAAGAAAAAGATGTTTAATGAACTCACAGTTCCACATGGCTGGGGAGGCCTCACAATCATGGCAGAAGGTAAAGGAAGAGCAAAGGCCTGTCTTATATGGTGGCAGGCAAGAGGGAGAGTGTGCAGGGGAACTGCCCTTTATAAAACCATCAAATCTTGTGAGACTTATTCACTATCACGAGGACAGCATGGGAAAAACCCACCCCCATGATTCAATTACCTCCCACCTGGTCCCTCCCATGACACGTGGGGATTATAGGAGCTACAATTCAAGATGAGATTTGGGTTGGGACACAGCCAAACCATATCACCCCCTGAAACGGCCACTCCAAATCTTCCATACCATTGGACCGTCTATTTGGAGTTTTAACTCTAAAACCATTTGTCTGCTGTCTTCTCCAGAGACTGCCAGGATTACTTCAAAGCCCTTTGTGCTTCTTTACTCTGATCAGTGATTTGTAGTACATAAAGTTGTCACTGAAAATATAAAATTTGACTGTGGTTTGACAGACCATAGGGTTATGGGTGCACATGCATGGAAAGTACTTAGCACAGGCCAAATATAAAACTGCCATGATATTTATACTATTACACTGCTATAAATAATAACTACTATTATTGTTGTTTTAGCAGCAGCAGCAGTAGTAGTAGTTATAGTACTTTAATCCCAGGGACCTGGTGAATTTAAAGCCTCCCCATTTGTCCATTATTATTCAGACTATAATTTGTGTGTCCCTACATATGCCCTCACCAGGTCTCTTCTCTGCTTGACAATCAGAAATAAAAACAAAATCCACCTTCCCCTGTGGCCTCTGGACTTTCTGCTTTGTGGCCATCAAATTCCCCTTTAATCTCCAGGGGTTTCTGGAATGTTTGTTTCCAAGACTCTCTGTAAATGAAACTTGGCTGACTCCCAACACTCTGTGTCTCTTGCACTTTCTCAAGTAGGTGAAACTTGACTTCCTTGAACTACTTGTCTCTCCAGCCAGAAGATAGGGAGTGATTTCCCTGCAGCCCACGGCTGCTTCCAGGACATCACCCAGCAAAGCCCTCTGCTTCTGTGAAATCAATGTGTTCTCCTTAAGTCTCCCTTTCCCCCTCCTCTTGTTGTCATCTACCTTTATCACTGATCTGTCCACTTTACACACTCCAGCTTCTAACTCAGCTCCTGTCATTACATTTAGTGACTCTGACATCCAATCAACTCTCAGTTCCTTGACCACTTTGTTTTTAACAGAGGAGCTCTCCACTTCACATCAAACTTGGTTATCACCAGAGCCTTTACTATTCCCACCATCTTTCTGACCACTCTTGTCTCACCTTCCAGTTCAGTGTTATTTCCTGGTTTGCAATTCTTTGACCACTTTTCACTGTTACCCAGGTCTTAACAGCCAGCATGACTGGCTCTTCATTCTTCAGCTCTCAGTTGGAAAGTCACCTCTGTAGAAAGGCTTTCCCTATTCACCCTGTCTAGGTTATTTCCCTCCCTTTCAAAATATTTCCTGCAGAACCCTGCTTATTTTTCTCATAGCACTAATCACACTGAGAAATGATTTTATTTATTTCCTTCTCTGTTGTCTTTTTCACCCCACTCTACCTCCATTGCACTAGAATATAACTGCAGAGAGGTCTTATCTTTCTTGCTCTCTGTGGTACTAAGCACACTGCCTGGCGCATAGAAGATGTTAAGGAAATAATTCTTGAATAAGTAAATGTGCTTCTAATTTAATAGTGGTCTTCTAAACAACTGTTTTATGACCTTGTTGAAGAAAAACAACATTGACCAAAAGGTCAAGTTAAACTTGAATAAACAATTGACCAATTCTTGTTAAGGTGATGAGAATCTGTGTTTAAATAAACCTTTGGCAAAAGAGAAAACAAATAAAATAAGCACATGGGAATCTGCTTGCAGTAAAGTAGATGTGGAGGCTTCGTGTTTAACCTGCCTGCCAAATCAGATCAGTTCAAAGTCACTCAACGCTGTCTCCAAACCTGTCGAGGGCTTGCCAGCAATCCGGATTTCCAGGCCTTACTGCAGACATCCTGAATCAGAATGTCTGAGTGTAAGGCCCCTGACTTTAATTTCAACAAGATCCCCAGGTACTCCAGTGGCAGTCATAGCATTTGGGGACTACTGAACTAGAATATAAGAAAGGAAAGTATAAAAAAAGGCACAAGCCTTGAAAAGTTCCTTTCATCCTATCTGGGGGAGAAAGACATCAAATGTAGTGGACTTGAATATTTCAGTAAGAAGAGAAATAACTTGGATGTAGAGTAGGAATGTCACATGAGCCCTCATGCAGACTAGATGCAATGTCTTTCTTGTTTATCCATTTCTCGTTGCTGGAAGTCTTGGATCTCCAAGCAACTTTCTAAAGACTAGTTTAGCTGGGGAGATAACCTCATGAGGGAAAGGTTCACCACTCAATATAAATTAGTGTCCTCCTGTTTTATTGAGTGCTAGTAAGTTTCCTCTAGTCTAACCAAATTGAGATATGGGAAAAGGGTTAATTCTCTAAAGTAATGGCACCAGCAACCCACAAGGGTGGCCACCAGACCTTCTCCTGGAACTCCTCATCTCAATGTCATCCACCTTATAAAAGCTGTTATTCGGGTTTGATGACATCCCTCCCAGCCCCCATCTAACTCCATTTTCTTCCAATCACAGCAAAGACTCCATGACTAAGGGGTTTGCATTACTAAAATCATAGCTAATGACATTTCAAATTTAAAGCTCATACCAACAAAGTCCCATCATCATCATCATCATCATCATCTTCACAACAATAATAAAAGAGTAAAATCTTACATCTCCATTTTCCTTGGGACACTTTATTCTGATTGTCCCTGAGGCAAACATGTATATAAAGCCAAAATTATCCTGTTGCCTTCAAGAGTGGCTCCCCCTGTGTTATTTTCCGTTTTTGAAAAGGTCCTATTACTTTCCTGTCACCCACTCACAAAATCTGAGAGATGCTTTAACAATGGGAAAGTAAATTGGCTATTTTACATCTCATAATACTTCTTTTTTTGTATCTTTCTAAATTAATTACCCCCAATTGGATATTCATTATCCTCCTAATTAGTGTCCCTGCAATTATTACTAAATTATTCTTCCCCAAACATTTTGTTTTTTATTTCTTAACATTTTGAACTGGATCCTCTAGTATCAGTGAACGTCCCCATTCCTTTGCTGGCATTTGCAGCCTGGTGCTGCTGAGCCTCTTCTCCTTTTGCTTTTTTTGCTTCTCTCTTAACACATGCCCTGTCCTCCACTTGCTTTTA
This sequence comes from Homo sapiens, assembly GCF_000001405.40. NCBI lineage: Eukaryota > Metazoa > Chordata > Mammalia > Primates > Hominidae > Homo > Homo sapiens. The sequence continues at coordinate 26,922,205 of NC_000018.10, forward strand.
TCTGGGCTCTTGGCAGCCCCAACTCATGGTCTCCTCCTTTCTTGGGACGTTCAAAATCTTCTAGTTTGATGTAAAAATCCTACTTTCTCCATGACAACCACCCAGGTCTCCAGTGAGTGATTCTACTCCCTTTGAAATGACTATAGCACTTAGTCTGTACTTCCTGTGAGGAAAGTAATTTTATTCCAGCTTCCACAGTTATTTGATTGTTTTGTTGGAAAAACTCTTTTAACTGCAGCTAAATTGTAAGCTATGGAGGAAAGCTATAGTTTTCCATAAATATCCTTAAAGAGTAGATATTGCAGAGTTAGCTGAAAGACATGTAACTACAGATTTAAAAAAATGAGTATCTAAAAAAAATATGGAAAAATGTGTGGAATGTTCATTAAGTCTGCAATAAACTTGAAAGCCTAATTCTTGTTATTTTTATTTATTTATTTATTTATTTTGAGATGGAATCTTGTTCTGTTGCCCAGGCTGGAGTGCAATGGCATGATCTTGGCTTACTGCAGCCTCTGCCTCCTGGGTTCCAGCAATTCTTCTGCCTCAGCCTCCTGGGTAGCTGGGATTACAGGCGCATGCCACCACACCCGGCTAATTTTTGTATTTTTAGTAGAGACGGGGTCTCACCATGTTGGCCAGGCTGGTCTCAAGCTCCTGACCTCAGGTGATCCAGCCGCCTCGGCCTCCCAAACTGCTGGGATTACAGGCATGAGCCCCTGCGCCTGGCCAATTCTTGTTATTTTTAAGGGTTTCTGTATCAAGCATATCTCCTCTGTGAATTCTTATCGATCCTCAACACTGATATGAATTATACTTTCTTTCTCCCCGTCAAAGTTGTTGAGCACCTCCTATACATCAGGTTCTGTGCTGGATGCCAGAGATGGTGGGGTTTATAAGACAAGTGCGGACTTTATTCATATACAGTTGGTATTCTCATAGGGAAAAGTATATTAAGCAAATAACTGCACAATTAATTAATCTATTACCATAGTGGCAAAGGCTCCAGCAAGATACTATTGGAAGCTGGGAGAGCAGAAATGGGGGTCCAGGATACAAAGAAAAGACTGGCCCAGTTTGAGTGTTAAGTCCTCTGTTTATTGTGTTTTATTTTATTCTAGGTAGTTGTTAGGGTTAATTGTTTAGGTAATGATCTCTCTATTTTAATTTCATTAAATGTCAGTGTGCACTCTTTTAAATCTATATAACCCCCACTAGCATCAAGAACACTATCTTGCATTAATAACATATGTTTGAATTTGATTGAAGCAAAGAATATCATTCCTGCACTGCTCCTTATTCAGGCAACAAATTCACATTGGTTTTATACTGTTGATAAGTGTTGTACATTTGTAGGACCTTATATACTATTGTGGATCCTATGGAAACTATAAAACTTGAGACTTTGATCATTCTTTCATCAATGCACATATATGGAATTACTACTGTATGTTGTTTTAAGCATTATATAAATAAGGATGAGATAGATAAAATTTGTGGCCCTTCAAGGAAACCAAAGTTTAATTGATCTGATGAAAATAAGCAGTTTATGAAAAAATGTGACAATTGCTATAATAAAAGGATAGGTCAGGTATTTGGAAAACAAAGAAAAAAGTGCTTAATTTTTCTGGAGAGATTTTTGGGGGCAAATTTCACAAGGGAGGTGATGCCTGAGATGAGCCTGGGAAGATGACTGAGGAGCTACCAGGTGGACAAGCCAGAGATGGCAAGGGCTGTACATCCTGACATCGAGTCTGCTTGGGGGCCAGACTCAGATGACAGGGAGAGGCAGGAGGGGTTGGGTGTCATTCCAGGAGGGCCTGGGCTGATATAAACAGTCAGACTTTACCATATATATGATGGGGATTTTCAATAAGGTCGTGACAAGATTCACGATTTAAAACATTCTGGGGCAGTGGGGAGGTGTGCCTGGGGGCAGAGGGATCTTCTGGAAGATGATTATGATTGTCCATCAGGAATCCTTAGGAGAGGAACTAAGACAATGGGGTAAGAATGAAGAAAAAGGGAGTTGAGACAAACTTAGGAAACTGCTCAGATTCGAAGCATAAGGGTGACAGAAGTGTAAAGAATGGCTCCCCATTTCCTCTCTGAGAGAAGAAATAGAAGTAGCAGTTTTTATGGGGGCCCTGGGGTGGGTGTGGGCATTCACTATCTTCGATTTCAGACCTCTTGAGTTTAAGGTGCCTTAGAGAGCTGGAGGTAGATAGCAGGACTGAAAAGCTGGGTATAGATTCAGGAGTTGTTGGCTGGTGGAGGTGCAGCTGGATTCATGGGCCTTGAAGGCACTGCCCAGGGAGTAATTTATAATATTACTCTTAATAATGTATCTTTTGTGATTTACCTTGAATCTAGATAGAAGTGCAGTTATATTTCTTCACACCATCAAGGAGACCTAATTGTCTCCAGTCATTGATAAGATAAATGATGGGAGAGGGTGGGGTGCTCAAAAGTCAGTCTTTTCTGGGGACACAGGTCAGTGTGTCTCTCCTGGGTCCCTCTGTGCCACAGCTACTCCTCTTAAATCTTGATTCCAGGGCTTCAGAAGCTGATGGCATAGTTATGAGAGGGGTGAAGACTGCGACTGCATTTCCAACAGACCCTGAGGACAATTGGGAAGAATGTGAGTACGGAGTCCTAATATCCAGTGCCATCTGCCCCATCTCGCTCTCCATCCTCACCCTTTGCCCTTCCACCTTCAGTTATTCATTAAACACGTGTTTTCTGAGCACAAACTGTGCTCCAGGTACTGGGCTGTGCGTTGGTGGTATAGCTAGCAAGACAGACTTGGTCCCTGATCTTACGGAGCATCCTTGTGGTCAGGGTGGGGTAGGGAGATACAAATAAGAAAACCAAAGTTATACTTATGGGAGGTAATGAGATGGAGAAAAAACTTGGTGCATTAAAGGACAAAAAAAAATTTGGCACAGGAAAACATGAAAGAGGAATCCTGGCTCGCAGGTGAGGGAGGGTATCTGGGAGAAACTATGAGCCAGGCAGAATCATTTCCATTTCCTGTCTCTGTGACTTATTTCCTCTCTCTTGAATATTCTTCTCCATTTTGTTTGCCTAGTTAATAGACTAGGGGGCATGGAGCAAGCTGGTTTAATCACTGCATCAAACAGAAGAGTAGATGCAGATAAGCTCATTTTACAGATTAAGAACCTGAGCTCAGAGAATTTAAATAATGTGCCAAGTTAACACAGCTATTGCTGGAGCTGGTGTCTCAAATCTCTGTCTTAGTCATGCCTGGCTTTTTTCAGCTGCATCATATATCAAGCAATCTATTTCTTGTTTAATGTCCATTAAATGAACTGATGTCAGGAAAGCACCAGGCATATGCCTGTTACAAGAGATAATGGTCGTTAAGAACATGGATTTTTGAGTCAGACAGAACTGGTTATGTGTCTTCTTCTATCGTTTTCTCTCTGGGTGACCTCGGTTATCTTATTTTGTTTTTCTGAGCTTCAGTTTCCTTATCTGGAAAATGAAGATAATAACAACATCTACCTTGTTGGATTATAGGAAATGCCTGTAGAGATTCCTTAATGTAAATATGTTCTCCATAAATATTAGATTTTTTTATTGATTTAGGCGCTGAATATTTTTGAGCAATTTCTATATGATAAGCAGTTTTTAGGTAAGTATTTGTTTTTTATTCTGCTTTTTTCATCTCTTTCTCCTCTTCCTTCTCTCTCACAACATGTAGCAAAGTTAAATGTTCAATGGCAATAAAAATGAGTGAGAAAAAAAGAGAAGGATAAGACACTTGAGAGACAGAAATGGGAAAGAGAAAAGATAAAATTAAGTGGAGGCAAAGGCAAAGAAAGAAAACAGAAGAAAAGAAATCACAATTATGGGTAACAGGGAGGAACAGTGAACACTTGAAGAGAGTGGGTAAAGAGAGAAACTACTGAATTACAGTCTTCTCCAAGCTATGAGCTTTAAAATATTTAAACTGCTTCAACACAAACCAGCTGTTTCTGTTGTGAGGCTATTCAAGTTGATCCAAAAAGCTAATTTCTATGGTCCTCTTGGATTCAAGGATTGAAACTATGGTTTTATTTGCCAGTTCTTTCCATTTTTGGATTTAATTCCTATTTTTTTTCTGCTTGAAGCCAAACAAGCTTAAAATATGAGGACTGAGGACATAACATAATGTGAATGTCAAGGAGAAGTTTCTATTGGAAACAGTGCTCTGGTTTGACAAGACCATCAGAAGCGGAAAACTGACATAACCTTAATGTATATAAGTAGATAAGGCTACTCCCCAAGGGGTTCAATATGCTTTTATAGATTTATCATTCTATCTTCCTTCCAAGTTTTGTAGGAAAAATGAGATGACTCTTTTGTTTGCAAATTTACAGATAAATAAATCAAGACAGACTTGTGTAATAACTTGCACAAGGTCACTCTAGAAAATGAATGGAGAAGTCAGGAATGTAGTCCAGTTCTCTAATTCTAACCCAGTAAACATTAGTTAGCAGAATATCTTGTTTTTTTAAAGAAACTCAAAGCCTTAATGAGGAGCTGCAACTTGATAAATGAAATACATTCAAAATGTTTGGCCCTATTTTATTTCTTAGGTTTGTGTCTGTACATATTAAATGTGGATGGGAACAGCAAAACCCAATAAATTATATTTGGCAGGAAAGAAGTAGAATAAGTTGGTGTTTTCACTATTAGGATTTAAACATTTCATTGGATTTTAGATATCTAATGGATTTGGGATATGGCTCTTTAATATTTCCGTGTATTTAGTTGTCTGAAATTAGTATTGGTCAGCCAGCCTCCCCTCCCCTTGCATTTCAGGTTAATGCCAACAACAATGTGTGTGTCCAAGAGGGTTTGGAGGAGCAATGGAGGGGTGCACCCTGACTCTGACACCTTGTTCTAAAGTATACAGTTGCTAGACAGAGTTCTTCTTCTTGTTCTCTGGAATGTGGTGAAGAGGAAGGAACCAGCTGTCTTGTGTTGCAATTTCAAAATGTCAAGTTTTCTTTTTATGTGTGTGTGTTATGGCCATGGATTGGCAAGAAAAAGATTTTCACAGGTGAAGGGGAGGTCTTCCCCTCCACACCTGTGGGCGTTTCTCGTCGGGGGGCGGGGGTACGAGAGACTGAGAAAAGAAAGAGATACAGAGACAAAGTATAGAGAAAGAAAAGTGGGCCCAGGGGATCCGCGCTCAGCATATGGTCTCTGAGTTCCCTCAGTATTTATTGATTATTATCTCTACCATCTCTGAGAGGGGGATGTGGCAGGACAATAGGGTAACAGTGGGGAGAGGGTCAGCAGGAAAACATGTGAACAAATGTCTCTGTATCATAAACAAGGTAAAGAAAAAGGTGCTGTGCTTTGATGTGCATATACATAAACATCTCAATGCATTAAAGAGCAGTATTGCCACCAGCATGTCTCAACTCCAGTCCTAAGGTGGTTTTCTCCTGTCTCAGTAGATGGAATATACCATAGGGTTTTACACCGAGACATTCCATTGCTCAGGGATGACAGGGATGAGCAGGAGACAGATGCCTTCCTCTTATCTCAACTGCAAAGAGGCCTTCCTCTTTTACTAATCCTCCTCAGCACAGACCATTTATGGGTGTCAGGCTGGGGGACGATCAGGTCTTTCCCTTCCCACAAGGCCACATTTCAGACTATCACATGGGGAGAAACCTCGGACAATACCTGGCTTTCCTAGGCAGAGGTCCCTGCCGCCTTCCGTGGTGTTTTATTTCCCTGGGTACTTGAGATTAGGGAGTGGTGATGACTTTTAACAGCACGCTGCCTTCAAGCATTTGTTTAACAAAGCACATCCTGCATAGCCCTAAATCCATTAAACGTTGAGTCGACACAGCACTTGTTTCGGGGAGCACAGGGTTGGGGGTAGGGTTACAGATAAACAGCATCTCAAGGCAGAAGAATTTTTCTTAGTACAGAGCAAAATGGAGTCTCTTATGTCTACTTCTTTCTACATAGACACAGTAACAGTCTGACTTCTCTTTCTTTTCCCCACACACAGGCAAGGGGGATGAGTCCATAAGATGACACTGGAAAAGGGGATTGGCTTGAGTGCACCAGGGGGCCAGAGACATGGGTCATCCCTGGTGACGGGAGTTGGAATGCTCCCCTGAGATGGAGACTGGAAGTACAAGAAAGAAGAAAGTTGTTGTGAGGTCAGGAGCATGGTGGCTGGATAGATCTTCAAAGTATGAAGAGCATTAGCTTTTGCGTCAGATTGCCTAGGTCTTCCACCTATTAATTGGGTGATTTTAGGACAATGTCATCATTTGTGGCTCCCTAGAATCAGACCTTAAGTCAAGGGTTGAGAACAAGTTATTAATTTAGTGTTGATTCCAGGAAACACTGGCAGGAGAGTAGGGAACTGAGAAAGGAAAGGCACAGAATATAGGGTGGATTATTGAGCAAGTTAGCACAGTGGGAATAGGAGCTGAATTCTACTGAGGAGCCCTCAGAACAAATGTAGAGCATATCTCCCCAGAGTTATTCCACACAATCCTATCAGCTGTGGTTAAAGGTTTCTGCAGGGCGAGTTCTGGCAATTCCAGTCTGCTCTACAGGCGGGCAGGGTGGACTCACTCAGGCAGAGTCACAGGTGTGGGTAGTTGGTTGGAAGTCTGGCTGGAGTGCAAAAGAATGTTAAGAGATGAATAAATATGGGAAGGCACAGCTAGCACTCTTACAGAGAGTCCATTAACATTCCTGAGTCTGTTTCCTCATTTTTAAAGTGGGAATTCCAAGAACTATTTTGGAAACGTTGAAATGTAAGTGAAGGCATTGGCTGGGATCCAGGACCCCAAACACTCTGTCTTACCATAGTAAGAGGTCTCAATTCTGTCTTCCTATACTCACTCTTCCTTTGGAAGTGTCCATGGTGTATGTTTGTGTCTATGCACACAAACAAGGCTGAGAAAAGGAACACCCTACAACTAGATGGAACCCTAATCCTGTTCAGCTAAGACTATATAGATCTGTGGGAATTCTGTTGCTCAGAGAAGGCAATCCTAACTTTGGGCAGGAGGTCTCTTTGGACCCTTTAACCAAGAGCCATGCCAAAATATCAGCCCTCTGATTCTCAAACTCTGATACTGGGAAAAGGTAAGTCTTTTAGAGAATTAACTAGATAAATGCAGTTATAAAGTACCTAGTACAGTACCTGACATATAGTGTCTGCCATATAGTAGGTTTCTCCAAAATGTGAATGCATCCTGTCTCTATGCCTTTCTTCTCTGATTTTCTTTAAATACCGGGCATATCATCTATAACGCTGCTTTCCCAACTTCAGATTAAGATGACCATGGGAACAGTCCCTGTGTGCATAAGCAGTTGACAGAGGTGGATGCTAATTCAATTAATAGTATCCATAGGCCAGTGAGCAACCAATGAGGGGACCTGGAGCAAAAGACACTGTCCAAGTGGGTAGAGAGTAACTAGCTAAATCAATGTGTCCATCTCCCTTTTGGGCTGTAGACTGGAAAATATGGAGAGTGGCCAGTTATTACGGGGTAGGAGGAGAGAGAGAGAGAGATGAAGAGAGAAGAGGAGGCACAAAAGTAGCAGAATAGGAGTCTGAGAGGGCATCTGAGTCAAGATAAGGTGAAGCTGGGGGCTATGACGTAAGTGACACTCCTTTTCCAGGAAGCAGCATATACCTGCCCCCAACCCTGCCCAACATGCCAATGCCTACTAGTCCAAAGCCACCTGAGTCCTGGGAGCAGCATTGCCATGTGCGAGAGTAGTAGGGGCACTGGCAGGAATGCACTCCATTCGTCTCACTGGATTAAGCATCTACTGGTCCCAGATCAGATTGGCCTGTGTCAGCACCTTTGAGTGAAACACACGCCCCTCTGGCTTATGTCACTTGCATATTTGACAACTCAGCTATACTTAAGACAGCTCCCCAAAGCCTGCTCTAACCCTCACTGGAGAGCAGGCAGCTCACACTCTGGTGCTACCATGTGTTACCTGGGCCCTGAGTTAGGAAGAGAGATTGCCTGTGGTATCAGATCATGCCATGGGGATTCTGAGTCCATGCTGAGTGGGGTTTCTTTTCAGGATTTCATTCTGAGAAAGAATGCAAAGGAAGAATATAGAATTACACTAGCAGCAAAGCAGAAGGACAGAAGGGAAGACAGGAGTCAAGTGGGTTGTCATATGATGAGGTCAGAGTGAATAGAGCACTAACAAAACTAAGCGAGCATCAAATGGATATTTGCAAGGTCTATGTATGCATGCATTCAGATACATTTTATCATCTTTATTTTTTAGAATATTATTTCATTAACTCTAAGTTTTGCAGCTTTTTGGGGTTTCCAAAATGGGTTACCTCTCCTAAAAACAGTTGTACTTGATTCAAGATATCAATTAAATGGGTACTGGAGGCAGCCATGGCCACAGCCTCTCCTTTTGTTCCCTTTCTTTGTGAGGGCAAGTATAGGTTGCACTGATCCTGACCTTTTGGCCTGAGGATGGAAGTCTTCAGTATCTGTACAACTTTACTCCCAAGAGCTGGTGTAGAATGAGTTCCTCTGGCCATGGGAGGATCGCAGAGGGGCACCTGCCACCAGCAGCCCAGCCTCAGTAAGTGCAATGTGCAGTTGGCAGAGGGGAGGGAGCTGGGGGCACACCAACCCTTTCTGTTACTTCCTGTAGGCATAGCCCAAGTCTCAGGAAGCAGAATATACATGGGGTGGGGTGGGGTGGGGTGGGGGAGGAGAGGGGAGCTGTTTCTGCCCCCACCCATTACCTACTAGTCCAAAGCCACTTGAGCCATGGGAACAGCAATGCTAACCACAATAGCTGCAGGGACCTGGAAGGGGATTGTTGATGCATCCAACTGCAATGCTCTTTTACATTGAGATGTTGATGGACAGGCTTCTACCTAGTCTTCTCTAGAGATACACATATCATAAAGCAGGCAAGTATAACTCTCTACACATTCCTTAGATGCTGTATCATTACCCCCTTCCCTCACTACAATTCTGTAATCTGCACCTTGGGAGGAACAAACACGTCTTATTGCACCTTGCCCAGAAATAGTATCACAGCTTATTAACTCCATCTACTCCCCACACAAGGGATAACGACTGTCCACTGAAGGGGTAAGGAAGTCTCAAGTGCCACACAAGGAATTTTCCTAGGGCCTTCCATCATTTTAGGCCAATAGTAACTCACCTATAGCCAGTACTGTAGCAAGTTGAAAGTGTATGGATTTGGGTACCATTCATCTGTAAAAACCAAAGAAAAGACTTGCCCTTCTGGATTAATTCACAGACCTGTGGGAAGACCCTCTTGTCTCACCTGTGACTCATGACCATATTTTGAGATCCCCAAGTCCCTGGAGCCTGCTTCCTCCTGAGCAAAGAGGGTTGTCTTTATTTCAACGGGCAAGGAAAGTCCATTTGTTTGTCTCCACTCCTGCCAGGGCTCCACTCTCCTTCAGTTACAGGAGACCTCCTGAAGCAAGGCTGGAGGGAGAGGCTGTGTGGTAAGAGTGAGCTTTGAATGAGTATGGACTGAGGGCTTCACATGCACCAGATGCTGCACAAAATAATTGAATTTAATCCTCACTCTGGCTCTGACAGGTGGTTGAGATCATATTTTTATTAAACTTACTCAGCATTTTATAATGGGCAATTAATTGCTGGAGGTGGGATTAAAATCCAGTCTTGTCCAGCTCCAAAATGGTATGTCTCTCACTACCTAACCCATGCTTTCCTCTCGGTGACATCACATCTGTAACTATAGGAGTGTTTCCTTGCTATCAGATCCAAATGAATACAATCCTTTGTACCGAGTTACCTTGAGGTAGCCAAATGTGCCGGAGTCAACTCTAGTTAGAATGAATGAGGACATCATCCCACCTTTGGTTGCTTCAGCTCTCCAGTTTAAAATAATATATGTTGGGTACCAAGAAGCTCTACTGAACATCATTGTTGGAATGACCAAAGTACTAGGCTCTTGCTCCTGGACAACAATGATATAAGTCAGCACTGCCTGGACTTTGGGTCTCTCCTCAGGTAGCATAAACCACACAGAGATTGTGATCATCTGCTCAGCTTTTATGTCAGCCTTGCAACAAATCTCCTTATCTTCATGGGATCTTTATCTTCACTTCTGCCTCCACACTACTGTTAGAAACACATATACTGAGACTTGGTGGTTATGGAGTAATAATATCTTCACTCCATCAATGTTGTTTTTTTTCAAGAAAATTTATTTTAAATCTTGGCACTTCCACAGCTGCAAAAAATCTGGGAGAACAAGCCAGCACTTGTGGAGCTGTGTGTGTTAGCTGGATCAGGGGTGAAGGGGGGCAAGCTGAAGTACCTTTCAACCCCTGATAAACTCCCAGGGACCAAGGAACCTGGTCCCCATGGCTTTTTATCACTGAGATGCTAGCTCTATAATGCCATCTCCATGGTGATTTCTACATTGAAGAAGAACATTTATTTCCTGCCACCAGTAAGAGACCACCTGAGTGTTCAGTTGCAGTATCTTCAACTCCCCAGATCCATCAGTAGCATTGTCTTCTCTGGGCTTCTCTTATAGAACTCTTTTTTAGCAAAGTCAAGTTTCCATATTCTAGGTAGTAACTTATCAGATGGATGTTCAAAACGATGGAAGCAAAGCATTCATGTATTGCATTTCAGTTATTTTCTCTGGGGTTTTATCACCCTTCAGGTGGTTGTCTCCAAAATAACAGGTGTCATTCTGCTCTATTAATCTGGTTCCCCTACCTTTATCCAGGCACTTTTCTCTTCAGCGTCTTCTTCAAGGTATTTCCAGTTGCCCGCCCTGAACTGTTTCAGAATGAGGAGGACACCTGGAGGAATCTACACGTGCATAGACCAATTTGCAAAAGAACCTGTGAGCCAACGTAGGTTGTGAGATGCATATCCCACATCCAGTTCAGCCCAGTAACTTGGGAAATGGGGGAGAGGTAGCTCTGAAGACCAGACTTAGTACATTTTTACCCCCATCCATGCTTGCAACTGTAAGTTGATCTTAAATTAGTACTTTTAACCAAGTCAACCTCAATCACTTGAATAGGATACCCAGCTGAAAAACTTGGGGTCACTGAATCAATCTCTTATCTGTAAGAGATAATGATGCCCACCCAATGGGGTTCTGAAAAATATGTAATGCCTGACATGTAGTGTATACTCACTGAATGTGGCTTTTAACCACAACCTTTATATTTTTGCCGAGTATCACCTTTCTGCAGCAACCGTGAGAACCTCGCGCTAAGCTTGTCTTAGATTGCTCATTCCTTTCCTATATTTAGACACCAAACTCCATTCATTTTCCCCTTGAAATGTTCATTCCCATGATCAAGATTTTGCTTAAACACATTTTGTTTTCATGTCCAGATTATTACCTCAGCTGGAAGAATTAATAAGCAACACGTTCACCCAAGAAGTATTTACTGAGCACCTACTATGTGCATTATTTTCTGGTGTTGGGGCTAGGGGGCAAACGACTCTGACAAGTCTCTGTTCTCAAGGTACTCACATTTATATGGATGAAGATAGATAACAAACAAGGAAAAAATTGGACAGACAAAAAATTTAGGTGGTGCCAAGTATGATGCAAACACTAAAACAGTAATGCAATAGAAGATGTCAGAGGGAGAGTGGGAAGGTTACGTTAAATAGATGTCCAAGGAAGATCTCTCTGAGGAGAAGCTACTAGGGCTGAGATCTTAATGACAACAAGGAACCCAAGGGCTGGAAGCAGAGCGTTTTGAACATGGCCAGTGGGTGCAAAGGCCATCACACGTGAATGGGCCTGGCCAGGTGGAAGGACAGAGGGCAAGGCTGTTGTGGTTGCCCTGTGAGTGCGAACGGCCCAAGATGGGATGAAAGAGGAGGTCGGGACCACACCGTATAGGAATATCAGATCATGGTCAGGGCTTTGGATTTTACAGGGGTGCAGTATAAGCCATGGGGAGTTTTAGACAGGTACAGAAGTAATTTACATTTTCTTTCTTTCTTTTTTTTTTTTTTTGAAACGGAGTCTTGCTCTGTCCCCCAGGCTGGAGTGCAGCGGCGCGATCTCGGCTCACTGCAAGCTCCGCCTCCCGGGTTCACGCCATTCTCCTGCCTCAGCCTCCCGAGTAGCTGGGACTACAGGCGCCCGCAACCACGCCCGGCTAATTTTTTGTATTTTTAGTAGAGATGGGGTTTCACCATGTTAGTCAGGATGGTCTCGATTTCCTGACCTTGTGATCCGCCCGCCCCCGCCTCCCAAAGTGCTGGGATTACAGGCGTGAGCCACCGCGCCCGGCCGTAGTTTACATTTTCTAAAGCGTACTCTGCCAGCCAAGTGGCAAACAGACTTGGGCCTCTTAAGAGTGGAAGCAGGAGGAAACCCGAAGATCCTGGAGAGAGACTGGTGGCTGGTACCAGTGGAGAGGGAGCAAAAAGGAAAATACAGGATACAATTTCAGGAAAAATTTCATACCAATTTCCTGAGGTAATTTCTGAACTCGAACATTTTCAGTGTCACCACATTGTGTTTCCTGCTGAATCAAGTCTACATCACTTCGGTTTTTAAAGCCTTCCACGATCCTTCCCTGAACACTGTAGTTTTCACTGATGGTTGGCTGTTTCAAACTCCCATATGATCCATACTGTATCATTAATAAGCAAGCAAGGAATAACACACCCTCTGCTATTCTGTGCAGTGTTTCAGGTTTTTAGTTTTCTCTTTCAAGATAGAAAATCCCTTTAGAGTAGGAACTCGGCTGGCACTTTCTTTCACATCCTGCATAGCACTTAGCAAAGTTCTGTACACAGGGCACATGTGGAAATTGCTTATTGATTGATTAAAAGCATATATCACTGGCATTTGTATCTTCAGTATTTCTCTTGTATGAAGAAGGGTGATTATCTGTCAATATTCATTGCATCATTGAACCAATGTACAATGCATTAATCATCACTGAAGATAACCAGATGAGGCTTTATTGTAATCTCCTTCTATTTTGCTGAGATAATTTCACTTGCTTTAGAGTTTATGAGGCCATAAGTGGCTCCCATCTGTTGATGAACATATTTCTAAGAGTCATTTAGTCTCAAGTATGGAATACTTGAGGGGAAGTTAAATTGTAACTTTTATATTAAGTGTCATCTTAGTAACAGAACCAAAATTGGAAGCATGTGTTCAATTTTGGTTTTTCATTTTCAAAGCTTTAGGTCAGGCAAAGAATTAATTTCATTTGTTTACAAAGTAGATTATGCCTAATAAAATCTATTTTGTTTATGGTCACATTTTAATCAATCCACTGCTTTAGAAAATGAGAGAATTCTGATTGGCTAATCATTCAACATAGTAAATTACATTATTCCACATCCACAGAACACTGGCCTAATTGCATTATCCAGTAATGATAAAAATATTCCTTTTAATACATTTTGAGCAAGGCATATACCAGTGATGAAACAGGGAAGAATCTTGTTTATTCCATCCTTGTTTGATGATCGACCACAGAATATAACATAACACTTCTGTGTATAAGAATTTTTTCAACATTAAGGATAATAAGGACAAGGTAGTTTTCACTGGATCCTTACTGGTACTCTGAATTTTCACTATTTGTCCGCATTTCTTCTCCTTCCCGGAAATTTGTTTTCTGCGAAAAACAAGTGCTACTTTGTCAAATAAAGCTTAAATAAAATTGGTTTCAATTTATGCATAATAAAAGGAATGCCTAGTGACTTTCTATCTCTAGTGGGAGGTAGAAAACTCTCCAGGGTGACTTTATTCACTCCAGAGGTTCTGGTGAGCACCAAGGAACATTACCTCTGCAAAATGCAGACATACGCAAAAGGATGCATCAAATTTAAGAGAAGTCCGTAGATAGATATCTGAGGGATCTGCCTTAGGGGATGTAGACCATATATACAACACGAATTCCACAGAATTAGCCTGGTATTCACGATCACTGTTTCTTAAAACATAACTCTTTTATGTTACCAAGCAACTTTTATCTGAGATGATGACTACTCGAATACTTCTTTTGCATATCGCCAGAAAATATCAAGTTTTCATTTGAGTCCTTAATTCAAGTTCTTTATCACAAGAAGAAAGAATAGCATGGATAAAATGGTTTAAAGGTAGCCAAAAAAAAAACAAAACATTGTATTTTAGAATGCATATTCAAACATATTCCAAAAAATACTGTATTTTAGAATGCATATTCAAACATGATGACAAGTGGGCTCTGTGGCTCATATTGACAATAGCTTTAACCTATGAAGTGAGTGTCTTTCTATACGGAGGTGATGAGTTACTCAATACTGAACGGCTCTACTAAATTGTGCTTTTGGCTATTAGAACTTGGCTACTGCCTTTCGTTGCTATGTGTTGAGAGAAAAATCTCAAATGATGATGCTAACCATTTTGCTAATAAAATATGCTAAGCTGAAACATTTCAGTTACTCAGTTCATCTTCTGGTACAGATGCTAGCAAGCAGAGAAGGTTATGATTTGAAAAACTCAACAGAAAGGAGGAAAAAGATGAGAAAAAGATTGACTAGAAAATTATTCATGGAATATATTTCACCAGCCTATTGGGTGTTAGCATCTTAGGTGGTGTGGTTAATGCTAATTTACATTAAATGGTAAATTAACTATTTTTATTTTTCATAAATGGTACATTTTCAGTACGGAGTTTCAGTATTCCATATTTTCTCACATGGGTACATACACAATGACACTGTTATTACTAACAATAAAGAACTTGTAAGAGAGTTTTTAGAAGTAACATGCTTTTCTAAGAAACACAAAGAAAACATTTTATAGTGAGTGAAAATGAAGGTTTTTACTTCAAATTCTCTTTTTATTTCCATGATATTTCTGCCTGGGCTCTGCCAAGGAAAACTGGCAGTGGGCAACGGATTATGCCAATGTATACTTTTTTCCCCTCTGAGTTTTTAATCTCTTTTCAGGTGACAAATAGTTTTCTCTTAGACCAGATTCACTTTATTTTTCACTTACTTAATTAAAAAAGTAATTTACCGCTCAACAGGGACCCTGGAGTATATGTATGCTCATCTTCATGGTTAAAACACTTTGAAAAAAGACATACCACATCATAAAAATCTGTATTCCAGGGTCTCAGAACAGACTGCTTCAGTATTGGTGTCAGAATTGGGGGATTAATTAGGGTGGTCATAAGTGAGATCATTTAATTAATAGAACAGCTTCCAGAAGAGGTGGGAGTGTAGTATAATTGTGGAGAGAAAGGAATTCAGAATGAGATACACCTGGATTCACATTTGAGGGCTGCCACTCATCAGCGGAGTGCCATTAAGGAAAGATATTTAAAGCATCCCAGAATAGTGGCTGTTGCTCACACTGTAGATAGCATTGGATTGCCTTATTTAATCCTGGCATGACCACTTATGCATGCATGATTTTAGACGAACTAATTCGCCTCACTAAGATGAATCTTTTGATTTGTTCCTACTTCGCAGGGTCACTGTTGTGAGGTTTAAGAGAGATAATTTAATGTAAAATTTAGCATAATGCCTACACACAAAAAGCTTGTCAAGCATTTAATAATAATACCGACCATTATTATTACTAATGTCGTGCTAAATGTGGCAGGACCTGAAAAATTACTAAATCTGATTTCAAGCCTGAGTTTCCACCTGTATAAAGTGGAGATTAAAATCCTGGTCCTCACAGGGTTGTTGTAACAAAACATGAGATATGGAGCACTGAGTGATTAGCACAATTATTGATGGCAATTATTCAGAAGCATTGAGTGCTTGAATGAGAGCTGTCTGTATATTTGATTGTGAATAGTTCTCACAGTGTTTATTCCAACCACTATTTTCTTCTTGGTGGTCATGCTTTTAAAACATCTGAAGGCCATATTCTCAGCTTTGCTTTGTCTTGTCAATCTAGATACCTTTCCACAGGTACCCTTCACATTTTAACTTTCTTGGCTTCCAATTAAAGAGGCAAAGCCCAGCACTTCGACATTTACACTTAAGTATTTTCTAGGTAGAAGCCATCTGACCTTTAAAAAAGACATCTTTTATAAATTCTTCTTTGTTAACCACCATTAGTGTCACCACTTTTCGATCCTTTCAGTCCTTCTTTCAGGATTTTGAAAAAGACTCGTAAATTGGATAGCTTTTCTAAAAGTGCAACTCTCTCAATTCTGAAGGTAATCTTAAAAGGGAATTAGGGACATGTGGGATCTTTACTAGCTCCATTAGTGCCAAACTTGCAAAGAGAAACTATCTTTAAGTCAAAATTGTCTCCTTGAGTGCGTGGCCATTTTGATAAGAATAGTGCAAGGTAATGCAATCCCACTTTAAATTTAGAAGTTCTAAAGTTCACACTACACTGAAAAGTCATCAGTGAGTGGCACTGCCATGCTTACATTAGAGGAAAGAATCAGGTACTCAAGTCTTGAACCAGGCAAACCATTTAATGTTCTGCAGGCAATATGGATATGGACATACAGGTAAAAAGAAGATCTGGATCTCCCTGCCCTTCAATTCTTTCATTTCCTGACTGTGTGACCATTATTCATAATGACCATGTGCAGTCTTGGCTTGTTCCTTCTGTTTTTGGTTTAGAATCCTTACCTGGGAGGGGAAGGAAGGATACCTTGTTCCTGCCTTATAAGAATCAATGACACAGCAGGTTTGAACATTCCGGTGTATAGGGAGTAGACTCTAAATTTAGCAGCCCCTCTAGCTACTAGAATAAGAATTTAGTGATCTGAAGAATTTACATTCTGCCAGCAGTTGATCGAGTTCTTATGATATGCAAGGCCCAACGTTGGACATGGAAATGAACCAAACACAATCTCTTCCCTTTAGGGCAATACTAGGTAGTTTCAAAAATCATGTTGGGATATAAATGATTAGAATATAGGGTAGAAAATATCTATAGCAAAAGGGCAGAGAAAATAAAATGGGGTCATGGAAGAGAGTGAGATTATTCTTGGCTATGTGATAAAGGAAAGCTTCATGGAGAAGGTAGTATTTGAGTTAGGTCTTATATGAGTAAATTTTGTACATGAAGAGAAGGGGATTAGTACGTTGATGAAATAGTTTTATAAAGAACCAACAGTTTTATATAAAGGAGTAGAATGGGAAATAAGTCTAGGAAGGTGGGGAGAATCCTCTCCAAAGGAGTACAAGATCCCAAGGCTTTGTATTTCATACTCCAAGGTTAGAAACGTATTGTATGGCTTTCCATCAGAATCACATATTGAGTTTTTGAAATTGCAAATGTCTGAGCAGGATCATTCCCAACATTTGTGGGGCCTAGAGCAAGAGCATGAATGGAGGTCCACATACTATATGTCGAACTATTTCAAAGTGTTAAAGGAAGCTGCACCCAAGACCTGGTCCTTGTTCCCATCCAAGGGACTGCTTTGGGACTAGGAGGCTTAAGAAGCCCTGCTGTCCCTCAAGGCCATCCTGCACTAGAGGCCTGATTCATTGCTTGGAACTTCACGGGGGAAACAGGACGGACCCTGGACTTAGCCTGGGGACTCGTGGGCAGGGCCTGCATCTGCCCCCATCAAGGATGGAAATGACTCAGTCCAGGTCTTCTGGTTACTGAAGGAAAAGGTTCTCCTACCTCATGTTTTACTTTTCTGATTCCAGATTACCAGGAGGTTCTAAGCACCAGGTGAAACTATACTCACCCACTCCATACCCCCTCCCCAAGCAGAGGGGAAGGTAGAAGTACAGTTACCTGGGGAACACAGTCTGCCTATATATCCTCCCACTTCAGGGGCTACTGGGTGGCTATCCAGAAACTAAAGCATCCCTTCTTTCTTTGATTTCACAGGGCCCACACAGCCTGACCTCTCTCAATAAGGGGATTTCACTCTTTTTTTGGTCTATCCCATTTGCCCAGATGACCCAGTTCAGCTGCTATGTTCCTTTCCATGTTTTGTGTGCTCTCAATTGGTCATGAAACTTTAAAACATGAGACTCAGAAAAAAAAACCTGTCTTTGCATGACTGTGTTTGTGATGCTTGGAGACTCCTAAAGCCTGTGACCTTTCTTGGTCTCGTCTGAGGGTTGTGCTGTGTCTTAACCCAAGTCTAGAGCTACTGACCCAGAATGTCTTGGGGTTAGGATTGGAGATGGGGTCTCAGGATCTGTGTTAACAAGTTTCAGGGGTGACTATAATGCCCAGTCAGGGTTAAAATCACTGTTAACAATAGGGGAGGTTTTTCTACTTAGTTTTTATTTCTCAGCAAGATGATATTTTAAAAAGCAAACTGCAGGAGAATGGAAGATGAATAGAAAGGTGGTGAGGCTAACAGGAGAGCCTCAGGAAATCACCGAGCAAATGAGACAAGGGCCTGGATGAAGCAGGGGTTATGGGTGGAGGTGAGAAGCTGGTTGGGAGAGGTCAACAGGAGATCCCATCAGAAGTGCCCAGTGCTCAGAGGGAGTGATGGAGTCGAGGATGACTCTGAGGTTTCCGGCTTGTTATGGGTCATATTATGTCCCCCAAACAGATATGTTGAAGTCCTAACTCCTAGTACCTAAGAATACAACCTTGTTTGATAATAGGGTCTTTGCAACTGCAATTAAGTTAAGAGAAGGTCATTGAGGGAAAGCCCTAAGCCAAGATGGCTGGGATCCTTATAAGAAGGGGAGGGACACAAAGGGAGGGCAGCCATGTGTCCACAGGGGCAGAGAGTGGAGTGATGTGGCTGTAAGCCAAGGAATGTCAAGGATTGCTGGCAAGCACTAGAAGCTAAAAAGAGCAAGGAAGGATCCTTCCCTACAGGTTTCAGAGAGACTATGGCCCTGCTGACCCCGTATTTTGTATGTGAGACAATACATTTCTGTTGTTTTAAGGCACCTGTTCATGGTACTTTGTTTTGGCAGCCCTAGGGACCGAATACAGAGCTGTAATGGCCTGCACTGGTGTTGCCTCTCTCTGCACTGGGTCATCAGTGAGGGCAAGCGTTTCTCGTAGACAGCACCTGTCTATGAATGTTCTCCACAGCATAGACATCCTCTGCACCAGAAACAGAGCCTCATATTCGGTGTTCCTCTTTGTTATCTAGCTGCACAAACACAAGGTATTAATTCACTAAGGGTTTCAATTATCTGCTATATAAAAAGGCATAAACATAAAAGGTTTTAATTGTCTTTTATATAATAAGGCAGTTTCCAAAAATTAAATTAGGATTTTTACATTTAGTTTTCCCATTCTCATGCTGACCATATTTTAATTTGATTTCGAAAGCATTTTTGGTAATATTTTAAAGTATTATCTTTCATCTAGTATCATAAAAATTATTTAGAAAACCTATAGAAGATTTCATCTCTACAAGTAACATTTTTCAGATAGGAAATGATTGCAGCATTGAACTGCCAAAGAGACAGCTGAAAAAAAAAATGGGTCATGCATTCATCCCATTCTAGAACAGAGGCTGCCAAGCAGTTCACTGCTCATTTTTGTCCTGTTCTCGTAAACAAGCTGCGTTAACAAGTTACTTTTAAAAAGCATACTAATTTCCCCAGTGAATTGCACAGGAAAGAATCCAGCGTTCCCTCCAGAGGACTCAAATAGTTGTTTGTTCTCAGAGCTCAGGTGTGGTAAAATAGCCGTGGGCTAAAAGCACAGGCTGGATATTGGCCAGCAGGCTAGAGCTTCCCCTCCACTCCTGATTTCTCACGTTGGTGAGAAACTCATAGCCTGCCTGATGTGGGGGGGAGAAAAGACTCGATTTTCAATTTCAATTTAATTACACAATCCATAGTGCCTAATGGGAAGGATTTAGCGGCAAGATTAATGCTCAGCAGCGCTCCATTTTGCCTTTTTTTTTTGATAAAAAATACTGTATGGATTATCTAAAGTGGGTTTTCAAAAATGTTTTTCAAGAGCCAAATTATTTTGGTGGCATAGTGATTTGAAAAAGAAGGTGACTTTATTTCTTGACTCTCTGCCAGAGTTTATATAAATTAGAGGTATAAGATACCTTTTTGAATTGTATTGCCAGTGTATCATTCTTGAGAGTGGGGAGCACTTCTTTACTTGGGAGAAGAATGAATAGAAATTTCACTGTAGGATTAGAAATATAAGCAATGATTGAAGGAGACGACGATCTGTTCTGAGAATGACTGTAAAATTAAAATATTAAGACCTTTCCCTCTTCAGTTAAATCCTAAAGAATTTCACTCTCTTATTGAGACTGAAAACCATTATAATTTTATATGGCATCAGATCAATATTTAAGATTATGAGTAAATATTTGGCATTCTATTTTGGTGTCTACATATTTTGTTAGTTTTGCTAAACGTAAAAAGAAGCTAAAATAGGAAATGGAAATCTACCCATGAGAAGTGACCTTAGTATATTTTTTGACCAATTGCTTTAGGTTGTTAAGTTAATAAGGGAAACAGGTAGGTTGTTACATTTATAAGGAAAACAGGGCTTTTTATAAGGAAAAGTATTCCTATATGATTTAAATAAATAAAAATAGCAGCAGTAAACTTTACTGGCTAACCATTGCTGAGCCTCACCAAACCACTTGAGCACATACAAATAATTTTAAATGAAGTAATAAAGAAACTAAGGGCCGGCGTGGTGGCTCATAGCTGTAATCCCAGCACTTTGGGAGGCTGAGGCAGGCAGATCATGAGGTCAAGAGATCAAGACCATCCTGGCCAACATGGTGAAACCTGGTCTCTACTAAAAATACAAAAGTTAGTTGGGCATGGTGGCACACGCCTGTAGTCTCAGCTACTTGGGAGGCTGAGGCAGGAGAATTGCTTGAACCTGGGAGGCGGAGGTTGCAGTGAGCCAAGATTGTGTCACTGCACTCCAGCCTGGTGACAGAGCGAGACTCCGTCTAAAAAAAAAAGAAAGAAACTAAGTTTAAAAGGCAAATGAACTATTTGAAATGGCCAAATGATTTTGCTATTTCACAATGATGGCATTTTCAAGTATTAAGAGAGTTGCTACTACAAGTCAACATGTACAACAGTATTTAAAAACAAAATGGCACCTGATTAAATTTTGGCTACTGAATTTGAAAAATAGTATATTAGCCAAATGGGTTGACTATTTTGAAAGCTTGATGAGTTACAGGGCATCTGGCACAGATTGGGTAAAACTAGAACTTTATTGGGATGGACTGACAATAGGAACTAGAATTGGAATTTCTTTTGGAGTGCACTTAGAAGGTTGAAAAATGCACCTTTGACTGGTATAAGTGTAGATTTACCACCCTTCTCTTTGGTAAGGGTAAGCTGTAATTTATGCCATTGAAAGGAAAAAAGAAGGAAGATATGGAAATGTGTACCTATGGGTGAAACCCAAGCATATTTTTCCACAGGTCAATGTCTGCATTCTCTGACTCTAGTGGCACAGGCAGGGTTTGGAGAAACTGTAGCTAAGCTGGCCTGGGGAAAAATTAGGTGGGTGGGGCAAGATATGCTTTTGGGGAAGGCCTCTCTTTGTTTGTGTGGCTGCAGGTCTCAAGCTCCTAAAACAGTTCTATAGAAGGACACCATCTACCTAGAAATACAAAAATAGATCAGTAAGAAGATGGGATAAGAAAACCATGATGCAGACAGGAAGATGCTGGCCAACTGTGAGTAGAAACAAAAGACCAGAATGGAAGATCAACTTGTGGTATATAGGGGGCCAGTTCTTAGCTGTTTGGGAGGCAGTGACTTTTAGCTGATTGAACGAAAACCTGAGAAAATCACGGAGAGTCACCTTAGTTAAGGGAAAAGTAGATGGAAGTATCTATTTGCTGCCATGATAGTATCAATACAGAGGTCACAATAAGGTCACAGAGATACTTGCAAGTTAGAACTGGCAGAGTCTCATTAGTCTACTGTTTCCTGTTTGGATAGGATGTGGTTGGGAAGGACTTGGCTTGGGAGGAGACAAAGAAAGCGCATGGTCATCTACATATGACCAAATATGTTTTTTTCCCCAGAACCAATAACATATATATTGCTCATAACTAACAGCTAACATTACCCCCTGCCTTTTTTATATTTACACATGTTTATTAACATTGAAACAAAATTCTATATTAGAGTTTACGAGAAATGAGAGAATACCTGGTTGGTGATATGTTCCTGGATTTTTTCTGTACTCACTGAAAGAGAAAGCAAAAAGAATTTTTACATTAAAGCATGAAAATGAATAAAATGCGGTACTGATGCTGCTCTGTTTACAGTAAACACTTCCAAAGTGGTCATGGACTCTCTGAGCAAGGATTTCTATCACAATGTGGATGTTTACAACCACTTCAATAACTGGGGAAAAAAAGCCAAAACCTAAATAAACTGTGTTAGGCAAAGATAACAGAAAATGGAGTGGAAATCCAATAAGGGTGATACCAGCAGAATGTATTAAACTTTCACAGATAAATGATGAAGAGATGAAAAGGACCGAAGAAAAATTTGAACAACAGCCAGTCAAAACAAAGTTTTCCAAACAATGACAACCTATTGAAGTATAATACTAATACTGAGCTCAGGGAACCCTGAGAACTGGACAAGGAGATTTGAGGTGGCAGATGGCAGCAGTGCTACTTCAAAAACATTTCTTACGTGGGAAGTGATAAAGGCAATATTATACTTTGTTGTTATGGTACTGCCAGAGATTGAAGTACAAACCAACAGTTCTATAAATTGTATCTTGATCAGGATGAAAAACATGCAGAGTAATGTATGACAGGCAACCAAGGGACATAAAAAATAAGGATTCTAATATAATATATTTCTCTGTCATTGTGAAAATAGCCTGAAAGTGATCAACGTTATGTATGTCTTAAGTAGAGGAAAATAAAATCCTTAGTAGTAATAAATAAAAAACAAACCATGAGAAAAGAAAAGAGAGAAGACATTTAGTGGCATCACAGTTATTATGTGTTTGTGAACACCTTAGTGTGTTACAAACATTTTATTAAATGTGTCCCTTTTAAAAAAACAAACTTTAATTTTAATTGAAATAACTGTTGAGTCACATGTAGTTGTAAGAAATAATGCAGAGAGATCTCTTGTACTTTTTACCCAGTTCCCCTAATGGTAACATCTTGAAAAGCTATAGTACAATATTACAACCAAGGTATTAATATTGATAGAAAGAGTGTTTTCCTTACCACAAGTATCTCCCCTTTTGTCCACTACACTACATCACTCCCCTCCACCTCCATGCTTTCCCTAAACCCTGGCAACCACTAGTCTGTTTTCCATTTCTGTCGTTTTGTCATTTCAGGAATGTTATACAAATGAATCATAAAGCATAGAGCCTTTAAGGATTGGCTTTTTTCCTCGGCATACTTCTCTGGAGATTCTTCCAGGTTGCTGTGTGTGTCAATGTGGTTGGTTTCTTTTTATTTTTGATATATTCTGTGGTATGGATGTGCCAAAGTTTGTTTAGCCATTTACTCGTTGAAGGATATCTTGGTAGTTTCTAAGTTTTGACTATCATGAATAAAGCTGCTATAAACATTTTTGTACAGGTTATTATGTGAACATAAATCTTCATTTCTCTGGGATAAATGTCCAGAAGTGACATTGCTGGGTTATATAATAGTTGTAGGCTTAATTGTTTGAGAAACTGCCAAACTGTTTTCAAAAAAAGATGTCCCAAGTGAAACTTACTGGCCAATTAGTCAACCAATAATAAGTATACTTAAAAATTTTGTTAAGTATTCAGTACCAAGCTCCATGTCATATGAGATACAGTAGAAGTGTAAGGCGTATAGGGGAAATTGAATGGTGATGTTCAGAGTGGGCTATTTCATGGTGTCATTGTTAGGAAATGCCTGATGCCTGGGGCCAGTCTCAGACTCGCCAGATAATAAGAATCAATTTTCTTCATTTTTTTAAGGGCAATCTCAATCAGATACTCTTGATATGTTTTAGATTTCTTTTGTCAGTTTATATGCGGAGTGTTTAAAGAAGAGACAACATGGCTTGTGGGAAAAGGTTGGCCTTTTAAATTACAGATCACTGGTGTTTAAATGTGGGCTCCCCAAAGAAGTGACATTTGAGTCAAAACCTGAAAGATGATAAAGGAGTTAACTTGACCAAGAAGAGGGGGGAGAACTTTCAGGCAGAAGGAAGAACATGACAAGGGCCATGTGATAGGAGGGAGCATAGTGGATCCAAGGATAGAAAGGAGGCCAGCATGGCAGGTGTGGAGAGGTGAGCAGGGCATAGTGTGAGAGAGGCTACACAGATAGGCAGGAAACCCTGCAAAGAAGTCAGGTAGACCATTTTTGGGAAATTTAAGATCCTCTCAAGAACAGTGGGAAACTGACCATTAAGGGGATTCAGGCAAGTGCACAGGTAGTGACATCAGAATAGCATGCACAGCCTATGTCCTGAATGGTATTGCCTAGGTTTTCTTCTAGGGTTTTTATGGTTTTAGGTCTTACGTTTAAGTCTTTAATCCATCTTGAGTTAATTTTTGTATAAGGTGTAAGGAAGGGGTCCAGTTTCTGTTTTCTGCATATGGCTAGCCAGTTTTCCCAACACCATTTATTAAATAGGAAATCCTTTCCCCATTGCTTGCTTTTGTCAGGTTTGTCAAGATCAGATGGTTGTAGATGTGTGGTGTTATTTCTGAGGCCTCTGTTCTGTTCTGTTGGTCTATATATCTGTTTTGGTACCAGTACCATCCTGTTTTGGTTACTGTAGCCTTGTAGTACAGTTTGAAGTCGGGTGGTATGATGCCTCCAGCTTTGTTCTTTTTGCTTAGGGTTGTCTTGGCTATATGTGCTCTTTTTTGGTTCCATATGAAATTTAAAGTAGTTTTTTTCTAATTCTGTGAAGAAAGTCAATGGTAGCTTGATGGGGATAGCATTAAATCTATACATTACTTTGGGCAGTGTGGCCATTTTCACGATATTGATTCTTCCTATCCATGGGCATGGAATGTTTTTCCATTTGTTTGTGTCCTCTCATACTTCCTTGAGCAGTGGTTTGTAGTTCTCCTTGAAAAGGTCCTTCACATCCCTTGTAAGTTGTATGCCTAGGTATTTTATTCTCTTTGTAGCTGTTGTGAATGGGAGTTCACTCATGATTTGGCTCTCTGTTTGTCTATTATTGATGTATAGGGATGCTTGTGAATTCATGACTAAAACACCAAAAGCAATGGCAAAAAAAGCCAAAATTGACAAATGGGATCTAATTAAACCAAAGAGCTTCTGCACAGCAAAAGAAACTTTCATCAGAGTGAACAGGCAACCTACAGAATAGGAGAAAATGTTTGCAATCTATCCATTTGACAAAGGGCTAATATCTAGAATCTACAAAGAACTTAAGTAAATTTATAAGAAAAAAACAAACCCCATCAAAAAGTGGGCAAAGGATATGAACAGACACTTCTTGAAGACATTTATGCAGCCAACAAACATATGAAAAAAGCTCATCATCACTGGTCATTAGAGAAATGCAAATGAAAACCACAATGAGATAACATCTCACACCAGTTAGAATAGCGATCATTAAAAAGTCAGGAACAACAGGTGCTGGAGATAATGTGGAGAAATAGGAATCCTTTTACACTGTTGGTGGGACTGTAAATTAGTTCAACCATTGTGGAAGACAATGTGGCGACTCCTCAAGGACCTAGAACCAGAAATACCATTTAAGCCAGCAACCCCATTACTGGATATATACCCAAAGGATTATAAATCATTCTACTATAAAGACACATGCGAACGTATGTTTATTGCAGCACTGTTCACAATAGCAAAGACTTGGAACCAACCTAAATGCCCATCAATGACAGACAGGATAAAGAAAATGTGGCACATATACACCATGGAATACTATGCAGTCATAAAAAAGGATGAGTTCATGTCCTTTGCAGGGACATGGATGAAGCTGGAAACCATCATTCTCAGCAAACTAACACAGGAACAGAAAACCAAACACCTCATGTTCTCACTCATAAGTGGGAGCTGAACAATGAGAACACATGGGCACAGGGAGGGGAACATCACACACTGAGGCCTTTCAGGGAGTGGGGGACCAGGGGAGTGATAGCATTAGGAGAAATATCTAATGTAGATGATGGGTTGATGGGTGCAGCAAACCACCATGGCACATTATACCTATGTAACAAACCTGTGTGTTCTGCACATGCATCCCAGAACTTAAAGTTAAAAAAAAAATATCATACACAGATTTGCATTTTTAAAAGACCACTCAACTCTGGTTGGCAACTGAAACACTGACTCCTCAGGGTGTCAGGGGTGGCAGCAGCACTACAAAACCTTAGTTTTGTTTCCTTTGGGACTAAGAGAAATCTGCAGAAATTGAAGAGACAAATAAGAGCCAAACAATAAAATATTCACACCCTAATAATGCAGCAGCCTACTGAACTCTAGAAAATGGACTAAAGGACAGCATGGTATCTAATAGCAGCTCTGACAATTACTAGGTGTTTGAACTGGGGCTAGTTACTTTAATGCTCTGGCTTGTTTGCCTATCTATAACAAAGGGTTAACAATATCCACCCTTTCCCAAATTTGTGAGGATTGAATGAAATAAGAACGAATTTTGCAGGTAAAGGATAAGAGAGGGGCACTCCAGGGAGTTGGGGCAGGACAAGTAAAGAAATCTAAGAGGCAGGTAAGTGTAGGGTGTGTGTGGGTGAATCGTGAGAAGTTCTGAGCGGCTTATGTAATACACGCATACACTTTAGCAGGTGTGGGGATGGAATGTGGGAAGAGGGAAGGGGCCCAGCCTTTGGAGATTGTGACTTGGGGTGATATTGGAGGCTTTGCAGGCAGAAGGAGGCCAGCAAAAGTCTTTCAGATGAGGATGAGGTGGCCAAAGCAGTTCTTGAGAAAGATGAATTGAGTGGTGGTGTGGAGACGGGTTGAAGGGGTAGTAGAGGTGGGTGGTGAAGACAGCAATGAGCATGTGCTGTGTCCAGGCAGAAGGGGTGCGGGCTTGAGCCCAGGCAGTGAGAATGGGAAGGGAGGGACGCCAGGAGCAGGTGGTATTTCTGAAGTAGGTTCTGGAGATTGATTGAATGTGGGAAATACAGGAGCAAGAAGCAAGGACAACACTCAGGTTTTTATTAGGGAATCTGGCAGATGATAGCATTATTAAAGATACAATGAGAATACAGCAAGACCTCATCTCTACTTTTTTTTTTAATTAGCTGGGTGTGGTTGCATGTGCCTGTAGTCCCAGCTACTCAAGAGACTGAGGTGGGAGGATTGCTTGAGCCCTTGAATTCAAGACAGTCCTAGAAACATAGTGAGACCCTGTCTGAAAATAAACAAACAAACAAACAAAAAGATACAATGGGAGAAGGAAAAAAAATGAAGAGGAAGTTAATAAGTGAGGCTTGTGCCTGTAATAAAGAGGAAGATACCTGTAGGTTACAGAAGCTGACATGACAATTACGGCAGATTGAATAATGGCCCCCAACATGTCCACATCCTAATCAGCCTGTGAATACGGGACCTTTCATGACAAAGGGACTTTGCAGATGTGATTCAGTTAAGGATCTGTGGATGGGAAGCTTATCTGGACACAGCCAGTGTAATCATAAGAGTCCTTATAATAAAGGGGCAGGAGAGTTTACAGCAGAGAGAAGGCGAGGTGGCAGTAGCAGCAGGGGTCGGAGTAATGCCATTGCTGAAGAGGGCTGTGAGCCAAGTACTGTGGGCAACCTCTGGAAACTGGAAAAGGGAAGGACATAGATGACTCCTAGAGCCCTGCAAAGGAACGCAGCCTTGCTGATACCCTGATTTTAGTCTGGTGAGGCCCATCTGAACTCTGACCTTTAGAATTGTAAGATGCATACATTTGTGTTGTTTTAAGCCACAGAGTTTTTGGTGATTTGTTACAGCAGCAAAAGGAAATGAATTCAAACAAGTTCTTATGCTTTTTCTCAGCTGTTCCTCAAGGTACGGGGAGGAAAGCACACTGCTGCTGAGTAACTGCTGTGCCCTGGGCCTAGGCGACATACCTCACAGACATTATGTCCTGAAAAGTAGAGATTATTCCTCCTATGTTTTTAAAGATTATGTGACCAGGGCTCAAATACATGCAGAAACTTGTCCAAATTTTCATGGTCTATGGGTGAAAGGACAGCCAGCATTCTAAGGAACAACATAGCTACTCTTAAGACATAGAAAAGCAAACTTTCATTATATAAAAAAGACATATGAACATGCAGGTTTTTAGCAGCACAATTCGCAGTTGCAAAAATGTAGAACCAACCTAAATGCCCATCAACCAGTAAGTGGATAAAGAAAATGTGGTATATATACACCGTGGAATACTACTCAGCCATAAAATGGAATGAAACAATGGCATTTGCAACAACTTGGATGGAGCTAGAGGCCATTATCCTAAGTGAAGTAAGTTAGGAACAGAAAACCAAATATCACATGTTCTCATTTATAAGTGGGAGCTAAGCTATGAGGATGCAAAGGTGTAGAAATGATGTAATGGACTTGAGGGACTCAGAGGGAAGGGTTGAGGGAGGGTGAGGGAGAAAAGACAACATATGGGGTACCGTGCACACTGCTTAGGCGATGAGTGCACCAAAATCTCAGAATCACCACTGAAGAACTTATCCATGTAATCAAGAACCACCTGTTCTGCAAAAATTATTGAAACAAAATTTTTTTAAAGCTAACTTTCAGGATAAAACTAGTCTTTTTTGTCTCATATTTGGGTCTTATCCCTCCAGCTTTTGGTTAGAGGATTAAAGAGGGAAAAAATAAAAAAATTGACAAAGTTGTCTGACCGGCAGATTAAGTGGAGAGTCATCCCAGATTTCTTAAATTTTAATCTCATTATGTCTTCACAAAACAAAGCAGAATAAACTGCAGAGGCAGGTTGCGCACACTGTTGGCTCATCTTATGATGAAGGTGGTGTTGAGACACTTCTGTGCATTCATGAGCTTCAGGAATAAAATTTGTAGAAACAGCCCTAACCCACTATCATCAACATGGGTGGGGAAGGACCTATTTCTCTAAGATTTATAATTCCAGGACAACTGCCTCAAATTCTCCAAACTTTGCAGTGAGACTCACTAATTCTTCTCATTGTAAGTTGCTTGATTAATCACCCCGAACTGATTAAAATTCTAGGGAAAGTTATTTTGCTGCCTAAACAGTTTAAAGCAGTGGTTCTAAACCTCTTTCAGGTAACAGGCCCCTTTGAGAATCTAAGAGCAGTTATGATTCTGCATTTCAGAAAAATGCCAACACACAGGAAAAAAGGGAAAATGGCAGGAGGCTAATAGACCTTCTTCAGCCATGCATAGATCTGCAAGAATCTATCTGTTGCTCAAAGTCTTTTTGTTTTTTTTTTGGTCAAAGGGATTTGGAAAATACTTCTTTTCTAGGTATCTCAGTAGGAACTTTACTCTCTCAAACCATAAATTTGTAGTGCCTTACATAAAAAGTTACAATTAAATCAACATAAATCTTTTGTTTTAATAAATAAAGCACATTCATGGCTTAGATTTTAGATCACATTTATAGATGAGGAAAATTTCTAGGCCCAAACAGTAACAGTGAAGCTACTACTGCTGGAAGGAATAATGTGCCACCTGTGTCTTAAATCTCAAGAGCAGAGACTTCAGGGCAGAGAACACCATACACATCACCTCTAGACTAGGTTGCTGGGAGCCAGAGGAAGATCTTGGTGAAGTGCATGCAGCCACCATCTGCTCCCATCACCTAATGCTGCAGAACCAACTGGAGCTGTGCTACTTTGAGATAAACTAGAGGTGGGTTCCTGATCATATTACATGACACTCTCTCCCATTGTTAGCAATTAGGCAAGGACATTAGTGACAGAGGGGCATCCACTGAAAAAGACAGAGCAATACTCGAACAGCAAAGAGGAAGCCACTTAGACATTCTTGTTTCTTCAAATATCAGAAGCTTCCACATCATAGCAGGAGGGCTAGGGATGGACTTCACCTCCCAAAAGCTGTTGGCATTTGGACCAAACAAGGCTCCCCGGACTTCTGGCATCATCTGCTGGCCTGAGATCCAGTCGGCTTTTCAGGGTGTTGGAAACCTTTATTTTACAATCCCCATTGTGGATCTCAACTCCACCAACTATGTCCTCAGGCAGGTAGGACTCCTGGGCAATTGGGACATCAACAATTGTCTGTGGTGGGGATTTTGTACATAGAGACTGCCTTTGCACCATAGTTTTTACCGGAGGGAAATCTTATTTCCTGCAATGAACAGTCATTTGGGGCTCTGACAATTGGTATAAACCCTGGAGGACCAGTCCATCCAGCAGCACTTGGTACCTGGGTGTATCTTTTACCACCTTGTGAAAGTTTATTTTGAACCATAGGCTCTAACGTGTGAAATAATTTCTTGGATGTAGGCTTCTCTGGGTAAGTTACTAGTCCCTCAGAACTACAGACTCATTAGCTGTGTAGTCATTTTCTCTAACTTAAGAACTAAAAATGTAAGTTTAATATCTTACAGTATAGTATATTCATTCCAAAAAATATAATACCTTCACTGTGTCAGATACCTCCTAAGTGCTGGGCATGCAAAGATGATACAGCAGGGTGCTTGCCCTCAAGGAGGTCAGGGTCAGGTGGCAGAGAGAAATAAGTGAAGATAAACTGCAGTGCCTCCTGAGAAGTGTTTTCATAGAGTTATGGTTAGCAAGCTGTGGGCACACAGATGGGGAAAACCAATATGATTGGTCTTGGGAAACAAGTAGGTTTCCCAGAGGTATGCTGTCATTAATCACTGCTATACTCCCTTTTAACTCATGCAGGAATATGTCTTGAACAACCAGGGACCATGATTTTAATTGATTTATTATTAGCCTTTCACTTCTTGGAGTTCAAGAATATCTCTTGAATATGGATATCTAAGTATCTGTATTGTACTATCTATTGGATATCTCTTTTGCATGTCTGAGCAAATTCTAGAGATATGGTGAGTTTAAGAACTTAAAAATAAGTTCAGAGATAGGACCTGTCTTTGTAACAGGAATCAGAATAATTAGAAGGTGGAATTTGAATTAGGTCTTCAAAAATGGATGGAAGTTGGGGAGAATAATGGTGATGACTACCCTAACTAGGGGAGAGGGTTTAGAGAGAAACAGCATTGCCCAGGCAGGTCTGGGTCAATTGCTTTATGTTTAAAGCGATAGACAATTTGGGGGGCAATTATGGTTTTTTCAGCAGAGGTGGGTTATAAAGGAACATTAAACTGGTAAATAAATTGCTCAGAGTAGGGGGAGAAATTGGAGAATATCTAGGAGGCATTGGTGGGTTGCACAAAGTAAGTGATGGGTTGGGGCCTAGACTAGGGAGGTAGAAATGAGAAGGAAAATGAAGAAAATCAAAGACAGCCTGTTGAAGAAATGTTTGAAAGAAATTGGTAACAAATGAATACAGGGAATAAAGATTAGAAGGAGTTGTACCTGACTTTATTCATTCATTTATTCCAACAAATACTGTTTGATCAGCTGTCAGGTGTCATGTATGGATGGGTACAAAGTTCTGGAGACCCAACTGTGAACAAGACCATTGCTCCCAATTAGCCTGCTCCTTTCTCCCAAAGAACTGGTTGGCTCTGTTCTCCCCTTTTCCATGACATTGTCTCTTTCTGTACTATCACCTACATTTAGCATGACCACTTCTGTAGGGGTGCTTGAACTGTTTTGAAGGTGCCACATGTGAAGTCTTGAAATGGGGCAAGGAAAAGAAGATGAGATTATGAATCTATTCCTCTTTCCTGGGGTGCAAATACGCCCATTATAGATCTGCACATGTAGAGTAATTTCATATTCCAGAACTGTGGAGTTCTGGAGTATCACATCCCCCTCTTTTCACCATCAAATTGTATTTTAATAAGGAATCTGAGAATCTGGGAAAGAGGGCCAATATGGTGATCTGAAACAGGGCAGATTTGGTCATTCAGCAGACTGGGGCCCTGTCCTTACCTCTCAAAGAAGCATAGAGAGGAAGCTATTGCTTATGAAAAGGCACAGGACGAGGAAATAGCTCAAGGGGCCAATGACAGGGTGGGGAACAGGGACTCAAAGAAGTCCATGGGTAGCAGGACAGTGTGTCAGTGTCTTCAGAATATATCTACAATGCATGCTGTCTAACCACAGTCCCCAATTTGTTGAGCCCATCAACATGTCTCCCCTGGACTATGCTGTTAGCCTTCTGGGGTCTCCCAGTTGCCACTCTGGCTCTCTCCAAGTTCCTTTCTTCATCTTGTAGGCCTTGCACCATCTGCTTCTTTCCTACCACCTCTACAACCTTGCCTTGCTGTCTGTTTCCCTTCCTTTCTACCCTCCATCTACTCTGGTCTTATGTTCATTTCTGGTCCTTTTTGGCCTCTTGTCTTTTGCACATGCTGTTATCTTCTCTCTCCAATTTTGCAGGTCTGGTTCTTTCATATTTTTCAAGTCTCACTTTAATATTAAGACGTCAGGAGTTCTTCCCTGGTCACCCCATCTCTTCTTGTGATTCTTGATCTCAGCCTATTGTTTCTTTCATAGCACTTACCACAAACTTGCAATTATTTTATTTGCAGGTCTGGTTACTTTTTTGCTTGTTTCCTATTCTATAATGTAAGCTCCTTGAGGCCAGGGACTACATTCATTTTGTTTATTGTATCCTAAGGACCCAGCTCAGTGATACTGAGACCACTATCAATTATTCCATAAATATATGTATTGAACACCTAGAGTGTTCAATATATATATTGATCTCAGTGGGTGAAGCCTTGCACTAGCCTCCAACATATTGAGGGCAGCTGCTCCTGGCCCTGGTTTGCTCATGAAAGAAAGGGTACATGGGTTAAAAATCTTTAGATGGATGATATTAGGGCCTGAGTTTGACTGCTGATGAATTCTGGGCCATATCAAATGCTTTGTTTGTGATAGCAGCCCTTTTCATATTCGTTCCCAACTGATTTTCCAAAATGTTTAAGCACCTCAATAACAGGAATTACACCAGAATTCTGTTTTTTTTTTTTTTTGTATTTTACACATCTATACCATCATAGTTCTGTATTAGGAATACAGTGTGCTCCAAATTATGGGAATTGAGGGGAAGGACTGAGAGTTAATTCTACATAACTTACAAGATCATGATTTGCAATTTTCCTGATGATTAACCACATTATACTTGTCCTTTTAGTTTGAATTTACCCAAATTTCTACCATTTTTCCACTAAACTATTTACTCAAATAGTTTTTTTGGGGCACAGCTGTGGTAAATATATGCACTTTCTTTTAATTACTTTGTGCAGTGTGTGTAGCAAGGAAGCCTTGGGTAGGCTGGACAGCACAAGTGCAGGCTGAAATTGAGAGCCCAGGCACTGGAGAAGAACCCAAGACACAAGCTTGGGGTGTGTCTGGGGATGACAAGAGAGGCTGGATACAAGTTTCCTTGGCAAAAGGTCAGAGGGAGTCCAGCATTCATGACATCTGTCCAAATAAGGAAGAGGCAGGTGATTACTGGTGGTAAGGAACATATCCATGCTTTGGAGGGACTTGGGTACCAGGTCATGTACAACTCAGGAAAGAAGGCAGGAGCTCAGCTGCTGGGGGCCTGAAGGGTAAAGCAAGGGCTGATTCAGAAGGTAACAGGGCAATCTTCCAGTGACTGAGGTCACGCAGTCAGTTGAGGATCAGGGGGACTCAGGAGCCACATAGTTCATTTCTGTGAGTTATAGCCATTTAAATATGAGAAAAAATTACCTCTTCCCTTGAGCTAGTAAAATTCCAATAAATTAAAATATATAATTATAGCGCCAGGTGCAGTGATTCACGCCTATACTCCCAGCACTTTGGGAGGCTGAGGCAGGTGGATCACAAGGCCAGGAGTTTAAGACCAGCCTGGCCAACATGGTAAAACCCTGTCTCTACTGAAAATACTAAACCCTGTCTCTACTAAAAATTAGCTGGGTGTGGTGGCGCACACCTGTAGTCCCAGCTACTCAGGAGGCTGAGGAAGGAGAATTGCTTGAATCCAAGAGGCAGAGGTTACAGTGAGCTGAGATTGCGCCACTGAACTCCAGCCTGGGCGACAGAGTGAGACTCTGTCTCAAAAAAAAAAAAAAAATATATATATATATATATACACACACAATTATATCATATATACAAATATACATATATCATATATAATTATATCTATATATATATACACAATTATATAATCACTAGGACCACAAAAATAATATAATTGTGTACATATATACAATTATATATATAATATACAATTTTTTATATATATACACACACACAATTATATTATTTTTGTGGTCCTAGTGGTTATGATTCTGCTAATGATAATGTTTGTCTCTTGCTTATGGATAGCCTTAGCCTGGTGGAGATGACAATATTCTCTGGCCTATGCAAGAAAAGAGGAGGGAATCCCACTTAACGAAAACTTAAGTCATTCTCAAATTTATTCAAATCATACTTGAAAAGGCGGAATGAAATTTAGGGGGATATGTTTTAACTATATAAGCCTTTGCTAATAAAAGATTAAGAAGTATGTGGCTTAGCATCTTTTAATTATTTTTTTCTAGCAACTTGAATATACAATGTTTGAAATCTCTGGTTGGATCAACATTATTTTGCTCAGAGGTTTGTGGACTTTGCATACTGATTCTTTCCTGTTTCCAAGTACATTTGCTTTTAGGCTATTTTTATTCACTTTAAAGGAATTTTAATAACTTTCTGTTGACAGCATGGACAGCTGGTCTTGAGAATTAAAGAAAATTCACTTGCTGACTGAGGAAGGAAGTGACATCAATGAGCTTCTAAAGTCAGCCCAGCGGGGGAAATTGGCTGGTGAGAGAGTAGCCTTTCATTGCACTGTATTTATCGAGCGATGCCTTGAGATGCAAATTGCTGTATCAATCAAACCTGTGGTGCCTACCTCCAACCAACCCAGTGCAAACTGAAGGAACAATGCCCTGAAACACTGAGAATAAAAAGGATGAGGGGTGCAGGAGCCCAGAGGCTAAGTGAATTACGGAGCTCAGAATGCTCTCTCACCAAGCCTATACTTCATTCTCTGTCAAACCTCAGTTTCTTTGTCTAGAAAATGAGTTTTATGGAAACTGTTGGTTGAAGTCAGTCTGTTTCTTTGACAGATGGCTAAGAGGACCAGGTACTAATATAGATAGTGTAGACATGCTATCTCAGTACGTTTGTCCCAAAGAGAGCTATCAATTGCTTTTTATCCCCTACTGAGAGCTATTTAGAAATAGGAATTTTTAGCTGTCATACTTAGCTACTACCTTGATCCTTTGTTTTAAAACCCTGTATTCATTGTTTATAACTACACTGCAAAAAAAAAAAAAAATAGCCAAGCATCAGATCTGGACTTTAATAACGACAATAGCAATCACAATCATCATCGTCATAATAAATGACAATTTTCACCACTATCAGAGAATCTTCTTCTGGAGTTGTAGTTACCTATTTTGCAAAGATAGCTGTGGTGTGAGTAGATTGTGTGTGTATGTGTGGGTTATGTTGGGTGAACAGGCAGGTATGTATGCATATACTCACACCTGTGCAAAAGAAAGGTAGAAAAGTGCCTAGGTACATTTTATGTTTATGACATGAAAAATTACATTCTACTTATTTCTTTCTTTCTTTTTTGTTGTTTTTGTTTTCTTTTTTTAGATGGGGTCACTCTTTGTCATCCAGGCTGTAGTGCAGTGGCACGATCTCCACTCACTACAACCTCCGCCTCCTGGGTTCAAGCAATTCTCCTGCCTCAGCCTCCTGAGTAGCTGGGATTACAGGCATGCACCACCACACCTGGCTAATTTTGTATTTTTAGTAGACATGGGGTTTCTCCATGTCAGTCAGGCTGGTCTTGAACTCCCGACCTCAGGTGATCCACCTACCTTGGCCTCCCAAAGTGCTGGGATTACAGGCGTGAGCCACTGCGCCTGATTCTCAGACATTTCTAGTCTTGACTTTGCCAGGCTATATGATATTTGGCAAATTACTTCACTTCCCTGGCTTTTGTTTTGTCTTTATTGCATAACAGGGATATAAATACTAAATTTGCTTATAGTTGTTTACGTTCTTTGACTCTTAAAAGAATGAGGAGTAATGAAAATTCCCATAGGATTGGCACAGATAAAAAAGAAAGGAAGCCTAGGAAACACGATTCTAGACATCAGCTCTGGGAAGGAATTAATGACTAAGCCCTCAAAAGTAACTGCAAAAAAAAAAAACAAAAAGAAAAATTGACAAGTGGGACCTAGTTAAACTAAAGAGCTTCAAGAAACCATCAACAAAGTAAGCAGATGACCTACAGAACAGGAGAAAATATTTGCAAACTGTGCATTCAAAAGGGTTAATATCCAGAATCTATAAGGAACTTAAACAATTGAACAAGCAAAAACAAACAACCTCATTAAAAAATGGACAAAAGATGTGAACAGACACTTCTCAAAGGAAGCTGTCAGCAAACACAAGAAAAAATGCTCAACGTTACTAATTATCAGAGAAATGCATATCAAAACCACAATGAGATAGCATCTCATGCCAGTTAGAATGGCTATTACTAAAAGTCGAAACAGCACATGCTGGCGAGGCCATGGAGGAAAGGGAATGCTTATACACTGTTGGTGGGAATGTAAATTAGTTCAGCCACTGTGGAAAGCAGTTTGAAGATTTCTCAAAAAACTTAAAATGGAAGTTCCATTCAACCCAGCAATCCCATTACAGGGTATATATACAAAAGAAAGAAATTGTTCTACCAAAAAGACATATGCACTCATATGTTCATTGCAGCACTATTCACAATAGCAAGACATGAAATCAACCTAGGTGCCCATCAATAGTGGATTGGATAAAGAAAATGTGGTACATATACACCATGGACTACTATGCAGCCATGAAAAAATGAAACCATGTCCTTTGTAGGAACACAGATGCAGCTAGAGGCCATTATCCTAAGCAAATTAATATCCAGGAACATAAACCAAATTCTACATGTTCTCACTTATAAGTGGGAGCTAAACATTGGGTACACATGAACATAAAGATGGAAACAATCGACACTGAAGACCACTAGAGGGAGGAGTGATGGAGGTGGGGAAGGGTTGAAAAACTAACTATTGGGTACTGTGCTCAGTATCTGGGTGATGGGATCAATGGTATCCCAAACTTCAGCATCACACAAGATACCCAGGTAACAAACCTGCACATGTATCCCCTGAATCTAAAATAAAAGTTGAAATCATATTAAAAACAGAAAGAAAGGATTCATGTTTGGTGTGGGAACCTGGGAAGACTTCATGGAAGAGACAGCGTTTGATCTGGATAGGACATTAACAGAAGCAGATTAGGGGAACAGTATTTTACCTGGAAGGAAAAGCATGAGCAAAAGCACATCAGGGAATGTCTAAGGAACAGTAAATGGTTGCACTGAACTTAAAGGTGGTCTGTATATTGGCAAAGTAATAAGAGACAAAGCAAAAATTGTATGATGGGCCAGTATCACGGAGGACTCTAGATACTTAAAGAAATATTTTTTGACATAATATTTGTTGAGGGAGTCCTTGAATAATTTTGAGTCAAAGATTGATCCAAATGGTACCCTAGGAAGATTAACCTTGAGGATGGGGGATCCTGGCAAAGAGATGGAAAAGTGTAGATGAATGTAGGGCACATTGTATGAGTAAAATGGATTTGAAGATTCAGATGAGGGGTTAGGATGGGGAAAAAAGGAATAAAAGAGGAGCAAGATTTTAAGCTTGGTTACTTGGGAGAAGATGCTATTAATGCAAAGGTAAAAATAAGGAAATAGGTCCAATTTAAAGAAGTAAGTTTGGTGAGCAACAGAGGAGGTGGGATGATAAGCTCGGTTTAGCATTTATTTGGTTTAAAATACCAGTAAAACATCCCACAGGAGGCAGAAATAGATATCAGGAAAATACCAGGCAGTCTTCTGCAGAGAGATGATGGGGAGAAGAGAGCGTAGAAGACTCTCGAGTTGAAGGGAAATAAATATCAAGATTTGAACTTTGGAAAATGGTTGTATTTTATTTATATTTGAATAATTTGATGTTTCAAATTATTCAACTTAGATAGTGGAATGCAAATTTTACATCATCCATAGTGAATAAGAAGAGACTCCTTCTCTAAGCTACCACAAGGATTTATTCTCAGGAACTAGCAAATTTGAAGTTTGGTGTAAGAGCTTAAGTTCTCACTGGTTGTGGAGTTAAAAGACAATTGCAAGTTTTAGCAGAAGAAAATTAGGCTGATTTCCTTATTTATTAAGCTGAGGCTAAGGAATGTTTAGAATTTATCGGAGAACAACAGAATTGTTTATGCCTAGCATTCCATTATTGGAACGCTAAGCATATGGGAGTTATTTATATCCTACTGCTCAAGGTCATTGCCAAGGTCTGATTGCAAAAATTCAAAAAATTGCAACCTCCAGCATAAATGGGTTAAGGGCAGAGCCCAGGCAGGAGTTAGTGGTGCGATCAGGGCTCACTCTAAACTCTGACTCCTGGGCTTCAGCAATTCTGCCATATCCTTTCGAGTAGCTGGGATTACAGGCATGAACCACTATGCCAGGACTTCTTTCTTCTAATGGAGTATTCTCTTCCTTCTAGTAATAATAATTTTTGCCCATCATATGTTTTATGAATATTTGTCCTAATTTGTCACTCACCTTTACTTGTGTACAATGTTTAGGGAATAAAAGAATATTATAGCAATGGCTAGTATTCAGTAAGCGCTTACAACATACCAGCAACATCGATACATTCTTCACTCAGTTCTCCCAGCACTTCTGTGGGATAAGGCTATTGCAGATGATGAAGAATGAGGCATACAGATACTAACGTGCCTGGAATTGCAGCTGGGAGGTGATGAACTCAAGCCTCACTTCTGAGCCTACATCATTTCCTTTCTGGTTTCTGCTTTCAGTGTCCAGCTTGGAAAGGCACAACTCCGTGCAGCAATTAAAAATAATAAGGTCATATCTGTATGTAAGGCTAGAGAACAATACCTCCATTGTATTTTTAGAACAATGTGTATAACTAATATGTTTTTTAAAGTACATATGATTATATGTAAAGAAGTCAGAGGAGATATACTTTAGCACTTTGTTACACGTTAAGGCCGGGTGGGAAAGGAGTAAGAGTTACTTTTAATTTAAGCACATCTGTTTCCTTTTTTTTTTTTGCCCTTGTGACAGCAACTGGCTCCATTGCCCAGGCTGGAGTGCAATGGTGCAATCATAGCTCACTGCAGCCTCGAACTCTTGGGCTCAGACAATCCCTCCAATTCAGCCTCCAAGTAGCTGGGACTAGAGGCATGCGTCACTGCACCCAGTTAATTTTTTTAATGTGTAGAGATGAAGGTCTTGCTTTATTGTTCAGGCTGTTCCCAAACTCCTGGGCTCAATCGATCCTCTTGCCTTGGCCTCCCAAAGTGTTGGAATTGCAGGTGAAAGCCACTGGGCCTGACCTGCTTTTGCTTTTCAAAACTTTTTTATTAGGAAAAGGTACTGCATCAATTTAAAGAGAACAATGTTTCTGTTTTGGATAAGAAACATGGGTGAGGCTTTGAATATGCTTTTCTTTTTTGCACATTAGGACAGGCGTTCCTTCATTCATCCACTTGTTCAACCATTCATACCTGGTTTGAAAGTCTAGTTTGTGTTGGTCTTGGGCTGGCTACTGGAAATACAAAGGCGAAAGGGTATAATCAGTCCCTCCTCTCAGTCTGGCAGGGAGACACACAGGACAGATTC
Source organism: Homo sapiens (assembly GCF_000001405.40). Taxonomy (NCBI): domain Eukaryota; kingdom Metazoa; phylum Chordata; class Mammalia; order Primates; family Hominidae; genus Homo; species Homo sapiens. Next base: position 26,962,013 of record NC_000018.10, read on the forward strand.
GGAGTGAGAGTTGCCATAGGAATAAGGCAAAGTCCAGTCTCCATTCAGATGAAGAGGGCCAAAGTTGGCCTGGGGGTGTCAGGAAAAACTGCCAAAAGGCTCCAGCTTTTAAACTGAGACACAGCTTACAGAATTTTCCCTTTCTAGTTCCCATAACTGTTCACACCCACTGACTCTTCCAGCCTGGGGTGTTAATGACTCTCCTGTTACTAACCTGGGGTTACTATACTATCTTCCGTGGTCTGCTGCTCCCTCTACTCCTATCCCAAATTATAGTCTCCTTTTTTTTTTTTTTTGAGACCAAGTCTGGCTCTGTCGCCCAGGCTGGGGTGCAGTGGCGCGATCTCAGCACACTGCAACCTCTGCCTCCTGGGTTCAAGTGATTCTCCTGCCTCAGCCTCCTAAGTAACTAGGACTACAGGCATCTGCCACCATGCCCGGCTAGTTTTTGTATTTTTAGTAGAGATGGAGTTTTGTCCTGCTGGCCAGGCTGGTCTTGAACTCCTGCCCTAAAGTGATCCACCCACCTCAGCTTCCCAAGGTGCTGGGATTACAGGTGTGAGCCACTGCGCTCAGCATTGTAGTCTCTTTCTATATAATCTTTTTTTAACTTATCTCAATCTGAATGTGGCCTCTGTTTCCTTTGGGACATTTACTGATAGTTGGTGCCTTTCACCTGGGGACAGGTGCAGCTGCTGGGAGCTGGTAGAGTAAAGGCTGGTGGCATCACCATCGCCTGGGGTAGTTTGCTTATCACCTGGGTATTGAGATCCAAGGCCGCTTCAGGCAGTATCTCCGCAGGTGTCTGGTATAAATGGGGAGAAAACTGGCAGGTGGTAGGTGATAGATGGTAGATGGTGTGTTTATGAGTCAGGTGGAACAAACTCAAGACCTCTAGAAATCATTCGTGAGATGGGATGAAGCCAGAGAAACAGTTTTGTAAAAGTTTTTTTGTGTATTTGAAACTTTAAAGCTGACATTTTCTGAGGAACACCCATTACTTCGATGAGAAAATTGAGGGTTCAGTAAGTTATTAATTCACCCATTTAGTCATTCGTTCAGAAAATACTGAGGGCATATTATGTACCGGGCACTGTATTGGGCATAGAGTGAATGAAACAAACAAAAACACTCATGGGGTCATATGTGAACCCAAGTCAGTCTGCCTCTCAACATAGAGTTCTTTCCACTGTCTCAAACTGTCTTCTATTAAACATTTGATAAATCTCATTTTTCCAAAACTTGACATGAAGGACTCACTCCTCTGCCATTTCCTGGAACCATGGGCTGCTTTTGCACCTTTTCTTCTAGATGTGCACTTTCCGCTAAGCTTGGCAGGATCTCCAAACTCCTAAACTCTGTGTCCTGGTAAGTCATCACCAGGACTAAACAAACATTAATGTTGGTGCTTATTACTGAGCCGTTGGGTCTATTTTTAAGAACACAAAGAATGAAAAGATTAGCTGCCTACAAGCTCCCCCATCTGTTCAAATGGAAAAACTTCACAGAGCCCTAGGGTGCTGGGCAGCGCAGATTCCAGCTTCTGTTTTTAAGGAGTATTAAAAAAAAAAAAAAAAGGAAACAATTATTTCAGTGTCTCTACAAATGAAAACATCTATTTCAACTCAAAGAATATTTTGTAAAAGTAGAATGTAGTGAGTAAGATCACAAACTTGGGTGTCAGTGAGACTGGGTTCCAGGACTAATTCTTCATTTTAGTAGCCATGTGACTTCAGGCAATTCAATTTCCTTAGCATCCGTAAACCTTGATTTAGCCTTCTAAAATGGAGATTATCAGAGACAATCCCTACCTCTTGAGGTTTTCATGAGGACTAAACGATATCATGCACGTTTCATACTTAGAGTAGTGCAGGTCACATAGTAAGTGCTCAATAAATATAGTCACTACTGTTATATGCATTATCTCTTTCACTTAACACAACCTTAAGAAGGAAAGAAAAAGTGATTATGTAATCTAAATATTTGTAGCCAGGGAAGCAAATAGTTCTTCTTATAGTTTCATAAGAAGAGCATTTTTGATTAATTTAAAGGAAAACCACAGACATTTAAAATAAAAAATAGAAGCAGAACGCTGATGTGGCTAACACAAGTTGGACAACATTTATTAACGTTCTAATGCTTTATAAAAATTGGAGACCAAATAGAAATCCATATAATTTCCTTTATTTTATTGCTCATATCTAACTTAGCCACTAAGAAATTAGTGCAATACTTTATGGATGTTTTCAGAGGCAGCTCTTATAATTTTCAGTTGACGACCTTAACAAGGTATTGGTTACATGAAATGTATGTTCATTCTCAACCGCCCACCTGTTTTATTATTTCTCTCCAGAAACAAATATTTTTCTGGACTTCAAACAAATAGGACTTCAAATTCCTATTTCCCATTTAGTGCATGTTACTTATATCTGCTGCTTTATTTTTCTTGATGTATTTACAATAAGTGAGAAAATCAGATCTAGGCCCAGCTTACAGTTATGGAAGTTCTAGTGTTCTTCAGGGCAGAGCTTCTCAGGCAGCAGACTGTGGGCCGTAAACAGGTATGCCTCTGTATTTGCCCCCTGGCTTCTGGGTCTACCAGTCAGGGCCTGGGCCAGCCCAAATCTCTAAGCTCATTGCCTTCCCACCTCCAGCAGAGCAGTCTTGTCCACTGTGTGTGCTACACAAATACCACCTTCTTCCATGTGTGCTGTGATGTGGGAAAGGATGGAAAACACTTTCTTGGAGAAGGAGGAGCTTTGAGCTGTGCCCTTCCAGAACAAGACTAAAGGAAATGTGCAGGATTGACCCTGTGTTTCAGAGTACAGCAGAAGAAGAGAGCATGAAGCAAACAGGATGAGGAAGAGGTGACATGAGGGACAAATGCACAGGGAAAGGAGCGAAGATGGGAGGTCTTTCTGCCTAGTGGTCAGAAGGAAGGTCAGATGGCGATGGCAGGAGCCTTAGACTAGAAAATAAGAGGGTTTCCTCTGCTTTAATGTCCAGAATCGTGATTTATTTCTTTCCTTCATTATTTGTAGTTGTCCAAAGTGATGAAATTCTTGGGAAGCTATTATGAAAACTATTTACAACTGAATGCATTCCCAATTACAAGCATTGGACCAGCATTTTTTGGGTTTAGAATTTGAGCCGACTGTGAATGGATTATGAGACTCATGTGAGTGTCCCCTGGCTGGTGGGTCATGGCCCGAAGCTGCACTGTGCGGCCTGCAATGTGTTTCATAAAAATACTCAACTGAGGTAGCAAGTACTTGTGCTGGTGGCAGTGTTATTTCCACTTGCAGGAGCAGTGTAGCTCCATAGCAGTGCCATCAGTTTATAACTATGTGAAGATTTGTGTATGAGAACCTCAGTGAACTGACAACACATTACTGATTTACTCCAGTAATGTCCTGTGCTTTTTATAGATTAGAACCCCTGGGAAGCAGGCCATCTGGCTTGCCCTTTAGTTTGACCTGGCCTGTAGCATGGGTTTTGGAATTCACAGACCTAAGTTCAAGTCTGAGCGCTACCACCATTAGCTGAGCAACACTGGGCAACTTATTTAACATCTCTAAGCCACTGATTGCAAATCAGAGAGATGTGATAACAATAAAATTTACTGCATGGTATTGCTATGAAGACTAAATGAATAATGTGTGCCATGTATCTAGAAGAGCTTAACACATGTTCACTCTCCTCTTCACTCCTGCAGCAACAGCAAAAATCATCTGTCGAGTTAAGGGTAAGAAGATCTTATACTAGTAGCATCAGATGCTGAATAAACTCACAGAGATCAGAGCCTCATGGTCAACTGGTAGGCCTAGTGAGGGACTCAGGAAGAAAACATCTCATAGGAGGACAAGAAAGGGTGTCAAAGAAGTAGACATTGAGGAAACAAAAAAACCCTTTGGAACCCTGACTACCATCCAGTGAGACAAGATTGACAATTAAAACAGAATAGACATAATATGATCCATGCCTCAGTTCCTATGCCTAATGTTGCACAGTTTGGCAAAAAGTAAATAGTTTATTCATAATGCTGCTTTTAATTTTCCCAACTAATTGTTTTTATTTCTTTCTAAAGTGTCTGGCAATCCCAATTGATAGACTCAATTGATCATTTAGTGTAGAAAGGGTAAGTTAGGAAAATCCAATCTTGACAACTTTTAATGATTTTTCTGATGTATTAAAAAGGTGGGACACTATAAAACTATGCTTTATATGACAGCTCTTTTAAAAAATCAAGTACAAAGTATAATTGAAAATATTCTTTCATTTTTCTAAAGAAATCTCTTTTAAATTCTTAGAAAAGATCAGGCACAGCAAAAGCGAGTTAAAGCCTTAAAAATATGTTATTGGTGTCTTAGACCCCAAAGCAGAAATATACACTCATTTTAAGTTGCAAGAATAATAATCTAGATCTTTGGGGATTTTAAAAATTTCATCTCTTTGCCTTAAATGATTTTGAAACAAGGCATGAATATAAATAATACATATAGTACTTCTGGATTTAAACGTCTTTGATGAAATGATGATACTGGCTTGGAATCTCTCTCTCTTACTACACACACGTTCATGTGTGCACTTGTATGTGTACCTGTGACATAGCTGTTTAGAATGGTTGGACCTTCAGATGGATTGGCCACAGACCTTTCTGTCATGACACAGCCTTGCCAGTCATTCTTTCAGCTTCCTAGCTCCCCTGGCAGTGGTGGAGAAGATCCCAAGTTGTTATCAACTGAACAAGTGAAGGAAAGTTGGTTATTTTAAGGCACATGAATTATTTTAGGATTTCTGGTTGTCCCTGGCTAAGTTTTTGATGATTACTGGAGATAAGAAAACAATACTTAATTATTACTTTCTTTAAAAAAAAAAAAAAAAAAAGCTCTTGCAGAGTTTCAGAAGATTCTGGAAATTGACATGATTTCCTAATGTTCCAGTTGGTAGATATCTCGGGTTGGCCTGGGGACTTGTCATTTCAGTCTCAGGCAGACACTACAGATACGCTTTTTGGGGGATGGGTCAAAAGGAGAGTGTGACTGAAACACTGAGGGCTTTATTCTTCCTTTTGTGAATTCTAACACTAATCATATTCATCATGAAAGACGTTTCCAATACTGAGAGAGTGTAAGGCAAAAATCAAAAGGGTCACTTCACCCTTAGTCACACCCCCTATGTCTTTAAAAGCAAGAAGACAAATACAAAAATCCTTGTATATGCAATGAAAGCTTTCTGAATGCTATGTAGGAAGCTGCTTATATAAGGGACTGCTTATCTAACATTCTGAAAGTTTATGTTGCATTTACAGGGATATTTATATTTGTCTTTTTGCTTTTTACACGTGTAGTAGGGCCATGGTGTAGATGCTCTTCAGCTACTTGTTTTTTGCTTTTGTATATTACAATATACCTGTATATTGTAAACACCTTTTTGTTGGTCCCTATAGATCTACCTCATTGTTTTCAATAACTGCATTGTATTCTACTGAATAGAAGTCCTATAATTTTGTGGGCAGATAACTATTGTATGTGTTTAGAAATTTCTTATTACAAGCAATTTGTCAATGAAACTTCTTGTAATCTTTGTGTACTCATGCAAGTATATTCTATCGGTTAAATTCTTAGAAGTGGAATTATGTGGCCAAAAGGTGTGTGTGATGGTTAATATTGTGTCAACTTGATTGGATTGAAGGATGCAAAGTATTGTTGTTCCTGGGTGTGTCTGTGAGGTGTTGCCAAAGGAGATTAACATTTGAATCAGTGGACTGGGAAGGGTAGACCCACCCTCAATCTGGGTGGACACAATCTAATCAGCTGCCAGTGCGGCCAGAATAAAAGCAGGCAGAAGAAGGTGGAAAGACTAGACTGGCTAAGTTTTCTGGCCTCCATCTTTCTCCCATACTGGATGCTTCCTGCCCTCGAACATCAGACTCCAAGTTCTTCAGCTTTGGACTCTTGGACTTACATCAGTGATTTGCCAGGGGCTCTCAGGCCTTCGGCCGCAGACTGAAGGCTGCACTATTGGCTTCCCTGCTTTCGAGCTTTGGGGACTTTGGATCTGGCTTCCTGGCTCCTCACCTTGCAGACGGCCTATTGTGGGACTTCACCTTGTGGTCCTGTGACTCAATTCTTCTAATAAACTTTCCTTCGTATATGCATCTATCCCATTTGTTCTATCCCTCCAGAGAACCCTGACTAATACAGTATGGAAATTGAAATTTTTGGTTGTTATTGCTACATGACCAAAAAAGATATATTATATAAGTAATATATATTTACACTCCCACCAACAATTTATGAGAGTTTGTTATTTCACCCACATCCTCTAGGCTTTAGCATTGTCAGACTTTGAAACTGTTGGCATTGCTATCTCATGTTTTTAACCAACGTTTAAAAAAATCATGAGTGAGGTCGGTGCTTTTATGTTTACTAACCATTGGTGTTTATTTTTCTACAGCTTGTCCATTTTCCACACATCTACTTTTTATTTATAATAGTTTTGTTGCACTTTAAAGAAATTAGATACCTGTGTGCCAAATTCTAAATAAGTTTTAAGTCTGCTGTCTTTTGAAGTCATGAAAATTTGTTTGCATGTGTGTGGATGTCTTTAATATGTATATATTCATTAAATATTCTACAATGGTGCATGCATTTCATACCATTTTTAGAAAGGCTTTTCTCAATCCACAGCTGTTTTTTAAAAATGAGCTATTTTCTTCTATGACTTTTACAATTATTTTGATGATTTCTTACCTTATGGTTAAAAATTTGACACATTTGAAATTTATTTTGGTTTAATGTTTGAGGAAAGGATCCAGATATGTTTTTCTTCCAGGTGGCTGGTCAGTTTTGCTCAAAATGTTGATTGAAACATCTATCTTTCTTCTACTGATTACCACTTCACTTACACAAAATCCTCACATGGGTTCAAGTCTATCTACACTCACTCTGTTCCATTGACCATTCTCATTTGAATTTATGCAGTCTTTTTTTTTTTTTTTTGAGATGGAGTCTCGCTCTGTCACCCAGGCTGGAGTGCAGTGGTGCGATCTCGGCTCACTGCAAGCTCCGCCTCCCGGGTTCACGCCATTCTCCTGCCTCAGCCTCCCAAGTAGTTGGGACTACAGGCGCCCGCCACCGTGCCTGGCTAATTTATTTTTTGTACTTTTAGTGGAGACGGGGTTTCACCGTATTAGCCAGGTTGGTCTCGATCTCCTGACCTTGTGATCCACCCGCCTCAGCTTCCCAAAGTGCTAGGATTACAGGCGTGAGCCACCGCGCCTGGCCACGAATTTATGCAGTCTTATATTTTAATACTCTTTACTAGCTAGTCTTCCTTTTTTGATTCTCTCTCTCTCTCTCTGTGTGTGTGTGTGTGTGTGTGTGTGTGTTAAGCCCTAATAATAAAAGGATAGAAGTCTCTATACAGGTTGAAGGTGACCTTGGGTTGTGAGTATATATTTGGCAATTAAGCTCCCAGATAAAGATGAGTTTATTCCACAAAATAGTTCTTGAAAACCGACCGGGCTAGGCACTCTCCTGGGCTCTGCGCACACAGCAATGAATAAGGAAGAAAAGGTTCCTGTTCTTGCTGAGCTTACATTAGAGAGTTGGGGAGGAGCATACAAACAATTAGCAAATAAGCAAATGTATACGGTCTTATTGTGCCATGAAGTGAAATGAAGAAGATAAATTAGGGTGATGAGCTAGAGAGTGAGGGAGGAGGGAGGTATTTTAGATAAGTTATTTGGGGAAGATTTTCTGAGTGACATTTGAGCGTAGCCTTAAGTTAAGCTTCAGTTTATCGTATCTAATTTCTTTCTAAATAGTTTGATCTTGATACTTTAGTGTCTAAAATAGAATTTGTTATATTTCCCTTAAAATCTGTTCCCCTCTGATCTTCACCATTTTGGTCAGTGTTATCATTACATTTCTTGGTCATCCAGACCCTGAAATTTTGGGGCCATTTACTTCTTTGTTTCCTTTCCCACATGACCCATTGGTAGGTCCAGAGCACCTTCTCCAGGGCGTCTCCAGCATGTTTCTTCCTTGGCCATTACCATGGTTGGGTGCCTAAAATTGCCCACAGTGAGATTATCATGTCTGCCTCTAAACCAGTGTCTCTGCCTCCAGTGTCTCCCACTTTCAACCCAGACTCACCCTGCTGTGATGTTAAGCTTCTAAAATACAGATTTCTGATCAAAATCTTTGAGCTGCAAATGGAAAGTATTTTTGCTTATAGAATGACATTAGACTGCTTTATTTCAGATTCAAGATCTTGCAAAATCTGAGATCTGCTCAACTCTCAACTCTTCTTTCCAAATGAATGCTTCCTATCTGCCAGGTACAATTCTAAATGCTGTATGTATTGATTCATTTAAACTACACAACAGCCCTTTGAGGTACGTACTATTATTATTATTATTATTTTTGAGACAGGGTCTCACTCTGTCAGCCAGGCTAGAGTGCAGTGGCACAGTCTCGGCTCACTGCAACCTCTGACTCTGGGGCTAAAGCGATTCTCCCTCCTCAGCCTCCCAAGTAGCTGGGACTACAGTCACATGCCACCACACCTGGCTAATTTTGTATTTTTTGTAGAGATGGGGTTTCACCATGTTGCCCAGGCAGGACTTGAGCTTCTGGGCCCAGGTGATCCTCCTGTCTCGGCCTCCCAAAGTGCTGGGATTATAGGCGTGAGCCAATGCGCCTGGCTGAGGAAGGTATCATCATAATTGCCACCTCATAAATAAGGAAACTGAAGCATGGGGAAGTTAACTGACTCATCTAAAGTCGTGGAGCCAGCACATAGACATCCATCACTGCAATCAAAGAAATCTGGCCTCTACCCATGGTGATATATGTTACCTTCTAATGTTTCAAGATCTATTCCTGCTTGTGTGTGATTGAATGTTGTTCCTTCTGGCAGAAATCTTTTCTCAGCTCTATTTTTGCTTGTCTATGTCCTCAAGGCCCAGCTCAGGTAGCCTCCTATCCCCTTCTCTCACCAGCCTCATCCTCATTAGTGGCTTCCACCCCTGAACTCTCAGGACAGTTTTAGGATGTATCACCCACTACTACACAGTGGAGCAGATGATTCTGAGCACATCTTCTGTTTCTGCAACTAGATTGCAAACTACCTTAAGGTAGACACAGTGGCTTATTCCTCTGGGGCCCTAAGAAAGACCTAACTTGCATAGTAGGTACTTAATGTTGATTGTTGACCATGTCAGTCATAGAACACTCACTCAATGGAATAAAGCTGGTGTCTAGATATTGGTGACAACTTTAGCACATTTAAATTTAAAGTATGCTGTGTAAAAATTTCAGAATAAAGACAGAGAAATTCACTCAACAAACACTTATGGAGCATATGCTGTGCACCTGGCATTGTTGTCAGTACTCAGGAGGCATTCCTGAACATGTGAGACATAGTCAGAATAGACTAGGTTGTGTTGCAATAACAAACAATTGCCAAGTCACAGTGGCTTAAAAGGAAAGGTTTATTCATTTATCATACTCTATGTCCTTTGATGGCTGCCAGGGGAATAATGTTCGAATTAATCACTCAGGGAGCAAGCCCAGTGGAGCAGCTTCCATCTAGAAAGGTGCAGATGCTGTGTCAGAGGGAGGAATGGACGTGGCAGATGTGCTGGCTGCAAAGAGCTCTGCCCGCAGCAGCAGCACGCATCCCTTCTGCTCACTTTCTATTGGCCAAAGCAAGTCACACAGCCACGCCCAGCTCGGGGGGCGGGCAGGGAAATCCACTCCTCCACTAGACCTGGAAGGACAGAGCGCCCATGGCTATGGATAGCTCCCACGGCTATGGATAGCTCCCACGACTCCCCACAGACAAAGATTTCTGCCTGGTGGAGCTTATTCCAGTCTCTGAAGGGGAACACAGACAATAAGTAATAGACACGATAGGTAAGTAAATGGTAGAACATGTTAGAAGATGACAAGTATTATGGCGGAAAAAAAGCAGAGTTTGGTGAGGAGGTTGTGATGGAGGTGTGGCAGGGGTGTGGAGGGGAATGGGGTTTTCATTAAGATGGTTACATTGGGCCAGACGCCGTGGCTCACGTCTGCAATCCCAGCACTTTGGGAGGCCGAGGCGGGCGGATCACTTGAGGTCAGGAGTTCCAGACCAGCCTGGCCAACATGGCGAAAACCCATCTCCACTAAAAACACAAAAATTATCCAGGCGTGATAGCACGGGCCTGTAGTCCCAGCTACTCGGGAGGGTGAGGCAAGAGAATCACTTGAACCTGGGAGGCGGAGGTTGTAGTGAGCCGAGATCGCACCACTGCACTCCAGCCCAGGTGACAGAGCAAGACTCCAACTCCAAAAAAAAAAAAAAAAAAAAAAAAGGAAGAAAAAATAGATGGTGACATTGAGCAAGGAATTGAAGGAGGTGACAGAGTCAGTCATGCAGCTATCCTGGGAGAAAGGGTTCTAGACAGAGGGAGCAGGAGCGCAAAAGCCCTAAAGGGAGAGAGAGCATGGCCGTGTGTTTAGGCAGCAAGGAAGCCAGTGTGGTGGAGCAGATGGGGACCGACAGAGTTTGGGGCATGAGGCCTTGGGGATTCCACCTTTTCCTGCGAATGGTACAAGGAGCCGTGTCAGAATTGGAGGCAGAAAAATAACCCGATTTCACTAACTTGATAAAGGATCTGTGTTGGGAATGGACTCTGGGAGGGTAAAGATGGAGGCAGGGGGCGGCGGCGAGCAAGACAGTGATCCAGATGAGAGCTGAGGCGGCTCACCCGGGGATGGCGCTTTTCCTTGCCACGGGCTCTGATACCAGATTTCCTTTCAAGTGTGTGTTTTAAAATGCAGTTTTGGCTTCCAACACTGCGTGGCACTAAGAATGAAATCCAGTTTCTTCCCACGACCCAGAAGACGGCCGAGCTTCACCCTCTGGCTTCACCCCCTGGCACCCCGCTCCTCGTTTACTGAAGCCAGCTACACTGGCCTCCTTTTGGTCACTTGATTACAACAAATTCTTCCAGCCTCGCGGACATTCCCTTTACCTAGAACATGTTCTCTCCTTTTTCATGTCTTAGCTCAAATGTCTCCCGTTGGAGAGGCTTTCCCTGACCTCAAGGAGGCCTCTCCTGTTTATCGTTGGTCTCACCACTCCCTGTATTTCCTTCATGGTGGTTACTGCAGTCTGCAGTCCTATAGTTTACCTAATTCCTTTTCAATGGTCTATTTCTTACTGCTAGAACGTAAGCTCCATAATCAGACAGCTGGGATTGGCTGTGTCTTGTTCTGTGTGGAAATTCCAGTGTCTAGAGTGGTACCTGGCAGAATTAGGCACACAACAAGTGTGTGCATGAAAAAAATGAATGAGTCAAGAGTCCCATGGGATGAGAAGGCATCAAGGAGGCGAAGGTGCGGAACAGTGCGTAGAAGGCCCCGGGTTCAAGTAGTCTCATAAAAGCTGGAGAAGGTGTTGCTTTAGATCAAGCTTATCCAACCTGCGGCCTGCAGGCGGCATGCGGCCCAGAATGGCGTTGAATGTGGCCGAACACAAATTTGTAAACTTTCTTAAAACATGACATTATGTTTTTTTGCAATTTTTAAAAGCGTATCTGCTATTGTTAGTGTATTTTACGTGTGGCTCAAGATAATACTTTTTCTTCCAATGTGGTCCAAGGAAGTCAAAAGACTGGACACCCCTTTAAATGGGAAAGTGTTTTTTGAACCCAAAAGTGGGTGCCGTCACTCTGAGCATGCTGGGCCCTTATATTCTAATGACCTGGTTTTTGTATCTGTTTCCCCCACCAGGGGCTATGTGCTATTCTTCCTTTTAACCTTGGTGCCTACGGGCTCAAGGAATATTTTATTGCACCAAACTATACTGACTGCTCTTGTGTTCAGACTCTCATGCTGAGCTCTCTAATTAGATCCTCATTAAAAATAAAATCTTATCATGAATCTTGTAGGGCCTTCATGGACAAAAAAATTGTGCATGCCTGCCATGATATTTTGGACACACTGAGATGTTTTTAATCAAGCCACCATCTGGGCCATACATTTTGGTGACTCCATTTTATTGTGTTCCATCAATTCATGGCAGCCTCACACAATCTGAAGTATGGCATTTGAACTATGACCTATAACAACTCAGGGAGATGCCTATTTCCTTCCTGAAGTTTTAAGATCCAATGCAACTTGAAATGAAAGAAATAAGGGACTAATAAGATGAAAAGCAGTCTTCAGGAGTGGACAGTGGACACAGGCAGGCATGGCAAAGATGGTTAACTAGGTGAAAAACTGCGAGTAACCAAAAGAGGTGAATGCAACACTTTCTCTAGTCACTATCAGTGTTCCAACACAGGTGGAATCCTGAAAAGAACAGCAAACATTTTGGATGGTGGAAGTATGAAAAATGTGGGAAAGGAAGAGGGAAGAGAAGAATAAGATATGAAGTATGTTTTCTGTATTTTATAACTGCTGTTGAATTGATTTCTTCTGAAACCCTATCAGTGACTTTAGCTTTAGGTTATAATTTTGTTTCCAATTTAAAAATTAGTTTCCTTATATTTGCATGGTGCCTGGCAGCTTTCAGATTCTTCCATCATCCATGATCTCATCCGGTCCTCCCAACAAGCATATAGTAGGCAGAGCAGGCATACTTATTTTCTTTCTTTTTTTTTTCCTTTTTTTTTTTTGAGACAGGGTCTCACTCTGTCACCCAGATTGGAGTGCAGTGGCCCGATCTCGGCTCACCGCAACCTCTGCATCCCAAGCTGAGATGATTCTCCTGCCTCAGCCTCCCGAGGAGCTGGGATTACAGGCGTGTGCCACCACGCCCGGCTAAATTTTTTGTATTTTTAGTAGGGATGGGGTTTCACCATGTTGGCCAGGCTGGTCTTGAACTCTGACCTCAAATGATCCACCTGCCTCGGACTTCCAAAGTGTTGGGATTACAGGCATGAGCCACTGCGCCCAGCCCAGGCGTACTTATTTTCATTTCACAAATGAGGAAAGAGAGGCTTGGGGCTCTAGGCACCTTGCTCCAGGCCAGAGAGCTGTTACGCGGCAGAGCTGCAAGCATGGGTCTTTTGATAACACACCTACTGTGTCCTGCTAACCTTACTTTGTTGTTTAAATCTACTGTTTTATTAGATAAGGTTCTCCTGAGCCAAGATTTCAGTTGCAAGTGATGTAGTGATCAATTGCTTCCAGGAGAAGCCAGTGAGGGTGGGGGGAAGAGACATAGGGAACAGGAAGGAGCCCACACTCAGCCTGACTTTCCTTTTTACTTGTATAAATGTATGGCATACAAGTATAATTTTGTTACATGCAGAAATTGTGCAGTAGTGATGTCAGGGATTTTAGGGTATACATCACCCAAATAATGTACAGTGTACTCCTTACATAATACCTCATTGTCTGGCCCCTCCCACTGCCCCCACCACTCCGAGTCTCCATTGTCCATCATTACACACTCTAAGTCCATGTGCACACATTATTTAGCTCCCACTTATAAGTGAGAACATGCAGTATTTGTCTTTCTATGTCTGACTTATTTCACTTAAAATAATGGCATTCAGTTTCATCCACATTGCTTCAAAGGACATGATCTTATTCTTTTTAATGGCTGAACAGTATTCCAATGTATGTGTGTATATATATATATATATATAAATATATGTATATATGTGTGTGTATATATATGTGTATATATGTGTGTGTGTGTGTGTATATATATATATATATATATATATATATATATATATATAACATTTTCTTTATCTTATTCATTGATGGACACTTGGGTTGATTCTACATTTTTGCTATAGTTCAACCTGATTTTTGAGGGAGGGGCACTGCAGAGCATAAATTACATCTCAGAATTTATTCACCTTGGGGCAAAGGAGTTGGCCTTTTGTATTCCCACATACTTCTGTTATTGGCCAGTCAGCAGGAGGTGTCCCCCACCACAGGGAGGAACCAGGAGAACAAGGAGGACCCAGTGAGCCCGAGCAATCTTCTCATGGGTGGGAGTGCCAGCCTGTTAGCAGCAAAGCACATTAGAGGGGCTCCAACAATGTACTCCAAATCTACGCTCAACAGGAGGACTAAATAAGTGGGATAAGCAAAAGCTACTTAGAATTTTAAAAACGCTGCCTGAATATAAGAAATAATTTTATTCTGGTGCATTCTTAGGACAAATGGAATCATTCCAGAACCTTCTTTGAAATCAGAATCAGACACACTTGCAGTAATCTGACTCTCTCCCTGAGGAATCTGATATGAAGACAGTCATTTAGAAAAAGGAGTTGTGGCCAAAGCTGGATATTGTTTCACTGAATTTACAGAATTAATTCTTTTAACTAATTCTGTTCAGATAAAAGATCAAGCCTAGCAGACAAGTGATTTAGCCCCAGGCCACATAACTGGTAATTGACAGAAGCTGAATGAAGTCAGGTCTCCGGACACTCAGTCCAGAGTCCTTTCCAGTCCCTGCCTGCCCAGCATTAGGAAGCGATTTTGCTTTCTAGCTGGGCCAGACAGGGATCCAGGAGGGAAGAAGTGAGGGAGACATTCCCTTCTTTGACTCTGATCTTCAGCATTTTTGAAGCCCACTCAGACATGGAGAGAGACTAAGTCTCTTGAATGCTTTTCAAGTCCTTCTCTACCGTGGATGGGAAGGAAAGCATTCCTGAGACTCATTTGTAAAGACTGCATGATGTGACAAAGTCACATGAATACAGGAAGCCATCAGGCCACAGTGAGGAAAGGAAGCTGGGGACAGGGGGCTGCTTTGCTCCTGAGAAGGCTATCACAGTGACAATTGTGATCTGAAGGTCCTCAGAGTTTAGTAGAAGGAAAAAAATCCATCTCCTTGCATTCTTCTTCAGGCAGTCTTATGCAGTGCTTATGTATAGCTGCCTAGTCCAAGGTTTTTTCATTTTGTTTCTTCCTCTTTTATAAAGAAAGATGTTATTTGCAGGAAAAACATGAGTGAGAGATAAGGGATCTGAGCAGTCTCATGTACTTTGCCAGGCCCTTTTATGGAATGGGAGCATCCTTCATGCAAAATTCATGGAGTCATTCTTATGAGAAGTTCAGCATGCCTACTCTTTTCTATGGTCTTAGATTTCTAAGAAAAATGTGCATCTCTAAAGAAAAAAAGTTACTTGCCAATATATAAAGCCTTTTAATTTGTACCGATGCTTAAAAAAAAAAGTTTAAACAAAACCCAGATGGAAGCTGTCTAAATGCTTGGGTTAGAAAGAAGATTGGGTCAAATACAATAGCAAGTCCTAAAGCAATAGCCTGCTGCAGGGAGTATACATCTATCCACATTTAGTCTAAATGTAGAGTGACCTTTCACTACCAAGCCTTGAGCTTAAAGTTGGCTGCAGTTATTGGAAATCATTTCCAAAGGTCACTTGTAAAAAAAAAAAAAAAAAATGAAAAGAAAAAAAGTAATATGGATTTAAAGATACCTTTCATACATGTAGAAAGCCAAGGCTGCCATGCTAGTTAAAATACTATGGGAGAAATCATTGCTGCAGTGATGAGTTTTGAAAATAATCTAAAAGGTCTAGGGCTATACAGATAGCAATTTAATTTTCTTTCCCTATCCATTAGTAGAATTGTTCCTATGTGCATTGCTAAGCTATTTACCAACACCATATTATAAGCATCCGAAAAAGAATATGCATTATTACACTTAGGAGGGAGTTACTGAGAACCATTTGCTTTCATTAGGTCAGGGATATTACACTGAGGCCAGGCAGAGAACATTCCCATGAGCAAAAGTCTGACTCTCATTCCAAGTGGTGACATTTATATGCAGGGTGTCCAACATGTCATTAGAGATTTTCAAAGGGCATATATAGCCAAAGTCACTAGGGCATGATGCGTGCACCACCTTAATAACTTAAAAAAAAAAATTCACAGGCTCAGCAGGAGTATAGAAATACTCTTATGTTCATCAGTGAATGCTAAATGAGTCCCCTTTGTAGATGCAGGCAGAAAGAGAGCAGGCATGTGCATGTGTAAGAAATAAGACATGCTTTGATGATTCTCAAAGACATCTGCTCTTTTCCTGTGGTTTTTTTTTTTCTCCCAATGTAAAATTTTGTTCAAAGTGGAAAATAGATTTTTTTTTGCAATAAAACAGAAATTCATAACAAATTGTTCTATTTTATTTAATTAGAAATCTCTTTGTCTCAAAATTTTTCTTTTTACTCTTCCCAACTAACCCGTTTCTTTTCTCTTTTTCTGATGTGTGTGTGTGAGTGTGTGTATGTGTGTGTGTGTGTGTGCTGCTCTTCAGAGTAGATTGCTAAGGACAATGACAATATCTATTTAGATACTTTATTTAGGACTTGTATATTTATTTTTAAATCCTTTCATTTATTAAGTTTATTAAGTATTAATAATCTTTTCATTTATTGCCACCCCTCACAAATGTATAGAGCATCTCTCGTGTGCTAGAACTTTCCTAGCCACCTGAACCCACTTAGATGAAAAATAAGACACCTCTCTGTTCTCACAAACACTCGTCTGTTTTTGTTAGCGAAGACAGAAGTGTCTATCATGTGAGTTTTGTGATGCAGAGGGATAAACACATGTTCAGAAAAACATCTGACTTCCAGTGTTGCTTCTAACACTTACCAGCCTCGTAACCAGAGGGAAGAAACTTCATCTAAGTCTTAGTTTCTTCAACTGTAAAATGAGAAAAAATAATATCGGTCCTTCCTACCTCACAGGGCTGTGGAGAAAATAAAATGAAAGTAAACATTATGAAAATGCCTCATAAATTTCAAAGTGTTATGCAAATTCAAGGCACTAATGCACTGAGTAAATGGCAGACTTGATGCCTGGCTCAGAGCTGAACAGAGTGGGTTCCCTACAAAGGGACGAACCCAAGGGAGAGTCAAGACCTTAGCCAATAAGAATTTTCTAGGTGACTCATGTGACAAGGCCTATCTGTGGTTTTTGTGGTTTTTGTTGTTTCCGTTTTTTTTATTTATTTTATTTTATTTTATTTTTTTTAAAGATTGTGGCAGGTATGTCGGGGCACAGAAGGGTCTTTTATCCTTGAGCATGTTACCCTGTGCTATTGCCTTTTGGAAATATGCCCATCCTATTTTGTTGTGAGAGTTTGACCATAAATAGCTCTCTTCTAAAATGTGAACACTTTGTGCCTTTTATCTTCTTGCTGGCAACCCCTTGCATCTTTCTTTCGTTTTACAAATAATAATGCTTATAATAGAATATTTGGGGGAGGCCAAAAAGGAGAAGTGAGAAAAACATCACCCATAAGACAATCACTGTTAACATTAGTTTATTTCTTCACTTTCTTTTTTTCTATGCATATATGGAAAAAAACTATATTTGGTTTTATATAGTTATGGACAAACTGCATATCCAATGTTATAGTCTGCTTTTGTTTCCCACATAAGGTAAAATAAGAAATTTCCTTTATTTCCATTTTTTTCTGCCCTCTTATCATTCAAAACTCATGTTCTTCCTCATCTTCCTTTGGTAGCTCCCCATGTTTTGCTGATTTGATTTACAAGGCCTCATCTGCATTCTAATGACATGTTTCTGCCACTAGAATCCATCTCTCTTCTTCTTCTAAGAGTTAATTTAATTGTCTATATTTGTCATTTTACCAAGAGCTCCTTCAAGTAGGAGCCACGTCTATTTGTCTTTTTGTACACAGAGATCAGATCAGTGCTTGGCATAAACTGCTCAAGAAATATTTGTGGAATAGACTACCAATTCCTATGATAAATTCTTAGCAAAAATCATGTGTGTCTGCCCTCTAGACCATTGAGTTGATAAACTATAATTTCCTTAAAAATTCCTCAATTGCTGGTTTCCATATTGTTACTACACTACAATTAACATTTTAAACGTATTTTTTCTGTGTTTCAGATTGTTTTTAAACTTAAGATTCATAAATGAGAAATTCTAGGTCTCAATATTTTTTAATGAATTTTGACATGTATTTTCCAATTGC
The DNA here is from genome assembly GCF_000001405.40 of Homo sapiens. Taxonomy (NCBI): domain Eukaryota; kingdom Metazoa; phylum Chordata; class Mammalia; order Primates; family Hominidae; genus Homo; species Homo sapiens. Next base: position 26,980,010 of record NC_000018.10, read on the forward strand.
TTTTAAAGAACTTGGATCTACTTTCATCACTTTCAAGCTATATCCCAGAGTTCATCAAGACTACATTAAGACAGGATGGATACTCTTTCCTCCAGGAAGCCACCTCTGTTTCCCTACCCACTCTACCTGTTAAGCTTAGGTGTGTCTCCTCTGTGCTTCTATATAACCCTTCACTATAGAGTTAGGATGTTTTGTTATGGTTATATATTTACTTGTCTTTCTTCCAAAGAAGACTATGAGCTCCTTTAAAGGAAGAGGCAAATGTAATAAATTATTACAATCCCTAGCGCCTAGAAGTGTAACAGATTCACAATACATTCTTATTGACTGTAAGAAACCAGTGCTTAATCCAACTATATAAAAAAAATGACCCATGAATGAAGATAATAATGGCAATGATTATGTACCAAACATAAATTGGAGGATGAGAGAGATGAGGAGACTACCGATTTATTCTTTACTCTGGAAACTTTGACAGAATTAATGTTCAGTACATGCTATAATGTTCGATTATTCAACAGTTCACACACTGGAGTCAGGAAGTTGCCCAACACTGAATTTTCCCTTCTCCATCAGCCTGCCTTTACTCCATTTTATATGTCAGGTTTCCTTCCTCTAAAAATTCTTAGGGTTTACCACTTCAGCATGCAGATTTAATTACTGGTAGTGCTGTCTAAGGCAAGCAGTCCTATCAGTGCTAAATCTGTTTAAAAAAAGTCCACACTTTTCTTGGGGAAAAAAAAGGTTTTATAATTTATAAGAGTTCATAATGAATATTTTACCAAGGGCAGAAAATGAGCAAAGAGGTATGAAAGAGGCTATGGGATTATTTCCTAGCAACCCATCGGCCAAAACGAAGCCTAAATATGCTATGTCCTAAATCCCAGTGCAGAAAGAATATGTAAAAATGAAGTGATCTTAAAGAATATATGTGCTTTTTTCACTTGTTCAGTTTTTCTTCAACATGCTGATCAATATCCTCTATATAGAAATGATCATTAAATATGTAAGGAGAGTTCTGTGATGTTGATGGAGCCACAGGAGGCTCCCTTTTTCTTATATTCACATTCTCTAATAGCAGAGTTGGATTATTGCATTTTTTCTAGTTTCTCAAGTTAAGAAGTAGATTGGGAAATTAGAATTGGTTACAGGCTGAATTTTACATGTTAAAGGCTTTTGACTTAAAAAGATATTGGTAAGAAAGAGCCAAGGGTTTCTTTTTACAAGGCCAAAAGCATAAATATGCATAACCAGACAAAGTCCTCCACACCTAAATACCAAGTTATAAAAAAATCTTGCTCCTAACCCATGTAGACATGATGCTTACTCTTCAGGGTGAGGTATCCACCTTCATTCCATTCACAAAAAGTAGCCACTCATGTCTAGGATCCATCAATGTGTGAATTCTTGACACTTAGCTGCAGCAAGTATTTGCTAAGTGGCATATTCAGAACAGAGCCGCATCTATCATTCAAGTGTTACTAATTTCCATTGTAATGAGCACTTGAGAATGAACAGTAAGTTCGTTGTTCAGGAATACATGTGCAATCCTGCTGTTGATGGCCCATAAACACGAACTCATTTTCCAACCCTCAGGGCTTGCCTCTGGCACATGGAATTTGGAGGTATGATTTCTGTGGGTAATTATCCCACTTTGCATGTGTACAGTGCTTTGTAGTTAACAAAGACTTCCATTACATAAACTTGCACATCCAGTAGAAGCGGAGGCCTGACAATTTAATTATTACTATTAAATTGAAAGCTAACTGTAATCATTTCTGACAAGTCCCCTATCTTTGTCAGCAAATTTAGTGGGTTGAGTCAACTGCTAATTTGAATCCAGTCCATTTTCCTCCATGCCGTCATTGCCCTAGTTGAAGTTCTTATCAGCTCTCTCGATCAGCTGCAATATTTCTTCTAACCAGTCTTCTGTATTCCAGTCTCCCATCCTCCCCTTCCCACTTCCCAGTAAATCCTCCACACAGCAGTCAGAATGACCTTTAGAAAAGCAAATCTATTATGTTATTTTCCCTCCTTAACATCATTCAATGGCTTACAGCTGCCTTTAAGATAAAGTACAAAATCCTCCGCAGAGTAAAAAAGACCCATGATGTAGTCTCTGCCCAGAGGCTGAATTCTGAGTCCCTCAACACTGAAAAGATTACAGTGATCCACTTTCTACTTCCTCGTCTCTTCATCCACATGTAATTAAGAAGGGAAGAAACTATAAAACATGAAACACATATGTATGTTGTAGTTAAAATAGTTTCTTAAAACAGTTCTGATTACAAAATTGTGGATAAATTTATCAAAGCTAAACTCCTTTTACCTTTTTTTTTTTTTTTTGCCCTCTGCTTTGCAAGTGCCCCTAAGAATACTCAAACTTTGCCAGTTGGGTGATCTAGAACTGAGCTGTTTCTCTAGCAAAAACAGTCAAGCAAACAAAACAGTAGCAACAAAACTCAACATATGTCACTAAGGAACCTTTTGGTTCATTCAGCCATTCACTTAGAGTAAATTCATTGTGTGTCAGACACCGTTCCAGACCTTACTGGGGACGGGGGACACACAGTGAATGGGATACTGTTGCTGGCTTCAAGGAGCTCACAGTTTAGAAGGGATGGGGATGAGGGGTTATACAGTAAAGGTTTTCCAGTCTTTTCTTCAACATCTCATGCAACAGGTATCTCTGTGTTCCTAACCTCCTTGAAGTCTCCATTTACTGTACCTTGTTCCATGATTCCACATGATGGTCCTTCAAGTACTTATTCATTTATTCAAATATTAAGTCATTTCTTTTCCACGTGATAGTTCTTCAACGATAAAATGGAATAAAATTCATATACTCAAAAAATTATATGCCACACTCTGGGAATTCAACGGCCCTTGCCTTAAGCTCCTCACAGTTTTGTGGCAGATATTGACAAGCAGATAGACAATTACAAAGTGATGTGACAAGAAGAAGGACTGAGGAACTGAATATAGACCTCTAAGTGTGTGACCATCTGTGTAAGGAGAGGGAGGATCTGACCTCTGTGTAAATATTAGCCGGGCTAAGAATCACAGCGGGAGTCCAGGAAGAGGCACTGTCAATAAGCAATCACTGGTGGTATAACCAAGCATGGTAGGTTAGGGGAATCCTCTGTAGAGAGTATGTTTGGAGAAAGTATAGGTCCTAGACCAGTGTGTTTCAAATTTAGTGGACATCAGAATGACCTGCAGAACTTATTAAAGTAGTTTTCTGGGTCCCTGATAGTTTGAATATATGTCCCCACCAAATCTCATGTTAAAATGTAATTCCCAATGTGGGAGATGGGACCTGTTGAGAGGAATTTGGGTCAGAGGGGTGGATCCCCTCATGGCTTGGTGCTGTCCTTGCCACAGTGAGTTCTCATGAGATCTGGTTGTTTAAGTGTGTGGTATTTCGCCCCCAACTCACTCTCTTGTTCCTGCTTCTCCCATGTGACATGCCTGCTCCCTCTTTGCCTTTTGCCATGAAAAACAGCTCACTGAGGCCTCCCCAGAAGCCGAGCAGATGCCAGCTTCGTGTATAGCCTGCAGAGCCATGGGTCGATTAAATCTCTTTTGTTTATAAATTAGCCCACCTCAAGTATTTCTTTATAGCAATGCAAGAATGGCCTAATATAGTCCCATCTTCAGAATTTCTGATTTAGTAAGTCTTTGGAAGGGGACAAGAATTTGCATTTCTAACAAGTTTTAGGTAGTGCTGATATTATTGATCTGAAGAACCACACTTTGAAAACCACTGCCATAGGCAATTAGACAAGGAAGAAATCACTAAGTTTTATATATAAAAGTTATAAGTGCCTCATGAGTGTAGATAACAAAGCTTTGCAGTTATTTAAAAGTGGATAACTTTTGCAATTCAGTAAACTGTTACTGAGTCTTGATATACAAAAGACACTATTCAAGACCCTGTTCTTTTCTAGGGTCAACCCCTCTTCACTCCCACATTCCCAGTGGTTTTCAACCCCTTTACCAGCTTGGTTTTTCACTACAAAAATATAAAAGTGTCCTTTTTGCTGACATTGACTTAAGATAACCTTAGGCAAGTTTGGAGTCAAGACCTAAGCTCAAAACCCAAATTTACACCTGACTAGCCATGAGCTATGGAAATTAATTTAACTCACTTAATTGTAACTTTTCCAATATATAAAATGGGGAAACATTTATAGGGATTTTGTGAAGATAAAATGAAATATCAACTTGCCTAGTGCCTGAAGCATAATCAATGCTCAAAAAGTTCTAACTCAAAAGAGATAGTCTTTTCAATTAATTATGCTGGACCAGTTAGTTATTTCTATCCTGACTCCCACTTCACAAACAAAAACTGATTTTGGATAGATTGTAGAAGTACTGGAGATTGGTAAATGATAAAGCTTTTAGAAGAAAACATAGGGTAATATCTTCATAAACTTGGAGTAGGCAACAGTTTCTCAAACAGGATATAAAAGAACTAGCAATAAGGGGAAAATCTGGTAAAGTCAACTACATTAAAATTAAGAATTTTTTTATTATCCAAAGACACCATTAACAGAATAAAAGGAAAATTTATCAATAATAGGAAGATATTGCAATACATGTATCTGACAAAAGCATATATAAATAACTCCCATAAATCAATAAGGTAAAGTCAATCTCTCAGAAAAATGACAAAGAATTTGAAGAGAATCTTCATAAAAGAGGATTACCAAAAGACAAAAAAAAAAAAAAAAGAAATTGAAAAGCTACTCAATCCTTCATTAGTCATGAGGAAAATAAAAAAGTCTATATTGTACACACTCATCAGTATAGCTAAGATGAAAAAGTGAACAATGCCAAGTGTTAGTGAGGGTATAGATGAAAAGAAACTCTCATACACTGATGGAGGAATGTAATTTGTATAACTATTTTGGAAAACTCTTCAGCAATCAGTATCAACCAAAGCAAAGCATATGCCTGTCCCATCACCCAGAAATTCCACTTCTAGTTGTACACCTACCAGAAAGAGATGCATGCACATGTTCACCAAAAGATATTTATTGTAATACTGTTTATAACAGATCCAAAATGGAAACAACCCAAAGGTCTAGCTAGAGTAAAATAGATAAATATATGTGGTACATCAACATAAGAGAAAACCACAGAGCAACAAGAATGAATGAACTACTACTACATGCAACAACATGGATGAATTTCATAAGCATATGATTAAGCAAAAGAAGACAGACACTATTCAATTTATGCAGTGTTCTAAACCAGTCAAAATGAATCTATGTTGAGAAGAGACTTTTGCTTCTGATCAAGATGGAATAACTGGGACCAAATTTATTCTCTTGCCAAAACCAACCAACCAAACAAATTAAGACAAAATAGAATTAACTACGGTTTGCATGACACTGAACAGCAGGAAAAGGAGGACAGTAATTTCTGAGAGATAGTAAACAAGCAAGGCAAGCCATGTGATTGTCCCAGTTTACCAACTTGAGTTCCCAGGTTGTAACACAAGGAGAGAAAACTACAATAGAGCCCAGAAGACTCTTTGAGTTTAAGGGACAAATATGAGAATCCATGAACAAGGTGTCTAGAGTTCTCAAGACAAAGAACCAGAAAGGTGCATGCAGTTCAAAGAGAGAATGCTGAACATCTGCTGAGGCTTCCCATTGGGTATTCAGCAATTTCTGATGAGTACATGCATATGTCATAATGACCCAAGGCAGGGAAAGAACCTGGGTTAGAAAGGATTAGAGGGGATAGTGCCTGACACTTACACAAGGGTGGGAACAGTGCCTATTCCTACCAAATATACTGGAAAAAGTTACAATTTTTAGGGCATTGAGTAGATGCAAAAATCTTCCCAATGTTCGAGAAGGTCCTGCCTCAGTGTTAATTAGTTTTAGACTGGTCACTGTTTTAGATCCATCTAAATCATAAAAACAAGAACCAAAGTGATCAAACTCTCTCCAAGTAATTTAACTGTATCCTGGTATAAAGCCTGAGAAAATTTCTAGGAATACAAAAACATCCAATATAAAACAGGATAAAATTAACAAAGTCTGGTATTCAATCAAAGATTACAAGGTATGTAAAAAAGCAGGAAAGTAAGATCAATAATCAGAAAAATAAATAAATCAATTTAACTTAAACAGAAATTACTCAGAGATGAGAATTAGCAGGCAAGGATATTTTAAAGAGTTATAACTATATTCTGTATGGCCAAAAAGTTAAGTAAAGACATGGAAAATACAAAAAAGACCTAAATTAAACTGTTAGAGATAAAAACTAGAATATTTGGGACAAAAGAATTATACGGGATATGATTAATATCAGATTAGACAAAGATTAGTGAAATTTAAGCCACAGCAATAGAAATTATCAAAAACAAAAACACAGAGAAAAGATATAAAAAAAGAAAAGAGAATTAGTGAGCTATCAGACAACTTTAAGCAGCCTAATATTTTGTAATTGGACTACCTGAAAAGAGGAGAGGAAGATTTAAAAATCTGAAAAATAATAGCTGAAAATTTCATATTTTTGGTGAAAACTTTAAGTTCAGAGATCTAGGAAGCTCAAGAAACCTCAACCACAGAAAATCTGAAGAAAACCACATCAATGCACATCACAATCAAATTCCTCAAAATTGACACTAAAAGGAAAATCTTAAAAACAGCCAGAGGAACAAAAGACATGTTTTATACTGAAGAACAAAATTAAAGATGACAGGATTTCTTGTTGGAAACAATGCATGTAAAAGATCTTTGAGTAACAACTCTATAGTACTGAAAGAAAACAACCTGTCAATCTAGAGTTTTATATCCAGCAAAAATGTCTTTCAAAAATAAAGGTTAAATAAAGATGTTTGTGTACATATAAAAATTGAAATAATTTATAGAAAAATAAAAAGGATTTCTTTAGGCAGAAGGAAATTGATACTGAATGAAAACCTGTGTTTATACAAAGGTATAAAAAGCAACAGGATTATTAGCCATGTGAGTAAATGCTGTGGTTTGGATATGATTTGCTTTTCCCCACCAAAATTCATATTGACATTTGATCCCCGATGGGGCAGTGTTGGGAGATGGGGCAGAGTGGGAGGTGTCTGGGTCATGGGGGCCGATCCTTCATGAATGGCTTGGTGCTATTCTCATGACAATAAGTCAGTTCTAGCTCCAGTAAGGTTGAATTAGTTCTTGAGGGAATGGATTAGTTCTAGGGAGAGTAGTTATATAACCAAGACATCCCTTAGGTTTTGGCTCTCTTTGCACGTGTCTGCTTCCTCTTTGACCTCTCTGCCATGCTTTGCAGCACAAAAGCCCTTGTCAGAAGCCAGTGTCATGTGCTTTAACTCCCTAGCCTGTGGAATCATATGCCAAATAAACATTTTTTCTTTATAAATGACCCAGTCTCAGATATTCTGTTATGGCAACACAAAATTGACTAAAACAATAAACATAAAAAACCGAAAAAAGTTGTTTAAACCTTTTAAAAGACAATTGACTAAGCAAAAATAATAATAATGTATTGTGGGATTTATGGTATATAAAAATAAAATATATGACAACAACAGGGTGGGGAAAATGGAAGTATTATAAAGCTTTTATATTATACACCAAGTGGTACAATGTCTGCCCTGATCTGAATGTGTCCCCCCATCTCCTGCAAACTCATATGTTGAAACCTAACCCCAAAGGTAATGGCACTGGGAAGTGGGGTCTTTTGGGAGATGATTAGGTTATGAGAGCAGAGCCCTGATGAGTGGATTAGTGCCCTTATAAAAGAGACTTCAGAGAGCTTCCTTGCCCTTTCCACCATGTGAGGACCCGAAGAGAAATTGGCAGTCTGCAACTTGGATAAGGCCCTTCACTGGAATCTGACCATGCTCAACCTGATACTGGATTTCCCAGCCTCTAGAACTGTGAGAAATAAATTCTATTGTGTATAAGATACCCAATTTATGACATTTTGTTATAGTAGCCACAATGGACTAAAATAAAATAACTGAAAAGTAGACTGCTAAAGTTAATGATGCATATCTACCCTAAAAGAATGACCAAAAAAAATAACCTAACAAAAGAAATAAAATTGAATAATTAAAAAATCGATTAATCCAAAAGATGGCTGACAAAGGGAAAAAGGGAACAAAGAAGACAAGAGACAAATAGAAAGCAAATAGCAAGGAGATAGTATTTAAATTAACCATATCAATAATCACATTAAATATAAATGGTGTAAACATGTCAATTAAAAGATATTTATGTTTATTGGATAAAGAAGCATAGCACAACAATATTCTGCCTTTAAAAGGGCACTTCAAATATAAAGACAGAAATAAAAGTTTGAAAAAAGATATACCATTGTAAAACCAGTCAAAAGAAAGCTAGAGTTTCTATATTGAGCCAGGCAAAGTAATATTCAAAGCAAAGAATATTACCAGGTATAAAGAAGGTCATATCATAATAATAAAAGGACAATAAGTCACAAGGACAAAACAATGCTAAGTGTTTATGTCCCTAAAAATGGAGATTCAAAATACATGACACAAAAACTGATAGGGCACCATTGAAAAATAGTCAAATCCATAATTGCTGTCAGAGAACTCAATACCTCTCTTCCAATAAAGAATAGAATAGACAGATACTCATCAAGGCTATAATAGACTTGAAAAACATCATTAATCAAACTGGCTTGATTATTAAGAAAGACTCTATCCAACAATAGGATAATACACACTTTTCAAGTGCACATGCAATATTTAACAAAATAGAACATAAGTCTGGTCCATAAAACAACTCTCAATAAATTTAAAAGTATTCAAGTCATGTAACATATGTTTTCTGGCCATAATGGAATTAAATTAGAAATCAATAATGTGAAAATCTCTAGAAAATCTAAATAACACAAAGGTCAAAGAAAAAATGAAATGAATTTTGAAATGAATGAAAATGAAAGCATGACATATCAGAATTTTAAAAATGTCCCTAAAACAGTACCCAGGAGGAATTTTATAGTGCTTAACACCTATATAAGAAAAAAAGAAAAGTCTCAAGTTAATGACCTCAACTTCTATTTTAAGAGACATGAAAAATGAGAGCAAATTGAACCCAAATTAAGCAGAAGAAAGGAAATAAAGAGAATGAAAAGACAAAGAATAGACCAAGATAAATATATGCAAAGCATATCACTGATAAAAGAATTATATCAGAATACATAAAGAAAACTTAATTTAAAAACAAACCGTAGAATAAAGAAATGAACAAAAGATTTGAACAGGCACTTCACCAAGGAAGATATAGGGATGGCAAATAAGCATATGAAAAGATGCTCAACATCATTAGTTATCACAGGAATATAAATTAAAGCACCATGATATACCCCTACATACCTATTTAGAATGGCTAAAATGAGAAAGACTGACCATACCTGCATTGTCATTGATGTAAAAGGATTACAAATATCATACATTCTTGATGGTAACATGAAATGGTGCAACCATTCTGGAAAATAGCTTGGCAGCTTCTTAAAAAATTAAACATATAACTACCCTTGATCCAACCTTCCTAGGCATTTTTCCCAAGAGAAATAAAAGAATGTCCATACAAACACTTGTAAACAAATGTTCATAGTGGCATTATTTGTACCAGCCAGAAACTGGCAGCAACTCAAATATTCATCGAGGCTGCGCCTGGTGGCTCATGCCTGTAATCCCAGCACTTTTGGATTGCTTGAGGCCAGGAGTTTGAGACCAGTCTGGCCAACATGGAAAAACCCCATCTCTACTAACAATACAATAATTATTTAGGCATGGTGGCAGGTGCCTGTAATCCTGGCTACTCAGGAGGCTGAGGCACAAGAATGGCTTGAACCTGGGAGGCAGAGATTGCAGTGAGCCAAGATCATGCCACTGCACTCTAGCCTGGGAGACAGAGTGAGACTCTGTCTGAAAAAATAAGTAAAAAAATAAATAAAATTTAAAAATAAAGAAAAAAGTTCATCAACAGGAGAATGGATAAACACATTGTGGTATATCCAACACAATGGAAAACTACTCAGCCACAAAAAAAGAGTGAACTATTGATACATGCCTCAATCTTGATGATTCTCATGATAACTATGTAGAGTTAAAGAAGCCAGGTGGAAATGAGTACATACCATATGATTCCATTTATGTAAAACTCTAGAAAATATAAAATGACCTATTGTGACAGTGATTGGGGTGGTAGGGAAGGGTCAAAAGGGACACAAGGAAACTCTTTCTTTAAATATGTGCAATTTGTTGTATATTAATTATACTTCAATAAAGCTATTTTAAAAAGCTAATGGCATAGAGCTGAGTGTTAGTGATTGGAAGGAGGCTGGAGGGATTCTGGGGTGCAAGTAACTGTTTCTTGATCTGCATGCTGGTTACATGAATGAAAATGTATTGGGTTGTTAGGATTCACTTTTTTATAAGTATGTTATGCTCCAAAAACTATTTTGCTTTAAAAGTTATATGTGTTTCACTTCCAAAAATAATCTGTAGCCAATGGCTTTTTGGTAGTGAGCCTTAAAACTCTCCATCAATTAATTAATGGCCTTAGCATTTTATGTTTCATGTCATGCATCATTTTCTCTAGCATGCTGTAGTAATTTAGGTGTTTGCTGTGTCTTCCCTGCAAGACTATGTGTGCCTCATTCCTTTGTGTCTCATTCCTCATGCACCCTGCAGAATCTGTCTCCTGTCTTGCTCATTATCACTGGTTGAATATTGTGTTTAATAAATGAACACAAATTTGTTGAGGAAAAGAAAGTTCTAGTCCATTGCAATCCCATGTTCCTTGCCTTGTTACCTTTCCACAGTTTTCTTTTATTCTTCCCTTCCCTTCCTCCTTCTGCTCTTCAGGCCTATCTTATTTTTCTTCAACATGCTTGCTGCCTCCCCAGCGTGGCTGGAATGGAGTGAGAAAAGGAAGGAAGAGAAGGTAATAAGGTCAGAGAGAAACTTGGGGCTGAGATCTGGCAGCATGGGGATAGGGATTTGTAAGGTTGTGTGAAATGGGGGACCTATGCAGTCTCTGAACCCACTTACATATTAAAATAATCACTTAAACATATCTGTTGAGATTAGACGGTGGTGAGTATAGGATAAGAGGGAAAGAAAGCAGGGTCACTTCTTAAGAGGCTATGGCATATTCCAAACAAGAGATGATGGGGGCTTAGACCAGGGCAGTAGCAGCGACAATGGGGACAAGTGGTGCTTGACATTTGAAAGTGGAATCCTCTTAATTCTCTAACGGATTAGATATGGGATGTGAGAGAAAGAAAAGAATCAAAGATGATTCCAAGTTTTATTGCCCAAACAACTGTAAGTAAGAATGAAGATGCCATCAATGGACATGTGGAAGACTGTAGACTCATGGGAAGAAAACTGAAAAACATGTTTAGTTTGGACATATTATGCTTCTTAGACTTTTAATGATAAATGCCAAATATGCAGTTGGATATATAAAGCTGGGATCCAGAGAGAGATGTGGTTGGATATGAATTTGATGATTAACAGCATGAGACTAGCTGAGGTTATTACCACGGTGTAAGAAGGGAAGAGGACAAAACAGCATTGAGCTACCTCAATGTTAGAAAACTAGGGAAACAGGAGGAAGCAGCAAGGAAACTAAGAAGCACCTGCCAGTGAAAGCAGGAGACGATGGTGACTTAGATGCCAAGCAAAGACAGTTTTCTGAGGAGGAGGGAGTGATCAACTGTGTCAAATGTTTCTGACAGGTCTGATGAAGACGAGGACTAAGACCTGACCACTGGATCTAGTAATAGGGTGTTCATTGATGGCCCAGAGCAGTTTTGTAAAGTGATGGAAGTGAAAGTCCCTGTGGAAGGGCTTTGAGAAGGAATGGACAAGAAGAACTCCTTTGAAGAGCATTGCTGCAAGAGGCAGAGCAGTGGGCAGTTGTTGTGAGGGAAAGTAGGGTTAGAAGAGAATATTGAGGATGGGAGGAAGAACGGCATGTTTGTGTGGTGAAGGAATGATCCAGCGAAAAAAGGAAAAATTGATGTTGTTATCTGTCACTTATGTTCTTGTTCATATCCCACCCTGTTCCTATGTTTGGGGATCCCAACTTTGAGGTTGAGCCCACACATCCTAGATTCTCACTTTCCCAGAATCCACAAAGATGGGGCACAGGAACAAGAAGCTCTACTACCAGATGCCTCAGCCCCTCACTCTGAATTAGAAGCGAGTGACATGAAGAACAAATCACACCACATCTATGCTGGAAACAGATGCTAGTGAGCCTTCAGACACAGAAAGTTTGAGAAAAAGAAAAGTGTTATGTTTTCCTTTAAAGGAGTTTATAATCACTGAGGGTGGGGATTGACTGTCTCTTATTTACCACTGAAGCTCCTGAGCCTAGCGCAGTTCCTGATACCAAGCAGAAGTTTATTAAATTTGTGATGAATAAATAAATGAATACAGACTAGTTTTACTTAGTTGGTTGGTTGACAGATTAGAGTGTGAAAAAATTCACTTCAAAGGTATACTTCAATCACTATCCCTTGTTTAGCAGACCTTAATCAGACTTAAAGGGACAGAACTGAAGTTATGATTGCTTTGAAATTCTTTCTTTTTTTTTTTTAAAGGAATGTGATTTTGTGTGCCTTGATATCAGACCTTATATTTGGTATTGACTAAATGGCCTGTTTAACATTTCACATGATGCGTTAACACTGGAAAAGGAGAAGAACGGGACAGAAAAATGAAAAACAATAGCATTTTTTTCTTGAGCAATGCGATGGCATTAAGCCACTATAATAGTTTTAAATAAAAAGAACAAGAAGAGAAATAATTATGCTTGAGTTTAAAGTGGGCATTTTTACCTATATACCCTGTAAATCCACTGTGAGTCAAGTTTCTGTAAGTATTCATTTGCAGGCTCTTTTGTTTAGTTGAAGTTTTCATTTCCTTATAATCTGCAGGCAGACACCCTAAATGCAGCTCAAATACTTAAACACATCTCATAACTTCAAACTACTCATTAAGAACATTTGTCTACTAGGCATGATAATCACCACTCTCCTCTCCCCATGTTGCTGTTGATGACAACCAATAGGAAGGAGTGGGAGGGACACGTTATGGTTTAACCAGTCTCTCGTAAATTCTAGAGGATTCAAATCTCAGACTATCCACACAGAGCTCTCCATGGTTAATCTTGCTTAGCATGGCAGGTGTTAAATCTGTCCCAACCCAGAATACTTCCACTTCATAGTAAAAACACTTAGGTACCATGAGCTTTTTTTTAAAATAGGAAGAATCACAGAAATTAAAGAGAATTGAAACCTTAAATTTTATTATCTGGGGAAAAATCAGAACTTTTAGGTCCAGAAATGAAGGTGGTTTTAAAATGGTATTAGTAAACTAATGTTGATGACTGTCTCATAAAGAATAACCAAAGAATCCAAGAAAAGTTCTTTATCTGTGACTTTTTATACTACCAACATAGAGCCAAGATTTCTGTCAAGCCACAAGTATTGCTACTAAGACACTGTAAAGGCAGTTTAATATTATCTTAAGATAAATGAGGAAACAATATAATAAATGAGTAAAAAGAAAGACAACTAAAGAAAGAAAACCAGAAAGACTATATTCGATTTAATTGTTTTTAGAAAATTAAACACAATCTTAAAAATAAAAGAGTTAGAACTATGTCTGGAGGAAAGTAAAAGCAAAACAGAACACTTACTTTGTTCTAAATATGGCCATTTGGAAACTGTGAACTGAGATTGCACAGAGAGATTCTGATCATAAAATAACAAGTTGTATTAGTTTGCTAGGGCTGTCATAACAAAATGCTGCAGACTGCGGGCTTAAACAAAGATGTACTCCTCGTGGTTCTGGAGGTTAGAAGTCCAAGGGCAAGGTGCCGGCAGGGCACGTTTCATTCTGGGGCCTCTCTCCTCGGCTGGGGGATGGCCCTCTTTCTCTTCTCACCTTGTCTTCACATGGTCTTTCCTCTCTGCCCTTACAGATTTGATGTCTCTCTTTGTGTTCAAATTGCCTCTTATAAGAATGACTGTCAGAATGGATGAAGGCCCACTCTAAAGGCCTCATTTTAACATAATTATCTCTTTATAGGCCTTATCTCAAAATACAATCACATTCTGAGGTACAAGGGGTTAGGAATTCAACATATACATTTTGAGGGCACACAACTCAGTTCCTAACACTAGGTTTCCGAAAAGATTTTACACATCAATGTATATATTTAAAAGATAATGCTAGAAATGTGTTTTTCATTTTCTTTTCTCTTATAATTTTTCTGAGGGCTAAAGTGACCTAATACATAACAGTTATGATCAGCCAAATGCTTACTCTGTGTTGTGTGTGTGTGTGACAGAGAGAAAGACAAAGAGACACAGGGAGACAGAGCCAGAAAGAGCGATTTTCTCAGTACCTTTTCTCAATACTTTTTCTCTTTTGATTTCTGATAACACGTTTGTTAGGCAGCCTCCCAAATGGCTCTCAGTGGTCTGCACCTCCTGTTCTTCATGCCCTTGTGTATCCACTTGAGTGTGGGCTGGATTTATTGATTCTTTTTTTGCGGGGCTGGGGGGTGGACAGGGTTTTGCTCTATTGCTCAGGCTGAAGTGCAGTGGTGCAACCTTGGCTCACTGCAACCTCTGCCTCCTGGGTTCAAGTGATTCTTTGCCTCAGCCTCCTGAGTACCTGGGATTACAGGTGTGTATCACCGCACCCAGCTAATTTTTGTATTTTTAGTAGAGATGGGGTTTCACCACGTTGCCCAGGCTGGTATCAAACTCCTGGCTTCAAGTGATTCACCCATCTCAGCCTCCCAAAGTGCTGGGATTACAGGCGTGAGCCATTGTGCCTGGCCTGGATTTATTGATTCTTTCCTAACAAGTAGTATATAGCAGAGTGACAGGACATCAGCTCTAATATTAGGTTGTGAAAAGACTGTGGCTTCCATCTTGGGTGCCTCTCTCTTTGAGTGCTCACTTCTGGGGAAAGCCGGTGGACGTGTCTTGGGCAACCCTGCGGAGGGTCCCATGTGACTGAGATGGAAGCAGAGCTTGTGAGACCTGCCAACAGCCACATGAATGAGCCTGCAAGTAGCAACCCTTAAGATGACTGCAGCCCAGTGGCTCACGCCTGTAATCCCAGCACTTTGGGAGTCCAAGGTGGGTGGATCACGAGGTCAGGAGATCAAGACAATCCTGGCTAACACGGTGAAACCCCATCTCTACTAAAAAAAAAAAAAAAAAAAATGCAAAAAATTAGCTGGGCGTGGTGGTGGGCGCCTGTAGTCTCAGTTACTCGGGAGGCTGATGCAGGAGAATGGCATGAACCCGGGAGGCGGAGCTTGCAGTGAGCCAAGATCGCGCCACTACACTGCAACCCGGGTGACAGAGCGAGACTCCGTCTCAAAAAAAAAAAAAAAAAAAAGATTACTGCAGCCTTGAGGAAAACCCCAAGGTAAAACTTTCTAGCTAAGCTGGCTGGATTCCCGACCCACAGAAACCGTGGAATAATAGACTGCTGCTGTTTTCAGCTGCTAAATGTTGACATAATTTGTTATGCAGCAGTTGATAACTAATACAAGCTTAGCCTGCAAATGTCAGTCCAAATTTTCCTTTTCAAGCTGTAGCTTGGGATACATGAAAAATAAGCAAGTGTTTTCAAAAATCAGTTTCAGAAAACTTTCATTAACACTTATAAATTGAGATGAAAAACCTAGGATGAAAGTTTTCAACACAATAACAAACCTGAAAAGAAAGACTGCTTTGCTTTGTCTATTATTAAAGCAAAATTGCTTATTGTGTATCTTAATGTAATTGATTTACATTTTCGTTCTATAATAATTTAGTTTAGGCTGAATTTTGAAAATAAATCAGCTGCAATTTTAGTTTCCCTCTTAAGAGAGAGCTAAAAGTTCAAGAATTACAAAATTAATAGTGTCAGCAATAAGAAATTATATAGTTAATATGAAATGCCCGTCTGGATGATAGAGCCAGATTCTTTACTCGTTGCTTACATGTCTTATAAGCCAGGAATGGGTCTGGTCCAATATCTGAGTCCATCATGATTTGTTTCTCATGGTGCTCAGGCACCTGCCCTGTCCATCCAAGATGATGTGGGCAGGCCTGGGTGATACCCAGGGTAGTCCGTCATGCACCATTCTTACACTCTCATTCTTTGTACTTCTGCTCTTACAACTTATACCCTGTAAACATGATTCTAAGTCAGCAACATTTTTTTTAATTGGAAGGCTTTAGACACACTGATATAGTTTGGATGTTTTGTCCCCTCCAAATCCCACGTTGAAAGGTAACCCTCAACGTTGGAGGTGGGGCCTGGTAGGAGGTGTTTGGGTCATGGGAGCGGATCCCTCATGAATGGCTCGGTGCTGTCCTCATGATAGTGAGTGAGTTCTTCAGAGATCTGGTTGTTTAAAAGTGTGTGGTACATGCAGGATATGAGGGAGAGGAAAGGCCTCTTCTTCCGTGCTTTTATAATCATTGGTTAACAGTTAGGGTAGCAGTGCTTCTATATAGGACAAAACCAAACTCCATTGGCTGGAGAGGCTGCAAGGCAGGAAGGCGGATACCTGCCCCAAAGGATGTTAGAGAATGGGCAGTTTCATAATTTTCAGACAGGCCTGAGGATACAGACTCTAGTTAAAGTACTGCCTTGGATTACTGTCCAAAATACTCTCTTGTCCCTCCACAGTGTGCATGTATGTGAAATGCATGGCTGTGTGCATGTATGTGTGTAATCTAACATCAGATGCTATATCTATGTGTATATACAGGTACCTAAACTATGCCTAATCTCTTAATTTGACTCTATGCTGCTTGTCAGAGAAAAGCAGTAGAAAATTTGATTTGGGCCATATTTCCTCTATCGTCAGCAATAATCCTTTGTATTTTAAACACATGTCCCACAACTATCAGAAAAATATGCAGTATTTTTTGTTAGTATTTTAAACATCTTAGCACAATGAGTCATAGCATGGGTCTGGAATTCTGACCTCCTGAGTTCCAATTTTGCTTTACCACTTGCTAGCTACGTAGGTATGTTGTTTCATTCTGTGAATTCCACCTTTGCATCTTTAAAAGGGAATAACAGCAGATGTTACTGACAGGGCTATAGAGTGCTTAGGATCCACACACAGCTATTAATCAATAAATGTTGGTGATCATGCAGAAAGGTGGAACAACTTTCTTAAAATAAGTAATTCTCCAGCATATAACTGCAAACAAAATTCTAAGTAGAGAAAGTGTTATTATTAGTAGTATAATCCTGAGCTATAAAATAAAATGCTCCAGTAATATCTATATTATCCATTATAAACACAATTAGTATAATGTAATCCATCTTTCTAAGCCATCTGTGGGGGTTTGGTTACTTCTTCTTACATAATCTCATTGAAGAGGATCTCATGGCATGGAATTAGAGGAGAAACCACTATGTAGTGATGAGATTTATCTGCACAATGCAAGATTTCTAGCTAAGCTTCATGTAAAAGGTATGTCTTGACATGCATCTTAGACAATAATGCCATGGGAAAGAGTTCTGCAAATGGAGTTGGAAACTTTTGATAAGGAAAGGGTTAAGATA
Organism: Homo sapiens; assembly: GCF_000001405.40. Lineage (NCBI taxonomy): Eukaryota > Metazoa > Chordata > Mammalia > Primates > Hominidae > Homo > Homo sapiens. Next base: position 26,997,633 of record NC_000018.10, read on the forward strand.
AATGTGATCTTGTAGCTTGGTGGCCATTCCACGACATCACCCTAGAATAGCACTCAAAATTAATCTCCAACTGCGAATCACTTTCCCTTTATAATAGCACATAACCACTTTACTATACTACCTAACAAGACATTTTGGGTAATATCACTGTCTTCAAGGCCTGGGAATAAGGCTGAACCATGATTTTTCGGGCCTAATATAAATTTCTGCCACAGGCCTCTAGTCAGGGCCTGCATAGGGCCATTTACATATACTCTCTGCCATTAATTTTTGCCACAAAGCACACAGTTCTAAACCACAGCATATGATGTGGAACTATGAAGAAGCGTTATTTTTATTTTGAATTCCCATTCTGCATAGCTAGTAATTTTGCATCTTTTTTTGTTCTGTAATCAACAGGAGGAGCAGTGTCAACAGTCCTAGCCAGCTGTTGCTGAAGGGCCCAACACCAAATCCCAGCTGAAGAACAGCTTCTCATCTTTTGAGACACAGCACAGGGTGATGGGCATGGAGCTCTTCCACACTCCCCACAGTCTGACTTAGCTCTCTCCGTTGTGCCCTCCTGGCACCCTGCTCGTATTTTATTGTGGCACCTATATCGCTGGATCTCACTCACTGGTTTGCACTCCTGTATCCCCTTTGAGGGAACAAATCCCATGCCTCTGCAATCCCAGGATCTGATACTGAGATAGACACTAAACAGATATTTAAAAATTTTTGATAATCAATGAATGGACAAGGAGAATAAATAATATGAAAGATGAAATAAAGAAATAAAAGTATTAATGAGAGTATAAACATATCCAGATTGGGCTGGGTGCGATGGCTCATGCCTATAATCCCAGCACTTTGGGAGGCTGAGGTGGGAGGATCACTTGAGGTCAAGAGTTCGAGAGCAGCCTGGCCAACATGGCGAAACCCTGTCTCTGCTAGAGATACAAAAATTAGCTGGGTGTGGTGGTGTGTGCTTGTAATCCCAGCTACTTGGGAGGCTGAGGCAGGAGAATCACTTGAACCTGGGAGGCGGAAGCTGCAGTGAGCTGAAATTGCACCAGCCTGGGTGACACAGTGAGACTCTGTCTCAAAACAAAACAAAACAACAACAACAAAAAAAAAAAAAAAAGAAAGAAAGAAAAAAAGAAATCCAGATAGACTATTATGTCTTACTGTTCTTTTTCATTCATACCAAATGGGAAAGAATTTCCTGTCAATGCTGGCAGTCTCTGGCTATCATGTGGCAGCATCCGGGAAGGACCTTTGAGGCCACGCTCTTTCCCTCAGGGGACAGTGAGGTGCGTTGTCCATGGCACCGATGGGTTTTTCTCTGGGTAGCAGGAGGTTCCACAATTCCCCAGCCCCATTTCCTTTTAAGTCATTCTGGTTATCATTTCAGTTGAAAGAATTGGAGCTACTTTTCACTTGGGAGAACATAATAAAAATCACTTATTCAGTACTAAATTAGGATGGACAGCCTTTCTCTTGGGAAGAAAAGCAATAACAGATCACAATAATGAGATTGTGCAACAAGCTTTGAAAATGCTTATACTACATTTATATGAAACAGTATTTGCTTACACTTCAGATATGGCTGTCGATTTATGGTTCAGAGCCATGGAGCAGGTAATAAATATGACTGTGACAACTTTCTGAAATCATTTTTATTACTTTTTAAAAATAAAAATACTATTTGCTGTTCAATTCCTATTAAACTATAGCTTCTAAAATACTCAACTTTGGATTTTCAAAATCAATTCTGGAAGGATGTAGTCCATAATGCTATAATTCATTTTTCAAAGTACATAGCATCACTGATGCAGTGTGCTCTAAAAACTTGTGTTCCAAGCATGATAATGATTTTTAGTCCATATCATTGATATTGACTTTACTAGGTCTCATAAAATGCATTTCCAAAAGTAATTACATGTTTTGTAAGATGAAACTCAATATTTAATTTTAAATTTAAATAGAACAAACATTTAAAAGTTTATATAAAAAAATTGGTGAAAGAAAAAGAATTTCACTATATTATATAATTTTGTATATCCTGAGAAAGTTATATTTTTCTCTTTAACTTTCTAAATTCTAACAAATGAGGTCCAAATTACCTACCTTTCAGGGATTTTTAAGTATTGTAATGTATAAAATATAACAGAGTTGGTAGTAGTAAAGTTATTATTATCTAAATATTAAGGGAAGTCTATGGATAAAATAAAAATAAAAACAACAAATACATACAATCAGTTTAGTTGGGTACTTAGACGTTAAGTGGGACAGTGTGTAATGATGCAAAGCCAACTATTTAGTAGCTGGTTATAAAGCACATTTCTTAAAATAGGAGGGGAAACCCCTTAAATACAAGAGAACCACGTAATAAAAATGCAACAGAAAAGCAGCTTGATGATGTGCACATTCAACTCAGTAACATGCTTGTAAATACAGAGACCTAGGCTGTCTTTTTTCATTTTGGGGAACAGATTCTAAATGATATCTCCAACTACCTCTTACCCCATCCCTGGTAGGATCACATTACAGATATCCACCCCGGTTTTCAAAGTTGTGCAGATAGCTAACCATGCTCCTAGATTCACCCCAGACCTCTGAATTGTCTAACCACATCTGCTTTGCTCTTAGTTTCCACATACAGAACTCTAGATTTGTTGGACGTTTGAGGGCTTTAGCAACTTCAGCAAGAAAAAACTATAGACATAGAATAGTCTTTCAAGAATAACAAGATGAGTTAAGTGGCAAAGGTGTTCACTTACGAAGGGACTTATCAAAATTTTAGTCCAGGTATGCCTTGCTTTCAGCTAACTCAAATGTAGAGAATCTAAAATAATATATCTATTCTTTCAAAATTAATTTGTCGGGCAAGTGATATGTGACGTGGAAACATAAGATGAAGCCCTAGCCTAGCAGTCCACAGCCTACAGAAACAGTCTTAAAGCCTTTTTCATTGTACAGCACTTTCTCTCCATCATTTATTTGTTTTGTCTATCTATCTATCTATCTATCTATCTATCTATCTCTCTATCTATCTATTATTCTATCTATCCAACCATCCTTTATCATATACCACCATGGTAGAATATTTTGATCTCATAAAATTTACCTTTCCCCTAAAATAGAGATTTAAAAAGATAAAGAATACACACAAATGACATCTCCAACTCCCTCCTACCACATCCCTGGAGGGATCACATTACAGATACCCATGTGGGTTTCCAAAGTTGTGTATATAGCTAACCATGCTCTCAAGATTCACCCCCCCATCTCTGAATTGTCTAATCACATCTACTTTGCTCTTAGAACAAACGGAAGTTCTAATCATTTCTCCCTAGTAGATGATCTTGCATACCCCTTGGGATATGAGCAACCCACATTGGAGATCAGTGCCCCCAAAGGTTATAAAGCATGTGAACAGATTACCATCAGAAGGCACAGAGATAGAAGCAACTAACTCCCTAGGGGAATTGGAAAAACTTTACAGGGAGAGTAGATTTATAAACAGGGTCTTTGAAAAATGAGGAGGATACAAAACATAATGTAGGAGGTGATGATGTGTGTGCATATAAGTAGATTATGCACTGATCTTCTCTAAGGGAATAATAAAAAGCCAGACTGACTCTAGGACTGGACATTAAACTTGGTAGATTAAGAGGAGGAAGAGAAATAATTCTATTCCCTTGGAAAAGAGGCATGACCCTCGGCTGCTCACATTCCATGCCCAAGGAGGGCTGAGATGCTGCATCTAGTCCAAGAATGTATTTGGGTGAAGCATTAGCAAAAGTATAAAGAAGTTTGTTTTGCAAACAATTTTTTACTGCTTTCCTAGAAGTGCTTTTACTTTTAGACTCTTAAGACAAGCTGAGATTTGGATGTGGAACTAGTTAAGAGAGAAAAGAAGGTTCATGGCTTAACTAGGTTGGAGGCTAGTTGGCCTGCCTCTAACTTTGTCTTGCAGAGACTTCATGGGGCTTGGAGTAAAGGCATTATTAAAAAAAGACTATGCCCTCCTGATTCTGTTTGCTGGGCACACCCTTCCTCAGAGACCTCAGAATGCATGGTGGGAGGGTGGGAGGGCAGGAGGGATAGGACAGAACTTAGTTATTGAGGATCTCATTTCAGATAAGACTACTTATGACAGAAGTTTGGACTGGGTAAAATGTCAACACAAACATGGGTTGTGGATTGGCACACTCAGGTGAGGAATGGCATAGAATCAGAAACACCCACGGAACAGAAGACATTTACCAGGAAGATGGGGGAAAGGCAGAGGGAACAGTGGAATTATGAGATAACAACCTAACCTCTAAACTCAGGGCCAAGCATATACAGAACATTTTGTGAATTTCAAAATGCTGCCCCTGCAGAAAGACAATTTTTTAAAGAAATGCCCACTCAAGATTGACAAAGTAAAAAAAAAAAGGCACATCCTTTGGGTGGATGAATGAGAAAGAGTCACTCCTTCCTTTAGGCTAATTCAGTACTGGGCCAGGACCCACAGCTTGAGAAACAATGTAAGTGAGCTTTCAGCCCCCATTCACCCTGCAGTGCACAAACTGCAGAATCCTACCTGGAGGCCTGCACCATCCTTAATTTTTTTTTTTTTAATTCATTGCTCACTTGGAAGGCTACAATAGCCTTGCTATTTCCTTTATTGCATTATGTAGCCTCCTGCAACAAAAACTGAGCTCTTTGCCAACATGGATCATCTTGATATTCCTAGAAACCAGGAAGTAAATGCAATATAGAAATGCAATACAGACCTATGTCCTTGACTTATGATGGATCAGCTTATGATTTTTCAGTTTTACAGTGGTGCAAAAGCTATATCCATTCAGCAGAAATTGTACTTTTGAGTACTCATGTAACCATTCTGTTTTTCACTTCAGTAAATTATTCAAAAAATTACATGAGATATTCAACACGTAATTGTGAAATAGGCTTTGTGTTAGATGATTTTGCCTAACTGTAGGCTAATGTAAGTGTTTTGTAGGCTAGGCTAAGCTATGATGTTAGGTAGGTTAGGTGTATTAAATGCATTTTCAATTTATGATGTCCTCAATTTATGATGAGTTTAATGAAATGTAACCCTATAATAAGATGAGGAGCATCTGTGGATTACAGTTCACAGAAAAGCAAATATTCTATCTTCCTAGGAAAAATGTTAAGAAATTATGCAATGTTAAAGTAATGACTGTGTGAATAAACACATAAATTGTGAAGTTAGGTCAGCAGAGTAGTTTCAAGTGGGAGGAAATGTTAATGGCAGAAATGTGAAAAGATGAAAATCTTTTACTAAGTTAAAAAACTGAAATTAAAATTAATTTATCTGTACATTGTAACTCAACCACATGGGTTGGCTAACTAGATAGAAATCTTATAATTTGACCTAGCGCTACATAAATTTAAAAAAGTTAACAGTATCCTGAAAATAATTTTAAAATAATAATTGTGTGAAAACTGGCATTGGAAATAACATTTGTTGTTTGCGTGAATGAAAAGTTTATTTAAAGGTTGAGGGCAGAGTGAGGTGCTAAGAGTGGCTTATTGAAATCAAAGCTCTAGAGTAATCTGCATAATAATTATCCTAATCATTTTCCTACCAGAAAAACTGATGATGTGTAGACTTTCCCATGACCACATGGCGAGTCAGGGGAACAAGGAATCATATTCATGATTCCCAGTCCCAGACCACCATTTCATTATTCAAGAAGACCTAGATCTACCACTCATGGGAGGTTAGCCCAAAGCTCACAAACTAGGTCGCTGGGTGAAGTGCAGCGAAGTTTTCTTTGTTTCAATTTACAGGATGAAATAATGGGCATGGACCTGGTAAATTGTACTTGCAATTATTTTCTTAATTATAACTGCAGGGTAATTTCCGCAGATAGGGTGTATAATATAGAAAGATTTTTTCCCCCTCACACTAAGGAGTAGGGCAATTGAAGGTCTTCCATTTCTCCTATAAGGTGTTGCTGAGACATCTGATATTCCTCACATATAGCACTTGGTGATTTTTTTGTACTTTACAACACCTGCACATGACAGCCAAAAGAAATGGTGGATTTGGAAAAGAAAATGAATTAAATTGGTTTTTGGGTATCACATGGACAAAAACAAGCTTTTGGGAGTTTTTTTGCTATACTTTTCACTTTTCAATCTACGGGCTTAGTCTTGTATATACACCATGAAATATGTTTTTCTGCTTGATTGTTTCCTATAAAAGACTGTAATGTAAGAATGTGTTATTTGCTCCAATTTTTCTCCCCATTTACTTGATCAGTGTGAGAAACTATTCTCCTCTAGCCTCAGATAACATGTTATCTATTACCATCACGTTTAGGTAAAACAGAGCCTGGAAACACATTTTATTGATTTCTTATGGAAATAGGAATATGAGTGTCTGGAAAAAAAAAAAGTACTCACAAAACAGAGATAAAAACCAAAACCAGAACTCAGTCTCACACCTAATGAAAGCAGAGAAGAACAGTAAAGTGGAAGAACACAACCAGGCATAATGGGAGGAAGAACAGAATGAAAGATAGGCTTGTAAAAAGGAAGAGCAAATTACTGCGAGCAACAGAGGGAAGGAGAATTTCCTCAGGCGAGGATTAAGGAGGGAAAAGGCCAGAGAGAAAGAGGCCACAAGAAAGCAATGAAAAGAATCAAGCAGGGCGGGGGCGTTTTGCTAGGCTTTTCTTTTCTGTCTTTTTTTTTTTTATTATTATATTTCTTTCCTTAACAACACATTTGTGCTTCCAGTGGTAAAAGGCAGAGGCAGAGAAAAGATAAGATTTCTCACTTCAAAATTGTGCCCACTTTTAATGGTCCTTTTTCTCTAACCCATTTGGCACCTAACAATAATCCATCAAGAGAGGTGCTGAATCCTTATGTCGATAAATGTATTTTTTCCCTCTCTTGGAAAGACATATGCTACTAATTGTTTTATTTCAGAAAGTACTTTTGGCAATGCTGATTTTATATCCCTAAGTGCCCCCTAGTGACAAGGTCCAATTTCAAAATCTCTTTCACAGTAATTTTGTTCTAACGGTTTCCCTTTTCGTAGTACAAATGTGGCTGTCGTAGGGACAAACAATCCAACTTTCGATCAATTTATTTTAATTAGGCAGAAAGGAGGGTTTCTTGAGCAGGTCTAGGACACCATAATAAATTACTGTTTTTCTTTATGAATTAATTTATAATTGGAAAAATTCACAGTCCCTTAGAATAAAATCAGGCCTCTCCAAATTACACTATTAACAAAATAAACTATTTGGACTGTGAGTAGTCACATTCCCTTCTCCTCTGTTAAGTTATATGAAGACTCAGATTCCTGACATCGTTTCTTTTAATTCAGTTTGTGAAACAACAAAATAGCAGCACAGACATGAAGAATGACAGGCTATACTTTTCCAGTTATGATTTCTCCTGATCACTTCTGATATTCCTATAATTCTAGCATGAAACATAGACACTGCAAGAATAAATGTTAAGGCTTAAATACTGATTTAGCGACTCGTGTGATATGGGCATATTATGTAATTTCTTTGAGCCTCAGTTTTATGTCTGTAAAATGGGAATACTACTACTAATAATAAAAAGATTATTGTAGGGATTAAATGAGATATTACATGTCAAGCTTTTAGCAGCATCTCTGCATATATTTAGGACTTAATAAATGATAGTTATTAAAATGCTCAGCCCAATAATTTATAGAGGCCAACCTTGGGTCTTTTCTTCTCTCTTTAAAATTTGGTGGAACCGATCTTAATACTTTGAAGCAGAGTCACAATGACCTTTAAATAGAGTGGGGATGATATTTACTTCAAATCGATGCTATTTTTAGATTCTCTTTAGATCCTGAGTACTCAAGAGCTTAACTAGAACATTCAACAAATCCAGTTCTGGTGTACCATATTTAGCAAATTGTCTATGAATTTAAACATGCAAATAGGAGATATTATAACTTCTCTTTGTATATTGTTTTACACATTAAAAGATCCTGGAATATATTTTCCTCATTTTATTGATGAGGAAACTGAGGCACAGAGGGGTTATATCAATTGGTTTCCATGGGGGAAGGGGCAAGTCTCCAGGGGAGGCATCAACATCTGCTGGAGGTGAGGGGGAAGCTCTTCCTAGCTACGAACCTTCTTCTTCCACTAGGGGCAGGAGAAGCTTAAGATTTGAACAGTTCTGCCCTTGCAGTCCCTGAGCCACTAATATTGATGTAAGCATGTTGAATTTCTTAGCCACTTCTGGGATGGAAACAAAGTTAGGTACTACTGGGCTAGTAACTGATTTTGAATGAGAATCTAGGTCTATTATATTTATATTCCCATAGCTGCATAAGGAGACTCACTTCTAATTCTTTATTCAGAATTTTTAGCTTCAAATATTTGTGTTTTTTCTCACTTGCACTCCCTGTACCACCATAGTCTTACTTCCATCACCTTTTTACAGAGCTAGTTAAAAGGAAAACTGATTAGCATGAAGTTAAAACGATCGGTATGCCACTGGAATTTTCTCTCTGATGTAATCAGAAAAATAGATCTCAGTCTGTGCCCTAAGAGAGGAGGTCCACTGCTCTAGGCTTTATTAATTTTATTTATTTATTTATTTGGTCAGCATCAAGTGCCCAATGATGAATCTATTTTCAGAGCTCTCTAAAATTTATACACTGGGTGTGGAGAGGGTATGCTATATTCATAGAAAGAAGTCCACCAATTCCAATGAACTTGATACAAATAAGTACTTTGATTGTTCTGAAAACCTCCAGCAATGTGTGGGTCATGAACTGAATCTATAATAGTTTTCCCTGCCATATAAATTTTTATTATAATGCTGTTTGGCCTGTTTAATTATTTAATTTCCATTCACTTGATTTCAAGTGTGGTTGAGATGTCAGAGATCATTAGTTGTTTATCCTCATAGTGTCCTAGATAGCTGGAACAATCGTTTGTTTCTAAAGCCCATTTCCCGTCTGCAGTTGCAGCTCTTTTTGTACTACATTTGCTTGCCTCCTCCACCATTCCAGATTCAAATGATTTATGTGATTGCTTCTCAGTCTTTCTGGGATTGCTGCAATTTTTAGATGTTATTTCGGTTCAACCTGTCACATAAAAACTGCAGAGAAAAGTCCAATCTCCCTGAGATAGATTGAGTCAAAGCCAGCAAAGCCGGGTCATTTGAACAGCCTTGGTGCAGGTAAACTAGACACTGGTGAATGGGCAGAGATGGTGATCCTGTCATGGCAATATCAAACACAGCATGAAAGCAGGAGAGAGCACATATTATGCTTTCCGTATTCCAGTCCCCCTTGTGTGTATGTGAGCATGTGTACGTGCATGTGTGTGTGCGTGTATATGCGTGTGTGGGCATTCCGTGGAGCTTACTTCAAGCTCCTAAAATTCCACATTCAACAGGCGCAATCCCCACTCTGGTATCAAAGTCTCCATGGTGGAGAAACCCACTGAAGTGTGGATTCACTAAAATATGAATAGTTGACAATGCTACCTCTTTATGACATTTTCTGCTTAAGTATCCCTTTCAATTACAACTATTTAATAAAATGGCTGTCTCCTGTTTCCATAGTCAGTGAGAGATGGTGGCTGAGAGAGAAAGACACAGACAGCACAATATATGTTTTGGAGGTAAAATTGATAGATAGCCCTTAATTGAAAATGCAGACTAAAGAAGAGGGAAAGTGTCCAGTCCTAAGTTTCCAGCAGTAGCAAGGAGGTGACACTTACTGAACTGAGAGATTTTGGAAGAGGGCCAGGGGTGAGGCAGGTAGCACTAATGGCATATCAATAGGCAGGTGGTTACGTGGCTCTCATGTTCTGAAGATAAGCAAGTGAAGAAGAGACATTGGCTTACAAGAGCAGATATAATCACTGTAGGAGGGAAAGAGGATAGATTAAAAAGCAAAAGGCCAAGCCAAGAATAATCCAGTGAGTAAAATTCCAATAGAAGAACAAAACTCAAAGGGATGGAAAAGGAACAGTCAGAAAGGGAAGGGGGAATCCTATTTTTCTAGAAGGAGAGGATAATAAGATTAGGACAGGTCATGTCAGATGGACAATAAAGTGTCCTCTGAATTTAACAGCATGGAGATCAACCATTCGCAAGTGCAAATCAGTGGAGTGGCTGGGACAGAGCCAGACTGGGGTGAACATGGAGAAAATAGGGTCTGGGGGGACAGGAAAGGGTATAGATAACTCTTCTGAAATGCATGGCTAAGGAAAAGAGCTGTATCTGGAAAAGGATACAGGATTCAGGAAGATCATTTACTGACTGATTTATTTTTTGGTGGGGGAGAATACAGAGCATTGCAAATGCTGACAGAAAGCATCCAGTAGAGAAGAGGTTAAAGATCCAGAAGAGAAAGTGAGTCACTCATCAGGGAGGTTCATGGGAGGACACGGAGAGACAGGACCCACAGCATAGGAGGGACGACTCACCACTGATAGGAGGTGGGTCCACTCCTCCCTTGTAACAGGAGAGAAGGAGAAGACAATGAGAGCAAAGCATATTGGTGTATACAGATCTGGTGAAGATATCAGAGATAGATCTCAGCAGGTGCCTTCTATTAACTTCTCTGGAACATGAAAGTCATCCACTGAAGAGGAGAAGAAGATGGGGTTGGGAGATTAAATTTCAAACTAGGGGAGATATGGAATGGTTACTTCAGAGAACTGACCTAACTAAAGAAGTAATTTCAGCATGGTCAAGCAGTACTTTTAAGCATTTGTATTAATAACAACAATCAAGTAGTTAGAAATGATAGCATATCACATATAAATCTGAAAAGCATTATCTCCCCTCTTATACTTGGTCCCTCCTAAGCATGCTATATTAAAACCAATCAATTTAAATGTAGTTCTTTCTCTAGTTTGTAGTTCTCCACCACTTAATATATCTTTTGGCTTTGAAACAGTGTGTATTGAGCAGATGTTTCTTTAAGTTGACAATCCTTAATTGGAAAAAGGAAAAATAAATTGCATAAAGTGTTAAATGAGTTCCTTGCGAGGCTAGGAGGCAGTCGTTCATTCAACTGCTCCCCCTGTCCTCTTGTATCTATCTCTTTTCCCTACCTATCTCGGTTGCTTTCTTATTCCTTTAGCACCTGCCACAGTGCTGGGCTCACAAGAAGTATTCTGGAATACTGGCATTCCATTCTTCTGCCATCATCAGGAGAGTTGAATCTTCAGTGGCCCTTCAATCTTGAGACAGGATTGCAGCAGGTTCTTGTTTTTTTGGTTCTGTTCTGTTCTGTTTTTTTTTTTTCCTTTCCTTTGTCAAAAATACTGAAACTCAGAATTGAAAACCAAAGGAATCACTTGCGAGTGCTCTCACTCTCGTCCTGTGCTCTTCTCTCTCACACATATAGAAATATACCTCTATAGTTCAGGTAGGGTTTTTGCACTGTATATCAAGGACTTAAAGAGGAAAGGGGGTCCTGTTGATTCTGCTTAAATATTTTGTTGCAATTTGTAACAATCTGTAACTCGGATTCAGTCATGGAATCTCAAGTCTTTAATGTTGAAAAGGATCGTAGAGACAGTTTCATCTCCCCTCCAGCCTGGACTACACTCTATTTTATGGATGACAAAACCTACAATGGTTAAGTGTGTGTCCTGAGGAGCCCATTCTGTAAAATAATGACCTTAGAGTTTTTATGAACATGACAAAGAACTCTTTCCTAGGAGGAGGCCAGGCATTTACATGCTCATTTTTCTAGAATGGTGTTCTGCACTCATTATTGCTTAATGAATGCTGGATAATTTGAATTCGTTGTTCATGATCCTTTACTAAAAAAAATAAGCACAGATCTTTGGACTAATGGAATTTGCCAAGTCATCATCAGGCTAAGATCTGGGTCTTAGTATAATTTCCCTTCTTTCAGTTCAGAATTAAAATATTATAGATAGGTGGGTGAAGTAATGCCAGTAAGTATGGTAATACATTTCTGACACATGGCATGCAATCTGTGAGGGCATTCCTTCACTTGGTCCTGTACTTTGGGCAGTAATGAAGTGGAAAATTAAATTAAATAAGCTTTTATTATTCTGTGGCTCTGTTGAAAAGGGTACCATCAAACACTTTAAATAAAAAACATATCTTCTGAAACAAAGCTTCTGAGTTCTTTGGCATTATTGAACTGTGAAGAAGCCTTCCTCTCATCCACTTTATGACTTTCTTTTCTTCTGCTTTTACCTTTGGTAGAATCATATCCATGGTAAATTATTTGGGGTTGCATCAGAAATACACACTTCATGAGCCTTGGAGGTAAAACCAGAAGGCATAGTTTCTAAATTAAACCAGCAAAAGTAAAAAGGTAATACTTTTGTTTTATTGTTTTCACTTATATCTAACCCTCTAACCTCAGTTTTCTGTGAAGGCTTATAAGTCTTAGACTGCAATATTTCTAATTCTACTAGGTTCTTTACTTAAATATAATTGTATCATACTCAGAATCATTCTCCTTTATAACATGTCTGAAGATACGTATTTTTTTCATATGAAGTAAATTTATTTAAGATCACAAAATGATACTTGACAGCTGAAAGGGAGATCTCATATTCTTAACTTTTAGCCCTGGGGACTTAAGGGAGGTCACTCTCATGGTCTATGTTTTTTTCTCACTTCGACTTCCTTCTTTTAGACTATTACAATTTTAGTGACATATGAAAAAAACAGCCTCCTCTCCCTGTGTTCTTGTCTACTGTAAGTCATTGGCCACACATGAATATTACATGACTTGAAGTAATTGTCAGGGTGAAATCAAGACAGTTGTTGTCTTACAGTCAACTCAAGTGATCTGATGTTCCACCAGGACAGAGACAGGGCAAGTGCAATGGGAGGAGTGTGAGGTCTGCTGCCCTACAGCCTCGAACTTGTATCCTAACTCCTCCTCTACTTCCTGTGGGGCTGTGGATGAGGAACGAAACTGCTCTGAACCTTGGGTTTCTCATATACAACATGAAGATAATAATGTCATTGATATAGAGTTGATCTGAGGATTGAACGAGAGAGAGTTCCCATCTCTCATCGTACTCAAGAATTAGTACCTATCATTACTGTGTATTTTGGCATCAGCAGAAATGTCTCAAGGGATGATGGGAAGCCCCATCTTGATATCTGATTGGGAATTTCCTGATCGGGACTGTTTCTAAGGGGCTCAGGACACCAGCTGCAGAAGCTATAGTCACTTGCAGGAATTATGGCCATGAGCTGTCTCAAGGGCAGATGGGTGGGGAAAGGAAAGAGAGGGCGGTGAATACACTCAGCAGACCACCAGCCTCTGGTAGGCAGTGGCTGAGGAGTGACAGGTCTGCTGAGGCCAGGGCTCTTGGGGTGGGGCCAGGTATTCAGATATTGTAAAGGCTCCTGGTGATTTCTGATATGCAGCCAAGCTTGAGAAGCCCTGGCATGGAGATTAACAATAAGGAGGACTTGAAGCCACAGGAAGATTTATCTCTGGGTCTTTTTGGGTAATTAGTGACATGGAAGTCTGGCCTGGACAATGTAGTAATAAAGTCAAAAAAGAATGACAAAATAGCAAGCCTATAATCATATGCATTAATTTATTTAAATTTCTATAATAAAACACCACTGAAGTGGCTTTCATTTTCTCTTGGTGAAGGCAGGAATTATTTTAACAGAGCAGAGAGTGCTCATTGGTGTAAACAGACAAGCTTCAAACAGTTCATAGAATCAGGCACACCAATGCCCTGAGTGCAGGGCCGTGAGCGGAAGGTAAGGGATGCCGCCCAGGCAGAATAGAAGAGCCAGGGCCCCATGAAGAAAACTTTGAGCCATTCTCAGGCTGGGGAAAAAAACAGACAAGAGCAGCACCATGCAGTAAATCACTTGTTGAGGGGCCAAGTCAGGGTTAGCAGAATGAAGGCTGCTAGAATGAGGAAATCCCACCAGGAAACTAGAGTGGCTACCCAGAACGGGTGGAAATTGAAAAGGGGAGATCTTTTAAGAGAAGACCATAGAAATAAGTTCAGGGAGCCTTTGAACTTGAATTGCTCAGCTGTCTATTGTATCTATTTATTTTACTTAACAAGGTTCCAAACTCTCAGTCTCAAGGAGACTGGAATATACCAGTGAGTGAGCTGGGCTTCTCTCTAGAGTGCCAGGCAATGAGCTAGACTCACGGCTTCTGCTTCCCAGTTTCTCCTCTTCAGGAGAGTTCCCACAAGGCCAGCAGGTGCTGGCCACTGGTGATTCCTGACAATTCCCTGCACACTGGATCCGAAGTTTAGATTGCTTGCCTTCTACTGTCAAGACCACCTTTGCCTTTGCCCTTTGCAACATGGAAGCAAGCTCCTCCTCTTTTGGTGCACAGGCCCACATGTATCTAGTTGTGCTTTGGTCCATGCAAGCCTTTCTACATGATACTGGGGAAAGGGGAGGCGTGCATCTGCCCAGACTCTGATGCCACTAGTATGCTCCCAAGTCCATAAACTGACAAATACATAAGTACATTCCTATTTGTTAATTATAATTTATGTACTGTTGACCCTTGAACAATACAGGGTTTAGGGGGGAGCCAACCCCCCTGTGCCATCAAAAATCTGAGTATAACTTTTGACTCCCCCAAAATTTAACTACTGATAGCCTATCGTAGACTAAAAGCCTTACTGATAATGTAGTCGATTAACATATATTTTAATGTTATATATGTTATATACTGTATTTTTGCAATAAAGTAAGCTAGAGAAAAGAAAATATTTTTAAGAAAATCATAAGAAAGAGAAAATATGTTCACTATTCATTAAGTGGAAGTGGATCTCATAAAGATCTTCATCCTTGTCTTCACATTGAATAGGTAGAGGAGGAGAGGAAGAGAAGGAGTTGGTCTTGCTATCTCAGGGGTGGACGAGGCAGAGGAAAATTCACATATAATTGGATCCATACAGTTTAAACCCATGTTGTTCCCAGGGTTAACTGTAGTTCCTTACAGTTTACAGAGCACTTTGGCATGGAAATGGAAACTATAAACAAACAAACAAAAAAGACAAATGCCTGCAGTTCAGCAAGGTAGAACAAGTTTTCCCAAATCACACAGACAGGATGTAGTGAACTTAGAACTCTACTCCAGGTGATATATTTCCAAGTTCAGAGTCCAAAATAAAACAAAAGGTACAGTAATTATAAGTCAATTTAATTCTCAATAGTTTTGGACATGCGGCTAAAAATTATAGCTAGTGGCCATCTGTCAACAAATGTAAACTATGAAACTGGATATTAAATTATATCTAATTTAATACACTGTACATAGGATCTAATTTTACATACTGTGGCCTAACAGTGTGCAAAATGTTAGGCTACCCCTGTAGTGTACAGTGTCACCTCTGTCATATACCTCTGTCAAACTGGTGCAGTGGAGTCCTGCCTTCCAGATCTAATTCTTTCATTACTGTATGAGCTTGGGTAGGGCCACTCAAACTCTGTCATTTATGAAATAAAGGATTATATGATTCAACTAGTAATGACTTTCATGACACATGCAGTGTATCCAATAGCAACAAGTGAAGTGGTATCCATAGTTTCTCATTCCATGAACTTGTGTGGTGCATAATATTTGCCAAGTCTGTGCATGTAATAGCAATAGCTAGTTTTCAGAGCATGTTACACGCGCTGAATATACTGTCCATTTCAGAGCCCTTTACGCACAACATTGGCAGATTCATGAATTATTATGTTATTTACCTTTCTACTATTGAGTGAACAGTTGTTAATTTAAATATTCTTTTATAATTTGATTGATCATTTGGCATGAAAAAATTAGGAAAAATAATTAAACAAACAAGAAAGCCAAAGCTTGAGCCCGAGGCCCTGATCCATGACATGAAATTCAAATACACTTATGAGTATCTGAGCATATTTTACTCTTCTAACAACTTCTAAAGATTTAATTCAAGAAAGGGCTCCTTGACTTAAAAAAATTAGCAAAGAGCCTTACTCAAGGTACTGTGCAATTAATATCATTATTGAGAATTTCCCTAGTTGCTTCTCTCTTTTGCATATATTAGCAGCAGGTGTTGTTTTGTATTTAACTTATTATACACATTTTGTTATGTCACAGAAAATCAAAAATTTCATTTTAAAGTTCTAATTACCTAGAATTTCCTAGATGATCATTTATTTCTTGAAAATTAATGTCTTGACACAGTGCCTTTCAAATAATATTAATGTAGAAAATGTAAACTAATTTGAATTTAATAAATTGATTGCCAACTCTTTCTTTTATGTAAAAGTAGGTTGGGCACACCTTTGGTAACATCAAACCTTTGGAAAAGTTGGTAAATAAAATTTAAGTTCAATTGTATTAATGAAATTAAAAAGCTATGATTGTGGTATTATCATAAATAAAATATGTGAGTGCAACAAATATTAAATAACAAGATTCAAGAACTCTGCAACCAGGCCCTCATTCACAAGCCTACAAGAACATGTGCACTTCATTAAAGTCAATGGAGTGTACCAGTTCATCTTGGCATTACTCATAATCGAAACATTTCAATTTTAGTTAACACACACACACACAAAACTAATTTAAAAGTCAAATGAGTAAATTAGTTCTATGCTCCTATGTTCCAATTCCATGTTGATATCAACTAGCTGAATTTAGCCTCAGGAGGTATGAAAAAATATCTAATACAATGAATGGAAAACCTTTTAAAGAATTACAGATCTGAGGCTGAGGCAGGAGAATGGCGTGAACCCGGGAGGCGGAGCTTGCAGTGAGCCGAGATCCCGCCACTGCACTCCAGCCTGGGCGACAGAGCGAGACTCTGTCTCAAAAAAAAAAAAAAAAAAAAAAAAAAAAAAAAAAAAAAAAGAATTACAGATCTGTTAAAACGAATGTTTTTGCAACTAACTCAACAAACATATATTTTATATTGTAAGAGCCCCTCAAACTGCTCCATTAGAAAACAGCCAAGCTTAACTACAGATTTACTTCTGGATTTTGAAAGCAGCGAATCAAAAACTGGAGGATTTATATAAGAAATAAAGTCCACCTCCTGAAAAAAAACATTTAAATTGAACAGTGATTGATTGAAAAATATTTTCTGTGTACACATTCCCCCAGAAAAGGGGGAATTTTTCTGGTTTACATCTGGTAGATTTCTCAATTGTAGTAAACACTATTCACAACACATTCTAGACATTTTCTTGACCTTTATTTCTGTGATACTCTTCTTTTTTTGCTTTCCCAGTTTTTGTCATTCTTTTAGGGTCTCTCTCTTTTCTATTGTCTCTTTTTTGCTTATTTCTTTATCAATCCTTAGTGGGGGTCACCAAGGACTCTGCCCTGCATTCCTTACTCATTCATTTCTACATTTTTAGTCTTTTGACTCCACCTATGAAGTTAATGATTTACTTCATGAATACTTGTTTCCATTTGAGCCTCTTCCTAAAACTAGGTTTTAGTTATGGTCATTTGCAGATATCTAATGTGATCCCAAAGCTCAAAAAAGAAGTATTAAAATTCCTAGAGTTTTCTGCTAAGATATTCTTGTAGCTGGTGCATTCTGGCTGTGCTGCAAGCTCAACGGCCTGGAATTTCATGCCCCATGATTAGACATCCTGGCACATTTCTCCAATTTTTCAGTGTAAAGAAACATACTTTTTATTTTCCGAAGTTTAAATGATCACCAGAGAGGCAGTTGTGTGTGTGTGTGTGTGTGTGTGTGTGTGTGTGTGCAGGCACTACGCATCCTTCGGAGAGTGTGAGGGGAAGGGACCTGAGAAGAGGAAAGCAAATGCTGCCTGGCCAGTGTAGGGCGTGGAATCAAGGAGGGGACACTGACTTTGAACTCTGCACCCAGCTCATCCATCTGCCTGCCCCCAGTCTTGTTGGGAGCATCCAGTCACACAGACCCCTGCCTCTCCTGGCGACTCTGTGTGGAGGGATACGTGCTAGCATATGTGTACATACTTCCTAATAGCAGGAAATAATGGCTTGAAAAATTCAAAAGTCACAGAGAGGGTTATGTAGGGGCTTCTATACTCCAATAGACTAGGCTGACCAAAGGGTAGAGGATTCCACACATGGTTTCAGGCCTTCTTTTCCTTTATCACTCTGCATCATTTCTATGAATTCTTTAAAACCCTTTTTAGTAGAATTCTCTGCTTCTTGTTTCTCTGCAATCCATATTACCTGCCTCAGATTGATGGTGTCTGTGAGATTTGGGTCCCTCGCAAGGTCTCAATCTAAGTCCTGGATATAATTTCAAGACTTTGCTTCAGCCTAATCTTGTGACACGTGGCCTTCTACAAACTTCTTCAGTATATGCATGCACATGTACCTGATGTGGATCCTAAATTCAAACCCACTTGGTGAGCATCCCCCTTTCTGTCTCACTATTCTACAGACCTCCTGTCTTGAGAATTCTGACCCTGCTCATCCCAGCCATGGGCTATCAGTCACCACTTATAAATGTAAGTTACTTTTTGGGCACTCTAAACAAAAGCATTAATTTTGGCTTATTATGGCTATATACACCTCATGCTTCTTTTGTAAGGAGTGTGGCTTGGCTTATAAGCTGCTGAAAGGCAGAGCAGTCTGCCTTGCTATCACCCCTGAGCATAACCAGCATGCTCACCACCGCCTCTTTCCTACCTCACTCTACCCGTTTCTCTCCTCTCCTGTTACCTTGGCCTAGAACACGTGGCTTTTACCTGCCTAAGGATTTCATCTTTGCTGCTTTTCCTGCACAGAGTGCTCTTCTCCACTGGTTACATGGCTGGATCCCCCTTGATCCAAGTCTGTGATTAGATGCCACCTGCACAGGCAGGCCCCTGTTCCTGTCTTTATAGCACTCTGTTGCTTCCCTGCAGAAAATCTCACAAAATCAAAAACTGTACGTTTGTTTACTTGATTAACTCTCCCCTCAGACAGTAAGCTCCCGGAGGTCAGGTACCTGGACGTTTGCTCACCACTGTATATCCAGCGCCTAGCACAATATGGGTCAATAAACACTAATCAAAGGAAATAGTGTTAGAGCTTTCCTAAGCTCTAGGTTGTGTTAGAACATTATCTTAATAAAGGTGATGAGGATGTTTTATATATCTATACTTACATCAATCTCTCTTTCTATAGTTGTGTGTATGTATACATCTATGATGACAGATATAGTATGCACATATGATATTAAAGACTTTATTTAAATACTGATTTACAGTATTGAATCACTGTATGCAATACATAATATTATTAGGAGAGTTTCATAATTTGCCATCATCCTCTCACTGCAAAGGTGAGGATAAAGAACAGAAATCATATGTTCTGCCTCCCTGGAACTGAAGTCCTTGCTGAAAGACAGTGAATAATGCTATAAAATCACTTGTGATATAAAGATCATTATCTAAAGTCATTATCATACATGGGACATTCAAACCTCACACTGAGTTTTTCTAGTACTTCAAGCCTGACAATTTTCAAAACACTCAAATTTCTATTTCTACTTTATATTTCTCAGAAAAAAGAGAGTAAACCAAGGAGACACTGGAAAATTTACGGTTAATCACAAATTATTGGGATATTAAATGCATTTTCAACATAACGATATTTCTGACTTATGATGGGCTTCTTGGGACATAACCCCATCATAAGTCAAAGAACATCATATTCACAAACAGATCTGTGCAAAAATGTCCATAGCAGTCCTATTCATAATAGCCTCAAACTAGAAACAATCCAAATGTCAAAAACAAGATAATGGATAAGTAATTTGTAATGTAGTCATACAGTAGAATATCACACATCAATAAAAAAGGAGTGAATGACTGATATATGCAACAATCTCAAAATTATTACGGCATGTGAAAGGGGCCTTTACAAAGTACATGCTGTGTGATTCCATTTATATTAAGTCCAAGAATAGGCCAAACTAAACTATGGTGAAATATGTAAGAAGTGGTTTCCTGGGAGGTAGAGAGAAGGTAGAAGAAGGGTAGGGAGGTAGGTGATGAGGTTTTGAATTGGAATTGACTGGAAAGGGCAAAGAGAAAACTATTTAGGGTGTGGGATTCAATACCTTATTTTGGGTGGCTGGTACACAGGTGTATCTAATTCTCAAAACTTACTGGATTGAGAGAATACTTAAGATCTGGGCATTTTATTGCAAATTATACATCAATTTTAAAATTAAGAGATTCTATTATTTTGTTTAAAATTGTATTACTGAACACTGTTTGGAATATTTCCCTACTTTCTAGGCATGTGAAACATTTTTAGAATTCTTGTATTTTATAAATTTATCAACTTAGTTTATCAAGTATGATGACAACATTAATGCATCCAGTTTCCTTAGATTAAGCCTCAATTTATTGTGAAGTTCAAAAACATAAAGAATTACAAAAACCAAAACCAAAAAGCCTTGTCCAGAATCAAGATTAAAATTTCAGAGATGAATGTCATTGCCACACTATGCCAGCAAGGGGAGTAGTTACACTTTGAGAAGAGCTCCATCTCCATCACCGCTGAATTATTCTATGGGGCACTTTAACAAGGCCCCAAAAATTGACTTTTGAGTGTTGTCATGATGGAAATGACAGATCATTTTAATGCAAGAGAAAAAGATTGAAAACCTTGACCCTTTAGATTACTCCGAACCTCAATGAGAAGGAGAAAAATACTTGCTGATCAGCTTATTAGAATATTATGTTCATGTAATTCTGGTACCAGGAAAATATTTAAGAGAATAGCTAAATTAACTGCAGGGTGCCACTTTTTCTTTGCTAATTATTTTCATACAAGAATAATCATATACAGCCCTTTCCCTACAAAAGAAAAAAACCCAACAACTTCACAGTTTATTTTTATACATGTGAGAAGGACAGCCCCAGTGTGTGCAGAAGGTACAAACTGTTGGAAAATCGAGGCTTGGTCTGACAGTAGATAAGGCTGGCAAACAGTACTTTTTCTTTCCCCTGCAGGATAAGGGCTTTTCAGTTGAGATTGTTAGGCTACAAATCTGAAGATTTATGCTGAATTTTAAAAAATATCATCATGTTCATCAATTCTTATAAGATTTGTAAGGCTTAATTCTCACAAAAGCTTAGGAAGGCTGCAGAAAAGTCTCTAACTATCCTTTCCTACCAACTTTGGTAATCCTGGATTTACAGAAAAGAATGTTCAGGCTGACGGTGGGAAACATGCCCCCAGGCAAGCAGGAGAGAGAGCAGGAGAATGGGCCTGCCAGATATGGACACTTATGAGATGGGTACCGGCCCTCTTTACCCTCTAACCTTCGTGACAACCACACCCTTGATTCTAACACCATAGCACCTTCTTCTCAATTTGTCTCATTCTCCGGAGAAACTGAGTGCAGAGGAGCTAGCAATGTGTGCCCCAGAAAATACCCTGAGCCACGCCCTGTGCTGGGCTGGAGTCTTGACCTATGTTTGGGAACTGTATCTCCGCAATCTGCAGTGCTTGTGAATACGATGTACCTCCCTCCCTTTGCCAAATGAGGGCAAAGACACTGAGTATAGGTAAACAATAGTCCATTTCAGGACCCGTGCCCAGGAGAACATGCCTACCAAATGCAAAGCTCTAGGGCACCAAGTGCCGGTTTGTGGACCCACAGTAGCCTGCAAGGATTAACTCTAGCTTTAAAATCACACGGCACTGCAGTTTGGCACAAAAGCAGCCCTCTACTCCGAGAGAGAGTATGCTATCAATATGTAAAAAGGTATTATCCTTGAATATGTGTATCCTTTTGCTGGTACATAAACCCTGCCTCAAGATATTCTTCATGAAATTCCAAGGAACATTTCTCAGTTCAATGACCCTAAGAAATGATGTTGAATTACTCTCCACTTACAAAATAGAGGAAAAGCATTTTCTTTCAGTTCCTGTAAATGGAGGCCTAGAGACGTAAAGGAGTCAGAGTCAGAAGAGTCAAGTTTTAGATTCTGCTTTGAACTATATCGAGATCTCCAAATCGGAGATGCTAGTCTGGGTTATATTCTTGCCGTCAAGGACGCACAGAACTGGTCCAAATTGACCACTGTTTCACTACATGGCAAAAAAAAAAAAAAAAAAAAAAGAGAGAAAAACATGTTAATGACATGCCACTGTACACCTTTCCCTAATGTTGGCTTTGCCACTGAATGGATGTGAGTCTTGTGTTCTAAGTGGGAAATAAACTAAAAGACCATATTCCAAGGATTACTAAAATCTGTGAGATATGTAAAGGATAGAAACAAGAGTGAAAAAGAACATACACAAAGAACCCAGAAATGGGAGACATGTTGATTACAGGAGGAAATATAAGGAGGGTGTAATTAGGGTCAAAGAAATAAAATGAATAGATGCTTGTCTTTGCATTTGTTTTTAATGAGTGGTGAGTTGCTTTCTTGAGCAGGCAACTGGGTACAAACCAGGCAGAAATAAAATGGGAGTTGTAGAGGGCACTGGCGGGGGTGGGTGTCTGGCATGACACTAGGAGATTAAAGCACCTTGGAGAAAGGACTGATGTGCATTTGTAGAATGGGAGAGAGTACCCTGTCTGAAACCATATTAGGAGACACATTACTTGGTGCTTCCTACCCTGGGAAAGGCAGGGCTGCACTTCAGTGTGGTTCATGCTGTGTAGGGAAGTCCCACCTGTGGGGTTGAGGGTAGTAATGTGCCATGGGGCAATCTCCACATTAGCAGGTTACCACAGTGGACCGAAAGAAATGTACAGGAAGCAAGGTGCTTGGAAGTGAATTTCACGTGATTCATGTTGGAAGTCACAGAAGAGTGGGCTTTGGGAGCCAAGGCTGAGAAGAGAGAAGAAAATACTCTCGGTCTCTCAACCCCTAATGAGTCTTTGGAGCTGTCTTTTCACAGGTGCCTGGAATTTTGTCCAATTGGATAGGTTTTTCCAGATGTTTCAAATGTTATTCATGGGAGATGTTTATATTCATTATCTCCAAAGATCTTGACTAGGAGCTAGCACCTTGCATTTGATATATTTAATGAATAGCCATTGACTGAGGGAATCAACCATGCTCCCAAATGAGGAATGTGTCTTATATTAATTAAAATAGGAGTCAATAACATGCAAGATATAGCCTATATTTCCTTTATTACTGCCATTTGGCAAATTGAGGACGAAAGCTCTAACAATTCAAATCTCTCTCGGAGGTAAGTTTAGTAACTATCAAGATAGATCTTGGCAGCTCTCTCTTGGGGTCCCCAAGGCTCATTAAACATTTTAAGAGGACGCTGAACATTTTCCTAGTGGATGGTGAGATAACTCACTTCCAAGTGTGGGAGGAAGTGCAATCTTGCCTGTTGCAACCAGCAAATTCTGGAATGAGGTTTAGACTTGGTGCTAAAGGTGTGAGGGGCAGGTAGCATGCAGTCTGGCTCCTTTTTATTAATAGTTAGCTGAAACTTTACCTTTCTATTTCAGAGGAGGTGGACAGCTTTTTTACTACCTTATGTGCTAGGGAAGAATGAAAGTTCAAGTGAAAGGGGAGGCTGGGAATAGGCTGCAGTTGGGATGTGAGACAAGGGTGGGAGGTGAGAGGGTAGGAGGGTCAGGCAGGGGTCTGGCTGGCCACTGTCCTAAATCTGAGCAGTAGCGTCAGGGCTGGAGGTTAGCTGATGGTGACAGCATATAACCTTGGAGGCATCTGGCTGCTCAGCCCTTTGCACAAGCCACTCACTTACTTGACAACAACAAGTCACAGGATCACAGGCTGCGGACTCTGAATAGAAAGGGCGCCATTCTGTCAAACTAATGCTGAGGCCGGAGAACAGGGCCTCTAAACTTCTGAGATCTGCACTGGCCAACGTTTCCAATTGTCCCCTCAATGGCACTTGCTCTCAGCCACTAGTATACCTGCTTTGATCTACCCCAACCCCAGACCATCAACTCATTCCTTTTGATTGCTCCAGAGTACACAGGTGTGGCTGTACCTGCAAACTCATGTTTTCAGGATGGGCTTTTAATTCCGCTCAAAAATATTTTTCCATGTCTCTTTCTTGTCTTGCTTCCCCATTGCAGAATTTTTTCCTCTTTCCCCAGAGATAAGCTCTTACTCACAGAAGACAGTAACCCAGTGGTTCCTATCTATAGAGCACACATGGTGGATACCATATCTTTAATGCTCTCAGTAACCCGTGTAAGCTATGTGCTGTTGTCCTTATTTTATTTGATTTTTTAGAGATAGGGTCTCACTGTGTTGCACAGAGTGGACTGCAGTGGCTGCTTACAGGTACAATAATCATCACACACTACAATCTTGAACTCTTGGCCTCAAGCAATCCCCCTACTTTAGCCTCCTGAGTAGCTGGGATGATAGGCACATGCCCCTATGCCCAGCTTGTCCCTGTTTTATAAACAAGAGCTCAGTGAGGTCACCCAGCATGTGTTCTGGCCAAGTGCATTGTAGTTTATAAAATGCCTCCACATGTGTTATGAAGTTCTCTGACCTATGAATTGCATGTTATTATTATCTCCATTTCACAGATGGTAAAATGGAAATTTAGAGGGGTTATGTGACCTACCCATGTTGCATTGTTCATGGGTGGCTGAACTGAGTTTCGAACTTGTGTCCTCGTATTCTACATCCCATGCTTGTTCACAGTATAGTGGCAAGAAAATGGGAGCTTTCAGGCATAAACTCTCTCAAATTTCTTTATATCCATCTTTAAACTCATCTTAGTTTTTCCCCACTCATCCTTTTCTCCTGTCTCAGGAAGAAGTTGATTCTATTGTGTGTTCCTAAAAGTTCTCTCCTGTGCCCTTGAATAATCTTATTCATTTCCATTTCTTCACATTTCAACTCTTTATGCAAAAGACTCTCAAATCTTTCTTTCTCTAAACTCCAATTATTGTTTTCGACCACTTAAAGGGTATCTTTTCTTGGTAATATACCTTTATGTATAGACCATACACTACTCCCACATTCCCTCAGCTCTATACAACTAACTCTAAGTCTACGTTGTTTTACTTGGGCAATACATGTGCTTTGATGTCTCCATGCTTTTGCTTGTACTGCCTGAAATGCTGCCCTTCCCTTTCTCTACTTGCAGAAATTCCATTCATTCTTTAAAGAATCAGTTCAAGCGTGATAACTGTTACTGAATATTCTCCCAACTCTTCCTGTTAGATTTAACAGTGTATTCTGTGCATTCCCAAAGCACTTTGTTTTTTGGGATAACACATTGCTTATCACATGAGAAAATCACTTGTCTCCATCTCTGTCTCAACTTATGGGCTACCAGTAAAGTGAAGACAAAAAGGGAATTTTATTTATCTCTACATCCCTTGATGCAATAAGCATGGCCCTTGGCTAAGTGTTTATTGAATGAATAAAGGAATAAATGGATGCATGGTGACTCAGTTACTATTCCAATTTTTCAATATACCCCTAGGAGGGCATGGTCTGATTTTGTCTTTTTCCCTCACCTCAAATCTTTGCTATTGCCCTAGGAATCTGACTTGCTTGCTTTGCAAAAATGTTGAGTTTTAAATGAAAACAAATGTTACCTGCCATGTGAGATCATGAAAAAGAAAATGGAATAATATATCATTTTTTTCTTGTAAAGTAAACATACTACTGTCATCTAGGTGATCAACATTACAGATATGCATCCCAAAATTAGAATTTATATTTATAAATTTTTAAGATAATAGGAATTGATCATCTTCTATTACTAAATGCTTCCATCCACATGTTACACAATAGCAAACCTCATTAGATTAGAATAATTAGTTTGGAAAGGAGGAGAGGAAGATCTAGCCTGAATTATGGAAGTCAGAATTTATTGAAAGCAACATTGTTTTATTACTTTCAATACTATTACCTGCCAATAAAGTCTAAGGGGATATCTACTTCATGATCTTAATAATCTTTATTTTACAGCTGAATCTTTTTGCCTAAAGACCACTGTATGCCAAAGCCATGAAAACAATGTATTCTTTTTACATGGGTCACAAATATTCCATTTCACTTAGCAAATCCATTCCTTGCAGAAAATTCAAAGCTAAATTTCAGCTTAGTCTAGATCAAATTCTCAAGAATTCTGTATTAGCAGTATCTGAATTAATGAGGTTTTACTCTATTCATAGAGGAAGACACTTTAAACAATAGACTACAGTGCAATGTGCCAGGAAAGTGTTAAGTACTTTTAAAATAAAAATAGAAAAATATGTAAACTTTTTCATATAAGGAAAACACCATCCTATATATAACTGAAATCAGTCTTCAGAGCCTTTAGTTTCCTTTGTAAATCCCTTGAGGACAAGGATCGTGGTTTGCTTGCTTTTTCTCCCCACCCTCCAAGACTTTACGCACTCCAAAAATGCCACCTAGGCAGTGCTTCCTAGGGATGGCTATCATCAGCAGAACAGGTGCTTAAAAGCCACACTCTGAGGTTTTCAGATATTCTAGTTGTTGCTCTGCTTATCTATAACTACCCAAGATTCAAACATTATGAGGAAGTTACTCACTGATTCTGGGTACAGGCCGCAAGTACTTCACTGGTCCCCATCCTGAAAAAGAAGAGGAAAGAAATTCATATATTACCATCACATCCAAAGACATTTATAAAACTTTCTACACAAAGATGCCTCAAAGCCTCTCATATTTTATTTGTAACAAGGAAAATGATGGGAAGGGAGAGGGTCATGAAATAAAATGTGTCATCCCCTGTGTTTCTGGCCTGATTAAGCTTGGTGTCACTTATTAGGAAACCTGGCATTACCATGAAAATTTGGTATAGAAAAGCCTGGGCTTTGAGCCTGTACTCTTTATGGCAGGGAAATGGAGCCAGGGACTGGGGGGTGGGTAGCATTGGAAAATGACCATCACAAGGAAGACAATTTCCTTTGATTCTCAGCATTCCATCCCATAACAGATCAATGTGCTAATATACAATAATATTTTCATTTATTAATAAAATCTTTGTGTAAAATTGAGTACTTGGGCTCGATGTCTTTGGGTGAAATTGAGATAGAGATGCCATGTACAGCTCCTGGCATTATTAGTGACCCACTATTGGATGCCTTAGTTTGGGAAGCTTGGAAGAGTAAATGAACAGAAAGCTAGGATAAAAAAGAGGGCTCTGAGGCAAGCAACCCCACGGATATTTAAATTATCCAGAACGAATGAAAGTTTATTCTGTAGTAAACAGCTATAAGAAAGAAATCTTAAGGTTTTCCTTGAACGGGTGATTTTTCATGGTGATTACCAAGGGCATCTTTCTGCCAGATGAAGTTGGCCTACTGTAACATAGTATATTTCTTCTGGCCTAGTCACCTATGGGGAGAGAAGAGCCTCAGTTCCTTCTGAGAACAATCTTACAGAGCAGTAAGAATGTAATTATATGACTACTTAGTTTTTGGCTTTTTGGGTTACATGGTTCCATTTCTTTCCTTTAAAACATTATATATATATATGTATATATATAATATGTATAATACAACATATTATAACATATATACTATATGTCATACCATATATTTTATATAATATATAACTATAATGAAATATATATTATATAATACACTTACATATATTATATATTAATATATATTCTATTCTGTATTTTATAAATATATAGGTAATGTTTTGCTCTCTGCATGCCTTTTAAAAAATATCTTTCAACATATGTTGACTAAAACTTGAATGAGTACTAAAGGATGGTGTGGCTTAAGCAATGGTAGGATTAATTGTCTGTCCTGCTAGCCTGCCTCATTTAAATCACCTAGTCTCAGTGTGACTCATTTATAATATTGCTTTGCTAACCCTAATTGAGATAAAAATCTTATTGGTACTTGTCTTTTAAGTTATTTTTTAGCAAATTTCACGTGTGCCAAAAAATACCAGTTTACACTTGCATCAATGATATGCTATTCTGTTTTTAGAATGATTTAAAGCATATATCCAAGGGCATTTTTAATTGTCTTGTTATGAACTTCCTGGTGTAAGGTACTGGCCATTCTACTTGATTTAGTAATATCTGCATTTTGGAGGCAGGTATTTATGAGTCATATAGCTCATCAGTAAGTCACAGGTCCTTCAGTACAACTGATCCCCAGGGGCTGGACCTGGATATGTAATGCATTGCTCCCACCCAATTTATTGTAATTGCAACTCTATATTTACCTGTTCACCCAGGTAATGGTAGCATGATTAAGGTCACACTATCATGGCTTAGTGATAAGAATATTGTTTAGACTAGAACAAAATCTTCCTCCACACAAAATTGATTATTTCTAGCATATTATCATTATTTATGCAGGCTGTCACTGAATCAAGGAAGGAAGTTAAATTGGTGTGGAAAAACTGGTTATTCAAAAAATCTGCTTCTTTATATCCTACAATATTCTGGTAAGTTGCTTATTGATTGTATGAGAGATTGTTCTCATCAAATATTGCTTTTAAGCTATCTGACTTATAACAATCAAGTCATTTCCTTAAAAAATGTGGACATGATAGGCTCTTTCCTCCATCTCCATGATGGCTCAAATATGAAGGTTGTGCAAATCTGGCAATTTCTTAAGGATGTCTGGAGACCTGATATTAGGGCATTACAATGAGAGTACACTCAGGTATTGGTAATTCTTCCCTGGTCTAGTTTGTCCCTCCACACATCATGGATGGAAGTATACTAGTTAGATAAATGCCGTTCTCCCCCACTATAGTAAACTTATTGAACACTGGGATGATCCAGTCTGGTTCCTCTTTTTAACTTCTCTGAACCTAGTTTAGTCTTATGCATATATATTGAATTAACCTAAATTTCTGAAAGAGCTATTTCTGTAAGCATCGATTAAATGATAGGGAAATAAATACAATTTATTTTTTATCTTTTGAATTGTCTCCTAAGGAAAAGTATCCTCTCCCACATCTCAATAATAGTAATATAGTATATAGCTCTTTAAAGGCTTTAACTATATCTTTTAAATCATTGTTATTTTTCTGTATATTTGTACATAATAAATATGTAGGATGTTGGGCTCAGTCCATACAATCAATATAGACTGACTGACTAGCTACAAGATCATGTACTGAATAGCTATGCATATTCTTCCATGGTTAACTGTGAAAATAACTTGAAACCCCAACAATGGGGATTGCTTCACAAACAGAAATTAATTGGGTTTGGCCAGAGCCACTAAAATTAATGAGTTTAAACCTCACATCCAGTATATCTGTTCTTATATTGTGTTTAGAAGATTGAAAAAGAATTAAGACTTAATTTAGATAATCAAATAAAATAGGATCTTTGCCTTTCATTCCATAACTTATTCTGATCATCGTTTTTTGTGGTGAAGCATGTTTTACCTCTTGAAACTTGGCATAAACATCATAATAAGTGAATAGGTCTAGAGCTTTGATGAAAATTTAATTTTTTTAAAAATTAGCATTTCACTGATCCTTATCCTGAGGGTTGGAGAGCTTCACACAGCACTGAGCCAGGTAGAGCTCACACTCAAGTGAGAGAACACAAATACAACCATGGTGTACTTTTCTCAAAGAATTCAAAATAATTCTTCTGGCCATGTGATAAATTAATTTAGTTGTTTGTCATCATCCTTATCTAACTGAGAATACAAGGATAGGAAAAGGTTAGAGAGCTTCCTAAGGCTATGTGGCAGTTTGTTGTTAAAGTTGAAATAGGGTTACATTTGGAATGCCAAGGCTTTATTTTCAATAATGAATCAGGATTTGTTTTTCCAGCTAAACTTTGTAGATATTTGATCATCAATATCCTCTTAATTTTACACACAGATATTTGGATGCAAAGAAAAAAATAATCACAGTGAAGTTTAGGTCCTTTGGTTGCTGGGTTTAAAAGTTTATCCCAATATTTTCTTTTGAAAGATTGATTTGGTCTCACCTTGCCTTTTGTTTTATCTTTTCTTTTAAAATCGCCTGGATGCGCCATTATTAAATGAATAATAACCACAATAACAGCTAACATGGATTGAATGCTTATTAAATATCAGACATGCTGCTGAGTGCGTTATGTGAACCTTATCTAATTTAGTATCATAAGAATCCCATGGAAATACTACCAGGATTTCTGCATATAGAATATAGCCACATATTTCCAGTTCTGCATTTTCTTACATAAACTACACCCATAATCATCATGTATATTTCTCAGTTTCTGTTTCATTAAAGTAGATTGAAAAAGGCACAAAGCAGAATCCTTTTAGATTTAAGTTTTTCCCCAATATTTTACCACTATCTAGCTCACATATAATTCTATAGCCTTTATTTTATTTTATTTTGTATTTTTTTGAGACAGAGTCTTGCTCTGTTGCCCAAGCAGGAATGCAGTGGCGCGATCTCGGCTCACTGCAACCTCCTCCCACTGCAACCTCTGCCTCCTGGGTTCAAGCGATTCTCCTGCCTCAGCCTCCTGAGTAGCTGGGATTACAGGCATGTGCCACCATGCCCAGCTAATTTTTGTATTTTTAGTGGAGATGGATTTTCACCATGTTGGTCAGGCTAGTCTCAAACTCTTGACCTTGTGATCTGCCTGCCTCAGCCTCCCAAAGTGCTGGGATTACAGATGTGAGCCACCATGCTCGGCCTATATAGCCTTTTATTTTTAGTAACTCAATTTTATTGAGTCTTTACAAAACATTTTAATAGAAATAGCAGTTCTCTTCTACACACCCATATATCATTGGTTTACATAATTATCATTGAATAATTATATGAACTAGCAAAACTGGCACAGCACATCTGGGTACAAACACCACTGACGCTTGGTCCACATACATCTCCACAGGAGGGATCAGGAGTTTACAGGCGGGCTAGAGGGCATCCGGTACTGAGGTGGCTGTGAACATCAGTCGATAGGATATAATGAGAGAACGGACAGAGTTGCTTAATCAGGCAAATCACTTAGGAGGCCAGTAAAAGTAACTTCTTTTTTTTTTTGAGATGGAGTCTCGCTCAGTCGCCCAGGCTGGAGTGCAGTAGCACGATCTCGGCTCACGGCAAGCTCTGCCTTCCGGGTTCACGCCGTTCTCCTGCCTCAGCCTCCTGAGTAGCTGGGACTACAGGCGCCCACCACCAGGCCCGGCTACTTTTTTTGTATTTTTAGTACAGAGGTGGTTTCACCATGTTAGCCAGGATGGTCTCAATCTCCTGACCTCGTGATCCGCCCGTCTCAGCCTCCCAAAGTGCTGGGATTACAGGCGCGAGCCACTGTGCCTGGCCAGTAAAAGTAACTTCTATTGTATTTTATACTTTAACTATGTATGCATTTGATAAAATTCATTACTTTGATAAAATTATTAAAACGTTTAAAATGGAAGGACAAGGAGGAAGAGCATGAGTTTAGGTATCCTATCCAAGATTGCAAAACTAGTGGTGGAACTAGAATTTGACGCCTGAATTTGGCCTCCAAGTCTAGAATTCTTTTGCTCCCTCCCATTATGCGTTAGGACAGGGATGATTGTGGTGGGTTGGGTGTGCTGCTGCAGACCAGAAAGGGGGCTCAAGACAGTTCTCCTGGTCAGCAGGAGAACAGAGCAAAAGAAGATAGAAGAAACCACAAAGTGATTAAATAGTTTTAGAAAAAAGACAATTCTTGCAAAAGAAGAGCACTCTGATTCTGTTTTCCTTGAGTTAACCCATGTATTTCTTGACTTTGTACCTCACTGGTTCAAAACAAAAGGGTTTTAGCATACAAATTTTGCTAATAGAACTGGTTTTTCTAACTCTAAAATTGAGGAAATCTTGAAAGGGCATCGCGTCTCTCCAGCAAACAGTAACAACACAGAAGAACCCATGATGCAATGGTCCCATGGGGAACCAAGGAACCAAGGGTGGGATAAAGCTTAAGGAAATTTGTGACCAAAAATAGCAACTGTACTTCAAATGAAGTACAGTTGTCTCTTGGTATCTGTGGCAGATTGGTTCTGGGGCACCCTGCAAACACCAAAATCTGTGAATACTCAAGTCCTTGATATATATCATGTGCATATCACCTATGCACATTCTCCCATATACTTTAAATCATCTCTGGAGTATTTATAACACCTAATACAATATAAATGCTATGTTCATAGTTGTGATATGGTATTGTTTAGGAAATGACAAGAAAAAAGAGTCTGCAGTTATTGAGTACAGACGCAACCATGTTTTTTCCCCCAAATATTTTAAATCCACGTATGATGGTATCCATGGATGCAGAAACCGACATACATGAAGGGCTGATTGTAATTTGAATCTCATCATCCACCTTTTTCTAATCTTTGGGTTTCATATGTTCTATTTCCATCAAGTCCTTCTTTAGGTAATACTATTTAAGCACCAGTTTTGAAGAACTTCCTAGTCCCCTAGAAAGGATTTTGTAGTAGCTGTTTTAAAATGCCTGAGAATAGAATATTATGTTTTCCCATTAGGTATTAATGATTTCAGTTTATGTTAAATGCTTTCTCCGTTAATTTCCTTGGCACTTCCCAAGTTATTTCCTTCAAGAAGAAAATTTGAAAGGTACTCAGATTTCTATGACTTCACAAGGAATTCATAAAAAGGTCAAGCTCTCAAATGGCTATCCCTTCAATAAAATTATGTTAAATTGTTCAAAATGTTTGTACATGGGTCATCACTTTTATGGACTTTGAAAAATAGCTGTTTAGTTTTTAACCGATCTGGTTATAAAAGTAATTATTGCCATGATGTGGTTGAGATTGAAAACTTTCTTTTTATAAAATAGAATTCAGCTTAAATATCTTTTTGGAAGGAGATTACAAGCCATGGATTAATTATTTGATTAACATGAGTAAACAAGTAAAGAGTATATGAGTAGATGGCTTGTTTCATGATTTAAAGATTGTAAAATTAGTTAATTAAAAGGAAACACAAGCTTAAAAGACGGCGAGATGCAAGATCAGTGTCTGAAATAAGTGCTTCTTTTCAGGATGCCCTGCATAAAGCCTTGCCTGTGCGGAGGCAGCTTCCTGTGCACTGCCGGCTGCCGGGTGTGCTTGTCCATGTGCCAGACCCCCTGTGCAGGAGAATCCAGCACTTTAGAGCACGCTTTGTGTAAAATAGAGTGAAAATCGAATCATATTCGGGGAGTGTCTGAGAGACAGGACTAGCTCAAGAGGCAGCCTCTAAAGTGAGAATAGCACTGAAAAGGGGTGGAGGGCCTGATCCCAGGCCTGATTCTTCAGCGATCTCATGGGAAACCCATTCATTCAGCTTCTCTGAGCCCTCATTCCCTCACCTTCACCTATACAATGCTTTAATGTCCACTTCAGCCTTGAGATTCTAGGAAATAGGGCAAAAACAAACAAACAAGCTCTTCATTATCATGCAATCATCAAGATTTTCCTGTTTATATTGTATTTAATAGTCCACCCCACCCCCATCCCATAAGTGTTCTCATATGTGTTACTTCATGTAATTCTCACAACAGTTTCCCAAGTATGGTGGGCTTACTGGCTGGCATGGTAGCCTGCCTTAATCTTGCCATACTATTTCTCTCTCTCAATTATTTCACTCTCACCTATACTTGATTCAGTTCCAAATATTTATGCAATCTTCGCTTTGACCTCTCCTGAACTTCAATTCTGCTTCTTCAAATTCTAGCTTCCACATCAGTGTCCCATTGTTGCCTCAAGTGCAGCTGGACTTGAATGAAACTTGTAATCCTGGTCCCCAAACCACCCACCCCTCTGAACTTGCACAAGTGTCTATTATATGGACACTTCTTCCTGCCATTCCGGCATGCAGCTTTGACATATCCCCCCACCATCTCCTCTCCCCAACACTTGCTTCCAGCCACCTTTTGATCCTTTCTTTCTATATCTCATAATCATTCTTTTTAGCTTTTCAGCGCTGCAGCATTCTGGCCAAGGTCCTTAGCACATCAAATTACAACTGTCTGCAAGCTGGTATCCCTGGCTTCAGCATCCATTTTCATCTTAATTTATCCAATGAATTGTTTTAAAAATTGTTTTTCCTATGCTACACTCCTCTCCAAAAACCTTGCTTTTTCCTTTCACTGTTACAGGATCCAGTATAACTGCATTAAATACAATCTCTGCTTCCCTGTGTAACTCAGAATTCTCTACAAATTCTGAAAGTCCCCTGAATAGGCCACTTCTAATCCCAAGCTTGAAACAGCCCTCATCCTTCTGTTTGAAAAATTCATATAGATTCTTCAAGATCTAAGATGGTTTCTTCTCTCAGTTTCAGAGTGGCCATCCTCTGAACTACAGCAGGCATTGCTCGTTGGGAGGAAGGCAACGGCACAGGCATGAGCAGCATGCCAGGCCAAGCCCTTTATATATACATGAACTCATCTGCTCTTAACCTTACCACGCATGCATCATCACTGTCCCTACTTTAGAGGAGCAAATGTGGCTCAGAGAGGTTAATAACTTGTCTAGGTCACAGATTTGCCAAGTGCTGGACCCAAATCTTGGTGGTCGGGCCATAGAGTTTGTGCTTCTAACCTTTACACCACACGATCTATCAAAGCTTCTGTTGCTCTAAAAATCCTTTTGTGCCACTGGTCTCTAGCATTTGCAAGCTCCTTAAGGGAAGGCTCTTTGTCTCTGTGCTCTGTAGCCTGTGACTGGCACACAGAAACACCCCGTATGTGAAGCCTTAGAGGTCCAGAGATGGAGTTTAGCAGTAGAAACAAGAGCAAACCCCTGACAGTGTCTCTGGGCTCAAAACACACAGAGACATACACCTTCCTTCTTGATCTTTCCTCTACTCTGACAAAAGTGCTGACTGCATATTTCATAGATCAGAAAAAGAGTAATACTACTAATAAAAATACCCGATACATTTCCACATTTCAGAATGTGGGCCAGATAATGAAGAAAGGTCTTTGAACAGTACAGCCTCCGTCCTTCCCTCTCTTCCTTCTTTTCTTCCTTCTTTTGTCACTTGCTCAACAAACATTTGTTTTATGCACACCCTGTGCCAGAACAACGCACCTCAGGGTTTGTTACTAATGGTTTCTACTGAGCTGCTAAAAGACAGAGCCAAGTGATATTAGGTGATTACCAAAAGCAACAAAAAAATTGCTAAAATGTATTGTGAGCATACCACCAGGTAGACATTAGGCAAGGGCTTGGCAGATATTATCTCACTTAATCCTTATTAAAACTCTATGAGATAAAAAGATTATTATCTCCATTTTACATATAAGGTGAGAAAGGTGAAGGTCATAGGACTCATAAGGGACAAGCAAGGATTCTAGTTTGGGTAGTTTGAAACGAGAGCCTGCACTCTTACCCTTTACACTTGACTTCCGCCAGAAGTAGATACAGCTTTGCAACATACCAGAGGCATATTTAAAATTAGTTTCATATCCTTTGAAAATAGCTCCATAAACAGTATCAGGGTACAACAGGAATGCCTCCACTATCATCACACACTTTACCTGAAAGCAGGTGTTCCCAGGGCTTTATTCAATTCATTTGTAAAATTAAAAATTAGCACCAAGCAATCTCCAGAATTCCTCCCAGACACAGACCTTGTATTATTCCAGAAAGGCAGCTGTTGGGCAGTGAGTGTTCACTAATCTTGGAGTCAGAATGAGGTTTCTTTGAATAGCCCAGCACCCTTGCTATCAGTTCCTGTCACCGTGGTTTGTACCTATTACTTCCAGTTTGTCATCTGCTGTCCTCAACTGTCTGGTAGACAATCACCCAACCCAAATAATCACCTGGATATACAGTGGTCTGTCCTTTACCCCACCCCTTTCATACACGCAGTTCAAGATCAACGTCTCAGTTTCTGAGTTCTTTATCATCCTGCTCTGTGGTTGCAGGTTTTGCTCTTTGGATGTGAGACTTGCCCTTATGTCCAATATTTCCTAGTTGCAGGTCCTGGCTGAAGAGGAGCTACTTCTGATAAAATGATGCATCTGATTTGGAAGGATGTTTGCGTCATTCCCTCCCTTCTCTTTTTCTCATTTTCAAGATTGCTTTGCTCACCAGCATGACACACATCAAGCTTTTTCTTTTGATCTGAAATAAAGTCTCTTTTTGTTTTTTATGCTATGGGCCTTTTCTGGGTAATCTCATTCATTTTGTTGGCTCTAATGACAACTATATTAGCACTGGTGACTCCTAAATTTCTGAACTGTATTTCTTACCTGAGCTCAAATAAGAATGTGCCCAGAGCACATGGCCTCAGGTTTTCCACGAGCACCAAAACAGAGCCTATCTAAATATGAAGTCCTCCTCTTCCCTTCCAAACATGCTCCGGCTCCTGTGCCGCCTCTCAGGGAATGTGGCACTCAGTCACTCAAATCAGGGGCCTTGGAATTCCTCTTGCATTCCTCCATTACTTACATGTCATCGATAACCAAGTCCTGTTCATTCCTTCTTCAAACATTTCTCAAATCCACCCACTCCCCCATCCGCACTGCTGCTTCCCTGTTTCTAACCTAGATAATTGCAGTAGATATCCAAGAAGCATCATTGCTTTGGTAGCTAACAGTCATTTCAAATTTAAGATAAATAAAATAGAAATCTCCTTTTATCCTCAGCCCCCCAAATGGATCCTCTTGTGTCTGCTGTATCTCAGCTAATAGTATTATTCACCAGCTTGTTCTCAGCTTAAATCTGGAGTCATCCTTTATCTCTGTTTTCGTATCCTTCCACATCCACTCTATCAGCATGTGCTGTCAGTTTTACTTCTAAAATCCTTCCTAAATCTGACAGCATCTCATTATTTCTACTGAAACCACCTTGGTCTCGGCCACTTCATTTTTCTCCTGGTTTACTTTAACAGCTTTCTTAAATGGGCTCCCTATCTCCACTTTTTTCCTAAAATCCCACCTGTGTCAGAGAGCTTAAAAAAAATTTCATTACCTGGCTTAAAATTGTCCAGTGTTTATTTTTTTCTCAATGCAATTATAATAAAATCCAAACTGCTTCCCACAGTCTATAAGGCCCCATGTAAGCTGCATGCTGCCACACGTTCACCTTTGCTCACCATGCTCCAGCCATGTCAACTTTCTTTCTTCTTCCTCAACCCACCAAGCTTGCCCTGCCTCAGGGCCTTTGCACTCTTCTCTCAGATCTGCTCAAGGCTGGTTCCTTCATATCACTCAGGATTTAGCTCAAATGCCTCCTCCTCAGAGAAGTCTTCCTCTCCCATTCTGGCTAATGTGATGCCTGTCTACAACTCCTCAGAATTTAATTTTATCTCTTCTGATGGGATAATTACCATAGACTGATGAATGTGTGTGTTCTTTTTTAACTAAAAAATTGAAAGTGGAAAAAGTTGAAAGCTTTTTTTCTTAAAATAGAAAAATACAGGCCTACTGAAGCAGGTTATTTAAAATTAGAGAAAAATAGTTTAATATATCTCTTTGAGATGCTGAATTCAATTCTTTTGGCTCTACATACCCAGAAATGGGATGGCTGGATGATAAAGTAGCTCTATTTTTAATTTTTTGAGGAATTTCCATATGGTTTTCTACAATGGATGTACTAATTTACATTATCACCAACAGTGTATTAGGATTCCCTTTTCTCCACATCCTTGCCAACACTTGTTTTCTTTTCTCTTTTTGATGATAGCCATTCTGATAAGTGTGAGCTAATATGTCATTGTGGTTTTGATTTGCATTTCCCTGATGATTAGTGGTGTTGAATATATTTTCATATACCTATTGGCCATTTGTATGCATTCTTTTGAGCAGTGTTTATTCAGGGTCTTTGTCCATTTTTAAATCATGGTTTTTGTTGTTATTTTTTGCTATGAAGTTGTATGCATTTCTTATATAATTGCAGCATTATTCAAAATAGCTAGGATATGGAAACAATCTAAATGTCTACCAACAGATAAATGGATAAAGAAAATGTGAGACGTGTGTTTGTGTGTGTATTCCATTGTTTATGTGTGCACATATATACATTTTATATATGTATATGTATTATATATGTGTACATATAATATATAATGCATTATATATAATGCATACATAATGGAATATTATATAGCCTCAAAAAAAGAAGAAAATCCTGCCATTTGTGATGACGTGGATGGACTTGGAGGACTTTATGTTCAGTAAAATAAGCCAGAGGCAGAAAGACAAATTCTACATAATCTCAATTATACGTATAATCTAAAATTGTTGAACTCATAGATATAATTATGCAAGATGAATAAGTTCTAGAGCTCCAATGTAGAGCATGGTGACTATAGTTAACCACACTGTATTGTAAAATTTAAAATTTGCTGAGGGTAGATCATAAGTGTTCTCAACACACACACATGCAAAAGGTAATTATGTGAGGTGATGGATATGTTAATTAGTGTGATAATGGTGATTATTTAACAATGTATGCAAATATCAAAACATCAAATTGTACACCTTAGATATATATAATTTTGTCAATTATACCTCAATGAATTTGGAAAAAAATAAAAATATATAAAATGCTATATATATATCTATATTCATGTGCCAAATTCAAAAGTACACACCCTTTTTCCGAGTGTAACAGTACGTATGATATTATGAATGCAGACCGAATACAGACACTGGATGATTCAGGTTGGTGAAAAGAGAGCAAGGTGCATCAGCTCTTCCGATGGGACATGGAAGAAGCAAGAGTCCTGCTTCATAGGTAAGTCTCAAGGCTGAGGATAACTGGACTTCCACCTCTCCTTTATCTCCAGTTCAGGAAAGAAAGAAGGATGGACAATTAAAAAAAGAAACAAATATCTCTTGCTTGTCTAAACTGTCTGGAAGACACAAACTGATGTGGCAATCCAACTAGACCTCTGGGAATACAATGTAACCTAGAATTAAATAACGTAACCTAGAATTACATTACAGGGTTTCTATAGAAGGAAATACAGAGGCACAGGTGCTGTGTTTTGTTTTTGTTTCCCAACATTTTGTTAAGATAATTTTCAAACATGCTGAAAAGTTGAAAAGCTTCATTTCTTAAGATCATATTTCTCCCACTTCAGGCAAAGCCAAGCAACATCAAAACTTCCTACCTGCCTAAGACCAGTATATTCTAAATCTCTAAGTGCCTGGGACCAAGGACTGGGCCACGACATGATTTTTGACATTTTGGTTACCTTTTTAGTGTGCTTATACCTGCAATGAGCCAATCACTCTTGCTAGATAGAAAGAGACTATTTTTTTTAAAATTTTATTTTATGGTAAGAACGCAACATGAGAACTGCCCTTTTAACAGATTTTACATGTACGATACAGTATTGTGAACTGTAGGTATGATGCTGTCCAGTGGATCTCTAGAACTTATCAGGGGCTGCAGGGAGGAGGAAGTGGGGAGTTGCTAAACAGCTGCTATATTTTTGTTGGTTGAAAAAGCTCTGAACTAAATTTTGTCTTCAAGTCTCCTTACACCACTGCTGGGAAGAACATCTACATGCTTATTGGGCACATTTGTTTTCTGTCGTTTAGAGAGGTCCTTCATCAATGA
This sequence comes from Homo sapiens, assembly GCF_000001405.40. Classification (NCBI taxonomy): domain Eukaryota; kingdom Metazoa; phylum Chordata; class Mammalia; order Primates; family Hominidae; genus Homo; species Homo sapiens. Next base: position 27,037,076 of record NC_000018.10, read on the forward strand.
GTATTGATTATTGTGTCACGTAGTATATTGCTCATACAAATTCTGAAGTCAAATTGTTTTTAAAAATCTAAATTGGTCACATCTTAGCCTTGGCGTTTACATTTTTTTCCAGCAATATGAACTGAGTGGTCCCTCATATCTGCCATCTTCATAGCCAAACCTGTTACTTTTCACCCAGAAAAGAAATCTTCCTTTGACATTTTCTCATGAGTAACGATAATGAATTTGATAATTTACTAGTGGAAAGGGTATGATGCCTAACTTACACTGAACTAGATCCTATTGTGTTTATACCGGGCACAACTCAGTGGTCTCTGAAAAGACAAACAAATGCCTGGGCATGGTGGCTCACGCCTGTAATCTCAGCACTTTCGGAGGCCAAGGCAGGAGCATCACTGGAGCTCAGGAGTTCAAGACCATCCTGGGCAACATAGTGAGACCTTGTCTTTACTAAAAATAAAAAAAATTTAGCTGGATGTGGTGGCACACGCTTGTGTGTCCTTGCTACTCAGGAGGCTGAGGCAGGAGGATTACCTGAGCCCAAGAGGTCTAAGCTGCAGTGAGCTGTGATTCTGCCACTGGATTCCAGCCTGAGCAACTGAGTGCAGAGAGAGACCCTGTCTCAAAAGCAAAACAAAAGAAAAAAGACAAACAATGCAAGCTGATTGGAGACACCTGTTTGCTTATTTTTGCCACTAATCATTATACGTTATTTAAAAGCAAGAGATGATTAAATCCATCTTTCAGGTCATTTAGTTAAGTTTTTTTTTTTTTAAATTTTTACAAGCTCTCAAGGTCTTTGACTACTGCCAATTCTCAAGCCATTCAGATAAGAAAGCATTGCTGCCAAGTATGTATATTAAATGCTTCTTCAGAAGTTCACTGAAATTCAAACATTACAACTATAATTAGGATACCAAGAATAGGACATTACTGGTACTTTAATGTGAAACCAGGACCTAATACACATATGTTGGGAAGTGTTATTTAAAGACTTCTGCTATGGGGTTATATTTAAAAAATTGATTATCTCTCTTTTTATTCTCTCTCTTATGAAAATGACAAGAATTGTTTTTTCTTATGTTTTAGATAAACACTAGAAAAGTAAATTTTAAAAATGAATTCATGTCTTACTTTAAAAAATATTTTGTACATTTGCATTGGGTTAAATAAAGAAGATAACTTTCTGTCCAGGTGCAGTGGCTCATGCCTGTAATCCCAGCATTTTGGGAGGCTGAGGTGGGCAGATCACTTGAAGTCAGGAGTTTGAGACCAGCCTGGCCAACATGGTGAAACCCCGTCTGTACTAAAAATACAAAAATTAGCTGCGTGTGGTGGCATGCGCCTGTAATCCCAGCTGCTTGGGAGACTGAGGCAGGAGAATCACTTGAACTCGGGAGGTGAAGGTTGCAGTGAGCTGAGATCATGCTCCAGTCTGGGTGATAGAGCTAGACTCAGTTTCAAAAAAAAAAGAACTTCCAGCAAGGGCTTCAGTTCTGCAGTGTCCACTATGGTAGCTGCTGGCCACATGTGGCTGTTGAGAACTTGCTATGTGACTAGCACAACTCAGAAACTGAATTTTTAATTTTAATTAATTAAAATGTTACTTTAAAATCTGAAGTAGTGTAAAGTGTTTTTTTCATTAACCATAACTTTATTGTTTCCATAGACTACATTTTTCTTCAATGATTGCATCATGTAATCTACTATTTTCTATTATAATACACATGTTCAGCCTATCTATCATTTCTAGCATCTAATGAATAATTTCTTATATTGATAGCATGCTGCAATAATACTTTCAATATCCTGGCTTAAATAATATATCATTAAATTAATTTCCCCTATTGCATTTTGCTTTTTGAAATGCAGCTTTTCAAAATGTAATTTATATATATGGCTTACATTGTATTTTTATTGGATATTGCTGATCCAGAAGAAAGCGACAGAGTAAAAAACAACAGCAACAACAAAAAATACACCAACAAGTAAATAATGATGAAATCTGGAGAGTCTTACAAATTTACTTGTTCTTTCTGCCTAAGTTAAAACCTTGTAAAGTACCACATGATCCAGCAATTCTATTTCTGGGGTATATACCAAAAAAATGGAAAGCAGGGTCTGAAGAGATATATTTGTACACCCATGTTCACAGCAGCATAATTCAAAATAGTCAAGAGGTGGAAGCAACTCAAGTGCCCATTGTTGCATGAATGGATAAATAAAATGCAATATATACATACAATTGAATCAGTCTTAAAAAGGAAGGAAATTCTGGCACATACTACAACATGGATGAAATTTGATGTTATGAAATTAGCTAGTCACAAAACCACAAATATTGTATGATTCTACTTATATAAATTACCCAGAGTAGTCAAATTTATTGAGACAGACAGTGAAATCGTGCTTGCCAGGGACAGAGGGATGGAAGAATGGGGAGTTACTGTTTAAGGAATACAGAGTTTCAGTTGTGCAAGATGAAAAGATTTCTGTGAATGGGTGGTGGGGACAGTTGCACAACAATGTGAATGTACTTAATGCCACTGAACATTTTTAACACATAAACATGGTTAAAATGGTAAGTTTTATGTGTATTTTATAATTTTAAAAAATAAATAAATAATTTTTAAAAATCATATAGCTATATTGCTCCTATTGCTGCAGAAAGATATAGTCCATTTCAAGTTACCATGAAGGTTAAGGAAAAATATTAAATTTAATGTACTTCATATTTGCTTATCTATATGTCCTGGGATGAACATTTTTAAATGGCAAGAAAGCTAGCAGATTAGGTAAGAAAAATGGCCAGAGAAAACAAGATAAAAGTTCATTAAATAAAGTCAGGTTTTGAATGTAGTGTTTTGTTTGTCTCTGGATATCAGTGAAACAGAGAACTATTCGTTTTCAGAGAAGGCTTGGTAAAATTGCATTTCGGGGACTTTTTGGAGGAGGAAAGGACTATATCTGACTGACAAGTACAGATTGTTTCTATACAGTGTGAAATGTATTAGAGATTTATAGTCATACTAATAACTAGGCCATAGTAAAGGTGTGTAAGGAAATGAAGGTAAGCTAGGGTAGACGGACATTTGCCAAGGACTCAAAATGTAATTTATATATATGGCTTACATTGTATTTTTATTGGATATTGCTAATCTAGAAGAAAGCAATGTTGGAAAGATGTTCAAAGAAAGGCATGGGGATCATCCCACCCTTTAAATGGTCCAAATGGAAGCCAAGATACTGGATCACGTCTAAGAAAATTTAAATATGCTAGCTACACTCAATAATGTAGTAATTCATGGTCATCTGTAACTCCTCAGTGTGAATTAATTAATCAGATCACTCAGCTGCTTCTGAAAGGGACCCCTGGTTCTGGTGTCCCCCACAACAGGTACCTCCCTTTGTGGGTCTCTCTGTTTTCCCACTAAAGCTTAGCCTTTCTTGGAATTCCTCCAACTGCCACTCAAGTCATAACCTCACTTCTGGGGTGAGTGGACTTGAGGTGTTTCATGTTTCCTTAGAGTTTCATGGCTTCTCTGTTGTCCTACGAATGCTCTTATCTGGGGATTTTCAGTTAAATAATCAGACAATGTATATGATTGATTTCTATACTGCATGGCTCAAGTGACATACATTCACTTTAGAAGGTTTTAAGTTGCACAGTATACAAGTATATCATTTACAGTTGATTAAAATGTTTGTGGTCATTTCTATTTAAAAGAACAAGTTAGGCATCTGTTTCTTGGTTAGAAATAAGCACCTCATTTTTTTACCCTGTGTGAAAATCAGGTATGACTTAACACTCCTTGCACAAGCCAGGCTGAGGATCTCTGATATTCTATTTCTGTGTGCATTTGTAATCCTTTGTTTATACAAATGACACTTTCAGCTAGTCAAAATATGCATTTACCTAGAATGCTCAATTACAGGTCATGTCACATAAGAGTGTAGTTACTGTCATTATTATATTGACTGATACAGAGATACACACACCTAGGTTGCCCTTTGATACAACTTCCACGATAAATTAGTTGATCATTCAACACATACATATGAGCCTAATAGCATGAGCCCAATTTTGTCAAGACCTGCTTCGTCTCATGCTGCCTTGATGAGATTTGTCATCTAGCTCTTGAATATTCATTTTTATTTGAGTTACTTTCTATTTCAATTGGGAATTATTTGTGATTTGTGTTTGTAATACCATATTTAATTGAAGATGAAAGTGTAAAGTAATTTTTGGCTAACACCAACTATGAAATTATTCTCCACTTCCTCTTCTGGGTAAAAGAAACACATACATGTTGTTTGTGAAAGAGTCAACACAGATTAAAGTTTCTCTTTTTCAGTTACACAAGGAGGCACCCTGTGAAATTTATTGTGATGCAGCTGAAGATAATACTTCTCCCCTGCCACCTAAAGAAAGCATGTTTCCAGTCTCAACTGTGAGCAAATAAATCCTGTTTGGTGTAGTATAATAGCAATCCAAATTAAACATCAAATATGTGGAGGGAATTTCAGGTAGATGTGTTCATATCTGTACTTTGACTATGTGGTGTGACATGGCAATTTCTCCTTCATTAGCTACTTAGCATTTCAGATTTGTCTAGTCTGCATACACACACTCCTTTAAATGCAGTGTTACACGATAAAATTTAAGGTATTTTAAAAATAATGTGGCACAGCTGTGTTGCTATTTAATCTCTATCATAAATTCGACTGGCTGGAAAATGAAATTTGTTTAAAGATAAAACCTGTAGGACTTCTTTTAATGAACAGCCCAAGTGTAAGTCTTCCATTTTGAGGAAGGGAAAACGCATCTAAGAGACTTCATTTCATTCAATAATAAATATTGTTCCGAAACCATAAACCCAGAGAAAATTGGTTGCTTTTAAAAATAGACTTCATTAACATAGTTCAGAGAGCCAGGTCTTCAGGAAAGCTGCTTAAAAAAGCAAACATGCTGGAGATGGATTGCCTGGGAGGCCGAGGCAGAAAATTGGTAGTTCAGAACTACAGGATGGAAAAATGTGAGACTTTGTTTATACCAACCTGGGCCACTGGGCATAAGATCTTAGGAAAAAATATTTTGCTTCTTTTTTCAGCAATTCCTTGGGGTCTGTGTTAAGCCAGATGTGGATCACAGGTCTGGGTTCAAGTCTCAATTCTGCCATCTGCTAGCTAACCCAAGTGACCTTGACCAAGTCACATAGCAGGGCAGTGCAAAATGACCAGGCTTTGCTATCACACAGACCTAGATCCAGGGGCACACTGGTCAATGTTTAAAACTGAATGAACCCTGGTTTGTAGTGTTTGCCAATCTCCATGTGTAAATACTCCCACCATGGCCAATTTTAAGCTACCTGCATGACCTCACTGAATGCAGAGCTGGGAAGAGAGGAGCACAATCAGTTTTCTCCAGACAGCTTTCCAGATATTATAAGCTGGCTCCAGCAAGCCACAGCCTAGGTTCCATTTCTGGTTCCACCAGTTAATAAATGGGGCCTAAAGCAAGTAATTTAACCTTCCCAATCTCAGCTTTCCAATTTTTAAAATGTTGACCATAAACAAACTTTACATGTTCATTTAAAGGCTCAAATAGAAGATACTGGGCGCAGAGCCTGAAAATAGTGGTTCAATAAACATCAGTTCCCCAACTTAATGGCCTAAGGATTAAGCTCTTCTCTCTCTATCTCTCTCTCTCTCTCCCTCCCTCCCTCTCTCTCTCTTTTATATCTTCTTCCTTCTCACTCTCCTTCCTTTCACATATTCCTTGAAAGAACAAGTCTGCATTTGTCTTATATTTGCTCCCCAACCCCTTGTCACTTGGTTTTCACTTACAGAATTCCTCCAGCATAATTTCTCTGTGGTGATGAGTAGATATCTCCCTGCAACTCCAATAGATGTTTTCAGTGCTTATTTTACTTGCTCACTCTGTGGCACTGGACAGGTTTGACCAGTCCCTCCTTTTAACTTTCTGTCTTTCTTGGATTCAGAGACAGAGAATGCTGTTGATTCTCACAGGACAGCTTTGATTTATCTTTCCTAGGGTCTCGGTCTCTGAGTTATCTTACTGTGTTCTTTGTTAATGTTGGGGATGTTCTAAGGATTCAGCCTTGCCTTGTCTCTTTTCTCACTCCTGACTGCCTTTGGAGCTCATTCATATCCAGGGCTTCAACTCTTATCCAGGAACCAATTACTTAAAAGGCAAATCTGCATCTCTCTGAAGTTCTAGGCTCTATTGCCCATAACCTACCACTTATTTGACATTCTTGACAAAATTCTGTCCCCATATCACACATGCCACATTATAATCAACATAGATACGACTTAATTTATTATTTTCTCCACCAAACTTGTCTCTCTCCCCGTATTCCCTACACAGGTTGCAGTATACATCTCTTCTCTAAGGTGGGAAACCTAAGAGTTATCCTCCCGTACCTTCCATATCCAACCAGGTCAGTTTGATCTTGTAAATGTATCTGGATTCCATTTTCTTGGCTTCCTCTCTAATGTCACTGTCTTAGTAAAGACACCTCAGACCTTCATCCTGTTATTCTTGGGTAATTAAAATGATATGCTTCCTGATTTCCTTGCCTCCCGTCAATTTCTCTTCCAATCCATACTTCCGCTGAGGTTTTTAGAAACCTCTCTCCTGGAGAGATTTTTAGAAAATGCAGATGGATTCTGTAATTCCTTGTACTTCATTAGCTTTCAGCACTTACTGCATGAAGTCCAAACTCCATGGAACGGCATAGATGGTCCTTGTTGATTCTAGTGTGTGCCTACATTTTGGCCACATCTCCCACCTCTTGTTTATGACTCTGTTCCAGGCTTATTAAATCACTAAGCTTTCCCTCAATAGGCCATGCCTTTTCCCACTACCTTCATCTCTCTGGCAATGTCTCTTTCATTAACTATTAGGTGTTTCAGATTTGTTTAGTTTGCATAAACACACTCCTTTGGACAGCGAGCCCTTCCCCCCCCTTTATTTTAACCTGGTAAACTACTCCAATTCTTTCTTCAAGGACTGACTCAAGTCTCGCCTCTTCCAGGAAGCCCTCCCTGAAATTCCTCATGATACCTTGTACATCATTCTCTAAAAGGCACTCTTCACACCATGTTGTAATCATGTGTACTTGCTTTTCTCCCTGAACTGAATGTGAGTGAATTAAGGGTATTTATCCCACATCTTATTCACCTTTGCATCTCTGATGTTAAGAACAAGTCCTGGACCATTAAAATATTTATCAAATTGAAAGTACCAACTTATAAATACCTCAGATTCCTTCTCTGCCCCTTTTGTGGTGCCTGAAGTGCTGTCAAGAAAATAGCTTTTATAAGCTACGAACAAGTTAGGATGATAAGCATTTTAAGCTTGATTCTAACTGGAATAATGATTCTCAAAGTGAGAATGAAACATGTAGATATTGCAAAATACCAATGTCCAAAATAATGGGCTTTTCAAGGATAATAGTTTGCTTAAATGTATTTGTCACAATGTCTTCTACCTGCTAACTTCATATGTTTAATGTTGGTCACCAATAATTAAAACTATGACAAAATAGGTCTTTCTCACTCTTGATTTTTAAGTTTTTTTTTGATAGTGTATAGGAACTATGTCAAAAACACTATAAAAATAGAAATAGCCTAGAGAAAAATCATGCTAAATGTGCTAAATATTATTTGCATTCAATAAATGTGACATATAATAAAATGAACATGTTATTCATGCACAGATGGAAGATTTTATTCAGTATCTACTTAACTATTTTTTTTATCCTGAATGACTGCATGTTCAACGTGTGTTAAAAAGTTTTAAAATGGAGGTGCCATTGCTGTTGTAGAACATTTCCAAGCATCAACACACTCAGTCAAAAAGTAAGCCGCAAGGGACTGAGTTTGCAAAGCAGATGTTCTACATTTGCTAAATTTCCAATAATGAATTTCACCTTTTGAGTTGAGAAAAAAAAAAAAAAACCATTGTTCCTCTCTGTGGGTAGCTTTTTGCAAATGATGTAAATGAACAAACCATTTCTAACTTTAGGGATGCTCTAATGTAATAAATGAAAAGTACGCAATTGATTTCTCCATTCTCTGGTCCACTAGGGCTATTCTTTCCATTATACTTAACTGAATTTGAAAGAGTTCTTCTTTTTGGAAATGTTGGAATATAGATTTAACAGATGGTGTTCCCCTAGTTTATGTTAGTAAGCATCCTAACATACCTTTTTCTAAACAATAATTTATAATCCACTTTTCTTCACAAGAATTCCTCTTTGCACTTTATGCTGTGTTGCTTTCTAATATCGAGAATTCCATGGCCCACAAAGAGGTCTTTCTTCTGATGAGATAAAGGTACTTCAAACAATGAAGTTTTTACATAAAATCTATGAAATAGCTGATCTTTTTAAAAATTTTCCCGGTAAAGAGAATCAAGGGAAAATAGAAAATTGATGACATCAGGTATTTGCCTCCTCATATGTATCCACTTATCATTATATCACCATATATTTTATAATATTCTTTACCAAGCCAAATCGCCAAATTTAGTTTTGATGTTTCTAACCATATTCTATGACTATGACATAGACTTTCAAGCTTAGTGTCAAGGAGGATATAATTTGAATGGGTTTTCAAAAATGACAATGAATGATACCAAGTGATACATACTCTCTTGTGAAGTTATTTCTGGCTTATGAAAAATAGCATCACACATGAATCAATAGCCCGGACTGCAATCAGTGTAGACGGACTCTAAATAGAAGTCACTAAATAGACTACAGGACAGTTTTATTCCATAGTCCTGGCACCATCAGCTAGACGCTTTACTGAGAAACTCAGTCGAAACTAAATTAGTGTAATCTTTGGAACATGATTCACTCAGTTATATAATGAAATGAAAGCCACTTAAGTTTTGTTGACCACCATTATACATAGTAGAGCCATTTCAATTAAGTGAAAATGGCAATAGAATCATAGACACAAAATTAGAAAAAACGTTGGCAATGATTTAACCAAACTCTTTATGAATCTCTTGTCAACATTCTTTTAGGGGGTGCCCAACCCCCTGCACATGTTTACAAACATAATCTCATTCTTTCCAATGCTAGAGACGTTTCCTTGTTAGGAAGTTATTTCTTACCCTGAATAAAAAGTTACTTCTGTGTAGCTTTCATCTTAGTGCAAGACTCTTTAAACAAAGAATTAACCTTAACCAACCAAAAAATGAGGGTCTTGGTAGGTCCCAGTTTTAATAGGAATATTCTGTCTAAAATATTTTCTAATTTTTTTGTTTCAATTATTATACATTTAGTGCAATAGGATAGGGTAGATTGAAATGGTCCAGAACCTAATATTGGTCTTTCTTAGCCAGGAGATAAACTCAGCTGTAAACAAGAGGGTGCAGGGTATATAGTAACTGGGGAGGCAGGACATAGAACCTGAGGAAAATGAACTAAGATGTAAAAAATTCCAAGCAGGAAGTCAGAAATAGGAGTTCCCATGATGTTTTTGGTATCTTAGCCACACACTTTATCTAAAGAAGTCTACATTCAGGCCAGTACCACAGACTGATTGTAGTATTTATGACTATAGTGGCAAACAGTATGTTCCAATCTTGAAAACTCAGACTATTGTTACAAATTTAGATTTCCTGATGGCGTGATTTGTTGTCATTTGAAATGATTAGGAGCCCCCTAACATTCCCCTAGAATATGGGCTCTATCCATTAGTTATCCTTAACCTCACCCTCTCATAGAAATCAGGCAATTGACAAGCTACAGATCAGATAGGGCAAATTAGTAAAAATTCCACTAGTAAAGGGATTTTTCTCATAGCCCTGGTGACCTGTGTTCCCTATCAAAGATGCTGTTGCCTTAAAGATTTTCCATTTGTTGAAAAGTGTTTTATTAAGCAAGTAACTGAACAAAGCATTAAAGTGATTAGCACTTTGTTTTGAAAAGAAACGTTAGCATGGTGGGGGTGCAGGAAAGGGTAGGGAGTGGAGATGCCTGAGTCCTTGTCCTGCCTCTGTCTCTAACCTTGGTGTCACCTTGATCACAAATAATTTCAGAAGCCATGACTATTGAGGGAACCTAATGAGGCATCAGACTTAACACTTTGGCCAACTTAGCTTTCTTCCAAACTGTGCATTTTCTTTAACTAAGAAGGTAGTACATACAGCATTATGGAAATAGCATTTAGAAGCAATTTAGAAATTATTTAGAAATAATTTCTCCCCCAAGGAGCAATAATGAAGGTAATCATACCTGTGAGGGACTCAGACACTTTCTTGCCTTCATAATTGTGTGTGTGTGTGTGTGTGTGTGTGTGTGTGTTCATGATCAGGCTTTAAAAGGTTCCCAGAGAATGCAAACAATAATATTTAACAGGAAATTCATGCAGGTATTAAGTTGCCCACTTATCTGAAATGAATGCTAAGATTGGAAAGGACAAAAGAGACAGAAGCTTATGCTGTTTATACACTTTTAGATTAAGATGGATCTTTGTCTTCTATTGACTATGCTGACTCTTTGGAAACACACATAATATCTTATTACCAGACAGGAAATGAAGCTAAAAGAAGCTAGTGGATGGGAGTGATTGGTAGCTCTTGCTTATCACAGGAATAGTGGGTTGGTAGAAACTTGGGAAGGATGGCGGGCATAGGTACACATGCCAAATTAGCGTTCTCTATGATTGTTGGCAATTTCTGGGCACTGTGAGCTGCAACACTGCTCCTATGCAAAGATCGACTTGGTAAATGAAAATCTATCTTACCTCACAACTTTAAGCTAAAAGGCAAGTCATGGAAATATGAAAATGTAAAAACTTAATTTTGTATTAGTTAGCAAATACTGACCCCTACTATGTGCAATGGCATTCTGCCAAAGCATGATTCACTTCTGAATCCATATGAATTTAGAAGTGAAGGCATTCTTAAAATTCCTCCAAAATATAAAGATGCTTCTCAGTTAACACTGTCCTGAAAAGCATCCACTACATATACGGTTTTAAGAAATAAAATTGAGATTCATAGTCATTTGGGAAAGTAAACTGGTTGTCAACTATCACATCACAATGTCTGTATTTTAATACTGTTGGTTGCAAGACTTACCTTTAAATAGATAATCATGAAAAAATTAAGCAACATTCCCATCTCATTTTCTTTTGAATGTAATGATTGGATGAAAAGGGCATAACTGATGTGAAAGTGAGAAAGCTAAATGTATGAATTTATTTTAATTAAATTAATATCGATCAGTTCAAAAACCATAAACTATTAATTTTAGTGTGAATTTTTGAATAATAAATTTTAAAAAATTTAAAGGTGGAAATAAAATCAGGAAATAAAGCTGGAGCCCATTGGACAAAATCTTACCTGAAGTTACTTTTTGTTCTCTTCTCTTCTCCACTCTCCCTGAAATGAGAAGTGGAAGATAAGTTACAGCATGGAGTCATGAGAATATGATGAAAATAAGATGAAAGCCCAGTTTACAGCAATTTCCAAACACAACCTCTACTTCAGCCATGTCCAGTGTGCTCCTAGAGATGACTGGGCTCAGCTGACAGGCATAAGAACTGCTTACAAACCAATTTATGAAAGTAAAAAATAAATAACTATGCATTAAATGTGCTGTTGGATTTTTAAAATCTTGTTAGCCAGAGTCGTTTACTCAACAATAAACTTACAAAGGGCAAATCCCCATAGAAACCATTATGGGGAAAACAGCTAAATAAGACTATGCCCTCTTACAACCCACTTGAAAAAATAGAAAGGACAGACAATATAATATGAAGTGAGATGTGCCTCAAATAGTGTAGAATGTTTAAAGATATGAGATGATGAAACAGTTATTTTAAGAAAGGAGGGGGTGCTCATGAAGTTATGGAGAAAGTGGTATTTGATTTTGACCTTGAGATACAAATGGGATTTGAGAAATTTGAAATAGAGAAATGACTGACTCTTGGCAAAGGAAACAGTATGGGCTAAATGGACAGGGTATTTGCGCAAGAAGAACTTGCACACTTACAGCAGTGCATAGGAGGAGGACTATCCTAGAGGTTAGACACAAGGCAATGAAAGGGTGGACTGAGTCATGGCAGTGGGAGTGGAGAGGAGGGAAGTAGTGGATGCAAGAGACCGGGGGGAGGCCGAAATAATAGGGCCCAGTGATTTATAAAATGTGAGTTGCCAGGAAGGAGAAGAAGTCAAGATGAGTGGTTAGCTAGGTGACTTTGGGTATAGAGATGCAAGTTGGGGAAATGGTATTATAGAATGTGATGAGGCTGGGAATAACAAGTTCAGTGTTAGACCTACTGACTTTGAAGTACTATGGGGACAAGGAGCTTGTAAGAGGTCAGAAAATTTAACTATCCTAATATATACGCATCTGACATTGGAGCATCCAGGCTTATAAAACAAATACTACTAGATCTAAGAAAAGAGATATAGCCATACAATAATGGTGGGGGACTTCAACAGGCACTGACAGCATCAGACAAATCATCGAGGCAGAAAACTAACCAAGCAACTGTGGACTTAAATGAACTTTTGACCAAATGGACCTAACAGACATCTACTGAATAGTCCATCCAGCAACCACAGAATGCACATTCTTCTCATCTGTGCACAGAACATTCTCTAAGACTGACCACGTGCTCAGTCATAAAGCAAGTCTCAATAAATTCAAAAAAATCTGAGTTGAAATTACAGATGCAAGAAATGTTCATCATAAGATGGCTGAAGCTGAAGGAGTGAATGGGGCATAAAGGCAGACAGCACAGAGGAGTGGGTGGAGGACAATAACTAAGATAACATGACTGCTGCTTTTGTTTTGTGATGTAGGCCCACGGGAAGTCAGAAGCAGCTGAGATCTGGGGACCTCAACAAAGTGCAGGCTCCGGTACCACAAATCAAGTTTTAGAAGTATGGGGGTTTTCAACAGCATGTTGCTACTGCTTGCTGAGTTCACATGATTGTTGCTAGATTGTGAGAGAGTAGTTTTAGCAGAGAGTGGGCAGAGAACACAAGAGAGACTGCGAGGGTTTGGGAAGTAAGTGTGTGATGAGAAAGTGGAGCTGAGGACATGGCTTCTTGTTTATCAACTTTGGCAGCCTCCAAATGAGTTGAATAAGTGAAATGGGGTAATAGCTTGACTAGAAGCCAACTAAAGGTTTTTGCTAAGTTATGGAAATCCTAAGCATGCTTATAGACTTAGGTAAGAAACTGTGTACCTGGGCAATGGTGTGTATGAACACCACGGTGGAGGTGAGGACCGTGGTTTGGGATAAGTGAAGACCATCCTTCCAGCTGTCACTTTTTTTTGTCATCTATCAACATTCCACAGCTGGAGCTAGTTACTGAGAAGTTAGGCCACACGTTGAAGCTACATGTAAACTTTATCCAAGCTTTTCTAACAGCCCTTCGAGTCTTTTAAAATCCTAACATATAAGGTGGAAAATGTACAATCTTCCCTTATGTCGCTGCCAAAAGTGTAGAATTCATTTAACTGGCACCTTGATTAATGGCATGTTATATTCATTTGGGTGATTTCCAGAGGACTTGTTTGATGCAATTTATTTCAATGATTCCAACAGATAAATAGCATGAATAATCCATTTAAAGGCCTCATTCATTATGAAGTGTGACAGGGTACCTTCTCATTTAAGTTTTCCACTGGGCAAGCCACTGCTTACTGTTGGATTATTCACTTATGAATACTAGAGGCCTCGGACATTTTCATAAATTTTAAAAAATGGTATTCAAGGCTTGAATTGTAAAATATGTAAACAAAAACAACTTTTTGGAGTGTCTTTAACCTATATTAGAATAAGTCACTAATTCTGAAAGTTGGAAGTGTATGTATTTGAGATAAATAATATGGTGTAGTGATCAAGGTATCCCAAATGATTCCCATCTTCTCTTCTTTTGATATTCACGTCCTGTGTAATCCCACTGAATTAGATTGACTGTGTAATCAAGGATTTTGTGGGAATAATATAGTGTGATTTTGAGGTTGATCCTTAAGAAAATTGTGGCTTCCAGTTTGGGTGTGGTGGCTCATGCTTGTAATCCCTATGCTTTGGGAGGCTGAGGCAGGAGGATCACTTGAGGCCAGCAGTTTCAGACCAGCCTGTGCAACAAAATGAGACCACCATCTCTAAATTGTTTTTTTAAAGATTAGCCAGGCATGGTGGCACACATCTGTCACCTCCCTAATTAGTTGGGAGGCTGAGGCAGGAGGATCACTTAAACCAAGGAGTTTGAGGTTACCATGAACTATGACTGCACCACAGCACTCTAGCCTGAACAACAAAGCAGGACCCCATCTCAAAAAACAAAGACAAAAAACTATGGCTTCAATATTCCTTTCTTTTGGATCACTCCCTCTGGGGGATGCCGGATAATATGTTGTGAGGACACTCAAGCAGGCCTATGGAGAGGTCCATGTGGCATGGAACTGAGGCCTCCTGTCAACTGCCAATGAGGAACAAAGGCCTGCCAGCAGCCCCCACCAACTTGCTAGGCACATGAGCAATCCATTTACCAGCCCCAGTCAAGCCTTCAGCTGACAGCAGCTCTGGGCAACATGTTGACTGTAATTTTGAGAAAGCCAAAACCAGAACCATCCAGTTGGCTATTCCAGAGTCCCCTACAGAAACCATGTGAGCTGATAAGTTTATTGTTGTTTTTAGCTGCTAAATCCTGAGATAAGTGTTAAATATATGTTTCAAAAGTCTGTAATAATTTATCATTTAATATACTATACCTACAGTAATGCTAATTGCAGGCATATCAATCAGTCTCCCTGATTTTCTTATTTTTAAAGTGGGGATCAGGGTCTGCTTCTCTGGAATGCTATGAGGATGAAACAATTCCATATGGTAAAGCTAGCAAGAAATGGACAAAATTCACATGAAATATTGGCATCTCATGTTTCAGAAGGGAGGCTGAAAGGTGCAACTTTTTTTTATGAATACCTCAAATAATTTTTTTTATGAAGACCTCGAACAATTCTCAGCCCCTATGTTATATGAAAGGGCTTTGTAAATTGTAGAGTGCTATATAAATTCCACCTATTAGTTTTATCATGAATTAGTCCTGTTACAGGAATCTACTTAGATTTCTTAGTTATATATATGTATGTGTGTATATATAGGTGTGTGTGTATATATATATGTGTATATATATGTATATATATGTGTGTATATATGTATATATGTGTGTATATATATGTATATATGTGTGTATATATATTTATACATGCACACACATACACACAAAACATCAAATTAGAAAAATAAAAATTACATGGTAGGACAGTACTATATTGATCCATGGACACAGAGATTGAACTGTTTAGATGGAGACGACCCTCTAGGCTTCCTTCTTTAGTATCTTTATCTCAGTCTGAATAGGTGATCTTATCTCTCATTCTCTCAATGTTCACTTTCCCCCAAAGAGACAACTGTGACACTACATCTCTAGCTCCAAAATCTACTTAGGTTTTAAAGCCTCTTGGAAATCTCTACTTGTGTCCTCCACTGCACTTCAACACATGTTTTTAACTTAAATAATTATAGTCCCAGTTTCTCTAATGACCAGTGATGATGAGCTTAATGTGGCACATATACACCATGGAATACTATGCAGCCATAAAAAAGAATGAGTTCATGTCCTTTGCAGGGACATGGATGAAGCTAGAAACCATCGTCCTCAGCGAACTAACACAGGAACAGAAAACCATACACCTCATATTCTTACTCACCAGTGGGAGTTGAACAATGAGAACACAAGGACACAGGGAGGGGAACATCACACACTGGACCCTGTTGGGGGTGAGGGGAAAGGGAAGGGAGAGCATTATGACAAATACCTAGTGCATGCAGGGCTTAAAACCTAGATGACAGGTTGATAGGTGCAGCAAACCATCATGGCACAGGTATTCCTATGTAACAAACCTGCATGTTCAGCACATGTATCCCAGAACTTAAAGTAAAGAAGAAGAAGAAAAGAAGAAGAAGAAGAGGAGGAGGAAGAAGAGGAAGAAGAAGAAGAAGAAGAAGAAGAAGAAGAAGAAGAAGAAGAAGAAGAAGAAGAAGAAGAAGAAAGAACAAGAAGAGGAGGAAGAGGAAGAAGAAGAAGAAGAAGAAGAAGAAGAAGAAGAAGAAGAAGGAGAAGGAGAAGGAGAAGGAGAAGGAGAAGGAGAAGGAGAAGGAGAAGGAGAAGGAGAAGGAGAAGATTTCATTAAAAAAAAAAAAGCAATAATTATAGTCCCCTACAAAACTGCTCATCCTTGGTGTCTGCTCAGGCACCCAAATATAAAACCTAGGAACCACCGTCTTCTTTCTTTTGCTCCTTCTTCCCATCTAATCTGTCCCTCAGTCCAATACATTCCCCTCCATCAGGACTTTGAGACATATCTTCTCCTTTCTCACTGCCATCACCCTAGTTCATGAACTTTATATCTGTTCCTGGGGTTATCTATTTTCTATGGGCTCCTAACTTGTTTGTTGGTTTTTTCTGTCATTGTAATCCAATCACTCCTAAACAGCAAACTCTACATTTCTTAATATAAAATTTATGACCTTGGACAATTTGGCCATAACTTTCCTTCTGCTGTCACTCCTCAAGCATCACAGAGAGGAGTTAGCCATTACACCAGGAATTACACCTTCACCCCAGTTCCCCATTCATGCTGTTTCTGCTTCCTAGAATGTCCTGTCACACGGCTCCTGCCTATCAAAACCCTATTCAGCTTTTAGAGCTCAGCTCAGCTGCCAGTCCTCTGTGAAGTCTTTTCTTTTGTGCCAGCTCCCCAAACTCTCCATGCCCTGCAGAGTGAAGCACCCTTCTTCTGTGCTTCTGTAACCTTTCATTTACTCCTTTGCCATAGCACTAATTCTTATTTTGGTTCACAATTAGTTGTGTGTTTGTTTTCCTGACTGGATGGTGGCTTCCTTCAGGACAAGTCGAGAGTCCCATATCGTTCTCTCTCCTGATGTCTAGCACCGTGCCTTAAACACAAATGCTCCAACTCACTCTGAAATGCTGGAGAACATGAAGTCAATTTTAGTACTGCTAAAATGCAGTGAAAGTACAACCAAGAATAGAGCTTTTAGCAGGTATGTATATTACAACTGACAACCAAGAAAACTATTATATTAGAAAAGTGGGTGATAAAATAATAGAAAGGCTTTCAGAATAATGAACACACATTCTGTCCTAGTTGTGCTTTATTTTATCACAGATTCTAGTTTAAAAACAAAACATTAAAATATGGTTTGCATCTTATTTCTGCTTAAACCTGGATGCAGCACTCCACTTGCGATGAATAAAAATGGACCATAACCTCATAAAAATTGAATTTGTAAGATAAAACTTTTTCCTTATATGAGAAAATTTATTTAATTGAACACTAAAGTTCCGCATCTCATGACTATTTATCTATGTAAACTGAGTCTCAATATTTTTAAAAGCTATTTTAGACTTGAGGTTGTGGATATTGTTTCATGGAGAAATATTACATATATGTCAATTTACAGTACATTTCAGTACTTCAGTATGGAAGTAGTCTCTTAATCACAGTGATTGTTTCTGATCTTTTAAAACCACAGGCACATAAATGGCAATTTGATGCTGTCTCACCAATAATGAGTATGGGCATCTGTATCATAACTCAGTATCTCATGTCACTTCTCAGGAGAAGGAAATTGTATATGTGTGTGTGTGTGCGTGCACATGCACACACATGTATGTTTATACACATTTATATGTACACTATATATATGTAGGTATATATATATGTACACACACACATATATACTATATTTTCATGCTCAACTATAGTCTCCTCTCTAAAATATGTTCTCTCTTCTACTTGCTTCCATCTTTTTATAATAAAGTCTGTTGTGGTATCTTATGAAACTTGCCTCACCGCACTACCAATTTCTCAGTAGCCAATTCTGAGTTTGCGTTCACTTTCAGGCATTTTATCTGCCTTGCTCTGAGAGGTATTATTAATCACATCCTGTTGCTAGGATACCTGAGAATGTTCATTTATGTCTGATGTTTCTTTGGCAAAATGCACTATGAAGAAGGCATAGAATCATGACAATGAAAATTACTGTGCACATGCTACTTATTAAAAAAGGGAGGAAGAGCATAACCACCAGATAATATAATGCTAACTGCCATGAATTTTTTAATATCGTTTTTGTTTCACCTAGATTTTAAAGGAAAAAAAACTCGCAATATTTTTGGATAATGAGAATCTGTAGTGCTTCTATACTTCCGAGTTAACTAGAAAAAGTGGAAGGTGGTAGGGTTTTGGTTCTGTTCATTTCATAGGGATTTAAGAGAGGAAGGAGCTTGAAATGCTTCAAATGCTTCCTTTACAGACAGGGTAACTAGGTTATAGTGCTAGTTGATTTGCAGGGCCAGACCTAAAACCCAGGTCACCACTATTGCCATGTTTAGCTATTTTAATGCAAGATTTTTTAGAAAAGTGGGATGTGGAATTGGACAATAATAGTAAAAAAATGCCTTTATCAATATATTAAAATAATTTCAAAATTAGTGCTGTCTTGGGTGCTAGTACACCAAAAATTCCTGCTTATTGGTTGTCATGAGAGAATATGGATACATAAAATCCACCTCAATGCAAGATTTTCTTAGTCAATTTCTTCCTACAGGAAATAGCATGATATAACAAAAGGAACACGGATTTGGAGTTCGATGGACTAACTTCTCATCCTACCCAGGGATGCTTGTGAGCCATGTAATCTGGGAATGAGGTCTTGAGTACCTTCTCATTACATGTGCTTTTTCTTCTCACCTCTTCTCTCTTTCGTGTGTGTGTGTGTGTGTGTGTGTGTATACACAAGATACGTTTGGCATATCCATAAGCCATATATAATCAGTCTCTAGGTTTTAAAAGTTGCAGGAATAAATTATTTAAAAAAATTTTCTGCAGACTAGCTTTTTATTAGTCAATTATTGTTTATCAAATTATTTGTTTGAATGAAACAATTTTTTTAACTTATAATTATCTAACCACAATGTTTCAGGAGTAAGATACTTGAAAGATCTTGCAATTTTCTTTTTATCAGGTAAGTATTTATTTAGTACCTACTATGAGTTGGGCATTCTATTGACACTTAAATATTTCATTTAATTTTCCCAGTAAATGACTTTCATTTTCTGATGGTGAAGGCAGGCTCAGAATCTTTTTTCACATGCACAAGGTTCCAGTTAGTGAATGTCAGAACTGGAATATGAATCCAGAGATTTTTACCTTTTCTGTGCTTTTTAGCTGTGGTGATTAAGGACAATTTTGTAGAGTGGTGAAAACTTTGAGTTGTAGCTCTACCACTTGATCACTGTGGGCTGTGGGCACCTCATTTTAATCTAAGGTGAATTGTTTTTTTCTGGAAATGGGAGTAATACAAGTACCTACTTCACAGGGTCACTGTGAAGATTAAATAAAATGATGTGTTTAATAATAATCTCTACATGTTTTGAGTGCATAACACAACAATATTTATAATGCTCTCACCTTGGTGCCTGGGACATAGCAAATAGTACATTGCTAGGTGCTCCTCTTTATAAGTATTCTGTATCAGGTTGTCCTTAATAGCATATAATAATTCTTTATATCCTTAAGGTCGATGACTTCCATTATGAATATTATAAAGTTGAGACTTTGGGAGTTTTCTGATATGTTTACATCACCTCCCTCTCTTCCCTTCTTTTTGTTTCCAAGGAAAAAGGGGCTTCCCATTTTAGTGGATTCCCTTTCTCTCATCCTCATGTCCTAACTCTTTTCAAATACAAATTAGTTTGATGAAAACCAAATTTACATGTCAAAATTCTCCCCAGTTATGAGCTAAGATCATATGATTTTAGGATGCAGGCTTTATGGCTTAAATTCCTATTCACATTTTGGAGTGGCCACCAACTGTGGACTGCCAATAGTCTAATGTGGTCTGAAGAGAAAGGGAGAGCTGCTCTAGAAATCAGAGACCTCCCTGCCAGAACTTGTTCTCTTCCACAATTGGTAGTAGAATCTTGAACAAGTAACTTGGCTCTTGCAAGATTCAATGGTCTATTCATTTAGATAGGTAAATGCTATCTTTCAATAATTCCAAAAGAAATTATGCAAACAGGGATGTGAAAGGATTTTATGTACTACATTGTAAGAGGAGGAACAGAGAAGTTTAACTGGGCCAATTTGAAAACCAACTGGTCTGTAGAAGTCTACATAAAACTGTAGAAACTGCATAGCTTCTGTGTGGTCAATGGTATAAAAGAATGAGGAGTTTATTTTATAATTTATGGCTGGATTCATGCTGCTGATTAAACACCAGCCTCCGCAGACATTGAGGATAGCCTCTATATGGCTGTGAATCCTCTCTGCCCTCCTGCAGGTTTAGATAAACTCCACTTGCTCCTGTCTGTTTCTATTTGCTTAGTTGATATGTTGCTAGGACGCTTAGGCAAAGAGAGCCATTATGAGCACAGCGAGTACTGTGAGCTCCAGACAGTGTGTACTGAGATACAAAAACTGGCCCTTCAGAAACATATCGATACAGATAGATCTGGGCTTCTGAGGTCGGCCATCTGCCTTGGCAGGGCTGACTCTCCATCTGCACTCCCCAGCCCTGGGGTCTGCCATCCGGCATAGCGTGGAGAAAGCTTGAGAAGGACTGAATGCTCAAAGATTTGCAGGCGGCTGACCTCTCTGTAAAGAAATAGTAAAATCAGTATGAGAAACAACAGTTTTAGGTTGTCTTGGAAATTCCCAAGTACAAAATTTCTTCCCACTGAGATCTACCCGACAAGCACGTAATTAATGTGACAAACAACAGCCCCTTTCAGATTCCCAACATTGGTCTGGCTGAATTAAATCTTAGAGTAAACCTTTTGATATTCAGGATCTCATTCTGAGGCAGTCATTTCTTGGCAGAGAAGATTTTTGGAAGACCTTTAGAGGTTGAAGTCAGACTGGCAATAGTAAATACCTAATTATTGCCAGGTTTTAAATAGCTTTGCAAAATAGGAATGCTAGTCTTAATTGCGTAAGCTGCAGCTACTGACTAAAGGAGGGATGTGAGCATTTGTACTTTCCTCTGAGCATTGAACGTGTTTCTAGTAAGTTAGGTGTGAGTAGTCACTTTTAAATAATATAATATTCTAAGTGTCTTTGGTGTGTTTATTATATTGAGAAAAACTGGAATGAATTATTTTGTAAAATGACAAATCTTTTCATAATGTTTATTCACTCCTGTGCTAGAAAAAAATGATAACACATTAAGAGTTAGAGTTTAATTCCCTTCCCCTCGAATCTCTGCAGGCCTAGTAACTTGCTTACCCAGTCGGATACAGCAGAAATGATGTTTTTCCAATCCCTAAGCTTAGGCCTTGAGCATCAGGCAGCTTCTACTTTCCATCTTTAAAAACGTGCTCCAGACACCATGTAAGAAATCAGACAACCCTAAGACCACCATGCTGTAAGGAAGCTCTAGCTAACCACACATGGAGGCCACATGGAAAGAGAGCTGCCTGAACAGTATGTGACCAGCTCCCAGGTGTTCCAGCCATCCCAACCCAGGGACCAGATACGTGGGTCAAGAAACCATTTTAGAAGGAGATTTTCCAGCTCTAGTCACCTCAGCAAACGCCATGTGGATTTGAGACAAACTGCCCTGCCAGACTTTTCCCAAATCCCTAAGCCACAAAACTGCAAGCAAAATATCATTTTTATATCATTAGGTTTTGTCATACTTGGTTACACAGGAATAGTCAAAACAACGCTTTTCTTTTTTTCATAATGAGAATATTTATTGACATACATATCAATATATATTGATATTTTTTTTCCTTTGAAGCAGGGCTCACCTAGATTCCTTCTTTCCTAAGAGGGTTTGTTCAATATACCTATAAATATGTTCTATTATTCAGCATTTTAGCATCTAAAATTATTCCTTTTCATGAAAAAAGAATAAAGCCTGTTATTAGGAGTGCAGTTAAAGCACAATTTCTATAGATTACTACATATTTTGTTTTATTAGAGTTTTACAATTTTACCCTGTAAAGTGGAGTAAAAGTAAAGTGGAGACTTGCCAGTGGTCCAGCACATCAGAACTTGTAAACCATCAATTGGGGTACCCATTTGAAACAATGACATTAAAATATGTATCTAGGCTTCGAAAACTTTACCATATATTGTTAGAATTATGTAGAAATCCTCTGAACTGAAACACTCAAAAGATTCAACACAATTTATGGTAAATAATTTAAAATAGTCTTATTTTCCCTGGGTAGATTTACTTCTAAAGGATCAATTAGTGGAATCTATATTGAATTAAGAGTTTTAATATTATTTAGAGTTAATTTTCTGTATGAAGGCAACAACGGGAAGCATTTCATTAGGAAAGGTAATGATATGAGTCCAAACAGAATCTATGCTTGTGAAGTCTGAGTTTGTTCACTTTAAATAGCAATTTATGTGGCTAATGAACACACAATCCTGCCTAGATTTTCATCTGGGGGAAACAAGGACATTTCATTGCTCTTTTTCCCCACACTCTTAATCATCATCTCATTAGCTTGTGGAGAAAACTGGTGGAGGCCAGAGGTGAGCTTTATTTTCTTCTTTGAGATGTCAGTACAGGTTTTAATCCCGCTAGCCCCAAGTTTTTCCTTTTTTATCTTGAAAATATCCTCTTCACACTCATCTTTTCCTTCACATTGACCCACGTCAAAGGTTTGGGCCTCAGACATTCAGGGAAGCCGATATTTCATGGATAGAAGGAAGAAAACATGAAAAGTATGTTTAGATCAGTGGATATTGATTAATTGCTTTCAGGCCTTTACAGGCTACTTTGTAAGCTTGTAAAGACTATCCCCCATAAACTTGGTTGAATGGAGTTTACTAGGAAAATTGTTAATTGTCTAGTTCATTTTAGGTGTAGAAGAGGCTCCCCACCACTTGGGCACTTAGGAGAAAACAACCAGAGCACATCTTGTTGAGTGTCTATTATGTGAGAGACAGAAAGATAGGTACTTAATGTCTGCAACGCTATTGTAAAAAGTAAACAAGAAATTCACAGTCAAGGTTCAGGGAGGGGCCCTAGAGAAGAGGCTGTGGACTGGTGCAACTGCTAGGGCCTTCAAGTGGGGGCTGGAAGTGGGCCTGTACCTAATAATAGAGACATGGAGGAAGAGACACTCCAGGAGTGAAGAGAAATATTGTCTGAATGCCTAAGGCAACAAGCTATTTTCTGGAAAAATCTTTTATTAGTGTTCAGTGTGAATTGCTGACTTCAGAAAAAGCAAGCCAGGCACTGGCACAGTGCAGCTCACCAGAAGGGCGGGAAGTAGGGTACTCCAGGGAGTGGGTGCGGGTGAGCTCCAGGAAGGAGAGTGGGAATGTTGAAAAGAGGGTCCCAACTAGATGCAGTCACTGAGAGCTAAGATTTGCACAAGACTAAGAATTTGGCATTGTCAGGGAAGGGCAGTAACTTTCTAGCTTTATTTACTGTGAAAAACACAACTGAGTGCCTGTCCACAGTCCATTCTCCTCTTTTTCTACTCTGGTACCCAACCCTCTTCTCACATGACATGCATAAAACATGTAAACTAATCATCGTGGTCCCCATCTCCCTTAGTTTAGGTGGTCATTTGACATTTCTGGCTAATGACATGTACATTTATTTATTTAGAGATGAGGTCTCACTATGTTGAGCAGGCTAAACTCAAATTCCTGGGCTCAAGCAATCTTCCTGCCTCAGCCTCCCAAGTAGCTGGGATTACAGGCATGTGC
This sequence comes from Homo sapiens, assembly GCF_000001405.40. Classification (NCBI taxonomy): domain Eukaryota; kingdom Metazoa; phylum Chordata; class Mammalia; order Primates; family Hominidae; genus Homo; species Homo sapiens. Next base: position 27,060,913 of record NC_000018.10, read on the forward strand.
CATCACATCCAGCTATAGGTGAGATGAATTCTGTTGAAGAACTTCATTAAAAGATTTTTCTTGCCAATAAAAAGACACGCATGGGAGAAACCATCTCCTTTTCTTTCAGTGCATGTTGTCACATCTGGGCATGATGACTGGTTCTTGACCTACACTGGTTCTTGAGGAGAGTAAAGATCACCTGGTGGCCACAAGCAGATCATCTGGAGGCAAAACTCCTTATCTGAGGACAAAATCAACTCACTTCAAGAATGACTGAGGGGAACACACCCCAAGGATGAAGTCACCAAGCCTCTGAATTAATGCACCACGGGACCACCCTGCATCAGGTTTTCTTGTTATGTGTTATTTAACCTTTTTGGGTATAAGTTCAAGTTTTTGGTTACTTGTAGCTGAAAGCATACACAAGCCAACTACAAAAATAATATTCAATGCTAAATACACTAGGAATAAAATCTAAAGGAAAGAGCATTGCCTTTAAGACAGTTCCAAAAATTGTAGGCGTGAGACTCTTCCCCAGCCAGGCACTGTACTTTAGAGGATCTTCTCTTGCTCTCTTTCACACACATCACTTTCACAGAAGGTGAGGAGGGCCCAGGTGTCTGTATATGGCATCCACACCTTTCCTAGACCATGCACTGAGTACCTGGGATGCCAGAATTCTCTGACCTAACTCTGCCCAGATCAGATCTCTGGAGGAGGGGACCAGATTGCATCATTGGTGTGTAGGCTCCAAGGCCCGAGGAGTGTTCAAAGGATTCCTGGGGCTTTGATGTGTGTATCAATGGCCCCAGTGCACGTGCATGAGGCCCCTTGCAATGCTGGAGGGACTGTGATGAAGGCAGAAAGAAAAGGGGACCTACACTTGTTCTCGATGAGAGCAAAGATCACCTGGTGGCCATCAAGCAGGTCATCTAGAGGCAAAACTCCTTATCTGAGGAATTCAGAAGTAATTAGACTTCTAGAATTTCTATACATTTCTGGAATGCAAGCATGTCGAAACCCATTGTACAACCTTTGCCGACATAAAGGCACCAAAACATCCACAAATGTTAATCATTTCTCATGACCAATGTGACTAATATGGTCCAAATCACCCTTCAGCTCCTGCGTTAAGTCCACAAATACCCCTACGGAAGATCCAACTGGGCACACTCAGTCCTCTCTTACTGAAGCTGCACTCTGCTGCAGCGTTCCTCCTATCTAATAAAACATTCCTCTTCAAACTTATACTGTTGTTTGGTCAATTCTTTTTTTTTATTATTATACTTTAAGTTCTAGGGTACATATGCACAATGTGCAGGTTTGTTACATGTGTATACATGTGCCATGTTGGTGTGCTGCACCCATTAACTTGTCATTTACATTAGGTATATCTCCTAATGCTATCCCTCCCACCTCCCCCCACCCCATGACAGGCACTGGTGTGTGATGTTCCCCTTCCTTTGTCCAAGTGTTCTCATTGTTCAATTCCCACCTATGAGTGAGAACACGTGGTGTTTGGTTTTCTCTCCTTGCGATAGTTTGCTGAGAATGATGGTTTCCAGCTTCATCCATGTCCCCACAAAGGACATGAACTCATCCTTTTTTCTGGCTGCATAGTATTCCATGGTGTATATGTGCCACATTTTCTTATCCAGTCTATCATTGTTGGACATTTGGGTTGGTTCCAAGTCTTTCCTATTGTGAATAGTGCTGCAATAAACACACGTATGCATGTGTCTTTATAGCAGCATGATTTATAATCCTTTGGGTATATACCCAGTAATGGGATGGCTGGGTCAAATGGTATTTCTAGTTCTAGATCCTTGAGGAATCGCCACACTGTCTTCCACAATGGTTGAACTAGTTTACAGTCCCACCAACAGTGTAAAAGTGTTCCTATTTCTCCACATCCTCTCCAACACCTGTTGTTTCCTGACTTTTTAATGATCGCCATTCTAACTGGTGTGAGTTGCTATCTCATTGTGGTTTTGATTTGCATTTCTCTGATGGCCAGTAATGATGAGTCAATTCTTTTTACTGCCGGGAGCCAACCACTCTTTGCTGCCAGGGCTCTGACACCTCACCTGGTAGGTCTCTTGCCTCAGGCCCAGCAATTACAGGGGCAGGTGTGTCATGACAAAACACCAAGGGTAGTTCCTGGGAGAAGGCACAGAGATGACTAGCACACATGCATTGTCTCACTGGATTCTCAGCTCAGTCCCAGGGGAAAGAAGGGGGAAATATTTTGTCCATAGCTTGTAAATAAGAAATAGAGACTCAGAGAGGTAAACTTGCCCAAGATTACCCAGTAAACATTAGATTCTGGATTAGAATCCAGGGCTTTCACAAATCACACTGTTTACCACATATGCTCCCTCATATATTTGTGATACTGGTCTAATTTATGTACAAAACTGAGAGACACAAATTGATTTAAACTATCCTTTTGATTTATACAGTCTCCAGTTTCCTATCTCAAACACACCTAGCAAAGCTTATCCTAAGGAGATAAAATACAAATAAATTAAATACAAGTATCTTTATAAATGATCATCATCAAATTTATTGTACATTTTAAAAATTGAAGAAATTCTTTTTAAAAATCCTATACTGGTGTGAAGTAAATAAAGTGGGATGGAGTTAGCCTTTCCTCCTAGCATTATTTTATAGGATACAGACAATCCACTGTCATGTGTATAAAATGTTCTCTGAAGTCTTGTGGAAATGGGTCATTTCTATTCTTTTTCCTTTGTTGTGCAAAATATGTAAGTTTTTCCTTCCATAAAATTATCTGAACTGGCTGCTTACATAGCCCCAATCTGTCAGTTTGATTTTAAACTCCTCAATTCACTATTTGCTATAGATTTTTTTTCAAAAAAGTTATGAGATTATTTGCATATTACATGTGTGGTTTTTTTTAATTGAAGTTTTATCCTTCAGTTGAGCCAGTTGTATTCAAATCTGGGTGAGGGTGGTGGGGGTGGTGAAGGTGGGAGGCCACGAGGGCTGTAAATTTTGTAGTATTGTGTTCCATCTTAATGGGGTGGCTCTGGAAGGAGGAGAAGCCAATCCCAAATGTGCACAATCCAATTATATTTCCAGGGACATCTAACAGGTATCCTCCAGAATCCTGAATACCTATGGGCTATATACAGAGACTTTTTTTTTAAGCTCTGTTGTGACACTGCTAGATATTATGGGTAAAGAAAAATCAGGCCTGAGTATGAATAGGCTGGCTGATCTTAGTTCTTAACAAGCTCATTGGAAACCCTGGGCAAGTGATAATAGATAGAGAAAAGAGTAATTTCAAAAGGTGAAGAAAAATGTTACAAAATTCAGATCACACATTTGTAATACCTAAGCCTTACAGCGAAAAAAAAAAAATCAGCTTGTGGGCTCTGCCAACATTTTCCTGGAGCCAGCATGATGGGGCCCAGGTTGCTGTCTCTGGCTTCCAACAATATCCACCCATGCAGACGGCACCATGATTAATACAAGCAGAGCACTCTGTTCCGCACGCATCAGAGCAGTGACATTTTTGCACTGGAAAGTACTATTTGAGCTATAAGCAAAAATGGCAAGGCTAGCTTCAACTCAAGACAGTTCGAACTCCAGATTTTGTTCTAGGCATTCAGATGATGCCCTCATGGATGGCGGAACTATTCATTTAAAGAATCATGGTGGGTGCATTTTTCCATTTAAAAACATTTGACAGAATTCCATATGACAACATAAACATTTGAAAGAAATGTGGAGTATACAGGTTCCTTCTGGTGAGCTGCTCCTGCCTCTGGTGATGATACGCTCTTTTGTTCTCTGGCTAGTCCAGAGACTTTCACTTAATCCCATATTCAATAGGACACTGCTTGGGGTGAGGCTGGCACTTCTTGGTACAGGCTTCACCCTACAATGCACACACAATTTGAAATAGATTGCCAGCAGCCCAGGGCAGGAGAGGAAGAGGCCAGGCCTGCTGGGCTATTTGTCATCTCAAACATTTCAAGCATCACATGCCACCTCTTTAGCAGGGCACACAGGGATCTGTATCCCCTGGCAAGATGTTTAGTTTTGGTGCATACAAATAAGGTCTGTAATGTATAAACTTGAGGGGACAGAAAGAACAGCCGTCGCCTGAAGCTTTTCTTCCTGTGTGTAAGTGGCAGAAAACTCTTCCATAAACATCTTAATATTTCATCTTGAAGACTGGATAATGTCATGTAATGGAATTAAAATACATACATATTAAGGAAGTCTGCTGGGTAAAGAACAGCTCACAGCCAGCTACATTTAGTCGGACTTTGGTCTGCTTTCAGAGGAATGTAAGAATCTTCGAGGTATTTTGTTTTTCTCCAATTTTGGAAAGCCAAGAATTTTAGACCTCATTTTTTTAAAATTCTGGAATCTTTTATAACCACTGTGTGCAAATAGATAGTATTAAAAACACAAATGTAACAAGAAGGAAAGTTTGCTATCAAAACAAAACAAATGGCAGCCACTTTCTTTTGCCTTCTAGGGGAGGAGCAGAATGCCATCTCCAGAAAAAAAATAATTCTTTAGGAAAATTCCCTGATTCCTTAAAAATTCATTTTGGTTATTCAAGTGAGACTCCTGGTATAGTCCAGTTGGGAGAGAGTGGAGAAAAGGAAAGGTATAATGAAGTAAGAGGATTTATAGAGTCGTTCACTGCTTTTTTTTTTTTTTTTTTGAGAGAGATAAGGTTTAATGACCCTGAAAATAGTAAGGGAGAAACGATATAAAAAGAGAGGCCTCCTCTAGGTGAATATATAAATATGGTAGTCAGTTGGATCCTAAGGAAGGATACAATCAATAAGAAATTCCCTTTTTAGGAAACGAAAAGAAAATACTTGGAACCATGATAACTACTTTCAATATTAAGTTATTTCCAATTCTGCATTATGTTGGACCCCATTCTATCAATCTTCCAATTAACAAAAGTCACTTTGGCTTTATAGTGCCATGTGAGGGTGGCAAAAGTTTATGGCCCATCTTGGGGTTGATATACATCAGAGAGTGTCTTGTTCTAGGAGGTAAAACATGGAGTAGGAACAAGAATGTGGCATAAGCAGAAAATGAAACAGGTGATAACCGGAAGAGCTTATTAGCCCCCAGTAAAGGTGGCATGTAGAGGGCACAGGACCTCACAGAGGGTGGAAAAACAGTCCATTTATTTGGATCTTAAAAAATGGGTACCTCATGAAGGGTGGGAGACTTTTGGATCTGGGCAACAAAGTCAAAAGGAGAAGAACTTGCTGCAACGCAGCTATTACTTATTTGCATATTTTAAGTTTTAATTGCTAGGAGTTAACAAGGTAAAATAGCGAGAGGGCCAGCATTTGGACCCTCTCTCTTCCAGGTGTAGTAAAGTGACCTTGGCCAGTTGCTGTCCTCTCTGGACTTCCATCTCCTCATGTTCAAGGTGGAAGCAATAATACTAAACTGTTAGGCTTATTATAAAAGTTAAAAGAAATGCTGAATAAATGACAAATATAAATTCACAACTCTTAAGTTATAGTAAAATAAAAATAACTATGATTCTGTTTTTTAAATTTATTTTTTAGAGTCAGGGTTTCCATTTGTTGCCCAGGTTGGCCTCATATTCCTAGCCTCAAGCAATCCCCTTGCCTTAGCCTCCCTCCCAAAAGAGTTGGGATTATAGGCATGAGCCACAATACTCAGCCAATATGATTGTTATACCTGTCAGGATGACACTGACCCCCAAAGGCCTAAATCATTCACATTTCCTACATTAATTATTTAATTAAGTGCCTTAACTAGTTGGTGATATTTTAGCATTTATAATTTGACATAAACCTAGTTGTGTTTTTCATTAATTATACTTCACTATATAACCTAAATTATTTTAACTTCTTACATGTATTTATTTGGTTCTTGAAAAGCTAGAGTAAATTCTAAAAATATTTACTAAATAGGACTCATTAAACTTATAAATACCATGACTTCTAGGAGAGCACAAAGTTCAGTAAATATCTTTGTCTTACTAGTGATTATTTTTAATAAGGCCTTACGTTTCTGTGGTGGTTTCTGTTTCATGTGTGTGATCTCTTGATTACTCTGATCTTTTTTATTAAGATAGAATTATCTATATTCCAAACATTAAATTCCAGTAGTAGGACCCAATTTTCTAATTCTACTTTCTTGAAAGTAAAATGGTATGGTACCATTTATTATTGCACCACCCAATCAATATTTTCATAGTTAGACCAAAGTTTCAGATTCATATACTAACCTATGGGAATGTCACTAGTGGATAACTTGGCTGGTAAACTGCACTGACACTTCACCATAACCGACTTTTTTTTTTGAAAATCATTCAGTTCAATTTTGTTTAGAAGATTAAGCATCTCTTTGGAGAGCAAAACATCTAGATCAAAACTGACACTGCATTAAATTTACAGGGCGATGCTTTCTGGTTTGCTAGTTATGCTTTAATAATATTTTGTGGCAGGAACAACACACTGCTGTCTGGCATTTTCATTCTCCTTAGAAAAATAAAAAGAAGAAAAAGAAAAAAGTAAAATAAATAAATAAATAAATAAAGGGCTTTCCTGTAATAGGGTCAAAGGATTCAACGACTAACTCAATTCTGTCAATTTTAATGGTGGGATAGTACCCAAGGTGTTTCTTTTTCATTTATCTATTTTTATCAAGAAGTGGTTTGTTTTGAGGAGGATTTACAGTTCTGCTCTCGTATCTTCACTTTTCTATGGGCCCATATGTACTCTTGCGTAAAGCAGCTTTTTAAAAAGGAGTGGTTACTGTGAGTTTTAGAATGTTAAACCTAATATATTGAGATTGACTGAATCTGATGGCCCTGATGATTCTAGGAATGCCTGTCCAGTTTAGTTTATTAAGCCCCTGTGTCCCTCTATCATTTTATTGCAGCCACACTAGGGCGTGGTCTGGAGAAAGGGTACCAAAACTCAAAGCAGATATTTAAAATAATCTGTGGGAAAACAAAGAAGTTATAACTATTGCATATCATATTACTTTGGGAGCTGCTTTTGAATGATCCATTTTCCTCTCTCCCATAGAGTCCCCAAGACTATCTGAAACATTCCCTTCCTCAACTTTCACTGTCTGCTCCTCTGTCTTGCAAACCTAACCATGCCCCTAAAAGGGAAAATAAAGTGCTTACTTTATTTGCTTATATTGATAAGAACCTGTATATGTTACAGATACTCGAGTGGGAATTAGAGAAAATAAGAGGAATAAAGAGAGATAGAGTAATTTTGAAAACTATGATTGCTCCTCTGTCCTTCCCATTTATTAAATTTTATCATAATAGGCACTTTTTTATTTTAAAATTTTATTTGGTTTTTACTTATACCATATGTCCTTTTTTTCATACTGACTTTACATTTTCCTTAAGAGTTTTGAGCTATTCATTTATTTCTTTTATTTCTTTGAACATTTAAGATGTACTTGAGGTCTTTTCATTTTCAGGTTCTTTGTTTCTAGTTCTTGGGGTAAAAACTAACTTTTGTGTTATGTGTGCTGATCTCCCTTCAAATAATTCATATCATTATATAAGTTTAAATCTTTGAATTATCCCCAGTGAAAGATGGCGATAACTCTTTGTGTACGTTACATGTGTCCTTGGCTGTGGAAATTTTTCTAGAGTAATTTGCATTTGCTCCTGATGATATCCAGGTATTTCATCAATTTTGGACCATTTATTATTTTAACTTACCAACATACTACTAGGGTAGTTGAATTTGTACCCTATATTCATTCACATAGTATGGAAGTCAGAGGTTCAAGTTTCTTTGGGATGCCTCATTTTATTCTTGTGGCCTTTGGCTTACTTGCTAGTGCTGCATCTCTGGGACAACTGCAGGTTTCTTCCAGGCCCCTTTCACAAATGTGGTCATGATTTCACATCGTCATATGTATGAAGCCTGTGGCCTGGATTTCTCTTCAAACGTGATGTAAGAATGGAATCAGCTCCTCCTCACATTTTTTACTTTGAGCTCCTTTTCTTTTCTAGGACATGAAGGTTTTCTATTGTTGTTTTATGGTGAGTTTGAAAGCTTTTGTTGTATTTTGCCTGCCATTTTATGTGTTTGGATTCGGGGAAGAAATTCCTTCACATCAGCTCAGGTTGCCAAATTGCCTGGAAATCCTTGCTTACTTTTCTTTAATTATTTTTCCCTTCCAGTAGATTTTAAGCTCTTACTATCAGGAGCAGCCAAAATGTAAAGTGGTGTTAGGGTTAAATAAGTAACTGTAGAATAGATAAAGACATATTAATAAATTGATTTATGAAATTGGTACTTTTACTTATTGCTAACTTTTGGACCACCAGTTTTCTTATCATCCTATAATAAAGGCTGTTTATGTTCTCTAATGTACCCTATAGTTCCTTAATATAATTTTGCAGTTATAAAAAGCAATGATCCCACCTGTGACATACTCTCTTATCTCCGTTTCTGTGGTTCAATAAGCCTGTGAGACAATTGCAAACATTTCTAAGAATTTCTTTTGTAAGTCCTCAACATGAAAAAGTGAGAAAATGTATGACTGAAAAAAATCAGAATGATAGAAAATGTTCCCAAAAAGCCAGTCTTCTTCCTATACTCATATTAAATACAAAGTCAACACTCCTTCTTCACAAGCATAAAGTCTTGATGGATTGCAGATGCCAACCATTACACAGATAGCACAATAAATCTGCTATAAACTACTGAACATACTCTGAAATATCTATTGAAACATAGGGGCTATATGCACTATAACTCCAGTTTCCAAATTCCTGCTATATTAATTCATTGTGACTTTTTTGAATAGACCTGTCTTCTATTGCTACAAAATGAAAATTAAACAGATATGTGAAAACCGATTTGGGGGCTACCTAAACTGAATTGAGCACCACCAGACACAAATTACAGCAAAAGGATACTGTTCTAATTTGAATCCTAGTAAACCAAGCAGCAGCAGTAAATTAGTTGGCATTTGAGCCAGAAAGAGGTTCAAAATGAACTGTTTTAAGAACATGAATTAAATAATGCAGGAGAACATGGGTTACCATTTTAGCAACAGTGCCTTGAACACGTTAAATGATTTAAAAAGCAATAATTTCATAGGAAGATAATTGGTATTTAAATCACCCTCTATGCCACTGTTCGGCACATAAAAAGTTAATTCCAGAAAAGATTAGGATAATGCCCATTCAAGAATAAATCAGATAATGGTGGTTGTCTTATATTTAGAACTTTCTTGTAGCTACTATCTGCCCTAAGTTTGACAATTAACAATGATACTAGTAAATTTATTTTTCAGAGGCATCTAATATAATGCACTGGGCTTGGGTCAGCTTCAGGGGCTCCACACTTAATGCTCTTTATAAAATTCTTAATAACATTTGAACCAGAGGCCCTACATTTTTATTTTATACTAAGCCTTACAAATTATACATAATATAATTGGCTGACTGGGCCAAATATAATAAGGCTTATCTCTATATCTGTTCAATAGGAAGCATAATTTTGATCATCTTTCCAGGCATGAAGGTCTGAAATGGCTCTCCATTGCCTACCAATGTCAAATAGTAGTAAATGTCAAACCTTTTAGCCTGCCATTTAATATTTTCCATGATAGGGTTCCAATCTATGTTTCCATATTTAGTTTACATGATTTCACTCTTGCATTTATTTAATGAAGATGTGTTTATTGAGACTTACCATATGTCAGGTACTCTAGGTCCCCCACTAAGTGGGAACAAAAGAGGTTTGACCTTGTCCTATGTCACCCCCGTTAGAGGTAAACTATAGAACTTGCCATTTCCCAAACACTCCTTGCTTTTTGTTGTCCTTGCTTTTGCCAGTTATGCAGGTCTACTGCTGGTTTGTTCTCAGGTTTATTCACACCCTTATCCTACTTTGCTCTGTGTTAGCAGAAGCTAAATTTTCCAAGTTTGCTTGTGCTTTTTGGTAGGTTTGGTCAGTGCTGGGTATTGATGAACCTTTGGAGGATAAAAGGAGGGGACTAGCCAGACTCTCCTCTGTTGCTGACCCCCCAGTACCCCACAGGGTCCTGTGGCCTCTCCGTGGGCCTAGTTCCCATGAGTCTCCCTCTCCTTTCATGGCTCCACCTCCCTGTGGCCAGCCTCTGCCAACTGGCGCTAGTTTCTGGGCTCTGAGAATGATTTCCTTCCACTATCCTTCCACCCTGGTGGCCTCTTGGTCTTGTTCTTCTTGGGGTACCTCGCCATCCACTGTTAGGCTCCTCAGCTCTCTAGCACCTTTGTAACCAGAGTAGTTTCTCTTTCTCTAACTGGATCCTGATCTTCTGAAATAGTCTTCCTCTTTATCTAGCCTTCCATCATTGATACACATCAGTATTTCATTCACTCTTCAGGGCACAAGTTTAATCCACCTTGTTATAAAGGTTTCCTTGGCTTCTTCCCCAGCCCTGAACTATAAAACTGGAAATGATCTAGACTTAATATTTGAAATTCCCTAACAGTTTGCTTATAGTTCTCTTGTGATATTTAAAATGTTCTAACTCATTAGATAATGACTTATGTAAATATATCTGCTGTCCTTGAGCACAGGGACACACTCTAGCATAAATGAGCAATCACACTTATAATGTGAGATTTATCCTAAGAAAATATTTCACTCAAAGAAGGTGCTCAATAAATATATTGTTGCATTCCTCTAAGTGGTAAATATTAGACTTTTTTTCTCAATTCAAAAACTTTGTTGTTTCTTTTGGAGAAATCACTAAAATATCTGTATTATCCTCATAAATACATTGTTGAGAAATTAGCTGCCAGGACAAAATGAACTGTGCATTATTCATATAAAAGTGACATTATTGCTAGAGGACATACAAATAATGAGCAGGCATTAATATAATAACAAAGGGCCTTGGGGGGGATCCCTATTTTCATGATTCCAAGACTGCATCAATTATAGACATCTTCACAATGAATTAGTATAAATAGTCTCTCATCTTCCCCTTTTTCCTGCTGGTATATATCTAATGTGATATATTTTATTACCAATTGGCCTTCTACATATTTGCTGTCTTTTCTATTTGACGGTGATGCTGTTCCTGCTTACCATTATGTATAAGTGTGGCTGTTAGGATGAATGTTGACTCAACAGCTTTTTCCATATTGCCCGGTGTGAAGTTTGTTCTTTGATTGGACTATAGCTGGGCTTTTGAGAGGCTGTGACTGTTTGTAGCTCTAGATCTTAAACTAATAGTGAGCTTGTGAAGTCTCTGCTCTGAGAAAAGTTCTTCCTTTGTGGATTTCAATGCACCAGCCTCATTTCCTTGTGTCTGCCACTTCCTTGCAGTCTGCAATAAAGCTTTGTTGTTTGAAGCCAGGATGTAGAATATCCTTAAAGCTTTCCTTCTGGCATAATTGTTGGCATTTCCCTCACTTCAGGATGCTGTACAACCAGGGTTGTCAGCAACAATTTCATGATTTGTTAGCTCCAGTGGACTCATGATGAACATTGAAGACAGACCATCTAGTTGCCAAAAGGCTTTTCCTTAGCAACTTCTTGGCAATATTTACATTGCTGATGAAATGCTTTAAGTTAGTAGGGGACATAGGATGTGCCAGAGGTCGAAGTTGTAGGCTTGCGTGTCCACATGTGTGACCTGTAACTAAGTTGACACTCTGCCTTACACAGAGACCAGTTCTCCTTGGCCAGATGTGCAGCCTCACTTGGACCCAAACCTGATGAGATCCAGAAAATCAGGTCAGATCATCCTGACAGATAGCTTCTTTCCTAACAGATACAAAAGGCTTTGTTGCTCCAGTAATCCAAGCCTTGGCAGAAGACTTTTTAGTCCAGTTTATGGCTTTAAAGTAACTGCTAGAATTAATGGAAGCATAGAAGTATGCCTTATTAAGACTTATTGGTCCAGTAGGGGCTTCTCTTTCTGTTTGAGAAGTACAATCCAACTCTGGGTAGATCCTTGCAACTCAAAGTATGGGGGACAAGCCGCAGTATGATTACCAGGAACTCATTAGTTATGAAGAGTCTCAGGTTACATTTCAGGATCTACCAAATCAGAATCTGGACTTCAGCAAGACTTCAGTAGTTTGTTTGCCCGCTGAAATTTGAGAAGCGTTGGGCTAAATCACCAAGTGACTAGAGCAGAATCAGCACCAGGGCATCCTCTAATTGGCAATGGGAATTTTGTACTTGTAGGTGAATATGTAGCTGGATGAAGAAGCTGGAATTCACACTGGTCTGCCTCACAATGTTCTGAGAACTCCAACCACTATGACGTGCAAGGCCACAGTGGCTTGGAAGAGCAGAGCGTATGTTCTGGAGGGGCATTGCTATGACTGCTTAACCTAATGTAGTTATCCTGTTGGAATGCTGGCCTGGCTGAGGCATTTTCTAGGATCTCCTAAGGAGACAACCCAGGATAAGAATGATGCCACTGCTGGGATAACAAGTTAAGCTGGTGCACTGGTAGCGCCCAGCTGATGGGGGTGGGGGGTGGGGGTGGGCAGCGCAGGTGCTGGGTCAAAGTGGGGAAGTGAAACCCTTAGACTGAGTAGCCCAGACTGTAAAACACTATGTGACACACTGAGGTGACATCAGCAGCAAGTATATAGTCAGGAATGGGTAAACCTGCAGTGTGACCAGAGGGAAGATGGCATAGCCTAGACAGGAAGGTTCCTAGGGGTAATGGAGAGGGGTCATCGAGGGGCTGATGCTGAGAGGCTGCTGCAGGAAGGAGAGTCAAGGTCGCCATTCCATGAGATTGACGTATTCAGTAGCCACTCCTGCTGCACTCTCTGTGGTTCCCCTACTCCCCCGCAACCCCCTGCAAGAAGCTATTTGTGGCTTCTGACATTCAGTACCTCTTTAAACAGTATTTTGCTTACTTTTTGTGACTATTTATATATATATACTGACTATATATAGTCACAAATATATATATTATATAAAGTAGCAGCATTACATTTTCTGTCTCTTTGGGTTCACATTTATTATTTCATCTTTTCTTATTTTTTGTAATCTTAGTTGCACCCTACAACTCTATGAGGAGGTGCAGGCATCATTCATCTTTGATAAGTAGCAACAAAGCAATAACTGAGACACAGAACAACATGTCTTACCTAAAGCAGCATATATTTGGCAACAAAGTTAAGAACAGAACAAAGAAATTCATATTTTATCCTAGCACATTTGAATATGACAACTAGCTGTTTACCATGCACTTCAAATGTGTGAAACTTTATGAGACTAACATCCTTAAGTTACAAAGCGTGGAAGCAACTTTCTCCCAAGGGATATGTTATTTTCAAAACTGTGATTTATTTTGGCCAGCTTAGCATGAAGGATCTCTCGTCAAATTCATTTTCTTTTCTTCTTTATTATTTACCCCAAATATCTGAATCCACATGAATACCATCTATGGAGTAACTGACATAGTCTTTAATGACTGGTATGAGTTTTCAAACAAAAACAAAACTATAAAAATGTTTCAAGTTAATGAGAGTGCCTTTAAAATTATTAGCATTTAAAAAATAGCCTAGGGGTAAAAGGTTTGTGTGTTTATAGAGTTAAATAAAATGGAATCTACTAAAGTTATCCTTCCCCCGTCTGTCAAATTTTGACTTTCTCTAGGAAATGAGGATGACAAAGCATTCCCATCCTCCTGACTACCTGTCTTCCCCTACTCCAAGTCCTGGCATTGACATAAAGCCATCAGCCTGTCTAGGGTTGCGGGGGTTTGATGTTGGTATTCTATTTATATAAAACACATGATATTTCCTAGCTTTGCAAAATTAACAAAGCTTATACTTTATTTTTTAATTATTGGTGAGGTTAGGAGAGTATGTCAATATGTTACATTTATATGTAATCTTAATAAAAATAAATAATATTAACTTATATATAATTATAAAATATACATTATAATTATATAAATATATGATATATAGTTTATGTATATCTATATATCTAATATATAAATTTTATATTTTATATATTGAAAGGACAATAACTTATAAGATTTAACATCTATAGTATATAGTCACCAAATAGGAAAAATATAATGCTTTAAAGAAAATGTTTTTCCACTATGTTTTTCTTTTTTTTATGTGTAAAAGCTAGGAAATAGAGACTGTAGATCACTGATAAAGAAAAATGAAACACTCCTAAATTGGTGCAGCCATTGCCTCTTTGACTAGCGTATATTGCAGCTCTTATGAGAGGGTTTTGGGGGTTGCTTTTTTTGTTTGTTTTTTTTGTTTTTTGTTTTTTTTTTGGCTGACACATTTCATTAGTTGCAAGGAGCTCCAGTGGTGGGTTGATATTTGTCACGCTCAGTTTACAAACTTTTCCAACCAGATAGCAAACATACTAAATTTCCACTGCTTAAGAAAGCAAAGTACTCAAGATACACACAAACACACACACACAAAGAGGGGGACAGAGAAGAAAAAAGAAAGCCTTGTTTTCAGATAGATACCAAAGAAGGAAAAATAAAACAAATTCTAGGCTGCCAACTGGTCTTATCTGAAAGTATCATTCATTCTTTCCTAGGTTCTGATTCAGTGTTGAGAAAATACATTCTGACTCCAAGTAGTCTGACATTCTTACAAAATTAACTTTATCCACTTGTAGGTGGAATTCATGTGAACACAGTTTATTGGATCATAATAACACATAATATTAGACTGTACCAGAAACACTTTGTTTTTAACAAAACTTAAAAATCTCATTTGCCAGCATCAATTACCTACAATGAAGTATCTCTTCCACACACATACTCCCAGATGTGCAAAACTTCTTACATCTCCTATTAGACATGGAAAACATTCACTCTTCTCGTATGTACTGTGTAAGAATGACTAAAATTGATTACACAACACCTAAATATTTAAAAAAAATCTGCCAGATTTAGGGATATTTTAATGGCACCTAAAAGACTGTCATGAATGCCAGGATCCATGGAGCAAATTATTAAACTCTAGGAGCTCAAAACATTTTAACACCTGTGTGATCCCCATACCCCCTTGATCCAGGTTGTGATAAAGATGTGAAGTGCACAGAGCTGAAACCCGAGTAGCCATTGGAGGCTGTCCTGCCATGGTAACATAATTTACTGTGTCATTACCATTGTTATCGCATCCTCCGCTTCAAAGCACATGGTATCCAGGTGATAAATTACTGAATCTGACATTTCTTAATATTCATAAAGTACTTTGATAAAAAGAACTTGGTTTCCTTATCTAAATGTGCAATTTCAAGACAATAGGCTCTCTGAAGAGGATTAAATTCCTGAGAGTTTAGTTAAATGAGAGATAATTAGAAATTTTAGGCTCTTTCTGATATGGGACAATTCCAGAAGCAGTAGCAGTAACTCTATCCTGTTTATTTTAATTTAAAGGACTGACTTGTTATTAATGAATGTGTGTGTGTAAGTGTATGTGTGTAGTATTGGTCCATTTTAGTAGGTTCAGTTTTTTTCTAGGTCACTAAGTTTCCACTTAAAACTTATTTTCAAAGGAGAAACTCTTTAGAATTCTTGGAACACTTTGGTGCCTGACCAGTAAGCAAATCCTGGTATAGGTGTGGGCCAGTGTGGCAAGTGAGAGCCAAAGGAGTTCAGAATGAAATTCCACAGTCCGTGAGCCTATACTTCCCTACCAACTCCTATTGACAGCAGCTAGGTTTTCATTAGTGTATACCCGAATGAGTCCAGAACAGACCATTCTATCCACAGCTTACACGAGGGACTCCTGGTTTTCCTCTGCATAACCTTGAGGTCTTGCAACTTAAATTCAGCATATGAATCCTCTGTGTAAGCTTTGAATCCTATGCATCTCTCCTCATCCACCATCAGGCCAATAAAGTGTTTGACAGAAAGCTTAGGACAGAGGTTGTTCCATATTATCTGCACATGATGGGAAAAGGAGACGAGGCTACATGTCCAATGAGGGGAAAGGAGCTGAAGGGGGAGAATAATCAATCATTTAACCACACATTTAGCTCTTTAGAGAGGTGATCTGTCAAATGGACTCGAGAGGCTTTCATACAAGGCATAACTGCAAAAATTGATCAGGGAGTTCTCACTCTACTAGAAAAGGCAGTCCATCTATATTTTATACTGTGTTCTTATAATGTGCATAAAATTCTGAATTTATAGCTTCACATGGTTCATTTAACCCACCAAGATAGAGTTTATTGACTCTGTGTGGAAACTTTGGAACAATTTTTGTTATAGTCATTGGTGGTGCTAGTGGGTTTTTCTTTCTTTTTCTTTACTAATGTTTAGAGTCAATCACGTTGATAGAAGAAAACAATTATAATTTTAATTAGAACATAAATGAAAATCAAGGAAAATTCCAAATGGCTAAAATTTTAGTTTGAATACCCTTCAAATTCTCTTGGAATGTCTTAAGCTAGTGACTAAATGTTTAGACTTTAATATACTTGCATATATTTTATTCTATAGTTTTTCTTTTCTGTATTTTCACTTAGTGTCCCCCAAAATGGTAGAAATGCATTGGTGAGAAAGAAAAATACCCTTTATATCTGAATCTTCCATAGCACTCAGTGCAGTGCTTAATAAAACCTTGTTAAATCAGAGTCTTGAAAAAAAGATTCTGTTTCCTAATAGAGAAATATTGTGGGGGAGGGAGCCTCTTTCTGGATGTGTTTTTGCAACTAAGAAATAAACTTCTTTCGGGAATGTGGGGGAATGATGAAGTGATTTCATCTCTATGAATTCTGTATATCTTTTTATCTACACCTCTGAAATGTAATACTGTGAGGAAAACTTATAACTTGCCAATTATTAGTAGGTAAATAATGTATCTTGCTCATATAAAGACAGAAAAATATACAAATTGTATTAATTTGTTCTCACACTGCTATAAAGACATAACCGAGACTGGGTAATCTATAAAGAAAAGAGGTTTAATTGGCTCGCAGCCTGTGGGCTGTACAGGCTTCTGTTTTTGGGGAGGCCTCAGGAAACTTACAATCATGGAGGAAGGTGAAGGGGAAGCAAGCATGTTTCCATGGCAGGGGCAAGAAAAAGAGAGCATGAAGGGGGAGGTGCCACACACTTTCAAACACTAGATCTTGTGAGAACTCTATCACAACAACAGCAAGGGGGAAGTCTGACCCCATGGTCCAATCACCTCCCACCAGGTCCCTCCTCCAACACTGAGAATTACAATTTGACTTGAGATTTGGGTGGGGACACAGAATCAAACCATATCAAACATGGTAGAAGGAATTCATTATTTTATCCATTATTGTTTCTCTAAGAGAGAAACAGGGTAACAGAGTGTGACATACAGCCAGCCTGCATGCTAACACATGAGTGAAGCCCATCTATTCCCAACTGAGGTTCATTATGAGCATTTTCTAAGTATCACCATGACCAGCTCTAGTCCCTCTATAAAATGCTTCACATTGAAATGTATAGTCAGTTCCTGTTATTCATGGTAGTTTGGTTCTACAAAGCCTCTGCAAACACTGAATTAATGAATACTGAACCATTGCGCTTAGGGGAAGTATATACATGTGTATGTAAAGTATATATATATATATCTCTCTCACATATATTATAATCTTAAACCTTAAAAACATCTTAAAAACAAGGTTGTCCTGGTAGATACTATTTTATTACACAAGAAAAAACAAGGTTCAATGGTGTTATGTGACTTGCCTGAGGCTTCCCCACTAACAGGGATCAGAGATGGGACTCAAGCTGTCCAGATGGCCCCAGAGCAGAGTCTTCTTGCACTACATTGGACTGTCTCTTCCATCTCCATCCTCTTGTCATCTCTGTATAAAGAGCTGAAAAAGGGTGGCAGAGCGTGGCCTTCTTTAGCCTCAGCTAGGAATGTACACAGTTGGACAACACAAATTTTTGCCACTCTGCACACATCCACTTTTGACCATCAAAGTGCCATAAATATTGATTTTGGGGTTACATATAAGGTTTTGTGAGTAGGTGAATTTGCAGATATAGAATTCATTAATGAGGTTTACTGTATTTGTAAATCTCACATTAGCAGTCATTTATGGTTAGGACCAAATACTGAGTACCTCAGTTCCTAAAGCCATGAGCAATGTCCTGTGCATGCTTGGGGTCCCACAGGTATTTGTCTCCATCATCAGCTTGTGGCAATGAGTGGGCGTACTCTGAAGCCCTCCTATGCTCTAATAATGGCAGAACTGTTTATACGATAAACCATATTTCATCCTCATTGTCCACCAATATTTACTAAAAGGGATTATGGACTTTCTTCTTTGAAAATACTGGGAAGCTTGCGATGCACATTACATACTGTCTTTTTACTCTAAATTATGGAGCTAGTAAAAGATAAATGGAGGATGATATTTTATGGAAATTTGAGTGAAAATTCACAGATTGTGATAATTACACCCAGTCAGATTTTCTTGGAATTGTGTTATAAAGTATAGGATATCATTAGTTCAATAATGTGACTCTAAAATCACAATATCTAGAATTTCTCTTCACTATTTTAAAAATCCTCTTTGATGATATAATATTTTCTATTTTTTTTTACTTTATCAAATTAGCACAATCTAGTGGTTGTTACATTAAGGATTCCCTGCATAAATTTTAAAAAAATTTATATCTGCCATCCTAATACCATATAGACGAAAAAGTTTAAAAATCATGTCACAAACCTATAAAACATTTATGAATATTAAACATCATATTAGTTTTCTATTACTTCTGTAACAGACAATCACAAACAGTGGCTTAAAATAGCGCAGATGTATTATTCTACAGCCCGGAGATCGGGAGTCTACCGTGAGTGGGCAGGGTTGTGCTGCTTCTGGAGGTTCGCAGGGAGACTCTGTCCACCCCGGCCTTCTGCAGCTTCTAGAGGCGGCCTATATTCTCTGGCTCACAACCCTCTTAAAATTTGGCTATCCCACTGCTCTCACTTGTGCTTTTCATTCTCACATCTCTTTGGATTCTGACCCTTGTGATGACATGGAGTCCACCTAGGTAATTCAAAATAATCTCCCCATCTGGGGTCCTTTGCTTAATCACATCTGCAAAGCCCTTTTTCCCATGTAAGGTTACAGAGTCACAGGTTCTGGGGGTTAGATTGTGGATATCTTTGGGAGCCCTTATTCAGCCTACCACAAATGTATAATTGGTCCAAGTTCTATAGAGAGTTCAAAGATAATTGATGCATGGTCCTTGCCCTTAAAACCTGTAATCTAGGCAGGAGCTGGCAAATACTAAAATGACCATAAAACAAGGTAGAGGAACTTTCATGTCATATGGGAGTTCAGAAAAGAAAGAGATGGGTCATTAACTGACCAAAAAATGGTTCAACCTGCGTATCTCCACAAGGCAATATATGCCTTTGTTCATACTTGTCTCTCATCTGGAAATGCCATTTCCTCCTCTTCTACTTGGTTAACTCTTACTTAGCCTTTAAAATTCAAGTCATTTCTTTTAGGACATGCTCCTGGATGCCCAAGCAGAGACGGTAATTTCGTCACATTGTTTTTGAAAAATAGCTTATGTATATCTCTCATTAGAAAGAATGCTTGTCTTCTATAAAACTCTTCCAACTTTTTTAAAATTTTACTTTTGTATTCTTTGGCACCTCATGCTGAGTTGCATATAATAGGCATTCAGTGAATACTTGATGAGTGAGTTAATGTGGGTAGGCACTGTGTAAAGAAGGCATAGGTGGCCAAATGTGTAATTTGGTGTGTTGAGGATGTCCTGCAGAGTGGAAAAGTGAGCCACACACTGGAACTAGGGGCAAGTAGGTCTTTTCAACTAACTAGTTATCAGGGAGATCTGGAAAGAAGATGGGAGAAATGGCAGAATGCAGCTCAACTGTCAAGCCTGGGTAACCAGGCAAATGGTCATGTCTTTAACAGAAATGAAACATAAATACCCAAGGGAATGGCAGGTAGTAAAGAAGTGATCTATGTTTCACTTTAGGCTCCATGAATCTGAAGAATTTAAGGCAACAGCTCACTGACATGACCAAGAAGAAATGGAATTTAGAAGAAAAATCAGAGTTATGTTTGAGGCTAGTTTCCCTAGGAGTGATAGTACAAGCCATAGGGATGGCTTAAAGGAAGAGGTAGACAAAAAGAGAAAAAGAGAAGATAAAAACATCTGGGGCAGAATGTTGGTGAATATATTCAGAGGGACCCTAGGTGGGGGCACTTTTTAAAGAATCAGTTCCAGCCTAGCCAACACAACAAGACCTCATCTCTACTAACAATTAGAAAAAACAGTTTGCTGGGCATGGTGGTAGCTGCCTGTAGTCCCAGCTACCCAGCTACTCAGGAAGCTAAGGTGGGATCATTTGAGCCCAGGTGTTCAAGACTCCAGTGAACAATGATGGTACCACTGCACTCTAGCCTTGGTGACAGAGTGAGACCCTGACTCAAAAAAACAAAAAAGAAGAAAAGAAAAGAAAAAAGAATCAACATCAGACGAAGGCTGCAGCAGTTTTTCTCAGATGATGGTTTCTCTGATTGCAGGAGAACAGGAAAAGTGCTCCCCTCTCTGAGCTGCTAGACAGCAGAAAGCAGTGCACCTACCTTACATTATTGTTCTTTGAGTATGGAACTTGTCTCCCATCCCAACCCTCCTAGATGATATATTTCTTGAGGGTGGAGGCTTTGTCTTTTTATATTTACGTTTCCTGGGTGTTGAACTCACCTCTTTACATTTAGTATATTTATTAATCAATGGAGTAATAAATGAAAGAGTCAGATGTTGTGATATTTCTTTATTTCATAATATATCCAGTTTCTCCTAAAGTTTGCCTTAAGGTCCTGGAATGAAAAAAATGTTACAAAGCAGCTTAAAAATACTGGGCATAGCCAGAAGCTCAAAGCACACCTTGTGTTAATTCTATCTTGTTTGCAAAGTGGAACTGCCTGAAAATAGTCAGAATCCTGCTGAACTAAAACTTCCTGCTACATGATACTCCTTAGGTTCAAGTAAAGGACAGAGGCCTGCACTTAATTAAAAATATAAACCCAAGCTTTCTATCTCCAAGATGAGACTTAATTCTAAAGTCACCTGCGACATGTTTATCAGCCAGTCTGACTAAATGTTTCCCCTGAGGGTAAGTGGTACCTAAGATACTAGAAATGTAGCCCTAACAAAAGATCCACCAAGTTCCCCTAAAAGTGTACCTAAGAAACATATTAAGTACAAATGCATCCCATAAGACAAGATTTCAAAAGACTCAGGACAAAGGACATCCACATATGTGAAGTTATTTAGATAATGAAAATTTGCTTTTTAGTACTGTCAAAATAACAGATATTTGAGAAATTCATCACAATGTTCATATTTTATACTTAAGCATAAAAGAAATTATAATATACTAACTTCAATGAGTTTTCCTACTATCAGATAATTCTCAGATTTAGTATTGATTTATCTAAAGAACAATGTTATATGGAAAAACATACAATGTACAGATTATGTTTCTACCACACCCAAGTAAGTACAAACTCCTTATAATGCTGTGTCCCACAAGTGAGTTTTATGACAATGACCATCCACCTGGCCCATCAATCTTTTTAGGGGCTTCTCCCATCCTCAGTGTAGCACTCACCTTGCCTCAACACTGTGCACAACAAAAATAAAAAATAAAATTAATGACTGAATTACACTGTTCAGGAACTGGGATTAATTTATCAAACCAAGGCAATTTCTAAGTAAAACTCTTGGGCAAAAATTTCAAAAGCTTCTCACAGTTGGTTTCCACTGTCATTTACTTGAAGTTTTATCAATACACAAGAAAAAGATATAACTTTGTGCATTTTTCTACCTGAGAGAGTGAGGTGACAGTATAAGAGGAACCCACTAAGCCTTTGATACGTCCAGCTGAAAGGGCACTCAAGCACAAGAAAATTTTCTCTAAATGCTTACTTGGTGTGCTACGTGCAATTTGTTAGGTTTAAATCCCTATAGCAATCAGGAGATTTTCACAAATCTTTTAGCAAATAGATATTTTTCAGGGTAAGACAACATCATGTTTCTTTGGTAGGTGTGTTGGATCTTATGTTAGACAGGTTATTAAAGTACAGGGTATTGCTCATTTCAACCCAAATGATGAAGGATCCACAAAGAAATATATAATCCATGTGAAGAGATAGCCGTAAGGAAAGGTAATACATTTAATCTGAAGAATGGTATGTATATATAAGTAGATAGATGGATATAGATATACAGGTAAATACGCACACTCATCAACTCCTATTTAACTCACATTAAGCTTGCTTAAATAGGCATTGGAAGGGAGGCAATGCAGCGTTCTTTCTAATTACCACTTATTCTCATATGTACAATTGTGAAGGGCTTATTATTAATTACTAAAATTTAATATGAATTATACTTTATGTTGCCATTAATTGTTTAAGGCACATTCTGCAGGAGATCCAAATCCATTAAAACTTTGGGTGGGATGAAAATTTTACTTTTGTATTACAAGGCTGATGTTCTTTAACATATGATTTGATTGCCTCTGAACATGTCTTTTCATAAGATAAATTTAAAATGTTAATTTTCCCCTGCATGGTATAAAAATAGGCCTCATAGCAAAACAGACCAATTTGCTAAATGACTAATTTATCCAAAGCCAATTCACTACAAACCAATTTGTCAAATGACCAATTTGCCATTTTATCCAACATTTTTTTCAGTGTTAATTTCATCATGTCTTCCCTGCTTCCTTTTCCACTGACTTATTCCAAATTGGGTGAATATTCATTTGGCATGTTTCAAAATGCAGATGCCTAGAACTCTTGGAACATCTGCTTCTAGTCTTCTCATGGGCCCCATTCCATCTGGGTTCTTATGTCTACCCTTGTCTCTGTCTGTGACAACATATCCTGGGTCTTGTTTAAAATATTTGTATAACAGTTTAACATGAGGGAAAGTTGAATTTTATTGAAAGCCCTTTCTATATCTATTGAGATAATCATGTAGTCTGTGGTTTTAGTTCTGTTTGTGTGATGAATCATATTTATTGATTTGTGGATGTTGAACTAACTTTGCATCCCAAGAATAAAACCTACTTGATTGTGGTGGATTAGCTTTTTGATGTGCTGCTAGATTTGGTTTGGTAGTATTTTGTTGAGGATTTTTGTATCTATGTTCATCAGGGATATTGGCCCAAAGTTGCTTTTTTTTTTTTGCTTGTGTCTCTGCCAGATTTTGGTATCAGAATGATGCTGGCATCATATAAAGAGTTAGAGAGGAGTTCCTCCTCTTCAATTTTTTGGAATAATTTCAGTATGGTTGGTACCAGCTCTTCTTTATATATCTGGTAGAATTTGGCTATGAATCCACCTGGTCTAGGGCTTTTTCTGGTCGGTAGGCATTTTTATCACTGATTCAATTTCAGAACTCATTATTGGTCTGTCCAGGGTTTCAATTTTTTCTTGGTTCAATCTTGGGAGTTTGTATGTTTCTAGGAATTTATTCATTTCTTGTAGGTTTTCTAGTTTGAGCTCATAGTGGTGTTCATAACACTCGCTGGGTTTTTTTTTTTTTATTTCTGTGGGGTTGCTGGTAATGCCCCCTTTGTTGCTTCTGATTGTGTTTGTTTCAGTCTTCTCTCTTTATTCTTTATCAGTCTAGTTAGTGATCTACCAATCTTATCTATTCTTTCAAAAAAACAATTTTTGGTCTCATTGATCTTTTGTATGGTTTTTTTGGTCTCAATTTTGTTTAGTTCAGCTCTAATTTTGGTTATTTCTTTTCTTCTGCTAGCTTTGGGGTTGATTTGCTCTTGTTTTTGTATTCCCACATCCCATGTGATATTAGGTTGTTAATTTGAGACCTTTCTAACTTTTTGATGTGGGCTTTTACTGTTATAGATTTTCCTCTTAACACTGCTTTAGCTGTGTCCAGAGATACTAGTATGCTGTATCTCTGTTTTAGTTTCAAAGAATTTCTTGATTTCTGCCTTAATTTCATTTATTTACCCAAAAGTCAATCAGGAGCAGGTTGTTTAATTTCCATGAAATTATATGGTTTGGAGAGATCTTATTATTAATTTCTATTTTTATTGCACTGTGGTGTGAGAGTATGGTTGGTACGATTTTGGTTCTTATCTTATTGGGAATTGCTTTATGGACAAGCATGTGGTCAGTTTTAGAGTATATGCCATGTGCAGACGAGAAGAATGTATATTCTGTTATTGTTGGGTGGAGTGTTCTGTAGATGTCTGTTGCACCTATCATATCCAAGAAGAAAACCTAGGAAATACCATTTTGGACATAGGCCCTGGCAAAGAGTTTATGATAATGACTCCAAAAGTAATGGCAACAAAATAAAAAACTGACAAGTGGGACCTAATTAAACTAAAGAGCTTCTGCACAGCAAAATAAATGATTAACAGAGAAAGCAGACAACCTACAGAATGGAAGAAAATATTTGCAAACTATGCATCCAACAAAGGTTTACTATCCAGAATCTATAAGGAACTTAAACAAATCGACAACCAAAAAACAAATAACTCTGTTATAAAGTAGGCAAAAGACATGAACAGACACTTCTCAAAAGAAGACACACAAGTGGTCAATAAACATGAGAAAATGCTCAAAATCACTAATCATCAGAGACTTGCAAATCAAAACCACAATGAGATGCCATCTGACACCAGCCAGAATAGCTATTACCAAAAAATCTAAAAACAACAGATGTTGGCAAGGTTGTGGAGAAAAAGGAACATTTATACATTCCTGGTAGGAATGTAAATTAGTTCAACCACTGTTGAAAAAATTTGGAAACTTCTCAAAAAACTTAAAACAGAACTACCATTTGACCCAGCATTTCAGTTAATAGGTATATACCCAAAGGAATATAAATTCTTCTACCATAAAGACACATGCATGTGTATGTTCATTGCAGTACTGTTCACACTAGCAAAGACATGAAATTAACCTAGATGCCCATCAATGGTGGACTGGATAAAGAAAATGTGGTGTATATATAGCATGGAATACTACACAGTCATAAAAGAGAACAAAACCTGTCTTTTGCAGCAACATGGATGGTACTAGAGGCCATTAACCTAAGCAAGTTAATGCAGGAACAGAAAACCAAATACTGCATGTTCTCACTTATAAGTGGGAGCTAAACACTGAGTACACATAGACACAAAGTTGGGAACCATAGACACAGGCCTACTTGAGGGTGGAGGGTGAGAGGAGGGTAAGAGTCTAAAAACTACCTATCGGGTACTGTGATCATTGCCTGGATGATGAAATAGCCTGTACACAAAACCTCCATGACACACACCCATGTAACAAACCTGCACATGTAACCCCTGAACCTAAAATGAAAGTTGGAAAGAAAAATATATATATTTGTATAACAGTTCAAAGTGAATTTTTCTTTTGACAAATTACAATTCAAGGGACTAAAAATTTGGTGAGTTGGCCTTTGCCAAAAGTTTGGGGATATTTGTTTTCTGCAAATTGACTTGCAATCCTAAAACTATCCAAGAAAATCAAAGAATAATACTCATTCCTAATTGAGTATTTCCTTTATATCTGGTACTTCATAAGTATCATCTCACTGAATTCTGACAGTAATCAAAAGAGTTTTCTAACAGGTAAGGAAACTGAAGAGTGAAATAATTAAGTAACTTGTCTAAGGTGACACTGCTTTTAAGTAGCAGAACTAGGACTTGAATCTAGCTTATTTGATTCTACAGCGGGAGTGCTTAATATGAAACTAAAACACAATCTGAAAGTGTTTTTAATAAAGGTGATAATTACTTTAAAAAAACACATACACATAAAATAATTTTTGATTTTTTTCTTTGGAGAAAGTGAGTATACTATATACACTTTCAGAGATTTAAAGCCTTAATGAGTACTCAACTGAATCAGAGAAGATTCTAACCTGTTTCTTCAAGGGTCTCTATAAAGTAAGGAAGTTGTCAGACTATGAGGTGTGGATAATCTTGCTTAACTGAAATGTGGGGCTCTAACATGAGGTGGTTTCTTTAATTTTCTAAAAAAAAATAAATGAAACAGAAATAAGTACCCTAAAACATGATTTATGCACAGCAGAATGGCTTTTATGTATAGACATATGAAGCAAGAATTGAAGTGTGTGTTATACTGTCTTGAAAGTCAACCTATAAAGACAGTAGGGGCTCCTATGTTTTCTACTGTATGAATCTAATCATATAATAATAAAACTACAGAACACTTATTAGGATATCTGAAAGTTAGCATTCTTGAATTGGACTCTATTCTCTTTCCTAGAGCCCCTTCTAAAAATTTATGTTTATTGACATCAGAAATGTCAGCATGAAGATAGTAGGAAAAGAAGAAAAAAATAATTTAAAAGGTGTCAGGAAGCATGTTTCTGTCTTGTCATCCCTGTTGACAGTATCTGTGACTTTCAGTGCTCATCTGGACCCAACATTAGCAGAAACACTAGCAAAATCACCTTTCTAACTGAGCTTCTTCGCCCTTTTATTGAGTCTCTTTGCCCTTTTGGATGGTTTCCAACTGTAGATTGCAGTAAATTATTCAATCATTCATTTTTTCTCCCTAATATGTACTGAGTACCTCCTTTTAATAAGGAAAGTGTACCAGGCATATTTCACCTTAACATTGTACTAGATCCTGTTTTGCAAATTTGTAACAATTGAAATACACAGAACTATAACTCATGGTGACTATATTTTCATACATACTTGCCTCTGAGACCTCACTAAATCAGTTGGAACACTATCCCACAATGAATTGGGGGATTAAACTATAAGTATCTAATAACCTTATTAGCTAACAATAGCTAACCAGATGACCTTATTAGTGGGCTAACTTCCAGAGGAAGCTAATGTATACAACAGTCCCCTAGCGAATGGCCTTTGTGAAAAGGGCATCTGTAAGGGAAATGAGAGCTTCTCCCGTACACTTGTTGGTCCTAGACACTGCCCAAGGTGATCTGTGTGTTAATGAGCAATCTCCCAACAATTTTGGGTATTCCAAGAAGATCATGTTAAAAATTCTTCATCACTTCAATTTCTCCCACTTGATGACTTGTCAAAAAGCCAAACGCTCCTTTTCAAAGACTGGAATTTTTGGAGACCTATTTGTGTTCTGTAAGTACAATATTACATTATAGGCTCCCAGTTTATATTAGTGATAATTATCCCAACATTTTAGAATATGTAATATCCAGGATTTTGCAGAATACTCTGCATATAGTTTTGGATTCCTCAGTAAATGAGAGGGGAATTTACATACAGCCATAGGAGAACAATGTTAGCAATTAAAAGGTTGGAAAGACAGGCTTTCCTGGCAAAGATAAGGGACACAAAACTACCAAGAAAAGTCTTCTTTATGTTCCCAATAATTTACACCTTTGTACCTCACACATTCAATTTCCCATGTTACTAATATACTTAGTTACAAGCATTTGTACTGCATTTCCAATTATTAACACTTTTTTTTTTTTTTTTGCTTTTTTGAGATGGAGTCTCGCTCTGTCGGCAGGCTGGAGTGCAGTGGCGCGATCTCGGCTCACTGCAACCTCTGCTTCCTTGGTTCAAGAGATTCTCCTGCCTCAGCCTCCCCAGTAGCTGGGACTACAGGCACGTGCCACCACACCCAGCTAATTTTTGTATTTTTAGTAGAGATGGGGTTTCACCATGTTGGCCAGATGATCTCGATCTCTTGACCTCGTGATCTGCCCGCCTCAGCCTCCCAAAGTGCTGGGATTATAGGTGTGAGCCACTGAGCCTGGCCTATTATCACTTTTTTTAATGCCTGTGTGCTGGGAAACTTCCCTTAGGGATAGACAAGGACTATCTACTCAAGCTGCTAGTAAATTTAATGCCATCTTCGAGATAGATGCACAGATTTAGGGACATGCTATGGAGAGGAGCTGCCAGACAGGGTTTCACATACCAGGGACCTGGTTTAGAATCCTCCTACAGAATGCCCAGGTCAATGAACTGGCAGCTCTAACAGTCTGCCCTTCAGAACCTCTGTAAACAGAGAGGAGAAAAGGCTACCCTTCAGTCACTGATCAAAAATAAAGTGTCATGATTTGATTTGATATTAAAACATATAAGCTAACAGCCTGGTTAGTTTTCCATAGTTTCCAACTTCACACTATTCGTAAAACTTAGAACCAATATTCCATGTAATTGTTAATGAAGCTCTATTTTCTTCCTCTTTTTCTCTTTCTTTCCTTCATTTTTTTTTATTATACTTTAAGTTCTAGCGTACATGTGCACAACGTGCAGGTTTGATACATAGGTATGTGCCATGTTGGTTTGCTGCACCCATCAACTCATCATTTACATTAGGTATTTCTCCTAATGCTATCCCTCCCCCAGCCCCCCACCCCCCGACATGCCCTGGTGTGTGATGTTTCACGCCTTGTGTCCAAGTGTTCTCATTGTTCAATTCCCAGCTATGGGTGAGAATGTGCGGTGTTTGGTTTTCAGTCCTTGTGATAGTTTGTGGAGAATGATGGTTTCCAGCTTCATCCATGTCCCTGCAGAGGACAAGAACTCATCCTTTTTTATGGCTGCATAGTATTCCGTGGTGTATATGTGCCACATTTTCTTAATCCAGTCTATCATTGATGGACATTTGGGTTGGTTCCAAGTCTTTGCTATTGTGAATAGTGCTGCAATAAACATACATGTGCATATGTCTTTATAGTAGCATGATTTATAATCCTTTGGGTATATACCCAGTAATGGGATTGCTGAGTCAAATGGTAATTCTAGACCTAGATCCTTGAGGAATTGCCACACTGTCTTCCACAATAGTTGAACTAGTTTGCAGTCCCACCAACAGTGTAAATGCGTCCCTATTTCTCCACATCCTCTGCAGCATCTGTTGTTTCCTGACTTTTTTTTTTTTTTTTTTGAGACAGAGTCTTGCTCTGCCGCTCAGGCTGGAGTGCAGTCACGCGATCTGGGCTCAGTGCAAGCTCCGCCTCCCAGGTTCACGCCGTTCTCCTGCCTCAGCCTCCCCAGTAGCTGGGACTACAGGTGCCCACCACCACGCCCGGCTAATTTTTTTGTGTTTTTAGTAGAGATGGGGTTGCATTGTGTTAGCCAGTATGGTCTCAATCTCCTGACCTCTTGATCCTCCTGCCTCGGCCTCCCACAGTGCTGGGATTACAGGCGTGAGCCACCGCGCCCAGTGTTTCCTGACTTTTTAATGATTGCCATTCTAACTGGTGTGAGATGGTATCTCATTGTGGTTTTGATTTGCATTTCTCTGATGGCCAGTGATGATGAGCATTTTTTCATGTGTCTGTTGGCTGCATAGATATCTTCTTTTGAGAAGTATCTGTTCATATACTTTGCCCACTTTTTGATGGGGTTGTTCGTTTTTTTCTTATAAATTTGCTTGAGTTCTTTGTAGGTTCTGGATATTAGCCCTTTGTCAGATGGGTAGATTGCAGAAATTTTCTCCTATTCTCTAGGTTGCCTGTTCACTCTGATGGTAGTTTCTTTTGCTGTGCAGAAGCTCTTTAGTTTAATTAGATACCATTTGTCCATTTTGGCTTCTATTGCCATTGCTTTTGGTGTTTTAGTCATGAAGTCCTTGCCCATGCCTATGTCCTGAATGGTATTGCCTAGGTTTTCTTCTAGGGTTTTTATGGATTTAGGTCTAACATTTAAGTCTTTAATCCATCTTGAAATAATTTTTTGTAAGGTGTAAGGAAGGGATCCAGTTTCAGCTTTCTACATATGGCAAGCCAGTTTTCCCAGTACCATTTATTAAATAGGGAATCCTTTCCCCATTTCTTGTTTTTGTCAGGTTTGTCAAAGATCAGATGGTTGTAGATGTGTGGTGTTATTTCTGAGGCCTCTGTTCTGTTCCATTGGTCTATATATCTATTTTGGTACCAGTACCATGCTGTTTTGGTTACTGTAGTCTTGTATTATAGTTTGAAGTCAGGTAGCGTGATGCCTCCAGCTTTGTTCTTTTTGCTTAGGATTGTCTTGCAATGCAGGCTCTTTTTTGGTTCCATATGAACTTTAATGTAGTTTTTTTCCAAATCTGTGAAGAAAGTCATTGATAGCTTGATGGGGATGGCGTTGAATCTATAAATTACTTGGGGCAGTGTGGCCATTTTCATGATATTGATTCTTCCTATTCATGAGCATGGAATGTTCTTCCATTTGTTTGTGTCCTCTTTATTTCATTGAGCAGTGGTTTGTAGTTCTCCTTGAAGAGGTCCTTCACGTCCCTTGTAAGTTGGATTCCTAGGTATTTTATTCTCTTTGTAGCACTTGTGAATGGGAGTTCACTCATGATTTGGCTCTCTGTTTGTCTGTTAATGGTGTATAGGAATGCTTGTAATTTTTGCACATTGATTTTGTATCCTGAGACTTTGCTGAAGTTGCTTATCAGCTTAAGGAGATTTTGGGCTGAGATGATGGGGTTTTCTAAATATATAATCATGTCATCTGCAAACAGGGACAATTTGACTTCCCGATTTCCTAATCGAATACCCTTTATTTCTTCCTCTTGCCTGATTGCCCTGGCCAGAATTTCCAACACTATGTTGAATAGGAGTGGTGAGAGAGGGCATCTTTGCCTTGTGCTGGTTTTCAAAGGGAATGCTTCCAGTTTTTGCCCATTCAGTATGATATTGGCTGTGGGTTTGTCATAGATAGCTCTTATTATTTTGAGATATGTTCCATCAATACTTAGTTTATTGAGAGTTTTTAGCATGAAGGGCTGTTGAATTTTGTCAAAGGCCTTTTCTGCATCTATTGAGATAATCATGTGGCTTTTGTCATTGTTCCTGTTTATATGATGGATTATGTTTATTGATTTGCATATGTTGAACCAGCTTTGCATTCCAGGGATGAAGCCAACTTGATCATAGTGGATAAGCTTTTTGATGTGCTGCTGGATTTGGTTTGCCAGTATTTTATTGAGGATTTTCGCATTGATGTTCTTCAGGGATATTGGTCTGAAATTCTCTTTTTTTGTTGTGTCTCTGCCAGGCTTTGGTATCAGGATGATGTTGGCTTCATAAAATGAGTCAGGGAGGATTCCCTCTTTTTCTATTGATTGGAATAGTTTCAGAGGGAATGGTACCAGCTCCCTTTGTACCTCTGGTAGAATTCAGCTATGAATCTGTCGTCCTGGACTTTTTTTGGTTGGTAGGCTACTAATTATTGCCTCAATTTCAGAGCCTGTTATTTGTCTATTCAGAGATTCAACTTCTTCCTGGTTTAGTCTTGGGAGGGTGTATGTGTCCAGGAATTTATCCATTTCTCCTAGATTTTCTAGTTTATTTGCATAGAGGTGTTTATAGTATTATCTGATGGTAGTTTGTATTTCTGTGGGATTGGTGGTGATATCCCCTTTATGATTTTTTGTTGCATCTATTTGATTCTTCTCTGTTTTTTTCTTTATCAGTCTTGCTAGTGGTCTACCAATTTTGTTGATCTTTTCAAAAAACCAGCTCCTGGATTCATTGTTTTTTTTTGAAGAGTTGTTTGTGTCTCTATCTCTTTCAGTTCTGCTCTGATCTTAATTATTTATTGCCTTCTGCTAGCTTTTGAATGTGTTTGCGCTTGCTTCTCTAGTTCTTTTAATTGTGGTGTTAGGGTGTTGATTTTAGATCTTTCCTGCTTTCTCTTGTGGGCATTTAGTGCTATAAATTTCCCTCTACACACTGCTTTAAATGTGTCCCAGAGATTCTGGTATGTTGTGTCTTTGTTCTCATTTGTTTCAAAGAACATCTTTATTTCTGTCTTCATTTCATTATGTACCCAGTAGTCATTCAGGAGCAGGTTGTTCAGTTTCCATGTAGTTGAGCAGTTTTGAGTGAGTCCTGGATCCTGCGTTCTAGTTTGATTGCACTGTGGTCTGAGAGACAGTTTGTTATAATTTCTATTTTTTTACATTTGCTGAGAAGTGCTTTACTTCCAATTAAGTGGTCAATTTTGGAATAAGTGCGGTGTGGTGCCGAGAAGAATGTATATTCTGTTGATTTGGGGTGGAGAGTTCTATAGATGTCTATTAGGTCCGCTTGGTGCAGTCAGGTCCCTCAGCTGCAGGTCTGTTGGAGTTTGCTGGAGTTCTATTCCAGACCCTGTTTGTCTGGGTATCACCAGTGCAGGCTGCAGAACAGCAAATATTGCAGAACAGCTGCCTGATCCTTCCTCTGGAAGCTTCATCCCAGAGGGGCAGCCACCTATATGAGGTGTCCATCAGCCCCTACTGGGACCTACTGGGAGGTGTCTCCCAGTTAGGCTACACAGGGATCAGGGACCCACTTGAGGAGGCAGTCTCTCCATTCTCAGAGCTCAAACACTGTGCTGGGAGAACCACTGCCCTCTTCAGAGCTGTCAGACAGGGACATTTAAGTCTGCAGAAGTTGTTTGCTGTCTTTTGTTCAGCTATGCCCTGCCAACAGAGGTGAAGTCTAGAGGCAGTAGGCCTTGTTGAGCTGTGGTGGGCTCCACCCAGTTCGAGCTTCCTGGACGCTTTGTTTACCTACTCAAGCCTCAGCAATGGCAGATGCCCCTTCCCCAGCCAGGCTGCCGTCTCGCAGATCGATCTCAGACTGCTGCGCTAGCAGTGAGCAAGGCTCTGTGGGTGTGGGAGCCACTGAGCCAGGCATGGGAGAGAATCACGTTGTCTGCAGGTTGCTAAGACCTTGGGAAAAGCACAGTATTTGGGCAAGAGTCTCCCGATTTTCCAGGTAGTCTGTCACGGCTTCCCTTGGCTAGGAAAGGGAAATCTCCCAACCCCTTGTGCTTCCCAGGTGATGCGACGCCTTGCCCTGCTTCAGCTCGCCCTCCATGGGCTGCACCCACTGTCAAACCAGTCCCAGTGAAATGAACCAGGTACCTCAGTTGGAAATGCAGAAATCACCCATCTTCTGTGTCAATCACACTGGGAACTGCAGACCATAGCTGTTCCTCTTCAGCCACCTTCCCTTCCTTTTTTTTTTTTCTTTTTTTAAACAAAGAGGCTGAGAGATGATTGAATAATGCTACTCAAACATAAAAAGGTGTATGTTCTTAGTTTTTATCTTCATGTTAAGTCAGAATCAAAGTAAAAAACCATATAGTGGAGCACGCAAATTTTACGTTAAATATCTGCAAAAGGGTTATTTTCACAATGAGAGAATTAAAGTATGTGATGGAAACTAATTTTTTCCTACTTTTATTTGTGTCTTTTATAAGGGAACTATGTATACATAGTGGAAAACTCTTATTTGCTATAGACAACAGAATGAACTGGGGGAATCATAATCATAAAACACTGAGACATCTTGATCAAACTGTAACACCTTATCATATTCACAGTAGGGATGTGGAATGGGACAAAATTATTGAACACTTGATAAAGAAAACAAAATCTTATTCAAAGAAAATCTTAACTCTCATTTGTTTATTGTTGGTGTTTTATATATACAAAATAGCAACCTCTCTTTTATTCAAAATTCAGAATAAATATTAACATCAGAAAATGTAAAAAGCCTTTCTGTCAGGTGATAACATCAAAGTGACCAAAATGTTTATGACTGAGTTCTCAAGTTTTCATTACCAAATTGTTAAAGAGATTTAGCAATTTCTTATGTATAACTATTTTATGTTGATAATAATGTGCAGTTACATGAAACGTTAGCAATGAAAATTATAAATGATGTTTCATTTTAAATATATCAAAGAGAGATTTCAGGAACAACTTGGAGAAAAAGCAATGGTCAGAAGGAATTTATAAAGTGTTATGTTCATATAATAATAGATACAAAGCTTGGACATTTTTACTCCAATTAACCCTCATGGCAACCTAACAAAGTTCAAACTACAACCCCAAATGTATAATTCAGCACAATGTGGCTCTGCGAGTTCAGGTGACTCATCAAAGATCACACAGCTAGCTAGTGTCTAAGGCAGAATCAACACCTCTGTCTTTTTTATTTCAAAGCCTAAGATTCTGTCTTCTTTTTACAGACAAGGTAATTGCACTCTAATTATGGTTAAGTGATTTGAACAATTTTTATAGCACAACTAAAACCCACATTTTCTATTTCTACTATCCACACTCTATCCACTATATGTTAAGAGACAGGTTAGTTGACATTAAAAAATATTCTTTTGGGGAAGATCCCCTTCAAAATGAGGTAGTGTATTACATAAAAAGTTTAACTCACAATTTTCCAGGACGTATAAAATGTGCAAGTTAGTTTCAAGCATTGAGTAAACAATGAGTAATTAGCAAGATGAGGGGTTTGTGAACTGTG
The DNA here is from genome assembly GCF_000001405.40 of Homo sapiens. Classification (NCBI taxonomy): domain Eukaryota; kingdom Metazoa; phylum Chordata; class Mammalia; order Primates; family Hominidae; genus Homo; species Homo sapiens. Next base: position 27,095,191 of record NC_000018.10, read on the forward strand.
CACCACATATTTGCAGTCAGGAAACAAGAGCCACTTTGAAGGAAAAGCAATGTATATTGTAAATTTCCTCATCATTCTCTAATCTAGCATGAAGATGAATAGAATAATCTTTTAATGAAAATTAGGTTGATGCTACCGTAAAGACACACTTAAGTATATAGCCTGCAGAACCTATAAGGCAACCACACAATAGAAACTAGAAAGCAACCAGCTAACAATTTCATGTTAGGATCAAAACCTCATATGTCAATATTAACTTTGAATGTAAATGATCTAAATGCTCCACTTAAAAGGCACAGAGTGAAAAGTTCGATGAAAAAACAAGACCCATCCATCCTTTGTCTTCAAGAGAGCCATCTCAAACATAATGACGCCAATAGGCTCAAAGCAAAGGGTTGTAGAAAGATCTACCATGGAAACGGAAAACAAAAAGAGCAGAGATTGCTATTCTTATATTAGATAAAACAGATTTTAAACCAAAAACAGTAAAAGAGGACAAAGAAGGGCACTACATAATGTTAAATGGTTCAATTCAAGAAGACTTAATTATTCTAAAAATATACACACCTAAAATTGGAGCACCCAGATACATAGAACAAGAACTTCTAGTTCTCCAAAAAGACTTGACAGCCACACAATGATAGTGGGGGACTTCAATACCCCACTAACAGCATTAGACAGGCTATTGAGGCAGAACACCAACGAAGAAATTCTGGACTTAAACTGAACATGTGACCAATTGGACCTAATAGACATATACAGAATATTGCCCCCAACAACCACAAAATGGACATTTTTTAAAATCTGCACATGGAACATACTCCAAGATTGACCACATGCTCAGCTGTAAAATGAGTCAATAAATTCCAAAAAATAGAAATCATACCAGTCATACTCTTGGACAACAGTGGAGTGAAAATATACATCAATACCAAGAAGATCTTTCAAAACCACAATATCACATGGAAATTAAACAACTTGCTCTTGAATGACTTTTGAGTAAACAATGAAATCAAGGCAGAAATTTTAAAATTCCTTGAAATAAATGGAAACAGAGACACAACATATCAAAGTCTCTGGGATGCAGCAAAAGCAGTGTTAAGAGGAAAGTTTATAGTGCTAAATGCCTACCTCACAAAAAAAGACCTGAAATTAATGATCTAGTATCAAATTTCAAGGAACTAGAAAACAACAGGAACACACTAATCCCAAAGATAGCAGAAAAAAAGAAATACTAAAATTGGAGTGGACCTAATGAAATTGAGACCCAAAAATCCACACAAAGAATCAATGAAACCAAAAGTTGGTTCTCTGAAAGGATAAGCAAGATTGGTAGATTGCTAGCTAGATTAACAAAGAAAAACAGAGAGAAGGTCCAAATAAGCATAATCAGAAATAACAAGGGTGTCATTACAACCAATCCCACAGAAATACAAAAGATCCGTAGAGAGTATTATTAACACCTTTATGCACACAAACTAGAAAGCCTAGAGGAAGTGGATAAATTCCTGGTCACATACAATCTCCCAAAATTGAATCAGAAAGAAACTGAAACACTGAATAAATCAACAGACTTCCAAAGTTGAATCAGTAATAAAGATTCTACCAACGAAAAAAAAGCCTCAAGCCAGATGGATTCTCAGCCAAATTCTACCAGATGTACAAAGAGCTGGTACCAATTCTACTGAACCTATTCCAAAAAAATCAAGGAGAAACTCTTCTCCAACTCACTCTATGAAGCCAGCATCCCTCTGATACTGAAACCTGGCAAAGAAACAATGAAAAAAGAAAACTACAGGCCAACATCCCTGAAGAACACAGATGCAAAAATCCTCAACTAAATACTAGCAAACTGAATTCAACAGCACATCAAAAAGTTAATTTACCATGATCAAATAGGCTTCATTCCCGGGATACAAGGTTGGTTCAATATACATCAAATAAATGTGATTTACCACATAAACAGAATTTAAAACAAAAACCATATGATCATCTCAATAGATGCAGAAATAGTTTTCAAAATTCTTGAGAAACTAGACATTGAAGGAGCATATATCAAAAAAATAAGAGCCATCTATGACAAACACAGCCAGCATCATACTGAATGTGCAAGAATTGGAACCATTTCCGTGGAGAACTGGAATAAGACAAAGATGCCCATTCTCACTATGCCTATTCAACATAGTACTGGAAGCACTAGGCAGAGGAATCAGGCAAAAGAAAGGAATAAAAAACATCCAAATAGGAAAAGAAGAAATCCAACTATCTCTCTTTGTAGACAACATGATTCTATACTTAAAAAACACTAAAGACTCCACCAAAAGGCTCCTGGAACTGATAAATGACTTTACTATGGTTTCAGGGTATAAAATCAATATAAAAGTTCTTTAGTTTGATTAGATCACATTTGTCAGTTTTGGCTTTTGTTGCAATGGCTTTTGGTGTTTTAGTCATGAAGTCTTTGCCCATGCCTATGTCCTGAATGGTATTGCTTAGGTTTTCTTCTAGGGTTTTTATGGTTTGGGGTTTTACATTTAAGTCTTTAATCCATCTTGAGTTAATTTTTGTATAAGATGTAAGGAAGGGGTCCAGTTTCTGTTTTCTGCATATGGCTAGCCAGTTTTCCCAGCACCATTTATTAAATAGGGAATCCTTTCCCCATTTCTTGTTTTTGTCAGGTTTGTCAAAAATCAGATGACTGTAGATGTGTGGTATTATTTCTGAGGTCTTTGTTCTGTTCCACTGGTCTATATATCTCTTTTGGTACCAGTATCATGCTGTTTTGGTTACTGTAGCCTTGTAGTATAGTTTGAAGTCAGGTAGCATTCAGGCAACCTACAGAATGGGAGAAAATTTTTGCAATCTACCCATCTGACAAACATCTAATATCCAGAATCTACATGGAACTTAAACAAATTTACAAGGAAAAAGCAAACCCATCAAAAAGTGGGTGAAGGATATGAACAGACACTTCTCAAAAGAAGACATTTATGTGGCGAAAAAACATTAAAAAAAAAAGCTCAACATGACTGGTCATTAGAGAAATGCAAATCAAAACCACAATGAGATACCATCTCACGTCACTTAGAATGACAATGATTAGAAAGTCAGGAAACAACAGATGCTGGTGAGGCTGAAGAGAAATAGGAATGCTTTTACACTGTTGGTGTAAATTAATTCAATCATAGTGGAAGATGGCGTGGTGATTCCTCAAGGATCTAGAACCAGAAATTCCATTTGACCCAGCAATCCCATTACTGGTTATATAACCAAAGGATTATAACTCATTCTATTATAAAGACACATGCACATGTATGTTTACTCCGGCACTATTTACAATAGCAAAGACTTGTAACTAACCCAAATGCCCATCAATGATAGGCTGGATAAAGAAAATGTGGCACATATACACCATGGAATACTATGCAGCCATAAAAAAGAATGAGTTCATTTCCTTTGCAGGAACATGGATGAAGCTAGAAGCCATCATTCTCAGCAAACTAACACAGGAACAGAAAACCAAACACTGCCTGTTCTCACCCATAAGTGGGAGTACAAAGTGGCTGTACTTCCCAAAGCAAACTGCAGATTCAACACTATTCCTATCAAACTACCAATGGCATTTTTCACAGAACTGGAAAAAAAAAAAACAAACCTATCCTAAAACTCACTTCAATGAAAAAGGAGCCTGAATAGTGAAAGCAATCCTAAGCAAAAAGGAAAAAGCTGGAGGCATCACATTACTCAACTTTGAACTATACTATAAGGTTATAGTAACCCAAACAAGATGGTACTGGTACAAAAACAGACACATAAAACAGAATAGAGAATCAAGAAATAAGGTTGCATGCCTACAGCCATCTGATCTTTGACAAAGTCGACAAAAATAAGCAATAGAAAGAACTCTCTATTCAATAAATGGTGTTGGGATGGCTGGTGAGCCATATATAGAAGAATGAAACTGGATTCCTACCTGTCACCATATACAAAAATTAACTCAAGATGGATTAAAATTTAAATGTAAGACCTCGAACTACAAGAATCCTAGAAGAAAACTGAGGAAACATCATTCTGGACATCAGCCATGGGAAATAACTTAAAAGTAAGTCCTCAAAAGTAGTTGCAACAACAACAAAAATTGACAAGTGGGACCTAATTAAACTAAAGAGCTTCTGCACAGTAAAAGAACTATCAACAGAGTAAATAGACAATCTACAGAACAGGAGACAAGTGTTTGCAAACTATGCATCCAACAAAGGTCTAATATACAGAATTGATAAGGAACTTAAAACACTTGAACAAGCAAAAAAACAGAACAAAACAAACAAAAAACAAATAATCCCACTGAGAAATGGTCAAAAGACATGAACAGACACTTCTCAAAAGAGTACATACAAGTGGCCAAGAAACATGTGAGAAAATGTTCCACATCATCAATCACAAGAGAAATGCAAATCAAAACCATTATGAGATATTATCTCACACCAGTCAGAATAGGTATTGGTTTACAAATTAAAAACAACAACAACAACAACAGATATTGGCAAGGCTGCAGAGAAAAGGGAATGCTTATACACTGTCGGTGGGAAGGTAAATTAGTTCAGCCACTGTGGAAAGCTAATTCCTTTAATTTCTCAAAGGACTTAAAACAGAACTAACATTTCACCCAGCAATTCCATTACTGGCTATATACCCAAAAGAAAACAAATCCTACTAAAAAGATACATGCATGTGTATGCTCATTGCACTATTCACAATAGCAAAGACATGGAATCAACCTAGGTGTCCATCAATGGTATTTTGGATAAATAAAATGATATATATATAATGATATATATATATATACACACACACATATATATACACATATGGAGTACTACAAAGGCATAAAACAGAATGAAATCATGTTCTTTACAGTAACACGAGTGCAGCTGGAAACAATTATTCTAAGCGAATTAATGTAGGAACATAAAACTCAATACTATATGTCCTTACTTATAAGCAGGAGCTAAACAATGACTACTTATGGACATAAATAGGACAACAATTGTGACTGGGGACTTCTAGAGTGAGGAGGGAGGATGGAGCCAATGGTTGAAAAACCAACTGTTGGGTACTATGCTCAGTATCTGGGTGATGGGATCATTTATACCTCAAACCACAGCATCATGCAATATACTCAGGAAAAGAACCTGCACATGTACTGCCTGAATCTAAAACAAAAATTGAAAAATAAAAGATAAATAAGTGCTAGCAGTAAAGAAGGGAGTCAAGCAAGTTAAAAACACACACCTATGGAAGGAAGAATAAGAGTGGGTATGGAATAGTTAGGGAAAGGGGGGCACTGATTCTTGACTGACTGCTAGAGGACAGTGCAAAAATTCCCCTGTGGTTTTATGTGTAAAATGGTATTCAATTTGACTTTGCTTTGTTTGCGGTAAAATATGATGCATGTGTAAATAAAAAATAAGTTAATGTACAAAAATGTAAAAATAAAGTTGAACAGAGCTCAGTCATGACTAGAATTCCTAGTGTGTATATTATATGGGCAACAAATAAATCATAATATGATAAGAAAATCAATGTAGTGGCCTCAAATATGTTTGTCACAATTTTAGATTTTTAAATAATTTCAGATAAAAAATGAACAGGAAGAACTTACAGCATGTAATTCAGACATGATGGTATAGTCCACAGTTCATCCTAATTGATTTTGGCATTTCCTATTGGTTGGGACAGAGGAGATTGTTGCAGCCAAATGTTATCAGCCAAGTCAGTTACATCTTGCTGTCTGTGAAGTACACTGCTTGCTTTAATGCTCCTTTTTAAGGAATAGTTTGTATGCTTGTCAAGAGAACTATAGGAAGCTTTGAGTCTCCAGCCACAGATAAACTCTTGTTCTGCACACCCTAATCTGTCAATTTATTAACACAGGAATCTAAATCCAAGAACAGCCAAAATATAATTGATTTTCTTTGTTGTCAAGTAATTATTTTATTTAACATGCATTATTATTTTTGAATACCATAGAGTGAAGCTAACATATGCACAGAGGTAAAAAATATATATAATTTTTTTGACTTTAAACACTTTCTTTTTACATAGTAGTTAACATCTCAGGCCGGGCTCGGTGACTCACGCCTGTAATCCCAGCACTTTGGGAGGCCGAGGCGGGTGGATCACGAGGTCAGGAGATCAAGACCATACTGGCTAACACGGTGAAACCCCCTCTCTACTAAAAATACAAAAAAAATTAGCCGGGTGCGGTGGCGGGCGCCTGTAGTCCCAGCTACTGGCGGGGGTGAGGGTGGGCGGGGGCTGAGGCCGGAGAATGGAGTGAACCCGGGAGGCGGAGCTTGCAGCGAGCCGAGATTGCGCCACTGCAGTCCGGCCTGGGTGAAAGAGCGAGACTCTGTCTCAAAAAAAATAAAAATAAAAATAAAAAATAAAAAAATTAAAAAAAATCTCACGGCTATTAACTACTATAAATGACATCTCTGCTCTCAGAATTACCAAGGGTTCTCACTATCACTGCAAATACTTTAACTTACCTTTCTGAGAAACTGTATATCCTAACACGTTATTGCAAAACTATATTAGGTGTGAATATTCTTAGACTGGCGGCACAAAATGCTCTTAGTCATCATGTCAAATCAAAATCGCTCCAAATTTCTGTATGTTAAGTGATCAGGTGTCATTGCATTCAGAAATAAGACTACACAATTGTTCCTTCATAATCACCTATTAAGTAAATTAAAAACCACAGGAAATCACAGGTGGCTTCATGAGGAAAATTTATAAAAACTTTGCTGAAAGGCACAGATAGTGAGTTGCAACTGGGCTTCTGCATCATTCCCACTAACTGAAGAATTTTCCCAGGGTTATGTTTTGTGTTTGGGTGTACACATGGGGCCATGAGTTGAGGTCAGTGTTTTCCAAAGTTTGGTACCCAAAATGATGTTAACTATACTGATGATCAAGTTTTATTTGAAGAGATATGCATTCATTTTAAAAGTTAATAAAACAATATAATTAGTATGTTAAAACTTTTGTACTAATTTATGGATATCCTTGTTTAGGGTAAATGTAAGTAAGCATTTTTAAGTCAATTTGAGGAAAAGTATTAGTAATTTATAGAACAGATTGATGGCCATGGCAAAATTTATGAAGGTGTTGTGATGATTAAGGCTTGAGAAACAAGGGCTGTGATTTTCCCTATTTGGGGATTCATTCTACTTTGGTCTAGTGGCGCAAACTATTGAAGATGGACCATCCTCGACTATAAAAAGGGTCTAAAATTATACTGCCATATTTACCCCATCCTAAATGATAAATTTTTCTATGCACATGTAGCATTCTTCATTGGGGAAATATAGAATCTTATTCAGTTAACAATGTGTAACAACTTCTTAGATAACGATATTATCACCTCAAAATTTGATATTAAGCTTTGCACAGATAAGTTTATTCACACATTAATCTTTGGATGAGATTGGGTTCCTTTGGGACATACTTGGGTATCACCCTGAACTTCTCCCTCACAGGCAGGTTCTCAACTACAGTATTCATTCCTGTGATTATCTGTCTAATATCTGTCTCTCCAACAGGACTCAAAGCTACATTGAGGGCAGGGATTGTGTCTACTTTAGCCAAAGCTGGGATTCAACACTTTTTTTTTTCTGTATTGAATTTTAAAGTACTGTTTGTGACTAACTTAATGTAAGAAGGTAATATATTGCAATTATCAGCTTGCATAATGGGCCATTTGTTTGTCATTGACAAAGAGACTCATTAGTCTTGAAAATGTGATAGTAGCCAAATGTATTCTTGTTGTTGCCCAAGTCTTCAACTAAGTGTGTTTGTAGACAGTGGAAAAAAGCAGGGAAAAATGGCCACTTAAATGACAAATAGAATTTTGGAATTCCTTGGCTTCAACAGACCTTAGAGACACCTTCTCTAACCTTTTCCTTTTATTGTTAAAATGAGTAAACTGAGGCATAGAACGGGTAGGTGGTTGATTCAAGATGACATAACAAGATAGTAGAATCAGAATCAACACCTACATTGTCTCAGGATGATTCCATGCTGTGTACTTTCCTTGCTGCTGCCCCCAGTCCTGACTCCCCTTGTTAATGAGGAAGTACTGTACCTGGTCAGTCTCTGCTAACTTCTGCCTCAGTGGACAGGCAGTGCCTCTGGTTTAGCCTCATCCCTGGCCTCAAGGTGTGGAAGCACAAGGTTAATGGCTCAGTCAAGGTCCCCCTCCACAAACTCCTAAGACTCAATCAAGGTGAATGAAAATCTACTCTAAGAAAAAACAATGGTATCTGGCAATCCAGGTTGCAAATAACCAGCATGGTGCTAAGATGGTGACCGCAAGAGTATGCGATCAAATGAGGGGCTTTTAAGGGGAGTTTACCAAAACCAGGTTATCCTCTGATATCATTTACAATCAATAAGGATTATTGAAAGAGACTGGATTCCTTCCATGGGAGTATATAGATGCCTTTGGCGAGTTAAGCCAAGTGGCCTTTTGTGGCATAGATCTCTTTAAATCATCAACTGCTGGTCATTAGCAGAGTCCAAGGCAAGTAATTAATTGTAATAACCAACCACACAATTGGAATTAATGCTTTTCTTGCTCTCACATAGCTGTTTATAAATACTATAGTAAAGAGTACAGAGAAGCAAGAGGTTCATTACCCTGAAGTCCCTGAATATTATGAGATTTCTAGGATTTACAGGTAATTTACTAATCAATACTACCTGATGCAAGGGGGTGAGAATTCAACTTATTTTAATAAACTCTAAATGCATACTATGTTAAATGTGCATTAAATATATAATATGATATTTAAAATCTTCTATCATACTTTTAAAAAAGCCATTACCTGCTATCTTACCACTATTCCTGCCACCAAAACCACCACACATCGAGCACCTACTAAGAACTAGGCACTGCACTGGGTGCCCAAGGAAAAGTCTTCATATGTCATTTAAGTAAATTCTACATCCTTCCAAGCTTATCTTATAAATTGCAACAGATGGACTGAATATATTCAAATACATAGTCAGGGCATTGTTGTGATTTTTCACAGTGTCTGAACAAGGAGTTGTGTGTCTGACTGATTGGCAGATGCAAAATTTTCTGTGCTGTGCTAACTTCATTGGTAAAGGTTCTTTGCCTGCTTTGCATGGGTAGAAATTTTTTTCAGAAGTTGTTACTTTTGTTTTCTGTGACTGGTGATAAATCACCCTTAATGAAGACCCTTTCCTTAGACTATTATGAAAGTCAGATTTTGCTCAGGCAAGAGATGCTGCTGGGAGACAAGTCAGCATATAAGAGTGATTCTTGCAACATGCCAATAAGATAGTCCCAAAACTATTCTGGTTAGTAATTCTGATGGTGCATCTCTACACCATAAGCAGCACCTTTGGCTAAGCTGTTGATTTTGACTGTTTATTTCAACTTCGAAAAATGATTGATGGTGCTGTTGAGATATGCACTTTCCATAAACTTTCAAATCAAATTTCATAGACTAAGATGAAGCCAGGGTGCAGTGTAATCATATTAGGACAAACAATTATAGCCCACAGATTATTTAGAATATGGCATCTTTTCTTCTTTTTCATGCTTTCGTTTTGAATACTTGAAAAAAAATGAAATTTGTTTAGCATTTGGATCTGAGGAAGCAGGATGCCTCTTTAGTGCCTGGCTCATAGACGGCACTAAAGACATAGTTGTTAAATGAATAAAAGATGCAAATACTAGTCACTTTAAGCATAGGAACTGTTCGCCTTCCAGTAATTTATGGAAATGAAGTTTTATTAGCATCTATTTTTTCAGGTTTTCTCCTCTTCTCTTTTCCCCTTCCTTTGTCCTTTCTTCTTTTTCTTTCTTTGTTAGTGACATTTGAAAAGAAGACAGCATGTGAGGCATTAGTAAAATAGATAAATTTTTTAAAAAATAATTTATTACTATAAAAAAAGATACATGGCCTTTCACTTTTCTTTACTCATCAAAGTTTGCATAATAAAGACAGAATTTACTAATTTTGAATTTGTTCAAATCTTTTTCCTCTTCCTGTCTTAAAGCCACTCTACTTGCCTTAAAGAAAAGAAAGCAATAAAGAAAATCTCTCTTTGATCAATTTCTTCTCCTTGACTTCTCCCTAAGAAGACTTCTGTCTTTGTCAGACCAATCTGAGGACTCATTGTGATTTAGAACCTGGAGAGTCTCATAATAAAGAACAGAGAGAAAGGAGGATGATCTGCAGAAAAGTTATGCATGTTTACTGAGAGAAAGTTTTGTAGGTTTGGTGTATGAGAAATTCTGAAGCAGCCCCAAAGTAGAGGAGAAGAGAAGAGAAGTTAAGAAGAAAAGGAAAGAAACTTTTGAGAAATATCCCTATGTGCAATGAATTACACCTCTTTCAAGTCCTGCAAGGGACCCAATTGAATATGGAAGTTCTCTTTTAATTTCTTTGGCTATTGCTTTTACTATTATGTTATGCAAAATCTGATGCATGTGTGATTGTGATTACACATGCAGTTATGAAAACTTTTAAAAGTTTATTTGGACCAGAAATGTGCTTTGGCACTCAACCCCTCACACAGGCAATAATCTGTTTTTTTAAAATTTAAGGTGATAGTCTAAATGGACGATAAAGTTAGAATGAGATTTTAAGGTAATAAGGATGAAGTATCCTTCAAATGTAGGAAGTTGGAAAAACATGTATCAATTAATACAAGTTATCAAATACATTTCGCAAATTTTTAGGATTCCGACTCACTGTGTAAACTTTCTACTTCTGGAAAGGCAGGCTATTTTACTCACGAAACTAAAAAATTTAAATGTGTAGAGGAAGAATGTAACTTATATAGTTAGAAACTTAAATTTCTTAAAGATTTAGCAATTTATAACCTTAAGGATTTATCAATATATAAACAGCCAGGAAACTCAGTCAGACATTATTCTTAGTAATGGTTGCCATCATCATCCAGACCATTAATTGAATTATAGATTTTTTCAACTGCTTTTATTTGCCTCTGAGGAAATAAAGACAGTCCCATGCTGTGTGGGACTAATTCTAAGAGTAAAATTAGTTGAGCCTCAACTTTGAACAACATTATTGACTAAGGATCATTCTTCTTAGTTTCCCGTCTTAATGATTAGCTCCATTTGAAAAGTAGCTCTCTAATTTTGTTAATGCCATTATTGGAGTTGGATAAATTCGCCTACTAGCCCAACCAATTTGTTCCTATTTTGTTGTAATTGTTGTCTTAGCAACAGCTTCTTATTCTCTCAGACTTTGCACATGACCTTTGGAAAACACATTTATAACTTGTGTACTAAAGCTTTCCCCCTTCTAGATTATTTTGAATGCATGATAATTTATTCCCAACTATGTTGAAATAAGAATTTATTTAGTATTTATAGTTTGTTTTCTGGCTAATGGTAAAAAATTTAGGAGTAAAGCCTAAATTAAAGCATTGCTTATTTGTATAACACATCCTTTTACTTTGCAATGCCTGTCAAAAAGCAGAAATCATATAATTTTCTTTCTTAATTTTGATAAATTTCACAATGAACAATTTACCAGTCTATCGCAGTTGGCAAGTTAATCTACCTGCTTACTACCCTATTTCCATAAAATAACCTTTTTATTTACCTAGATCTTTTTCATCAATAAAAAGGAAAATAATCCTAGCACTTTGGTTCCACTTAAATATCTCACTAGGTTATATATGTGTACATGTGGGTGGGTGGGCACTGGAAGACAATGCTGGACAATCTGTGACCGACATAGCTTAAATGTGGCATCAAAGGATGGAGTGGGTTTCCACAGATGGGAAAGGCCATTGGGAAGAAAAAAGGTGAAGTGTGAAAAATGGCCAGAGAAGGTGAGGGCCCTGGGGGAATGGAGTATATGATTATGTGGAAGAATAGTGAAGTGGTCTTGAAAGGTAAATAGTGACTATACGTCAAATTGTTATTAAATACTCACCTATAGACTTAGAATTCTATGACTATTTTATAAGCAATGAAGAGTTACTGAAGTTTCCGCCAGTGGTATCATGGGGACTTATTTTAGGAAAATAACTTTCTCAGCAGTATCAAAAGTGGACTAGGAAAGAACAGAGCTGATGAGGGTTCCCTGGCTTTGGTCGCCTGTTCAGTTCATTGTATAGTGTGACTGCTTGGGTATCATCTTGTTCCCTGCTTTTTACATAAAAACAGCAAAGACTTGTATTGAGAATTTTCTAAGCTCTCATTGTTTATGGGTCAATTCTGTCAGTTAAATGCTCTCTGGAATTATACAGATGCTGAAATACTATTGCTGACATGCAGGCTTAGGTAATACACTGCAGCTAGAATAAAAGCCCTGAAAACTTTTGTCTTCCTAGTGTGCTTCCTATCCAAGCATCTGTTAACAGCTCTGGAGTGCACATGGTCTTTAGCCGACACTTCTCATGGCACTGATGAAGAGGAAAGATGGCTACCACATCATCCTACAGGACATTCCACAGAGATAGCCACAACTTTTCTGAGTCATTTCAGGGAAAACTTATGAGGACTTGATAAATACCTATCTCCAGAACTTTAATCTAATGGAATGTGTTTCCTTCTAAATGTGTTGTGTTTGGAGGATAAGAGTCTTGGTGAAGGGCAACTGTGGACAACAATGAAGCGGATCTTGCAGATTCCCCATCATGTGCATTTCTGCTTTGTGTTCTAGTTACACTCAATCTCACGTCCACGTTATTACTCAGGGCTTGTTTCTCTTGGTTCCCAGTCTACTTGTCCAGTTTCTCAGAAATGAGTCTTCCATTTATCCTAAGCAGTTCTCTTTGAAACTTCCTAATGTCAACAATCTACCCACCTAGACACCTAACTATTGCCTGTTCCCAGAGTTCTCTGTTGACCTATTCTACTTGTTTGCTGGGACACCCACTAATTATTCCTTATTAGGCCTGCATGACTCTTGTAATCATGGTTCACCTGCCTGTGTAGCTCTCCCCTCACAGCTGTGGCTGGATCTATTTCCAAATACATGTCTCTGCTGAGGTGTTGTGTTGTGTCTCAAAATTCCCTGGTTTGACTTTTTAAAAAATCATCAGTCAAGCCAGTATTCTTTAGGACTTTTTATATAAAATGATGTCAACACGTACATTATTGTATAGCAATAAGCAAATGAGATTTTTCTAGTGTGGGCAAGTATTTAAATGGTATGTCACTAACATATTAAATTATTTTTCACTTTGATAGAGCTTTACCTGATAAAAACAGGTAATTTCTTTAAAAGACGGGATTTAGATTGCACATTTACACATACTGAAAGATAGATTAGGGGCAGGAAGAATGAAAAGAAAAAAATGCATCCAATTAGAAATATGAAATTTTCTGTCCCAAAGAATTCTTTTCTCTTCAAGACCATCCTATTTCACTTTTTACAAAGAAACATCTCAATATTTGTGGACAAGTTGAAAGGGAAGGAAGGAATCATGGAGATGTAAGAAAAATGATCACTTCTTATCCTACCAATCAGAAGTCATTATGATTAATTAAACTGCAAACATAACATAATATAAAGATACACTTAGTCTTTCATATTGGGACACAAAAATTATTCTTTGTTTTTTGTTTTTTAATTCTGGTCCTTAACAGGACAGAGGGTGGAGTGAACTGAAACTTTATTTTTCCTAGAAATTTTAAACTAAAATATCTTTTAAAATTTGCTTCAAAGTTTATAATAACTGTTATTCTACTTCTCTATACTACAGTCCTTACTACGCAGAACTGCACTGTCACACATTGATGGACACACCAAAATATCACGTGACAACTCTCAAGGCAGTAAGGGATAATTGTATGCTGAGGAGGTCAGAAGTCTTGAGTTGTAACCAAAATTAGATGCCTGTTGTGTTTCTAACAAATCCCACTACACAGCAAGACTTATGTAGAAAATAAGCAAAGCACAGGAAAGCAGATGATACTGCAATATCAAGAATTCATGCCCACACCTGGGATGGCCTCCAGCCACCTGGGAGCTGGCGCATAAGTTAAGTTCTTAATTAAGACACCAGCACCTTTTTTTTTTCTCCCTGCAAACCCATAGGACACAAGCTGTTGGTTCTTGGGATTTATTGTCTCTATTTTACCCTGAAAAGTGGTATTTTTCTATGGTATGAAAAAGCTTGGGTTATTTTAAATTGTGCTGAGAAGTCGCTCATTTTCGCTTTGGATTTATGCGGCAAAATACTAAGTGATATAGCTGCTGTCTTGAGCGTAGAGAGGAAAGGGCATGCAGCCACAGTTGAAGACTACGCAAAGCGTTTGACTGATCCAACTGAGATCTGTGTTTATGTCATTGTTCAGTCCCAATGTAGCTGCGACAGCTTGTTTATTTCAAGGGAGAGCAGGGCCATGCGCGCACTGACTGCTCTAGTGCCAGATCTAATTGGTGCTGACGCCAGCTGCTTGACTCCCATCACGATCTATCTGAATCCGTTCATCACTGCTGCTTCATTTGTCTGACAGGGGCTCCTGGTGAATTATAAAATTGGTTCCGACAACTTTTTTTTTTTAACCTCAAGGCTGTGCCCCAGTTACCTAGGTGAGTTTGACAGTCTGATGTTTCTCTTCATAATCAGGGATGGTTCAAGGCAGTCAGACCCTGAGTCCTTGGCACCGTGGAGAGAAGTTAGGCCTCTATGTCTTATCCATTAGCAGGAGGGGAAGCTCTCGGATGAGCACAGAAATGGGAAAGTCCAATTTCCTTTATTTAGGTATAAGCAGAGTTGAGTCATTTATTACCAGGGTGGTCTGGGAAGGCAGATGGAGAAAGACAGAGCTTTTGTCTCAGGGTTTCAACACATTAAAATAAATCCTACTATAAAAGTGTAAAGATTCAATGTAGAGTTCCTCACCAGAGTGTTTTTAGCCCAGTCTTTTTTTTTTTTTGGATTATTCCTGCCACTTGAAAAAAGGTTTGTTTTGCCAATTTGCTACTTCTTTAGCCTGGTTGTTTTCTTACCACTTAGGGGTCTAAATATTTCCTCCTGTTTGACACTGTCTAGTATTTCCTCGTTTGCATGTGATGATTTTTTTTTTCTATTTACCTCTTTCTGTTCCTTTTATAGTTTTCGGATTCCCTGACATTTCTGTATTAATCAGGGTACTTTATAAAAACCAGAAGTATCTAACTCAAACTGGCTAAAACAATGAAGATATTTACTTTCTCTGAAAGTGCAGGCCCCAGGCTAGTTACTCTCTGGGCCACCTGTCATCATGTAACCAAATTACTTCCAGTTCCCTGCTCTGGCAATCTCAGGCTGGAGTAATGGTAGGGCTTACTTTACAAAGATTATAGGATGGTCCAGCAAGGCCTCAGTTGTTTCTAGGTTGCACATATAGAAACACACTACCTAGAGGGAAAAGAGTGGGGAACTGGGAGGGAACACTGTTCATTCTCAAATGAGGTATGACATGTCTCCCAGCAGACATCCCCTCATGCTTCAGAGGCCAAATTCAGATCACATGCCAATTTCTTCATCTGTGGACAGCTAGAGCATTGCTGACCTAGGACATTGTTGAGCTAGGGCATTGTGACCTAAGGCTAGTGGTTCTGAAAGTGTGGTTTTGGACCAGAAGCATCAGTATCACCTGGGAACTTGCTAGAAATGCAACTTCTCAGGCTGAGCCCCAAACCTACATTTTCAGAAACTCTGGAGATAGGAACCAGCAATCTGTGCTTTAACCCTCCAGTGATTTTGATTCAAGTTCAGTTTTGACTTCCACTGATCGTCCTGGATAGAATGGCTTTAAAGTCTATCAGTGTGGCTTCTCCACCATCTCTTGTGAGAAGAAATGAGTTGCTGAAGTCATAGAGAGGTCTACAAAGAACAGGGCTCCCTGATGCTGCGGGGCTGATGACCATGAGAGAACAAACCTTATTTGTAGGTAACTTCTTTGATGTGAATGAACCCAGGAGAAACAGCACATGGGACTATTATCTGCTGGATCTTCCATTATCATCAGAAACCACCCTATGTCCTGCTTTCTAAGACACCATAAATTATAAGAAACACCAGCAATTTAATCACCACTTTTCAGATAATTAGTGCATACATTGACCTTACAGGGTTTTGGAAATGCAAAAATGTGAAAGATTTAGAAATTATAAGAAAATTGAATTATATTTTATCCTTCTGTGGTAGAAATGAGAGTTGAGTCTTGAAGCTTTAGAGTCTAGGCCAGTCAGGGCAGAACTACACTGCTCAGGAGGGACAGGCATGGGGGAGCACTTCCTTGCTTCCAGGAAAGTATTTTGAGTAGCAAGAAAATGACACAAAGCCCCTTACACACATAAGAATTCAAGAGTGCCACACAAACTTAAAACAGTTCAAGATCACCCACTGAAGTAAACTGAATTGCTGTCTGTGATGATTAAGTTTATGTGTCAACTTGACCAGGCCATGGGATGCCCACATAGCTGGTTAAACATTATTTCTGAAAGCATCTGTCAGAATGGTTCTGCAACAGATTAGCACTTGTATTGGCAGACGACACATCACCCTCCCCAAGGTGAGTGGGCATCACCTAATTCAGTGAGGGCCTGAATAGCACAAAAAGGTGAGAAAGGTTGACTTTGCTCTTAGGCATTGCTCTTCTGCCCTTGACTCGTGGCTCTGAGGTCTTCAGACTTGGACTGGAATCTACACCATTGGCTTTCCAGCTCTCAGACCTTCAAATTATACCATCAGCTTTCCTGGGTCTCCAGCTTACAGATGGCAGATCATGGGTCTTCTCACTCCATAACTGTTGTGAGCTGATACCTTAAAATAAATTTCTTTCTAAAAATATACATATAGATATATATTTTTATATATTTACATATGCGTATAAATATATTAATAATGTATATATTATATTAATAAAACATATAACTATATTTATATTTATACTTATATATACCTACATGTATATATATATGGTATTGGCTCATGTTATTATGAAGGCTGAGAAGCCCCATGATCTACCATCTGCAAGCTGGAAACCCAGGATGTGTATGTGTGTGTGTATAACAGAAGTGTTTCAGATTTTAAATTTTTTTGGATTGTGGAATATCTGCATATACATAATTAAATATCTTAGGGATGGGACCGCAGTCTAAACACAGACTTTATTTATGTTTTATATACACCTTATAAACACACCTTGAGGGTAATTTTATACAATATTTTAAATAACTTTGTGCATAAGGCAAAATTTATGTTAAGTACTTATGTGTGGAATTTTCCACTTGTGGTGTCATGTCAGTATTTAAGAAGTTTTTGACTTTGAATAATTTTGGATTTCAGGATTTTAGATTAGGGATATTCAACGTGTGTGTGTGTGTGTGTGTGTGTGTGTGTGTGTGTGTAGGATACATATATATTATATATATATAATCTATTGATTCTGTTTTCTTGGAAAACTTTAATAAACTTCCTGACACAAAACTCTAAGTCTTGAAATAAAACCACCTATATTTTGTTAGTCATGCAGTCAAGAAGCAAAAAAAATAAAAATAAAAATGCTTAGAGTACATCACATATAAATGATTAATTTTCAAAATGGCAACGCATTTCCCATAAGTAGTCCATACATCCCTAAGAATATGACTTATCTTCTTTCTGGCAATTTGCTGCCTATATCTTTTTAAAAATCAATTAGCCGGGCCCGATGGCTCACGCCTGTAATCCCAGCACTTTGAGAGGCCGAGGCCGGTGGATCATGAGGTCAAGAGATCGAGACTATCCTGGCTAATGTAGTGAAACCCCGCCTCTACTAAAAATACAAAAAATTAGCCGGGCGTGGTGGTGGGCACCTGTAGTCCCAGCTACTCGGGAGGCTGAGGCAGGAGAATGGCATGAACCCGGGAGGCGGAACTTGCAGTAAGCGGAGATCACGCCACTGCACTCCAGCCTGGGTGACAGAGCTAGACTCCATCTCAGAAAAAAAAAAAAAAAAATCAATTGATGACACCAATCAGTACTATCACATAACCTATCATCTTCCCAGACTTGGTCTTTTCAGTAACAAAAGTAGTTTAAATAATTCATTTTAGTCAAATATCTTCTAGTCATTTTCTTTACTCAGCTGGTATCCCACTTAACTCAAATGTTATATTTGTTTTTATTTCTCAGTATGTGTTTTTCTACTTTAAAAGGAAAAATAAAAAACTATTAATATGCCTCATTTAATAATTGTTAAAACCTATTTAGCAACCTGACATGGTCTGAATGTTTGTGTCCCCCTAATAGTCATATGTTGAAATCCTAACCCCAAGGCCTTGGGAGGTAATTAGGTCAGGAGGGTGGTGCCCTTGGGAATGGGATTAGTGCCCTTTTAAACAGACCCCAGAGAGCTCACTTGCTCCTTAAACCATGTAAAGACACAGCAAGAAGGTGCCATCTCTGAGCTAGAAAACAGCTCCTCACCCAGACACTGAATCTATTGGCACCTTGATCTTAGACTTCCCAGTTTCTAGAATGATGAGACATAAATTTCTGTTGTTTACAAGCTCCCCAGTTTACGGTATTTTGTTGTAGAAGTCCAAATGGACTAAGACATAACCGTTGCTGGTCACATAAACCAACTTGAGGTACTTAAATTCAAATTTAGTTTAATATAGCTAATGAGCTATATCAAATGGTGAATTTGTAAAAATTTTAGCATTTTGCAAATAGAAAAACAAGTCTTAATTAGATTATACACAGCTCTGCATGAAAATTTAAATGTTAGGGGTGAACATAATGCAAACACTTACTTTATTTGTTAATGTTGTTAATCTAAGTAATACTGCTCTTGGACCTAGATAAAGCTGATGTAAATACAGCAGAGGATATAAAGAGACAAACTGACATAATGCAAACTTGCTTAGTGGACTGAAGTTTGAAAATGAGTGAATTTTTGTGTTATAATGTTATATGTTATGCACTAGGTGATGTTTTATGTTTGAGGATTATGACCCAATTATAACGACGGAATCTTTATAAGTGAAAAAGAGTTGAAGTAACATCTAAGTATATAGTCTTCTATCCCAAAACAGAACTGTACTTTATATAGACGAGATGGTTGTCTGTCCTATTTTTAAATTCCTCTGAGGATTCTATGAACTTCCTCAATACATTTTAGTGTTTAATTACACCCAGCTAAGATGTTTTTCCTTATATTTAATCAAGTTTTTTCAGAGTCTACTTTTTCAAAACTAACAGCTATACTGAGGTATAATTTGCACACCATACAATTCATCCACTAAAAGTATACAAATTCAGTGGTTTGGGGAATTATGCACAGAGTTGTACAACCATCACCACTATTTTATTTCAAAACACTTATCAATTGTCCCCAAAAGGAACTCTATAGATATTAGCAGTCAACCCTCAGCCTGTGGCAACCACTAATCTACTTTCTGTCTCTATGGGTTTGCCTATTCTGGGCATTAATATATATGAAATTATACATGTGACCTTTTATGTCTGGCTTCTTTCACTAAGCATGATGTTCTTAAGGTTCATCAATGTTGTAGCATCTATCAGTACTTTTTTATGGCTGAATATCATTCCCACTGTATAGAATACCACATTCCACATTTTATGCAGAATACCACATTTGGATACGTGGGTACTGATGTGATTTGGCTGTGTCCCCACCCAAAATCTCATCTTGAACTGTAATCCCCATAATCCCCACGTGTCAAGGATGGAACCAGATGGAGGTAATTGAATCATGGGGGCATATTTCCCCATGCTGTTCTCATGATAGTGAGTCTTACGAGATCAGAAGTTTTGTAAGTGCCTGGCATTCCCCCTGCTTGCACTCACTCTGTCCTGCTGTGCTGTGAAGAATGTGCTTGCTTCTCCTTTACCTCCCACCATGATTGTAAGTTTCTTGAGGCCTCCCTAGTAATGTGGAACTGTGAGTCAATTAAACCTCTTTCCTTTATAAATTACCCAGTCTTGGGTGTTTCTTCATAGCAGTGTGAGAACAGACTAATACAGATATATTTATCAACTGAGAATATTTGAATTGTTTGAACTTTATGGATATTATAAATAATATATGATATAAACACATAAACATTCATGTACAAATTTTTCTGTGGGCATATATTTTCAACTCTCTTGGGAATAGACCTAAGAATGGAATAGCTGGTTCATATAATAACTCTATGTTTAACCTTTGGAAGAACCATCAGACTTTTCCAAAGTGGCTGAACCATCTTACAATTCTCCAAGTAATATATAAAATTCCAATTTCTCCACATTTTTGGCATACTTGTTATCTTGTTTGTTTTTTTAAATCTCACTCTGTTGTCCAGGCTGGAGTGCAGTGACACAAACATGGCTCACTGCAGCCTCAACCTCTTGAGCTCAAGCAATCCTCCTGCCTCAGCCTGCTGTGTAGCTGGTACCACATGTGCATGCCACCGACTTGGCTTTTTAATATTTTTTTGTAGAGATGGGGTCTCATTTTGTTACCTAGGCTGGTCTTGAACTCCTGGGCTCAAGCAATCCTCCCACCTTGGACTCCCAAAGTGATGAGATTACAGGTGTGAGCCACCATGTCCAGCCCTGTCTTTTTTATTTTAGCCATTCCTAGGAGTGTAAAGTGATATTTCATCATGGTTTAGATTTGCATTTCCCTGATGACTAACAATGCTGAACACCTTTTATGTGCTTATTGGACATTCATACGTCTTCTTTGGAGAAATGTCTATTCAGATCCTTTTCCTGTTTTTTAATTGAGTTGTTTCTCATTATTGAGTTGTAAGTGTTCCTTGTATATTCTAGTTACAAGTGGCTTATCAAGTATATAATTTGCAAATATTTTTCCCATCCTTTGGGTTGTCTTTTCACTTTCTTTATAGTGACCTTTGAAACACAAAGTTTTTTAATGTTGAAATCTAATTTACCTTATTTTTCTTTTGTTGCTTGTGATTTTGGTGTCAGAGTTAAGGAACCCATTGTCATGAAGATTTATGATTATGTTTTCTCCTAAGAGTTTTATAGTTTAGGCTCTTACATTTAGGTCTTTGATTAATTTTGAGGTTTTTATCTATGTGAGGTAAGGGTCAAATTTATTGTTTTGCATATGAATATCCATTTACGCCAGTATTATTTGTTAAAAATACTATTCTTTCTCCATTAAACTGTCTTGCCAACCCTGTTGAAAATCAATTGACCATAAATATGAGGGTTGATTTCTGAGCTCTCAATTCCAATCCATTGATGAACCACACTGTCTTAATTACTATGGCTTTATGGTAAGTTTTAAAATTGAAAGTGTGATTCTTCCAACTTTGTTCATGTTTTTCAGGATTGTTTTAGTTATTCTGAGTCTCTTGAATTTCTGTATGAATTTTTGACTCAGCTTATCAATTTTGGCAAAAAAGGCAGCTGGGATTTTAACAGCAAGTATGTTGAATTTATAGATAAATTTGGAGAGTTATTGCCATTTTAACAATGTTTAGTCTTCCAATCCTTGATCATTAGATATCTTTCCATTTATTGAGGTTTTATTTAATTTATTTGGATAATGTTTTATAGCTTGAGTGTAAGTTTTGCAATTGTTTTGTTAAATGTATCCTTAATTTTGTATTTTATTCTTTGTAATGCTACTATAAATGAAATTATTTTCTTAATTCCACTTCAAATTGTTCATTACTAGTATATAGAAATGCAAATCATTTTTATAAGTGATTGTATCCTGCCACCTCATTGAAGTCATTTGTTAATTCTAATTTTTTTTTTGGTGGATTATTTAGGATTTTTCAAGAGATAGTTTCTCCTTTCCAATCTACATACTGGACTTTACTTTTTAACTATACGTTTCATATGAAATTTTGATGATTCTTCCCTAAAATGACTGAAAAATAGAAATAATAATGAAGCAATATATAAGAAGATGTATGTTATATTTAAATTACTTGGATATTTATGATAGAAAAAAATATATCTACCCTATGTCAGGCCTTGTGCTAAGTGACTCCTACATTTTTTAAATTAATAAACTAAATTTTTTAGAGTAGTTTTAGGTTCAAAGAAAAACTGAGCTGAAGATAGAGAATTTCCATATACCCCCTGCCCCACACAAGCTCAACCTCCCCCATTTTCAACATCCCTCATTACAGTGGAACACTGGTTACACATGAACATACTAAAGTGGACTCATAGTTTACATTGAGATTCACTTTTGGTATTGCACATTCTATAGGGTTAATAAATGTATAACAACATATATCTATCATTATAGTATCTTACATAGTAGTTTCAGTGCCCTAAAAATCCTCCATGCTCTGCTGACTTATCCTTCCCTCTCCCCTAACCCTGGCAACCACTGATGTTTTTACTGTCTCCATGGTCTTGCCTTTTCCAGAATGTCATATTGTTGGAATCATACAGTATGTAGCCTTTTCAGATTGGGTTCTTTCATTTACTAATATGCATTTTTAAGTTTTCTTCATGTCTTTTCATGGCATGACACCTCATTTCTTTTTAGTGCCAAGTAATATTACATTGTGTAGAAGTACCACAGTTAACTTGTCCATTCACTTACTAAAGGACATCTTATTTGCTTGCAAGTTTTGATAATTATGAATAAAGCTGCTATAAATATTTGTGTGTATGTTTTGCATAGATACAAGTTTTCAGTTCATTTGGATAAATACCAAGGAGCATGATTGCTGTATCACATAAAAAAAGTATGTTTAGTTTTGAAAGAAAGTGCCAAACTGCCTGAGTGACTGTACCATTTTGTATTCCCACCAATAACGAATGAGACAGCTACAATTGTTCTACATCTTTGCCAGCATTTGTGGTGTCAGTGTTTGGGATTTTGGCCATTCAGTGGGTATGCAGTGGTATTTTACTGTTTTAATTTGCAATTCCCTAATGACATACAATGTTGAGCATCTTTCATATGCTTACTTGCCATCTGCTTATCTTCTTTGGTGAGGTGTCTATTCAGGTCTTTTGCCCATTTATTTTTAAATGGAGTTGTTCATTTTCTTATTGTTGAGCTTCAGGAGTTCTTTGTATATTTTGGATAACAGTCTTATATTAGATGTCCTTGAGAGATATTTTCTTCCAGTCTGTGGCTGGTCTTCTCAATCTCATGACATTGTCTTATGCAGAACAGTTTTTAATTTTAATGAAGTCCAGCTTATCAATTACTTCTCCCTACATTATGTAGTAAGTTTATAAGCATCTTCAAAATAAGTATTAGTAATTCATTTTACACATGAGAAAACAGAGAGTTCAACATCAGGGATTTAGATATCCATCAATCGAGGAGAGATCTGAAACCAGGTTGTTTGGCTGAAAAGCCAGATTTAAGGTACTCAACAAAATGCTTTAGAAAGAGATTTTTAATAAATGAAAAATAATACCAATGACCCTAAGGTCTGCATTTGGCTCTGGAGAAGGCATCCCATGGTGCCCCTATGGCCCCTGAGGCCATGCTCACCTATGCTGCCTTGAAACATCATCATGCTCCTGGATTGCCCAGGTGGCTTCCTTCACTTAGCCACTGGTGAGGTCAGTTCTTCCCAAGTAGTCCCACAGTCTTGCCAGAATGGCCACTATTCCTCTAACTTTTCCTTTTCCATCACCCACCGTATGCAAATCAAAATCTCTGCCTAAATAATTATATGGTTTTCAAAAATAATGAAATCATTAATTATTTCTATTTAACCATTAATAAAATTGATTAACAGTTACATTTTGTAGGCATTTATGTTGGCACGTATTCATTTTGATTTAGCAATTTCCTTTTTCTTTTCTTTTTTTGGAACCAAAACCTATGTTTTTCAGCACCCAAACATTTTCACAAGTCTTTGAAAAGATCATAGGCTCTGGGCAAGGGGTTGATTAGAGTTGCCACTGGAAAAAAATTATCCAACCACATTTCATCTCCCCTTTGGCCCAGCATTTTTAAATGATTAACCCACCAAACCAAGTACATTTGCCTTCTCGGTTTAATTAATAATGTGTTCTTATAACCTCACAGAATCGATATGCCTAGAAACAAATGCAAAGGGCTTTTGTTTTCTACATCACTCAGCCACATTATAGAAAAAGGTGTAACATTCATTGGGCTTTTAGAAGTTCTGAACTTAGCTTAATAGTTCTCAGATCTGAGTACCTGGGATATTGGGACCCCAGTTTGTGGATTACTAGCTAGGTAATATTAAAAGTCTTTTTCAGTTGTAACATTTTGTGAAAAAGAAACCACAAAATACTCCCATGAATATTATCTCTGTTTCACTGTAATTAGCTCTTATTTCTCTAGCCTGATTACTTGCCCCTCTCCAGTGAGTCTCTAGCTATTTTCACAGCTTAAGCCTCTGTTTGTTTATGTCTATACTTAGGTTGCAGGTGATAATTGCCTACTTATCAGTTTTTTTGTTTTGGGTTTTTTTTTTTTTTTCTACTTGCTCTCTAAGCCTTTTCTAAGTTTCTCCTAGACTTTCTTTCACACCTTTTTCTTTTGAGTGGTTCAAATTCCATTTAGAGTGATGTTTCCTTAAGCACTTATTCTAGGTATTGATGTTTTCTTAAAAGAGTCTTTTCATTCACTCAACAGAGAATGAACCAATGTTAAGTAAGGGTCAGGCACAGTAAAGCATGCTGAGAATACAACAGTAAAATATGGTCACTCAGTTACAGTTTAGTGTGGGAGATCAATACTAGACTGACTATAAGTCACACAAGTAAATTAATGATTGCAAAGTATGATAAATGTTATGAAGGAAAGGTACAAGGTGCTGTGAGAGAGAATATCCAGGGAACCTAATGGAGATGGGTAGAGGGGGAAAGGCCCCATCAAGAGAAACAGCATTTAGAATGATCCCAAGGTTTTATTTTAAGTTTTACATTTTACACTAGTACAAGTATTAGTTAACCAATGATGAAACCGTGCATTTTTCAATATTGCTGGCAAGGAAACAGTTGGATATATTTCAATTGCCTACATTACGAGTAAATTTTTGATACAGGTAAAGAAAGTAGTGGGTGAAGGAGAGATCCAAGTACGTTACCACTTATCCTCTTCTCAGAATACTCTTTCCTGATGACCCAGTAGCAGAGTTTCCTCATAAGGTTACCACCAGTAATAACAGATGTTATTTTTCTCCCCTTGCCTTTTACTATTGTTTATTTTATGACTAAAACCCTTGGACCCTCTGCCATTCTGCTTCCTTCTTGTTCTTAAGGTTGGTGGTTCTTGAGCCTAATTACTCATCAGAATAACTTTGGCCATCTTAGAAACTGTAGGATTCCCCAACCAATTCCAGAACTCATGAACTGAAATGTCCCAGGGAAAGACCTCAGTAATCCACGTTAAAAAAAAAATGCTTCTCGTGTGATTATGATCTGAAGGAGAGCTAGGAACCCTTGTCTCACTCCTAGTTATGTGCCTTTGGGCAAATTATTTATTTTCTCTGTGACTCAGTTTCCTCAATTATAAAATAGGAATCTTAATGGTACCTATCTCACAGAGTTGTTGTCAGTATAAAAAGATGTAGACAATTCAGAGTTCATGTAACATATTTGGATGGGAAACTCAGCCACTGAAGGAAATGCCAGTTCTAAAGGCCTTAGGAACTCAGGGTTTTCCCAAAAACAGGAAGGTTCTCATGGAGTCATCTCTGGTTCTGATTTCTGAGGTCATTTTGTGAGCTCCTTTAAGAGATGAGCAATTCTACCACCACAGAGTTAAATGTGGTTTCATGGATATCAGCTACAGTTTTTTTGTTGTTTTTGTTTTCATTTATTTATTTGAGATGAGGTCTCACTCTGTCACCCAGGCTGAAGTGCAGTGGCACAATCACGGCTCACTGAAGCCTTGACCTTCCTGGGCTCAAGTGATTCTCCCGCCTCAGGCTCTCCAGCAGCTGGGACTACAGGCACCACACTTGGCTAATTTTAAAATTTATTTTATTTTTTGTTGAGACAGGGTCTCACTATGTTGCCCAGGTTGCTCTCAAACTCCTGGGCTTAAGTGATCCTCTTGCCTCATCCTTCAAAAGTGTTGGGATTCCAGGCATGAGTCACCATGCCTGGCATCAGCTACTGTCATAAAACCTGCCTACATGCCTGTTTTGGTGTACCACATGCCTATTTTGGAGTACTGCCCCTACTCCCCCTCCCTGTTGATTGGCAGGAGGCTGTCAGTTCTCAAATCATACTTTCCTAGCCACAGGTGAAGAAGGTCTATAACTCAGGTTGGCCAATCAGAATATTTATTTCTGTGGGTATGGCAGCTGGTACATAGGTTAGCAGAAGACCTCAGTAGGATGAATCAGAATCCAATTTTGGTAAATAATTGGGGAAACAGGGAAGAAAGGGAGTCCTTTTTGAAACTGCTATCAATAAAGATGATAAAAGGCAGGAACTTCCCAGTGGGTATCTTTGATGTCAAACGCAGGAATCTGCTGAGGATTGAGGATGACACCATATGGAGGAAAGTAGAGTCAAGAGAAGAAGCCATGGATGGAGAGAGCCCTGGTGAAAACATTGTTGGCCCTCTGGATCTAGCTATTCTGAAATCACTCTGGACTTTCCAGGGGCGATACTGAGAACGTCTCTCATCAAATGAATACATCTAGGTTTCTATGCATCTATCTATTAATGTATTTATTAGTTTAACTTACTTGGAGATGAATTTCTGCCACTTAAAACCCAGAGTTCTGTACAGTACATTTGGATATACTTGTCTTTTTTATGATAAATTGGTGGTCAATGTGGCTTATTCTGGGGTGTTGTGTTTGAAGCTCGTGAGAGGCTGAGGCTGAGGCTGTCTCTCTCTAACAACCCAGAGGAGTAAAAGCAGGAGTATGGATAAGAGATGGAGGCAGGATCATAACTGCTTTAGCAATCTTTGTATTATAATTACGGAAGAACAAACGCACCAGTGTATTTAAAATGAATGAATTACAGACATTTCTCATAGAAAGTTTAAAAATTGATTTACTATCTGAACTGCTCAGAAATTTTGCTACTGCCCAGATATAATTCTGGATTTGTGTGGGTCTGTTCTTTCCACTAAATGAAACAACCTTAATAAAAATGCTGTTCTTACAACTTCAATAAGAGCTTTTGTCTTACATTAAAGCTTTATAATATTGCATTCTATTGTGAGTAGACCTCTATTCAGAGTTACATTGAATACAAATCGGAATAGGGTTACAAGCAACATTAAAAGTTAATGAAAAATCAGCCTTGTACATGTAGAACAACAACAAAAAAAGTTGAAGGAAAGAAAGTACATAATTACGCTAGTTTCAGTTAAGACTTAGGTAATAGTTCCACATTTGAAATCTAGATCATTCTCTCCCCCTCCATCCCATGTAATTATCCATTCAACTTACTAATGAACATTTGTCATACAGAACTAGCAAGAACTCCAAAATGAAGAGGTGGAGCTGAAAGAGTGAAGGAGAAAAAGGCAAATTTGATGCATGTGGAAGCAAAAGAGTATAGGAAAACATCAGTTTTTATTGAACGATCTGTTACTAAAAATGTGCAGGAGTGCCAAGGTTTATTTTGGTTATCATATGAAGAAACACATATGAACCTAATACATCTCCAGTTTGACTACTCAAAAGAAAAAAAATAGGGTAAAAGGAAAGCATTTTAAGTGAGTGAAAGGACCAGCACTGCAGAGCTGGAAGGAAACTTGAACAACTCCTATTATAACTTCCTCATGGTTTAGGTGAGGAGACGCATCTGTGTGGACTGAGGGCCTTGGCTAAGACAATGCAGCTACTAAATGGGTGTTCTTGTGGTGCCAATTAATGACTTATTTCCCTCTCTGAAATATATATCAATGAGGAAATAACATACAGATCAAGCACAGTTCTTATATTAGACACATTTCTCAGAACTCCCAATGTGGGGATTCTATCAGTGCTGAGTATGTCTATTCCAATGATGCATGCAGAAACAGGGAAAATGACCACAGCATGGATATGGGGACCATTGGATCCACTATGAGATGGAGCTAAGCTGAAACTCCATTGATCACCTGACCTCCATACACCCATACTCTGACAGTTATGTTTTGGCTCTCCCAAAAGTAGTGCCAATTCAGAGCTGGTGCCCTGTAATACCCCCCAAATCTGATTATCTTCTTTTTCCCAACACACCATCACCCTGGTAAAAGGCCATTGTGTTCAATAATATCCTAGAGAGACTTTTGAAATTATGTAGGGTTTTTAAAAATAGAGACTTGCATTTATAGATAAAAAATAGTTTATAATACCATAAAGATAGACCATCATGCTGTGGGTTTAAATTCTACAGGAGCAGAAAAAAAAGAGAAGTCTGGGGAGGGCTAATAGGCAATGGGGAAAAATGTCAAAAATCAGAGAAGATTTACTTATTTCTCCAAGACACCTTATTAGTTCTTAGAATTGCTGGTGAGCAGTTTGCTGCAAAGCAGGAATAAATATTGTGGCAACAGAAGAGAGTATTTCTTATGTGCTGACATCAAGAACATGGTCTGCTAGGATCTGAGGAGGCCAGAGAGAGACTGGCAACAAGGCTACTCTTTGCAAACCACCACCACCACAGCAAACCTGGGACCTCCATCTTATACTGGGCCAAGCAGAGAAAATACTATCCTGTCACATTTTCACAGACCCACCTCTCTCAGGAATTCTTTCTCCTCTCTGCAGTCCTTGGCCATCAGTGACTTTCATGAATATTTGGAGAGTACAAATGCGGACAGACGTATGCCCTTATGAAGTTATATGAGCTGTACAAAGGAGCTGACAGAAAGGAAAGGCAACACAATTCTTTGAAGTTAATACAGTGATTCATGCTGTAGTGCTACCCGCTGCACACACACAAATGTAACAACCCAAAGGGTCCCCAAAGTCAAAACTGAATAAATGAATATTTAAGAAATCCAGATGCTAAAAATACACCTGAGATCTCATTTTCTTCTTAATCAGAAATTGCTTCAGGGAAGAAGGCTCTTTATCTTCTGGAATCCAACATGAGCCAAGTTAACTTGGCATCCTGGCAGAAATCAAGGATAACCTGATTCTTGCCAGTTGTAAACAGAGAGCATGAAATTTAAATTTCAGAGATACAGAGGGAAAAAGCTGCCTACCTGTTGCTGTGAATGAACAAAGACTTATGCTATTTAAATATCAATGGGTAGTGCCAGAGTAAAATTTGAATACGTTTGGATGATTTCAAATGCATACCTGCTTTTACAAGCTCAATCTAGTTGAGGCAAAAACACTTCAAAAGGACCAGAAACAGAATTAAAACCCATTACATTTTCCCATTACCACTAGTTTTCCATTTAAGCACACCACCATTTTTCCATCAATTCTTGATTGCTCATAACTCTTCAAACCTCTTCCAAAACTACAGCATCCTGCTTTTTGGATATGGAGTTTCAGGTTGCAGTTATAACTTTTCCCTTAGCTTTAGTTTATTGGACACACCTTTGATTCAAAGCAAACCAGGAGTCTCTACCTAATTTTCTGCCACTGGTTCAGTGAATAGAGTTCTGATTTCTGTTGATTATTGAATTGCTTCTGGGATGGGTCTAAAATGCAGGCACTGACCCTTAATGTCAATCACAAAATTCTGAGTCCAAAATTCTGAAGCAATTTCATTGTTTACAGTATATTTCTGGCAGAGTGATAATAAGCAGCCTGATCACTTTATGGATTTGTCTCTCTCCCGAGCAAACTTAAAAGAAGGCTTAGTAAAACCTACATTGGTTTATTGAGTGTATGAAAGCTGGCTGCTACTCGGTTTATTCCTGTTACTAGACATTCTTTGGCTTTATACATCTGAAAAGAATTTTCAAATTGAGGATTTTTTCTTTGTGCTACTAAATATGTCTTTCTTAGCTAATTATTATGTGATGGGTCATATAGAAAGCAATGAGAACATATTATGATGAAATCATTCCAATTTTTAAGTATATTTCATATGATAAGAAATGTAAAACTGTGAGAGCCCTAATTTATACAAACTAGCTATTCACATTAAATTAGTTATAAAAGTAATTTGAAAGCTGTTCATAAGACCATGAAATATGTAAGTATTTATGTCTATTGTTTTTCATTTGCAAACAAGTATTAATTGAGACTTTGCCCATATGGTACGTAATAAACATTCTGGAATTCTACATTTATCATTCTGATGTTTTTCTTAAGAGTACTTTTAGGCATTTTCTACCAGTACTGGGCTCAGAACACAGCCCCAGCACGGGAAGCTGGGGAGTTTCCTTCTGTATTGGTTTCTCTCTAAATAAATTTGAACCATTTTTCATATTAACTTTTCCCCTTCTCAATTTTTTTAAGAATTAATGAGAAAAATTCTTCATCAAGATTCTTGCTAAAGAGATTCATACTAAATATGTAGCCAGCAGCCACCCACATATCAGTTAAATGTCAATGGGAAAGAAGAAAATGGCATCTGTACAGGATATATTTTGTTCTTTCTCTGAGACGGAGCCAAACAAATGGGAAGCTTCCTGAGAAGATAGCCGTCAATGTCACTAATGTTATCTCTGCCTCCATATTCTTTTTTGTTGGCTTTTAAAAATCACAAGTACTTTAGACAACAACTTTCTACTGTGGGTCACATAGACAGGCTACCCAAGTGAGTTTCAATATTCTCCAAAACAAAGGAAGTGTAAAAGGGTAACATGGAGAAAATAAGAGAAATAAGGAGTCTGGGTAACAGAATGAAAGTTTGATAACTAATCTGAATAGTAAATTGTATTTATTACAGAAAAAAACAAAATTATATTACACAAAAATTTAGCTACCTTTTCAGTAAAATACCGCATGATAAAGAAGTTTTGCAGAAGCATGTTGCTCTGACAGAGTACAATCATGCACTTTTCGCTCTATGAAATCAGATGATGGATTCTCACAGACATTCTGATAAAAAACATCATTTTCATGGTTACGGAAGTTTGGAGGTTGCTACATGTGCCTCTGACTAAGAGAGAAGGCATACACCTGTATTTAGCTTCCAAGATTTCTAACTTGATATTTTCAAATTGAGTTAACAAAATCCTACCAGTTGTGGCCAAGGAACACATATGTTAGGCACAGGGGATGCAATGGTACAATGTTCCCCCAGTGCCGCCATCACAGATCTCATGGTCTAGTGGGTTGAGTGTGATAAGGATGATATTAAACAACACTTTAAATCTACCCTCGTGAGGGCTTCAACTGGGAAGAATAGAGAGCACAAGGGAGAGGCAACTTAAGCATCTGAGTAACAGGAACTGTTTGAGAGGCACCTGCAGAGGCCTAGGGTTGAGAGATCTGATGGTCAGTTGAGAAACTGAAAATTTAGGACAGCTGGAGGTTTAGGGCAATGTGAGCAATGTGGCCAGAAATGAGCCTAAAGAGTTAGGCAGAGGCCACATCATGAAGGGTTTTGATAGCCTGAGTATGGAGTTGAGGTTTGTCCTGAGAGCCACTGGGGAGACATGAAGAGCTTCAAGCAGGAGGATAATCAGGCTTCAAGCAGGACAATGAGGCTCAGTGAGGACAATGGGATGGTGACAGGGCAAGGTCACGGGATGGGGAGGAAGGCTGCTTTAGGGGCTGCTGCAGCAACCTCAGAAAAGGATAATTGTGACATAGACTGAGGCAGTAGTAATGGGATAGAGAGAAGTAGACACACTTGGGAGTAGCTACAAAGATCTTTCTGGATAACATGTAGGTGCAGGCAGAGAGGAAGGAAGAGGAAACTGGAGGCATCATACATGACAACAGTCTTAGGTGGAGCCATTGCACCACTACTGAATCGGAGTATTCTGGAGGAAGTATAGACTTTGGAGAGAAATTATGACTTTAGCTCAATTACTGAGTTTAAGGGGTCTGGAGACATTCAAGTATAGATGCCCAGGGAACAAATGGCACTACAGAGACTTGCAAGGGATCAAATTTCTGTGTATGGGATCACACAGGGAATCCAAGTAGAGTGAGATGAAAGAGAATAAGGGTAGAACTCTGAAGAACATCAATATCTAAGGGATGAGAAAAGGAAATAAAGTAGTCTGAAGAGCAAACTGAGAGTGCAGCCAGACAGCAGTAAGAAAACTGGGAAGGCCTGTCTTCATGGACGTCAAGGGAAAGTGGCATGAAGTGGACATCGCCAGTATCTAATGCTGCACAGAACTCAAAAGAGGAGGACTGAAAAGGACTTATTGGATTTAATGGTGGGAAGGTGGTTGCGGAGAAAAGGACCAGTGGTTGATAGGGGCAGACTCCAGTAAGAAAGGTGAGGGTGAGGATGGTCATACAGTGGAGATAGTTATGACACAAAATTATTCAAAGAAGTTAAAGAGGAGGGAAGAAATAAATTGGGGGGAATAGGGAAAATATGGTTGAAAGAATTAGATATTTGAGTTGTGCTTTATTTTTAGACAGAAGAGATTGAACTGTGTATAATTACAGAAACGACAAAGCAATACAGAAAGAGACGATGATACAGAAGAGAATACATAGACGATGGGCAAGACCACTGAGGAGGCAGAAGCCCTTGGGAGCCAGATGTGAGTAGAAGAATAAGGAGGAGGAGGAGGAAGTAGCTGAGAGGGGAGCCAGGCATGAAGGTGGAAATAAGTGAGTCTATGTCTTGGTAGCAGGAAGCTCTGGGAGTTTTCTTTGATACTAGCCATCTCTTTTCTGTGACGACAGAGGAGAGGTGATCTGCAGTGACATGGGGAGGAGACGTGTTTGGAGTGTCAAGGAGAAAGTAACATAAAAGCTGCCTCTCTAGAAAACAGGAGGGAAAAAGCTCAGTAGAGAACTTAGGATTGCCAAGCAACATTAAGGACTCATCAATTTATCCTGGTACCAATCCATCTTGTGTAATTTTCTGTCACAATCTACAGTTGCCATATATGAAAACAGACACCCTGGCTGATCTTGGGGATGAAACCATGAAATATAGTATTTTGTGATACATTGGTTATGAGGCTTCTTCATGACCCGAGCAAAACACACCCACAAAAAGATTCCAAAATCATTTTTATTTTATTTATTTATTTTTTGAGATGGAGTCTTGCTCTGTCGCCCAGGCTGGACTGCAGTGGCGCGATCTTGGCTCACTGCAACCTCCGCCTCCCAGGTTCAAGCAATGCTCCTGCCTCAGCCTCCTGAGTAACAGGGACTACAGGCAAGTGCCATGACGCCCGGCTAATTTTTGTATTTTTAGTAGAGACGGGGTTTCACCATATTGGCCAGGCTGGTCTCGAACTCCTGACCCCATGATCCACCCGCCTCGGCCTCCCAAAGTGCTGGGATTATAGGCGTGAGCCACCGTGCCCGGCCCCAAATCATTAAGTGAATCCAGGAACAGTAAATTTTTTCTCAAACACTCTGAACCTAGCAAAACGGAGAAGATTGGCCAGTCCATATATCTACTTAACTAGTAGCAAGATACTACTCCATTAATGTGATAATCATTGGTTAAATGATTTTTGGGTTATACATTAAATTCCTATGTGACTGTGTAGTATGATTAGTGACCCAAAAGTTGTTTAATTCTTGGAAACTGGCAAAATGAAGTATCTAGAATTGCAATGCTCACAAATGGACCTAGAAGGTAGTGACTACACCAAAGATCTGATACATTGTGAATCATGGATAAACCGTTGGCTGCTCTGTCTTTTTGGAATCACTCCTCCATTTCTTTCCATTGAATTCCTTTTTGGGGTCTCCTATGTTCTAGGCCCTGTGGTCCTAACCCTCATGGGGCTTTCAGTAGGGAAGGAGGCAGGCACAATGGCAAATGTTTAAAACCCAGGCAGAATCATGCAGTAAGAAATGAAGCTAAAAGGTTGAGAAATAGTAGAGGAAAGTGAATTAATTTTGTCTGTTGGATTAGCACACACACACAAAATGTACTTTCAAGTTTCTGTATAAAACACGATAAAACTTTTAGCATTCTGTGACTTAGGGAAAAATAACAGACAGAACACTTAATGAAAACTAAGTTTCTTCTTTCATTTAAAAATGATCCTTATTTTATTTTCAAGTTTTATACTTCTTTGGTCTGTGATGAATTAGAGAAACTGTGCAACTTGCCACCAAACCTCTTAATTGCCTTAATTGCTTGGTTTATTTTTATTTTTTATTTTTTTTATTTTTATTTTTATTTTTAGATAGTGTTGCTCTGTCACCCAGGCTGGCGTGCAGTGCAGTGCAGTGCAGTGGCATGATCACAGCTCACTGCAACTGCCACCTCCTGAGTTCAAGCAATTCTCCTGCCCCAGTCACCCATGTAGATGGGATTACAGATGTGCATCATCATGCCCAGATAATGTTTGTATTTTTAGTAGAGATGGAGTTTCACCATGTTGCCCAGGCTGGTCTCGAACTCCTGACCTCAAATGTTCCATCAGCCTCGGCCTCCCAAAGTGCTGGGATTACAGATGTGAGCCACTGCATGACCCTTGGTTTATTCTTGAAAAGAATACCTCAGTTTGAAAATAAAACCTCAGTGAATTGTTCCAAAGACATTGGTTCTGTACTTCTGAACTTTCTCTTGAAGTCTGGGGCTGGTACAGTAGTAAGTTCTCAGCAGACAGATTTTCAGCTGGAGAACAGAAACCATATTCTTGCTCCTCGTGGTGCATCTAGTTGCTAAACTTCCTAATTCTAGGTTTTGGAAAAGCTATGTTCAAACCAGTTTGGGAAATAAGCCAATAATTCCAAAGGATCTTGAGCCCTCTTGGATCTCAAGAAGGCAGGAAAGAAGAAGGCAAAGGTGGAGGAGGGGAAGGGAAAAAATCAGCATGGAAAAACAATTAGCAGGAATTCTGTTTTAGTTCCAGTTTTGTTACCTACTGGCTATGCAAATTTAAGCTTTTCGGGAGGAGGCTGGGACTAGATGGTGCTTTGACATTTAAAGGAGTTTATTTCTATTAGGAAAATTACGTAGTTTGGACTAGGTAGTATTACATTACTGAATCAATACTTGCTAACAGGACTTAACTTGCTGACTGCCATGAATTATTTAGTGAGTGAGGTCTTTACACTCATACTCAAAGTCCACACTAATGACCTAGTAATTATTTTAATCGATTTTCAATGAACTGTGAAATACTCTGTTGGCATACCAATAAAGTAAGAAACACTGAGAGCAGATTCTGTGTCTTATATTTATATCTTTCCGCTATAATTCTGAATAGCAATCAGTGTATCCAAAAAAATAGTTCTGTGTATGTTTTATTAGAATTATCATTGAACACTTCTACTGTTTTAAGAAACCCTAATTTGGATTCATGTGAGCCGAGGAATAGATACGATATGGAAGCATAGAATTTTGAAGCTGACAGGATTTTGGAGAATACGCAATTCAGCCCCTTATAGCAGCTTTCAAACATATAAACAAAGAGATTATACAATGATATTCTTAGCAGAATTATGTGTGAGAGTCAAAAGTTAGAAACAACTTTAATGTGCATCAGTTGGAGAATGTATATATAAATTACAGCTTATTCATATAATGAAATATTAGTTAGCAGTTAGGTAAATGACTGAGAGCTATATATATCAATGCAAATAAATCTCAAAAACCTACTGTTGAAAGAAAAAGCAAGTTGCCAAAGGGTATATACAGATAGATACCTTTCACATAAGGCTACAAATATGAAAATGGAATACATGCATGTGTTAAAAATTATAGAGACATACAGGAATGTGGTAATAAACATCAAATTTAGGATGGGGTTACCTCAGGAAGGCAAGAAAGAAGGTACGAAAATGAGAGAAGAAAAGAAACCATCATGTACAGAGACTTCCAATTTGTTCAAAGACACAAAGCAGGTTAGAAGTGAGTATCCTAGAGAATACTTTTCACTACAAACTACTAACTGGAGCATTAACTACTAATCCATTTTGGAGAGCTTCTGAGACTTATTTGTTAATATCTCTGTAAACTTAAAATAAAATCCTACGTTCCCCACCGACTAAATAGACCCCTCCTGGCCCAGGGACCCCAGAGAAACCTTCAATAACTGAGTTCCTGGCCAAGCGTGGTGGCGCACGCCTGTAATCTCAGCACTTTGGGAGGATGAGGCAGGTGGATCACCTGAGGTCAGGAGTTCGAGACCAGCCTGGCCAACATGGTGAAACCCCATCTCTAATAAAAATACAGAAAATTAGCTGGGCGTGGTGGCGCACGCCTGTACTTCCAGCTACTTGGGTGGCTGAGGCAGGAGAATTGCTTGAACCTGGGAGGCAGAGATTGCAGTGAGCCAAGATCGCACTATTGCACTCCAGCCTGGGCGACACGAGCAAAACTCCGTATCAAAAAACAAAACAGAACAAAAAAACAAAAACTGAGTTCCTGGCTATGATGAGAAACAAGGTCAGACATGACTTGTTATGCCCTCCCCACCCCTTTTGGAGTTTAGACACAACTGATAATCATTAATGTTAAAATCGAGATCATAAGTCTGACACAACAGACTTTTTGTGGCAATAGGTAACAAATTATAAATAAGACCTAAGGCCATGAAAGGCAAGGGTGAAGACACACCTGCAGGCCACTAATCTTGCTACACAGCATCCCTATTTTAATTTAAAACATTCCTTTCTGCGAATCCAAATTTTACACAGAGTCTTACTGCTTCAACCAATTGTAAGTTAAAGAATCTTTGAATCCATTTTTAACCTATAAGCCCTCACTTCAAGATACCCTGCATTTTCTGGGCCAACCAATGTATACCTTTCATGTATTAATTTATGTCTTTGCCTGTAATGCCCACCTCCCTAAAATGTATAAAACCAAACCGTCATCCAACTGCCTTGGGGCCACTTACTAAAGGCATCTTGGGTTTGTGTTTACCCTGGGCTCTGGTCACTTATATTGGCTTGGAATAACCCTCTTTAAAATATTTCACAGAGATTAGTTTTTTCAATTAACATCTCCTTTAGACACAAAATGATAGTCACATAAAATTTAACATTGTAAGAGACTTTAAAAGGTTATCTTCTATAATTCCTCATTCAGGTTTTGACTTTTCTTCACAACATGTCAGCTAAATGATGATCCACTGTTTTATTCAAACAAAATACTGTATTGCAAAAGGAAAAATAAACTGCAGATAACACATTTCTGACCTCAACGAAGACATTTCAGGATATCCCTGGAGAAAATCTGCACCCCACCCCAAACCAAGCAATTTAACTTCTGAAAAATCGAGTTAAACACCAGCTTCACTTGTCTTCCTTAGCTTAGGTGCTTAGTTTTGGGGTGAATTCACTCATACAGCAAAGACTTACTGAGCATCTACTATGTGCCAGGCACCATGCTCAGTCGTAGGGCACAGGAGTGAACAAGGCAATACCTTGGGGTTTGTGGTGTAAAATGAATTAAAAACAGTGAAGAAGGATTGCTCTGCGCCATCCTCTGCTTTACCCTCTACTCTAAGAGGTAAATAGAGAAAATGGGGTCCATTATGAGGCCCCTCTGAAATTCAGTAAGCCTTCTCTGAGACAGATGAGTGCT
Source organism: Homo sapiens (assembly GCF_000001405.40). Lineage (NCBI taxonomy): Eukaryota > Metazoa > Chordata > Mammalia > Primates > Hominidae > Homo > Homo sapiens. The sequence goes on from NC_000018.10 coordinate 27,132,754, forward strand.
CACCGTGGGTAGGAAAGAAGATTAAGAAAGAGTAGGAATAGTGTTAGGTCTGGGAGTAAATGGATCAAGGGACCCCAACATTTGCTGGGGCTCCCTTTATATAACTCTGCTCCTTTCTTCCTGTCTGCTTTTCTTCTTTCTCTTGCTCTAAGCCTAGAATCTTCAGCTGCTCTGGTCCACCTGGTAGAAAACAGCTGAACAAGCTTCTGACCTTTGCATCAGACAGTCCAGGTACTCAGCCTATATTCCAAGTCTCAAAAGCCAGAATGCCCAGAAAGGGAATCACTGGCCAGGCTTGGATTAGCCTCCCATCCCCTGGACGATAAATTTACTGTGCTCATCATGTGTGGTACACTAGGAATAACAGGTCTAGCATTGGCCAGGTACCTGCCAACAGAACTAATGAAGGGTTACATTGTAATATGGCAGTTCCTGGTACCACTTCGTAGATAGCAAGTGCATCATTGTTTATATGTGCTCAAAACATGTTGGGAGAACAAACACATTCAATATATTACTAGATGTTAAACATCTATGTTGATGGGATCGACTTTGTTGCAAAGCTTGGCTGCTGCATGTTATTCAGGTTCAGAAGACTTTAAGCAATTTGACATCCATGACTCCTTCACTTCTGGGGTATCGGGCAAAAGCAGGGGACAGCACGTAAGAATACAAGAGACTCAAAAAGCTAGGGCAGAGAGTTAAGACAGAGCCCACAGAGTTGAGTTGTAATTGGCTGAGTGAATAGGGTTGCTGGGGTACATGGCAAGGTGAGGACTGAAATGTGCATCTGGAAGCAGGGGCAGCTGTGGGACACTGGTGACCAAAATACAAGTTTCCTGCCCTCAGGAAGCCTCCATTTTACTGGGAGATGCAGAGCATATGTAAGCAAACAAAAGGAATTATTACAAATTGAGATCAGTGCCATGAAGTAAATTTTAAAAAACAATGAAACAGCTGCAGAGAGAGAAAACTTCCACTTTACATAGGATGTTTGGGGAAGGTGATATTGAAGCTGTACCCTGAAGGATTCAGAAAAGTCAGCCATGGAAATGGCCAAGGAAACGTGCTCCAGGAAGAGGGAACAGCCGTGACATGGGAATAATCACATAATGGGAAGACGAGGTGTGGCGCTGTCCAGAAGTGGGCAGCAGGAGCATGTGCTCATTTGATTAAAAAAATTGTTTGCCACACTTACAGATATAGGAGAAAGTAATTCAAATCAGTGACTTTTTAAAGAAAAGCAATTTTATTTCCCTGAGTATATGATTGACAGTAAACATAAAGTCCTTCTATGTAAAAAATGGCTTTGTTCTAGTTCAGGTATACAGAGATAACCTGAAAGAAAATACAATTTCAAAACAGCAACATCGCAATCAGGATGAACGGCCTGGTTTTTGAAGGAAAAGAACAGACTCTCTCATCAGAGAGGCTCAGGGGAAAAGAATTATATCAGTCCAGTCTAGAAACAAAACTTTATATGCCAAAAATATGCTTCAATGTAGAGAGAGAAAGTGTACTTAGTTTGAAAAAAAAGCAAGATGAAGTCTCCTTAGAAACACCAGATGCACAGACCAGAATCAATTATCTGAGAAAAAGCAATAAGGTGGCTTTACTTTGCCTGAAATCAGAAGCTTGCAGCTACTACTTTTCATTTTCATACAAAGTGGGAGGGTTGAAATACAACCAGGACTACTGATGTTTATGTGCTTAAACAAAACAAAACAAAACAAAAACTAGTACAAGTCACCATCTATTCTGGCCAACTTGCCACTGCTAGTAGCATGTAGGATTTGAATAGAACCTCGACCTACCAAAAGGTCATATCACTGACCAAAAAAAGAGTATTTTCAGGCAAAATAAGTTCAGGACCAGGGTCCTACAGAGCATGGATTGGTGACAATGAGTTTTTAAAAGGTGGGGTTATATTTATATAATTCTCTTATAGGCACATTGCTATGTGCCTTAGCATTGCTAAGCCTTAGCAATGATAATTCATAGCTAAATTATTGACCTTAGATGTTAATGCTGAATCCTAAATTCAGACATTGTACTTATTTGACATAAATCAGAAAAAAACTGGTAAAAGTCAGGAAAAAAAATCTAACTAGAAGTATACAAGAAAAATGTAAAAAGTTTCTGAGTTCTGGGGAGATAGTCAGAAAACAAAAAATTTCAGTTAGACAGAGACAATTACATCAAGACATCTATGGTACACTATGCTGGCTATAGTTAATAACAATATATTATACTGTATATTTTCAAATTGCTAAGAGAGGAGATTTTAAGTGTTTTTTACCACAAAAAAATTAGTATGTGAGAGTATGCATATGTTAAGTGGCTTGATTTGACTGTTCTGCAAGGTGTACATGTATTAAGACATCATGTTGTGTACCATAAGTGTATACAATTTTTCCTTGTCAATTAAAAAAATTTAAAAATAACACAAAACAAGGGACAAAAAAGTGCTTTAAAAGGAAGGGAAGCAGTAGTGAACCGTTTCATATTGGGAACAAATACTTGTTTGGGAAGAGTATATTTTTCTGTCTGATTCCTTGGCTGGGTCAGCTGATCCATACTGCAGTAATATTTTCTGGGTTTAGAAATAATTTCACTTTGTTGGTCTCACTTTATTGTTCAACTTTTTATAACTTGAAGCCTGTCTTGGTGAAAATGGAGACCTCAGACATAATGTTATTTACAGTCTTTCTCCTCTTCTGTCAGCTTAATAAGAGTATTACAGTGACCACTCTTTCTTCTTCTAGTGCATGCCTTGTAGATGAGTGAGAGGTAAGAGGAAGTGCCAATAAATCAGCCAAAGTCAGTACCTCTGGGTCAGTGGTTCATAACCTTGACTGAATATTAAAATCACCTGGGGAGATTTTAAAAATCCCCGTATCGGGGCCGCACTCCCAGCCTGGCAAATTAGCATCTCTGGGGAGGAGGCCAGGAACCAAAATCAACATGTCAGGGTGTGGACCAAGGCACGTGTTCCTTAAAACGTCTGGTCTTTCTCAAGCAGCTGGTGAGAACCACTGATCTAACTGCTTTTCTCACTTCACCATGTGCAGCAACCACCTGAGAGTTTTATTAAAATGCAGATTCCCATGCAGCAGACCTGTGTGGGTGCTGAGGGTCTGCAATTCTAACAAGTCTCACGTGACGCTGTTGCTTCTGCTGCTTTCCACATTTTGGGTACAGAGACTCTGGATCAGGGGTTCTCAAAATATAATCCCTGGATCTGCAGCATCAGGGTCCACAGAAATCTTGTTGGAAATGCAAATTCTTGGGCCTCATCCCAGATCTAGTAAATCAGTAACTCTGGGGGTGGAACCCAACAGTCTGTTTTAACCAAACCTTAAGGGGATGCTGATGTACATTGAAGTTTGAGAACAACTATTGGATTGGATAATATTTTTGAGTTTACTTGAGTGTTAGGCTTTTGAGGGGCAAGAAAGGGAGATACCATAGTTTATCCAGAGCAATGGAGAAGGCTTACTTGTGGAAATGAGATCAGGCTTCACAGGAACCCAGGAAAGGTTGCACAACCAGGAAACACGTGATGACCTACTGTGGCACAGCGAGGCATCCCAGGAATGTGGTGTGGTCTGGAAGCACGGAGTGTCATTCTGCACCTGGAGTGACTGCCCAGGCTGCCCACTGCCTGGCCAGTGCACTGTGTCTTTCTCTAGTGCCTTCTCTTAGCATGACTCTACAATGCTCACCATCTCTGCACACTGCAGGGTGGCTTAGTTGGAGTCCTAGAATGAGGCGGCTTGAATCAGACTTCTGGTTTCTTATTTGCTTAGCCTCAGTTTTCTTGTCTTGAAAAATGGGAATACTAATGGTACCTATCTCAGACTTGTTGTGGGATTAAATGAGATAGTGGGTGTGATGTGTTTAGAGCATTGCCTGGGACCCAATAACTGCTAAACTATAACGCTTCCATTCTTGTCTACAAAAAGCTTTTTTAATACAGTTTTTAAAGAAGTTTCTGAGTTTTAAGTAAACATGTAAAATTGTTATAAATAAATAGCTAAAAAAGTATTGGTCCTAGATAGAAATGCTTAGAAGTTATTTGGACAGATTGTTGTAATGTAGGCTACATTGAGGAAATGGTTTCAGTTTGGAATGGCTCAAACTAAACTTGACTCTGGAAAATCTCAGGAAAATATATAATGTAAACTATTAGATGCAATCTGTATTGATTTTTACTGCTTTGTATGTTTTAAAATATGTGCATATAACTCTTCATTACTTGATAGAAAATGTTGTTACATATGAGTATTTCTAACACAAGTTATGAGCTCTCTGTCCATACAGAGTTCATAAAATAGGAAAGGATACAGACAATTAATAAGTCAACAAATAATTAAGGAGTCAATTGCTGATTGTGATAATTTTTCTGAAGAAAATGAATAAGAAGGAGAGATTGATTTATACATATAATGAATATATAATTTATTATTTATTAATTATATTGACTCATAATTGATTATATTGATTTATATGCATAATTATATAATCTGTATATATTGATTTATTTATATATGTGTGTGTGTGTGTGTGTGTGTGTGTGTGTGTGTGTGTGTGTGTGTGTGTATAGAGAGAGAGAGAGAGAAAGAGGCACTGATTGACTGTGGGGGTGATCAAAGAAGGTGACATATGAGCCAAGCCCTGACAGGTGAGAGGACAGAAGGGATCCCAGGCTCCTGAAACTGAGCACATCCAGTCAGCAAAGGGCTTGGTTTAGCAGAGGAAGAGAGGCAGCTCCAGAAGCATGGTGAGTGAATGGAGAATGAGGCTGAGGAGGCAGGCAGTGGCTACAGCTCACACAGCTGTGGGCTCTGGGGAGAAGGTTTTGTTAAAGGAAATGAAATATGATTGAAAAATTTTAAACATGGGAGTGATATAATCCAATTTGTATTTTTAAAAAACGGGTGGATTCAAGAGGATCTTTGAATTCTTATCTAAAGCTGAGATGGTGACTCTGTCGTTAGAGGGTCTCAAAGCTGTCTTACGGCACATACGAAACAGTTATACACCATGACTTTTGGTATGAGTTCCATATAGCAGTAAGATTCTAACTAGACAAATAGTGCCACTTATAAACTTAAACAGTAGCTGGGGGAAAAAATAAACAACAAGCCATTCTTGTGATTTATCCTAACCAGCCCTCATCACTGCTGCATCATACGCATAGCTCCCTGCTCTCCTCTGGTCCTCTGGGTCCTCTGCACGCTTTCACCTGCCCAGCCTCCACTCCCCTCCTTCTAGCACTTCTATCTGGTCAGCAATTCTATCCCTGACAACTGACTGTGCTGCTTCTCCTGCCTGCAACTCATTAGTTTGTCCCATAATGGAGGGCCTGTCTCTTTTCTGTCACAAAGGACTCCTCCTTTTGTCCCAATGGCTTGGCCTGGACTCAGGACCATTTTCTCCCTTACAATTCATTTGACTGCACTCTCCTTGAGAAAAAGGATTATATCTGGCTCACTATTACATGCCTGTATTCACCATGGTGCTCAGCACATCCAATTGTTAAGTCTTCAAGAAATACTGCTGGATGAGTGATTCCTCTGCCCATGGAGGCAGCTTGTATGGACACGAGATACCCCTGGACAATGACCTCTCTCTATGCACTCAATCCTATCCTTCTCCTGCCAGCTTCTACATTAGGAACCAGAATGGCTCTGTGCCAATTAGCTTCTCCCAACTAATTTAACCAAAGTTGGATCTAAGCCTTCATTTTTTTTTTAAACCTTACTCAGTCAAGGCACAAGCTTGGGCACAATTGAATTTTCCTGAATTGTGGCTGAGTTTTAATTGTGGCAACTCAGAAAAAGCAAGTTTTCAGATGTTCTGCGTCATTTCCAGGATAATAATAACAGCTCACGTTCATTGTGCATTACTGTTTGCCAGGCACCATGCTGAGTGCTTTGCAAGCATTGTCTCCTTTAATCTTCACTGCAACCCTCTGTGAAAAATATGACTATCCTCATTTTACAGATAAGGAAACTGAGGCTTAGAGAGGCAAAGAAATTTGCCCAGGGTTACAAAGCTAACAAACAGGAGATCTGAGATTTTTCAAGATCCTTCTGAATGAAAAACTTGTACCTGTAACAACTACGAAAAAAAAAACTAAAATAAAATTTGTGATAACATATCAACATACTGCAAATTAGCACTAGGAAATGGATAAATTAATGGATAGTGATATTGAAAAAGTAGATGGTATTATGGAACTCTATTGCATAATTGGATAGATTTTAATTTCTCTGTCATACAGCTTCTCTTTACTTCCAAAAAAATCTGTTTTCATAATCCTTTACCAGTATATCAGAGCATATTTCAGATTTTTTGGATTCTAAAGTATTTTATTTTAATACGAAAAACCCAAGAAAACCAGGGAGGCTTAGAAAATAGTCCATATCTTAGATTTGAAAAGCCTCAAATAAAAGACACGAAGAAAACCTAAGAATTCTCATATATAACTGAAATATATGTGTGATCAAAGCCATTTAGATTTTAAAACCAGCATTACTTATAGAAAGTCTCAGGAACCAAACCAGCTCATCTTTCAAAGTTTCTTTGAGTGACAGTTCTAAAGTGTCCAAAAGACAGATTTTCCATTTTTTTAAACTTAACATCAAAGCACATATTCATATATTTATTTATTTAAAAAGAGATTGCCTTTAAAAATGCCTAATGCTCCTGATGTTATTTGAAACACACACACACACACACATATATATATATATAAAAAATAAATGTCTGCCTACCTAGAAAACTGCAGAATTTCAACTCACAGCACTAACCTAGTATAAGGCAGAACTTCAGATGGAAGTCTTCTTAAAGAATATTACAGTTTTTCGTCAGAGAAATAGTTATCTACAGGACTCTTGACTTTTACATTTATGCTTTTTGTCATGAGTAGTTTATGAAATATTACATAATTCATTTAAAATATATCAAGAATCAGGGAAAGCACTTCTATCAAAATTACAAATAAAATTTAAGAGAATAAATGGTAAGTGTTTTACCAGTCTTAACCAAGGAAAATAATTTTCCAACACTTGGGAAAATTATGAACTCAAGTTAAGATTTAATCTTGTAGAAGAAGTTACACATCTGTATGTCATTTAATTTACCAATTTCAGTGATTTTAAAACATCTGTACTGATACTACTGCATTTATAATTATATGCCTACATAATCCAGTGTTTTGGTTAGGAGACTCTTTCAGGGATTCCGACAATTAGGAAAACCTAGGTATGGGTTACACTTCAAAAACCTGTAGCTTTATAGCTACAGGTTAAGTCATTTAAACTTTCTGAGTCTCCCTTGCTTCATCTGTGCTATAGAGAAATAATAATATTCACCTTTTTCCTTCATGGAAGTGATACATTGAGCAGAGGCGTGGACCTCGTAGCAGTACAACCTGGGTTCAAATCCAGGCTTTCCCCTCTGCAACAAGGCCATGCAAAGCCTTGGATACGCCCCTTATCCCTCTGGAGTCTCATTTTCCTCATCTGTAAATTTAGAATAATACTCACCTAGTAAGATATGAGGATTACAGAAAATTTATGTAAACATTTGGCACTTATTAAGCTCTCCATAAATGGTAGCTATTAATGCTTATGGACACATTTGGTAAACTACATTTTATATGTATGGTATTATTAACCTGTTTCCTTAGATATATAATTTCTTAGTGACAGACTAAACACATTTCTGCAAAAAAGTAGTCTATACATATGAATATATTTTCCCTTAAGTATTAAAATCTTGCTGTGATAGTCTTTTTGTGAAATTTGTTATGAGACCATGATATGAGCAAAACTCAAAATAATGAGATCTTTTTCTTTCTTCTTCCTTTGCTGTATTTCAGTCTATAGTCTTCAGTGAATTTTCAATCCATTCATTCATTCATTCATTCATTCAACAAAAACTTACTGAAGGCTTACTATGTTACAGGATCTATGCTAAGGGTTATATTTCAGGAGGAATTAGCCTATATATTTTACTACAGGTGGTTTCATTAAATATGATGTTATTATGATAAATTATTTCAGTAGTATAGAAAAGTTAGCATAATAGTTTATGTAAACTGTAAAGGGAATTAAGAATATATTTTGACAATATGTTACATATTCTTTAGAAAATCATTATATGCAACCTCTTTTCACAAAGTTACTATATAAATTAAATACATCAAAAGTGTTGTCCAGGGGCAGTGGCTTACGCCTATAATCCCAATCCCAGAATTTTGGGAGGCCAAGGCAGGTGGATCACTTGAGCTCAGGAGTTCAAGACGAGCCTGGGCGGGGCACGGTGGCTCACGCCTGTAATCCTAGCACTTTGGGAGGCCTAGGCGAGTGGATCACGAGGTCAGGAGATCGAGACCATCCTGGCTAATATGGTGAAACCCCGTCTCTACTAAAAATTCAAAAAAAAAGAAATTAGCCGGGCGTGGTGGCGGGCGCCTGTAGTCCCAGCTACTTGGGAGGCTGAGGCAGGAGAATGGCGTGAACCCAGCAGGCGGAGCTTGCAGTGAGCTGAGATCGCGCCACTGCACTCCAGCCTAGGCGACTGAGCAAGACTCTGTCTCAAAAACAAACAAACAACAACAAAATAGACCAGCCTGGTCAACATGGTGAAACCCCGTCTCTACAAAAAATACAAAAATTAGCCGGGTGCAGTGGTTTGTGCCTGTAGACCCAGCTACTTGGGAGGCTGAGGCAGAAGAATCACTTGAACCTGGGAGGCAGAGGTTGCAGTGAGCCAAGATCATGCTATCGCTCTCCAGCCTGGGCGACAGGAGTAAAATCCCGACTCAAAAAAAAAAAAAAAAAAAAAAAAAGTAGGAGGATAAACCAAAGAAAGGAATTTAAAAATGGAAACAATTTTAAAAATAATCATAGTTGTAACTCAGTATTAAATTGTCTTTTGGAGAAGATTCTTAAGGGTTTTATATCTAGAATAACTTAAAAAAAAAAAAAAAAAAGAAAATGGGCCACAACTGGAGACAATCAAAAAATCATTCTTCTGCTTTTACTTTATTATCCTTAACAGTCATAAGCCATAGTCTATTTCTACCAATGGAAACCATCAGAACTTCACAAGATCTGTATGTATACATTTCTATGATATTCTAAGTTTTTTACTTTAATAATACTATATCATTATAAATATAATCATTTTTAACAGTAAGTGAGTGCCTCCAATGGGCAGCAATTGCAAATTGAAAGACAAAAGTACAAGATGAGCACAGCAGGGATCAGTAAACTATTGCCTGTGGACCAAATCTGGCCCACCAGCTGTTTTTGTAAATAAAGTTTTATTGGAACACAGCCTGTTCCATTTGTTTACATGTAATCTATGGCTGCTTCTTGATATATTAGCAGAATTGAGTAGTTGTGGTAGAGATGGTATGGCCTGCAAAGAGTAAAACATTTATGATCTAGTCCTTTATAGAAAAGATTTGCCAACCCCTCCTTTATAATAAAGGTATTAAATGATATTTATACCAATTTTGAGTATCAATATAAATTAAGACAGAATTAAAGGAGAGGCTGCTGTACATTCAGGGCCTTTTAGGCTTATGCCTGATGCTCCATGGACAGATAAGAAGTAGGATAAATGCTATACTTTTGGAGACAAATTCTCTACAAGCAGTTCTTGCTGGACTGTGGGAGCACTGCTATTCCCCCACTGAGATAACAAAAATTTCCATTGTTAAGCCACCAAACAAATGCCTACCAGAGTTGTATAATTTTCCTTCCTTTTAGGAGCTGGGAATTTTATCTTATGACTCATTTTTTGTTGTTGAAAATATTGTGATTCTCAATATATTAATAAGCATCACAACTAATTTAATTTAAAAATAGCTATTATTGTTACAATTAAAATAGAAGAAAAAGCACATGTGTTACCTGTATGTTGTTCTTCAATCCAGACTTGCAAATACATGAAGAGGAGTAGCCCAGCTACTCCAAATATCAGCACAGAGAGGAAGACTTGTTTGGGGTTCATGACCATTTCAGATGGCTGCATTTCTCCTTATTTCAGAATCTGAAGACCACATGATTTGTTTTCCCGTAAAACTTCAGTCTTTTCTTGTTCTCTAAGAGCCCAATTCCATAAAGTAACCTAGAATTTTAAAAAGAAATCTACATTGTACATTTCTGCTAATATTAATTCTCAAATACGGCATAAATATTCACTATCTCAACAAGGCTGAAGACTTAATGTGCACACTAATGCTCTGAAGACAGAAAAGACTGTAGTAGGTGTTCCTAGAATGGCAATTTTCTATTGCATACTTTTATCTTATCTAAGGAATGTATTATCCTACAGTTAATAAGTAACATCCTAACATTTAGTTAGGCAAAGTCTGGCCAGACTTAAGTCCTCCTGTATTGTAAAGTGTAAAGTAAGGTTTGGGATACCTTAAAATAATTGCAAGTAGGAAGAATAACAGAATGGGTTGTTAAAGGACGGGTTTTGAAAAACATGCTTGTAGAATGTAAGGAAAAATCACCTCCTGTCTTAAGAATATATAAAGTTCAAAAATTGAAGGTGTAATATCATTTTTCTCTCATATAAAGTAACAGATTTCTCCAATTTAAAGAGCACATTTAAAATCCTTCAGAGGCATAAAAAGATAAATAATAAAAGGTCAGGGTTCAAGGACCCCTCCCACAATAACATGAAATTACTGAAATCTACCTCAGATTACAGAAATCTACCTCAGTAATAAAGAGCTATTTTATTTTTTTAAAAATACTGAACAGATTTTCTTTTAGAACAATCTCGTTTAATATAACCTTAACCTTTTATTTTTTTTAAAAAAATTGCATCCTTTTTTGAGAATCTGATGAAAATGTGAGCCCTCTCTTTAGAAAAGATTTACAAAATCTTACATAAAATGCCAAAGTGTTCATGTACCTTCACTGAAACCCACATTAAGAATCCCTGTTCCCCAGTGAGAACACGTGGATGCAGGGAGGGGAACATCACACACCAGGGCCTCTTGGGGGATGGGGGGCAAGGGGAGGGAGAGCATTAGGACAAATACCTAATGTATGCGGAGCTTAAATCCTAGATGACGGGTTGATAGGTGCAGCAAACCACCATGGCACATGTATACCTATGTAACAAACCTGCACGTTCTGCACGTGTATCCCAGAACTTAAAGTAAAATAAAATAAAAATAAAAATAGAAAAAACAAACAAACAAAAAGAATCCCTGTTCCCAATGAACTGCCACACAAGTATGCAGTAAGCCGTGTGGTGAGCTCACCTAGTTAGCAGCCCGGCTAATGGGGCCAAGGTCACGGCTTTGTATCTAACGCTGGCCAGAAACCCTGGCTCAGTTCCTTGGCCACAGAACACAACCCCTCTGGGTGAGCCGAATAAATGTTTCTTAAATGTGAAGATATCATGCACATTGCTGCATCAAAAAGTTATCTCTTCTATTCCATTGCCTCAAAATATTTGAGGAGAGTCTTTGATGGAAAATATTGATTTTGCCTAAGAGGTGTTTTATGGGGTGCCAGTTAAAAGTTAAAAACTGCTGTGGGAAATTGCTTGTCTGGTTAAAGGATAATATTTAGGTATTCTTGGCAAAACCAATTTTCAGGGCTGGCGAGGTGGCTCATGCCTGTAATCCTAACACTTTGGAAGGCTGAGGCTGGAGGACTGCTTGACCTCAAGAGTTCAAGACCAACCTGAGCAGCATGGTGAAACCCTGTCTCTACAAAAAATAAAATAGATTTTAAAATTAGCCCAGCGTGGTGCCATGGGCCTCTAGTCCCAGATACTGGAAAGCCTGAGGTAGGAGGATCACTTGAGCCCAGAATGGTGGAGGCTGCAGTGAGCCATGATCAGGCCACTGCGCTTCAGCCTAGGCAACAGAGCGAGACTCTGTCTCAAATAAATAGATAAATAAATAAATAAAAAACAAAAACAAAAAAACTGTAGCTGATATCCATGATACCACATTTAACTTTGTGGTGATAGAATTCCTCATCTCTTAAAGGAGCTCAAAAAATGACCTCAGAAATCAGAACAAGAGATGACTCAATGGGAGCCCTCCTGTCAACCCTGCGTTTCTACAGTCCTTAAGGCTGGCTGGCATTTCCCTTGAGCCTGAAAGGTTGTGGCTGCAGTGAGCTGTGACTGTGCCAATGTACTCCACCCTGGGCAACACAGCAAGATCGTGTCTCAAAAAAAAATACAAAATAAAAAACCAGTTCTCAAACAAATGAGCTTCAAAGATAATGTAAGAATTCAGAATTAGAAGTGAATGTATTAAGTAATTAGAATGATTTCTTGATTAGAAAAAAAAACCCACCAAATAGTTAAAAGTTCTTATGCAAAATGAGAAAAATATCATGTCATGAATACTTCTTTTCCGTTTGTTTGTTTGTTTGTTTTGTTTATTATTTTTTTGTGGTGGAGTTTCACTCTGTCGCCCAGGCTGGAGTGCAGTGCCGCAATCTTGGCTCGCCGCAACCTCCACCTCCTAGGTTCAAGCGATTTTCCTGCCTCAGCCTCCCAAGTAGCTAGAATTAGCTGAGCCACACCCGACTAATTTTTGTATTTTAGTAGAGATGGAGTTTCACCATGTTGGCCAGGCTGGTCTTGAACTCCTGACCTCAGGCGATCCTCCCGCCTCAGCCTCCCAAAGTGCTGGGATTACAGGCGTGAGCCACTGCCCCTGGCCTGAATAGTTATTCTTCTTTATATTTTAACTCTGACCTGGAAGGGGCCAGGGTAAGAGCTGTTTGTCAGCGCTACCTAAGATGCTTTCTCAAATCCAGTTCTCTGAGTTCTCTGAGGAAGGGGCAACTGTTTAACATTTCACTAGTGCTTTTGAGGATTTCAGACATTTCCTTGATTCAGGTAGTAAAGAAAGTTTTTAAATAAGTAGAAGAGCCGAGAGTATTATCATACTGCTTATTTGATGGGTGATACTTTGCTCTTATATTGAATCTAAACTAAAATATTATGGGCTTCCAAACATATGTAACAAAGAACAGTTCCCGAGGGAGACTTGCAATTTGAGGTGTTCCAAATTGAATCCCTCAAGGGAAGCTATGAAATGAAGCCAGCTTTCTCTTCTCTTGATGCTGCCATTAAACAATGAACAGACATAATTCCTGGGTACATAAGAAGATTCAGAAAGGAGGAAACCAGTTAAACAAAATCTAGTACTAACAAAGAAATAGTTGTTTACAAGAAGAAAGAGACTTTTACAATCTGTCTACATAATTAAAACTTATCTCAGAAGAGAAAAGGCTAGAAGAAAACTCATAAATCCAAGCAGAGCCACGAACCTGTGGGAACGGTGGGAGTAAGAGCCAAAAGGAGTACTCCTCGGGGGTTTGCAGAGGAAAATTATTACCTACGATGCTGGAAAAAGATTAAGAATTTGCCCTTCCTTTCTTCAGGAGATGTTACTATCCTCTGACATATCCTCCTGGGTGAGAAAGCAGTAGAAAACCCATAATTGTTATTATGGCAGATGTGAGTAGGATTGAGTGATTAAAGCCACAAGGCAGAAAGGCAATCTGGTGTAAAATGGAGAGATATGTTTGATTTTCTCCCATCTCAGTCCATTAACCCAACGTTGGCGTTAGGAAATGGCTCTCATTAAACAAAGGTGAGGTGGTAGGAGCAGCAGGATTGCTTTAAGCAAACCTGAAGGTCAGCTGTGATGGGAAAACACACCTATTTGGAGATCATATATCTATCTCCAAGCCTGCGGAAAAAGTGCAGACTACTGGAGATTTAAATTACTTGGAATAATGCTGCTTTATGTACGAGCATTATACATTTCTACAGCCAAAGGCTTCCTGTATTTTGTACAACTCCTTCTTCTCCCTTCCCATAAACAGAATATCTTGAGCCTAAAAGGTACTTAAAAACTTGTTGCATTGAACTGAATTTGGAGCTCCAATAACAAAATACAGGTAATTGATACTTTTTATAGTTGTATTTGTAAATCCTTAGTCCTAACCTCCAAATGAAGAAACATGGAGAAATACTAAAAGATAGGGTCGATGTTTCTTTGTTAAAAATATTTTCATTTGCATATCTTTTTATTTATCTCTAACAATTATGAAAAGAAATATAATTATTTCATTCTGTCATCTCTTTTCCAAAAGTTTAAAAATTATTTTTTTAAATAATTGTGGCTACAAACGGAAGTATTTTGGGACTTAAGTATAGCAATAAATTACTTGCTGAAGACAATTCACATAAATTAAATTATGAGTTTCCCAGTTTAGCAGACATTTATTTTTTTATTTTTATTTTTTTGAGATGGAGTTTCACTCTTGTTGCCCAGGCTGGAGTGCAATGGTACGATCTCAGCTCACCACAACCTTCACCTCCTGGGTTCAAGGGATTCTCCTGCCTCAGGCTCCCCATTAGCTGTGATTACAGGCATGCACCACCACACCCGGCTGATTTTTTTGTATTTTTAGTAGATACGGGGTTTCTCCGTGTTTGTCAGGCTAGTCTCCAACTCCCGACCTCAGGTGATCCGCCTGCCTCGGCCTCCCAAAGTGCTGGGATTACAGGTGTGAGCCACCGCACCCAGCAGACATTTATGATTTTAAGGAAGGAGTGGTGGGGTTTTGGGGAATGTCGGTTTGGACCAAATGATGCAGGCAGTTTAGCAGAAAAGAAACCAGGAGTCGGGGGCTTGCTGTTCCCAGATGAGTGTTGGTAGCCCACTCTTTCTCCCCTCCGGTAGCAGCTACACCATCCTCTATCTCCTTCCCACTCTCTGAGTAAACCGAGACCAGCAGGGATGAACTCCCTCCGTTTACTACTAACCCTTACATGTTTACCTTCATTGGTCCACACCCACACATCTTTGCCTCTGTCTCTGAAAAACAGGAGTCCTCACTTTTGCCTCTATCTTTTCCAGGTTCTGGTGAAACGCAACTCCATCAACACCTCCCCAGTCCGATCTTATCCTCTACGTCTTTTCTCAGTGACACCTTCCTCTGTAAACCCCTACAGTGATCACCTAATATGTGTGTGTTTATCTGGACACTATTCTGTTCTATTGATTCAATACTATACTATTTCTTTTTTTTTTTTTTTTACTTTTAAGTTCAGGGATATAAATCCAGATTTGTTAAATAAACTCACGTAACAGGGGTTTGTTGTACAGATTATTTTGTCACCCAGGTATTAAGCCTGGTACTCATTAGTTATTTTTCCTGACCCTCTCCATCCTCCCAAATTCCACCCTCTGATAGGCTCCAGTGTCTGCTGTTCTCCTCTATGTGTCCACATGTTCTCATCATTGAGCACCTACTTATAACTGAGAACATGCAGTATTTGGTTTTCTGTTCCTGGGTTAGTTTGCTAGGGATAATGGCCTCTAGCTCCATCCACGTTTCCACAAAGGACATGATCTCATTCCTTTTTATGGCTGCATAGTATTCCATGGTATAGACGTACCACATTTTCTTTTTTTTTAATTTTATTATTATTATACTTTAAGTTTTAGGGTACATGTGCACAACATGCAGGTTTGTTACATATGTACACATGTGCCATGTTGGTGTGCTGCACCCATTAACTCGTCATTTAGCATTAGGTGTATCTCCTAAAGCTATCCCTCCCCCCTCCCCCCACCCCACAACAGTCCCCCGTGTGTGATGTTCCCCTTCCTGTGTCCATGTATTCTCATTGTTCAATTCCCACCTATGAGTGAGAACATGCGGTGTTTGGTTTTTTGTCCTTGTGATAGTTTGCTGAGAATGATGGTTTCCAGCTTCATCCATGTCCCTACAAAGGACATGAACTCATCCTTTTTTATGGCTGCATAGTATTCCATGGTGTATATGTGCCACATTTTCTTAATCCAGTCTATCAATGTTGGACATTTGGCTTGGTTCCAAGTCTTTGCTATTGTGAATAGTGCCACAATAAACATACATGTGCATGTGTCTTTATAGCAGCATGATTTATAATCCTTTTGGTATATACCCAGTAATAGGATGGCTGGGTCAAATGGTATTTCTAGTTCTAGATCCCTGAGGAATCGCCACACTGACTTCCACAATGGTTGAACTAGTTTACAGTTCCATCAACAGTGTAAAAGTGTTCCTGTTTCTCCACATCCTCTCCAGCATCTGTTGTTTCCTGACTTTTTAATGATCGCCATTCTAACTGGTGTGAGATGGTATCTCATTGTGGTTTTGATTTGCATTTCTCTGATGGCCAGTGATGATGAGCATTTTTTCATGTGTTTTTTGGCTGCATGAATGTCTTCCTTTGAGAAGTGTCTGTTCATATCCTTCACCCACTTTTTGATGGGGTTGTTTGTTTTTTTCTTGTAAATTTGTTTGAGTTCATTGTAGATTCTGGATATTAGCCCTTTGTCAGATGAGTAGGTTGCAAAAATTTTCTCCCATTCTGTAGGTGCCTGTTCACTCTGATGGTAGTTTCTTTTGCTGTGCAGAAGCTCTTTAGTTTAATTAGATCCCATTTGTCAATTTTAGCTTTTGTTGCCATTGCTTTTGGTGTTTTAGACACGAAGTCTAATAATGGCCTCTAGCTCCATCCATGTTTCCACAAAGGACATGATCTCATTCTTTTTCATGGCTGCATAGTATTCCACGGTATAGACGTACCACATTTTCTTTATCCATTGTATCACTGATGGGCGTTTAGGTCAATTCCATGTCTTTGCTATTGTGAATAGTGTTGCAATGAACAAACATGTGCATGTGTCTTTATGATAGAGTGATTTATATTACTGGGTATATATCCCGTAATGGGATTGCTGAAGTTGTCTGTACAAACTATTTTCAGCTTTTTTTTTTTTTTCTTTTTACATTGTATTTTTCTGAAACTCTTACTAAATGTTGAGGCCTTTCAATATACCTCACAAGGTTTTCAACTGCTCTGCCATTTATTTTAAAACATTCCTTTTTTCTTAAGCTGTAATCTGGGTAAATTCTTCTGAGCCATTTTGCAACTTAGCAATTTCTCTGTCTTTATCTATATCTTAGTGTTTATTTTGCCTGTTGTGTTTTCCTAATGCCGTATTTTTCATTTCTAATATTCTGTTCCTACTTATTTCATATTCACTTGTTCAAGTTTCATTTTTCTTTGCTTTTCAAGTTATATATCCTTTAATTGAAAATCATCCTTTATCTCTTTGCATATTTAAAATATATATCTAAGTTTTTGTCAGACTGCAATATAAAAGTTACATTTTGCTTGTAGTATTGTGGCCTCTCTTTCTTAGCATTAGATTTATTTCTTTATTTTAAATTCTGATGTTTACATTCATTTTAGTGAAAGGCTTTTTGATTTTTTTTTTTTCTTTCTCTTTATCTTCTTTTTCTCTTTGTCACTTCCTTCCTTATCAAACAACTTTGCAGTTATCTCTAAAATGCTCTTTGGGCTCTTTTTCAGAGCTAAGTTTTCCCATCATTGGCTTGGTGTCCCCTGAGCCAGAGTGACATTGGTACTAGTGCAGGCAAGAGAGTTAGCCTGGAGATTAGCTGGTTTTCCAGCACTTCTGTGTCTGTGTCTGAGTCTGGTTCTCTAAGCCTAGCACATTCTAAACATTACAGCTTCAGGTGGAGATTGCTACCATTCTTTTACTTCCACCTTCTTTCTCACTGGGGCATAGATTGGCACCTTAGTCCCTGTCCTTGTCTTCAATCAATGAGCCTGCCTCCCAGCTCTTACTTAGGAGTTAATCTTCTAGCTGTTCCAGCAGCTTCCAAATTTAAAGTCTAACAGGCTTACTACAGTTTCAGCCCATTTCACCATTTTTGTTAGTTTACTTCTGTTCTTGATTTTGAGTCCTGGTTATGTCTTCCTGTTTTTTCATTTTTAAATTTTATCTGACTTTGGTTTGTTTAGTGAGCAGACTAGAATACCCAAATATAAATACACTTGTCTTTCTTGACCAGAAACCTTCATGTAACTTTTCAATCCTAGTTTTCTTTGTCTGTAAGAACAGGTCAATAAAATCTACCCTATGTATCCAACAGCTTTACAAAATATTAAGTAAAACAGAATGTGATGGTCTTTTAGAAAACTATAAAAACAGTATGAAATTTATTATAAAGCACCTTAGTATAAATTGGCTTAAGGGGTTTAGATTTTCATTTGATAGGCTTGGTAGGCACATAAACGTTTTGAAAATGTATTGTTTCTATCAACCATAGTGAAATTAAACTGTGGTATGTAGTTTAATGATATTTAGTCAATTATGGGCCTTGGTTTATTTAAAGGGAAAGAAACTGAGATGGTACTCATATAAGTCTTTGTAAAATGTGTAACAACCATAAATAGTAAATATTTACTAAATTGTTTTTAATTAAATGAAGAATGTGACCTTTATCATTTATTATTTCATTTACTAGTTTAGTAGTTAAATAACCCCATTTTAATCTATTTTAATACTGTGTAATTCCTGAAATTTTGTAATCATTTCTATATGTTTTCACTCAATTCTCCAAAAAAGTGGGATTGTTTAAACTTTGATTTTGAGATAATTTTAGACTTACATAGATGTTGTAAAAATATCACAGAGTCCCTGCATACCTTTTATCCAGTTTCCTCAAAGGATAACACCTCACGTAAGCACAGTACAGTTACCAAGACCAGGAATTTGACAATGGTGTATGTGGCAAGCAGAATAATGAGTCTCCCAAAAGGTCCACCCCCTAATCACTGGAAGCTGTGAATATGTGACATTACATGGCAATGGAGAATTGAGTTTGCAGACGGAATGAAGTTTGCTAATAGGCCAACTTAATATAGGGAGATCATTCTGGATCATCTGGGTGGACCCCATGTAATCACAGAGTCTTGAAGAATGGAAGAGTGAGGCAGAGGAGGAAGTCAGAGTGATGTGATATTAAGAACGACTGGAATCACCTTTGTTCATTTGGGGGATAAAGAAAGGGAACCATGAGCTAGGGAATGTAGGTGGCCTCTAGCAGCTAAAAAAGACAAGGAAACAGATTCTACCCAGAGCTACAGAAGGGACCGCAGTCCTGCTGACACCTTAATTTTAGCCCCTGTCAGACTTCTGACCTACAGAACTGTAAGATAATGCATTTGCATTGTTTTAAGCCACCAAATTTGTGATAATCTGTTATAGCAGCAAAGAAAACGAACACAGTACAATGCCATTTGCAAAGTATCATTTTGAAGGAAGACAGTAGTAAAGTTGCTTTGAATGGGTAAAATCCTTCTGGGATTTTTTCACATATTTTTCAAATGGTTTCTCAGATGCAGTGTTTCATGGGCTATTCCTGTAATAACTCAACTGCTCACTGTGTTTTGTCATACAGAACACAGAAATATATCCTTTTTCTAGACACTAATTTATAGGTGCTTCCTTATACATCTTGTTGCTTTGATTTTCTCTATAATTTATTTAACAGGTGTCTTCTACTTTTAGCTGTTGTGATTAAGACTTAATTATAATTAAAATTTTTAGCAAGACAACCCTTTGCCCTTATATTCTTTGTTTTAGAAGAAAAAGTTTTAAACTCATATTTTACATTCTAGTATTCAGTGTAGAGTCTTTTTTTTTTCATTTTAAGCAACAATAGTCTATCTTTAGACTGCACAAGCTAAAACCAAAGGCCTTTGTACACATTTGCATTAAAGAGTGAAAAAACACAGAGGTTATTGCAAAATGATTTGTTCATCCCATCCCTCAAGTCTGCTTGTTCCCCATTCTAAAGATTTCAAAGTTTTAAAGAATTTCAAAGCACTAAATTTGAGTGAAAGAAAAATATCATATTTGACATTTGTTTACACATAGTCACAAGAATATGCAGCATGCACTTACATGCCAGTTAAGCATCATCAGGATCAATGTTAACCAACATATGTTGAGAATCATCATTGCATTAAGTAACATGTAAGGTACATCTGGACTCAAATTATAATTTATTAAAGAGACCAATGTAGATAGAGATAGAAGATTTTAAAGGGAGCCTTTTAAAAAATTTTTGGAGTCCTGGGATTTTTCTGCGGTGGTACAAAAAAATGGTAATTTGGGTGGTCATATCTAAGATGACTTGAAGGAGTTATCAGTGAGGGATGTGTCTGATGAGCTAAGATAACTATGGATTGGGTAAGTCAGTTAGCAACTCAAATGAGATGATCAAGTTTTAGTTGTCGTAATTAATCATGTAAACTAAGAAGTGCTGAATAAAGCTCTTGAATAAAGACCATGATTGGGATCCATTGTGCTGTAACCAATAGAAACGAGCAGGTTATAAGCAGGAAGTGGAATTAAAGAATACCGAAGTGGGTGCTGTGTTGCTGCTCTAATATCCATTCTGCTCCTGTGTGTGGAAGTTACACAGTTTAGAATGGATTGCCCCCACCTCCAGCTCCAGCCATGGGCCTGAAATAGTGTAATCCCAACAGTGTCATCCTATGCTCCTTGTCAAAATAGTTGGTTCGGGAATGACCACTTATATTAGTTTCCTGTGGCAGCCATAAATTACCACAAATATGGTGGCTTAAAACAACAGAAATGTATTCTGTTACAGTTCTGGAGGCCAGATGTCTGAAATCAAGGTGTGATTAGGGCCACACTCCCCTTGGAGGCAAGGACAGAATCCTCCTTGCCTCTTTAGGTTTCTGGTGGCTCTAGGTATGTGGTTGCGTAGATCTAGTCTCTGCCTCCCACTTCACATGGCCTTTTCCTCTCTCTTGCTTTCTCTTTGTCTCTGTCTCTGTCTCTCTCTGTCTTTCTCTCTCTCTCTCTCTCTCTGTGTGTGTGTGTGTGTGTGTATGTGTGTGTGTGTGTGTGTGTGCCTTCTCTTCTGTCCTGTATCTTATAAAGATACTTGTCCTTAGATTTAGGGCCCATCCAGCTAATCTGGCATGATCTCATTTTGAGATCCTTAACTTAATTACATCAGCAAAGACTCTTTTACCAAATAAAATCACAGATTCTGGGTGTTAGAATGTGGACATATCTTTTTGGGGTCACCATTCAACCCACTACACCAGGTGACTCAGGGCTTCCCAGGCTGCAGTGATTATTTTGCAGGTGATCTGAGAATGAAGCTCAGAGCCTCAGTTGGATGGTTATGGGAAGTAATATTTTATGTCCTAGTGAATGTGAATAAGAAAGCATGTAGTTCCTGCTGTTGCTGGCAGCTCTCTGGCTGCCTTGATGGAAGCCAGTCTGAAAAATAAGCTGGCACAGAGGAGGCTAAGCTGAGAAACCTGTAGAGAAACAGAGGAAAAGCTCTGACTGGACCCCAACTAGACCCACCCTGCCTCTGAATTTGTAAATTAGGCAAGCCAATACATTTTTATTTCTCAATTTTATTATGAGGCAATTTTAAGGTATAGTGAGGGAACTAAAAATAAGCTATAGTTAGGGTACAGCATTTTTTGCATGATAATCAGAAATAAATGATAATAAATATGCTAATATTTCTTAAGCAGTTATATTCTCGGTGCTACTACTCTAAGCATTTTATATTGATTATTTAACTTAATTTTCACAATAACCTTGTTTTCTTTTCAGACAAGAAATATCATTTAAGCACATGG
This sequence comes from Homo sapiens, assembly GCF_000001405.40. NCBI lineage: Eukaryota > Metazoa > Chordata > Mammalia > Primates > Hominidae > Homo > Homo sapiens. Next base: position 27,154,342 of record NC_000018.10, read on the forward strand.
TCAAATTCAGAGTTCAGGGAGAGATGAGGTAAGAGGTATGGGTGGAGACAGACTGCAGAGGGCCTTGGTGTCTAAATTATGGTGATTACATTTGTTCTGTGGACAAGAAGAATGAATAGATTTGTGCTGTGGACAAGGGAGTGGAATGATCAGCTTTACTTTTGGGGAAGATCACCCGGATGTGGTGTGCAAGCTGACTGAAAATAAAGAAGACCACAGGCATTCAAGTCAACAGATTAGCCATTGGCCAGGGAATCACCAGAAAAGAACTATACTAGATTATAGTCCAATATAAAAATCTTTCTGTCCTTTGGTTTATATGCACATCTTGCCTTGTTCTTGGAGGAGGTTTATCACAGCGGTTCGGTATGCAGATTCTGGAGCCTGACTGCCTGAATTCAAATCACAACTTGACCACTTACTAGCTTTGTGACACAGCTCATTATGTAACCTCTATGTGGTCGGGTGTGGTGGTTCATGCCTGTAATCCCAGCACTTTGGGAGGCTGAGGTGAGTGGATCACTTCAGATCAGGAGTTTGAGACCAGCCTGGCCAACATGGTGAAACCCTGTCTCTACTAAAAATACAAAAATTAGCTGGCATGGTAGTGCGCTCCTGTAATTCCAGCTACTCGGGAGGCAGAAGCATGAGAATCCCTTGAGCCTGGGAGGTGGAGGTTGCAGTGAGCCAAGGTCACAGCATTGCACTTCAACCTGGGCAACAGAGTGAGACTGTTTCAAAAGTTAAAAAAAAAAAAAAAAAAAAGAAGTAACCTCTATGTGCTTCAGTTACATCTAAATTGGGGATAATAAAAGCCCCTACCATAAAAGGCTGCTGCAAAATAAGTTAGTACATGAAAAATATTTAGAAGAATGCTTTGCCCATAGAAATGATCTACAATATTAAGATGTTAGTATCTTTATATTCCAGATGCTTAGCACAGGGACAGCTACATTGTAGGTAATGAATAATTCTTTGTTGAAAGATTGGATACTGTTACTTCAAAAGACAGTCTATTTTTACTGCTAGAGAGGTTTATTCTTTCCATTCATGCCAATTCAAATCAATCAATAAACACCTATTAGGCCCAGATATGATTAAGGCCCTGTGCTAGACAATGTGGCAAAGCCAGAATGAGTAAGATTTAATACCTGATCTTCATTAGAGAATATTTGAACCTATCTGTTTATAACTTGTACTGGTTGTTCTAGTTGAGCTTTCTAGAACAACTCATAACAAATCTGTTCTCTCCTTTACATGAAACACTTTCGAATTATTGAAAACAATTATCCTGTCTACACTTAATCTTTTTTACTCCAGGATAAACAATAAATATACACAATTCCTTCAGCCATTTAGTATAGGACATGGTTTAGGAGAATTCAATCAGTTTAATCATCCTCTCCAGACATATTCTAGTTTGTTAATACCTTTTTGTAAATCCAGGGCTCAGAAATAGATACAATAATCCAAGCATGATTAAATGGACAAATAGTGTTATGAGAATCAGCACCATAAAAATGGTGGCTAAACTTGAATGCATCCACCGGTAAAATGGGAGAATAAAGCAGGTTATATGTTAGAAGCTTGGGGGATTCTTTTAGCTCACATGAAAGGAAAATACAAGATATAAAAAATAATTCAAAGGAAAAGATCATGAAGTAGGAAACATATTATAAAAAACGTGTGATTAAGAAACCGAGATAGGATATTATCACACAATATGCATGAAAACAAACTTTTAATATACATTAATAAACAAGTACAAGGAAAGGATTTAAGGAACAGTAGGAATGAGGGTTAACTATGAAATATGGCCAAAAAAAAAAACAGTGAAAAAAGATGAACCTGAAAAGATGATTTTGTCAGTGTCAAAAGTATTGAGAGAAAATCAAAAAGGACCAAAGGGTTCTGAAGAAAGGAATTGAAAGATGAGAAATGTAGTATCCCTCCCATTAGTTTGAAATGTCAGAAAAGAAGAAGTGTATGTGAGATATACCCTTTAACCTTAAATAAAAATAAGGTATTTTGGGTACTATGTATATAATCAATACTAATTTAAATTTTCATTTTCTGTTTCAGTGATGACAGTACATGAGTTTTTCATGTCAATTAAATAGAAGAAATTGCCTTTCAGGCGGATGTAGTATAATATATAAAATCAAGTGAATTTGGTGGGGTGTTGTGACTGAAAATAGTGAGATATTCCAAAAACAGGATAATGCAGGAGAATGAGAAAGAGACAAAGATTTTAAAAAGCTTCATAGTGTTAAGATCTCAACAAACAAGTAAACAAAAACGAGCAGCATTTAAGAGGCAATGGGCAACAGAGTATCCTAGAAAGTCATTATGATCTCCCCACATACTTCGTATGAGTAAAAAGTAGTTCAAATTAGATTATTAGCCACAATGTAAAACAGAATGGATCAAGCTGGTTTTGAAATATAAATATTTACAGTAAAATAGAAACATCTGCACTTAATGTCAAATAGTTAAGGCTACATCTATGCAACAAATTATTGTGACAAATAATTTATACAAAATGTTTGGCATTGCTCAATATTAAACAGTGTCTAGATATATTTTCAAATAAATATTTTTATGGTGAGATAATAAAATGTAAATAAATATAATTGTTTTGGTTATTATCTAGATAAAATGTGTTTATATGTTGTCACCTTATTTCTGAATTATTTTTGTCACATTATTTCTGAATTCCCCCTTCTGCTCATCACATAACAATAAAATCCTTGTAGAAGTATTGTATTTATAGAGAATCCTCCTTCCTTATGCCAGATATGTGACATAGCTATTTCTGTTAATGATTAGCAGTCAATACCTATTTGGAAGATTGATTTTTTTCCTTCATCATATATTATCTAGGCATCAGATGTGTTGTTATTGTAGTGTGTCTTTTATAGAAAGAATAATACTGCTCTCCATACAACAGTAAAATTCAATGGCTAACATAAAACTCTATAAAACACTAGAAGTATGTGTATATTCTGAAATTAATATGATTTGTTTCTTATAAAGTTTGTGAGCCATGAACTCATTGCTAGCTTCAAGCAATCACATGCAAATATTTATTAAGTTCTACTATATGCTCCCTGTCTTATCTCTCGTTTCACATTCTAGCCCATGTGTGGTTAGCCTGCAACCATTTAATAGAGAAATAGCATGGACTAAAACAGCAGAGGTCCTAATCCAGAAATCTTGGTTTAGAAAAGACAACTAAATTAAATCCGCAAAAATATCTACTGACAAGAAACGTATAGGAAGCGCTTAAGGCATTTTCAAAAACCACACCAAACAGTGCTCACATTAAAATTCCAAAGTAACTGCCTAAGGTAGTTACTGAAATAAATATAGATATATAGAGAAGCCTAGAATAATGCCAGCAAATCAAAGCAGAAATAATATATAACTCTGAAAATTAATTCCAGAAAAACAAGCTTAAAATACAAAACATGTAAAAAAAAACTGCATTGTAAAATTTTAAGGATACCATAAAATTATAAATAATTAGTGATAATTTTAGTGTTATGAATATGCTGGTTAATTTTAGTTAGTTTAGTTAACTAATCAATGAAGAGAATTTCCAGTAAAATGGGGGCATATTGGACTCATGCATTGATCTCTACTCCCTCATCAAACCTCTCTAAACTGAAAGGAAATGAATTAGAAAAGAAATACAGTTACAAAATATAGATAAGGGAAGGGAGAATTTTACAAGAGAGACATCACAAAGTTTTTTTGTTTTTTTGTTTTTTTAATTATACTTTAAGTTTTAGGGTACATATGCACAACGTGCAGGTTAGTTACATATGTATACATGTGCCATGTTGGTGTGCTGCACCCATCAACTCATCATTTAACATTAGTTATATCTCCCAATGCTATCCCTCCCCCTTCCCCCCACCCCACAACAGGCCCCAGTGTGTGATGTTCCCCTTCCTGTGTCCATGTGTTCTCATTGTTCAATTCCCACCTATGAGTAAGAACATGCAGTGTTTGGTTTTTTGTCCTTGTGATAGTTTGCTGAGAATGATGGTTTTCAGCTTCATCCATGTCCCTACAAAGGACATGAACTCATCATTTTTTATGGCTGCATAGTATTCCATGGTGTATATGTACCACAATTTCTTAATCCAGTCTATCATTGTTGGACATTTGGGTTGGTTCCAAGTCTTTGCTATTGTGAATAGTGCCACAATAAACATATGTGTGCACGTGTCTTTATAGCAGCATGATTTATAATCCTTTGGGTATATACCCAGTAATGGGATGGCTGGGTCAAATGGTATTTCTAGTTCAAGATCCCTGAGGAATCGCCACACTGACTTCCACAATGGTTGAACTAGTTTACAGTCCCACCAACAGTGTAAAAGTGTTCCTATTTCTCCACATCCTCTCCAGCACCTGTTGTTTCCTGACTTTTTAATGATTGCCATTCTAACTGGTGTGAGATGGTATCTCATTGTGGTTTTGATTTGCATTTCTCTGATGGCCAGTGATGATGAGCATTTTTTCATGTGTCTTTTGGCTGCATAAATGTCTTCTTTTGAGAAGTGTCTGTCTGTTCATATCCTTCGCCCACTTTTTGATGGGGCTGTTTGTTTTTTTCTTGTAGATTTGTTTGAGTTCTTTGTAGATTCTGGATATTAGCCCTTTGTCAGATGAGCAGATTGCAAAAATTTTCTCCCATTTTGTAGGTTGCCTGTTCACTCTGATGGTAGTTTCTTTTGCTGTGCAGAAGCTCTTTAGTTTAATTAGATCCCATTTGTCAATTTTGGCTTTTGTTGCCATTGCTTTGGTGTTTTAGACATCAAGTTCTTGCCCATGCCTATGTCCTGAATGGTATTGCCTAGGTTTTCTTCTAGGGGTTTTATGGTTTTAGGTCTAACATTTAAGTCTTTAATCCATCTTGAATTAATTTTTGTATAAGGTATAAGGAAGGGATCCAGTTTCAGCTTTCTACATGTGGCTAGCTAGTTTTCCCAGCACCATTTATTAAATAGGGAATCCTTTCCCCATTTCTTGTTTTTGTCAGGTTTGTCAAAGATCAGATGGTTGTAGATATGTGGCATTATTTCTGAGGGATCTGTTCTGTTCCATTGGTCTATATCTCTGTTTTGGTACCAGTACCATGCTGTTTTGGTTACTGTAGCCTTGTAGTATAGTTTGAAGTCAGGTAGCGTGATGCCTCCAGCTTTGTTCTTTTGGCTTAGGATTGACTTGGCAATGCAGGCTCGTTTTTGGTTCCATATGAACTTTAAAGCAGTTTTTTCCAATTCTGTGAAGAAAGTCATTGGTAGCTTGATGGGGATGGCATTGAATCTATAAATTACCTTGGGCAGTATGGCCTTCTTCACGATATTGAGTCTTCCTACCCATGAGCATGGAATGTTCTTCCATTTGTTTGTATCCTCTTTTATTTCATTGAGCAGTGGTTTGTAGTTCTCCTTGAAGAGGTCCTTTACGTCCCTTGTAAGTTGGATTCCTAGGTATTTTATTCTCTTTGAAGCAATTGTGAATGTGAGTTCACTCATGATTTGGCTCTCTATTTGTCTGTTATTGGTGTATAAGAATGCTTGTGATTTTTGCACATTGATTTTGTATCCTGAGATTTTGCTGAAGTTGCTTATCAGCTTAAGGAGATTTTGGGCTGAGACAATGGGGTTTTCTAGGTATACAATCATGTCTTCCGCAAACAGGGACAATTTGACTTCCTCTTTTCCTAATTGAATACCCTTTATTTCCTTCTCCTGCCTGATTGCCCTGGCCAGAACTTCCAACACTATGTTGAATAGGAGTGGTGAGAGAGGGCATCCCTGTCTTGTGCCAGTTTTCACAGGGAATGCTTCCAGTTTTTGCCCATTCAGTATGATATTGGCTGTGGGTTTATCATGGATAGCTCTTATTATTTTGAGATACATCCCATCAATACCTAATTTATTGAGAGTTTTTAGCATGAAGAGTTGTTGAATTTTGTCGAAGGCCTTTTCTGCATCTGTTGAGATAATTATATGGTTTTTGTTGTTGGTTCTGTTTATATGCTGGATTACATTTATTGATTTGCGTATGTTGAACCAGCCTTGCATCCCAGGGGTTAAGCCCACTTGATCATGGTGGATAAGCTTCTTGATGTTCTGCTGGATTCGGTTTGCCAGTATTTTATTGAGGATTTTTGCATCGATGTTCATCAGGGGTATTGGTCCAAAATTCTCTTTTTTTGTTGTGTCTCTGCCAGGCTTTGGTATCAGGATGATGCTGGCCACATAAAATGAGTTAGGGAGGATTCCCTCTTTTTCTATTGATTGGAATAGTTTCAGAAGGAATGGTACGAGCTCCTCCTTGTACCTCTAGTATAATTCGGCAGTGAATCCATCTGATCCTGGACTTTTTTTGATTGGTAAGCTATTAAGTATTGCCTCAATTTCAGAGCCTGTTATTGGTCTATTCAGAGATTCAACTTGTTCCTGGTTTAGTCTTGGGAGGTTGTATGTGTCCAGGAATGTATCCATTTCTTCTAGATTTTCTAGTTTATTTGCGTGGAGGTGTTTGTAGTATTCTCTGATGGTAGTTTGTATATCTGTGGGATCGGTGGTGATATCCCCTTTATCATTTTTTATTGCGTCTATTGGATTCTTCTCTCTTTTCTTCTTTATTAGTCTTGCTAGCCGTCTATCAATTTTGTTGATCTTTTCAAAAAACCAGCTCCTGGATTCATTGATTTTTTGAAGGGTTTTTTGTGTCTCTATTTCCTTCAGTTCTGCTCTGATCTTAGTTATTTCTTGCCTTCTGCTAGCTTTTGAATGTGTTTGCTCTTGCTTCTCTAGTTCTTTTAATTGTGATGTTAGGG